>NC_000015.10:58276874-58901874 GCF_000001405.40 Homo sapiens | reverse complement strand
CTGTCACCCAGCTGGAGTGCAGTGGTTGATATGAACTCACTTTTAACACATTAAAAGAATGAATAATTTGAAACTGACCTAGTAACTGTTCTTCTAATGTCTGATATACTTAAAGGGGAGTATTGTTTGTTTGTTTGGTTTATTACTGTGTATTCAAGCACTTGAAAGTTACGTCTACAGATTATACTTTCTGGTACTGTTTTGAATAGTATATCTTAGCTAAGAGTACCTGTGAACTGAGTGACGTAAAATACGTCATCAGGTCAGCCTTCTTATTGACAGCTCTTTGATATGAGGAAGAATTGGATTATATAAACTAGTTTTGAATAGTGAAACTAATCCAGTTTGTTATTTATGTACTCATTGATAGATATACCTGTTTTCTAAAATGTACCAAACTTGTGCCACATATCTCTCTACATGGACTCTGGTTCTGATTGGAATAGCCTATTTATTTGTTAGTGTTAGGTATCCCTAAATAATATCATTAAATTATCCACCAATTTTAACTTGGCTGATTTTGTACTATTACTAAAATCTAGTTTTATGTGAATTCATTTTACATTTGATTATTCTTTGAATTTCAGGATGGTGAGGAAGAAGAAAATGAGAAAGGTATGTTTGATGCTAGAGCTTAAAAATTGCTAAAATTTAGAAAAACAGTAAATTATGTAAAAAGCACTCCTTATTTGAAATCTTATTTTTGAAATTAGTTTATTTTCAAATTTATCCATTTAGTGAATTAAGTTAGCATCTTGATTTTATTTTCCAATTGGTTTTAATTTTCTTTTGAACACTAAAGATATATTGCAACTTAATAGTACATATCAGTTACTGTAGTGAACAATGCTATTTTTTATTTAACCCAATTTTAATTTTATTTTTAAAATAACTTCTGGTATACGGTAAGTTGATTAAATTCTTAAGACTGACACTGCAGTAACTCATGTGTGCTTATTGGAGTCCTAGTGCATAACTCACAGTGAATTTTACAACTAGTCCTAAAAATGATGAATGACCAGGAGACTGACTTTGTGTTTGCTGCTTAGAGAAACTTCCATACAGTCGTCTGACAATTTTAGTTTAGACGAGCTGTCTCATTCAATACAATTACAGGGGCAACAGTAGCAATACATGTGGTCAGTAGGAGGTTATGGAAGAGTCCTTGGACAGAAGTCAAAGGATCCTACTTTGGACTAGAAAGGACATGGAGCAGGGTTAAGCAAGGCAAATAAAAAGCCTAGAAGCAGTGATGAAATGAAGCTACTGACTGAAAATCTCACATGCCCGAAGCCTTTCTGTTTTGGGGGAATGCAAGACATCTTTGAAAACGGTAATTGCAGACTGACTGGACAGGATGAAGACTGGAAATAACCAATTTCCTGAACGTCACGGAGCAGGAGCATCTTTGGAGCCTTCTGTACCAGTTTTCCCTACGAATCCGGACTACTCAAGCATTGAAGAGTGGAAAAGATGGGGCTCTGAAATACTCTGAAGACTGATTGATATCCTCAGACTGTTACCTGTCAAGAAGTCACCATGGGAGTTCTGAAGGTCACTAGGGTTCAATCCCAGGATAATTCCAGCATTGAACAACAATCTGCACTTTTGTCACTGTCACATGGAGGAACAAAATCTTCCATATGCCATTAACTTATAACCAGAAATGAAGAGCTGGTATCTTCAGGATGGAACCATTTTCTCACTATTGTTGTTTGGTGTTTGTATGTAGAGATCATTTTTTCCATGAAGAATAAGTGATCCTGGGTAAAGGATGGTTTATGTTAGTTAATACCCTTGTGTTTTTTTTTTTTTTCCCTAACTTCCATCAGTGCTAATAACTGGCTTTATATTTTCTAGGTCCTATTCTAGCTTATGAATATGAAATTGTTTAAACTTCTTGTTTTGCCATATTTATTCCTGTTAAATCCTCTTAGATATAGCAGGTTCTGGTGATGGTACACAAGAAGTATCTAAACCTCTTCCTTCAGAAGGGAGCCTAGCTGAGGCTGATCACACAGCTCATGAAGAGATGGAAGCTCATACGACTGTGAAAGAAGCTGAGGATGACAACATCTCGGTCACAATCCAGGCTGAAGATGCCATCACTCTGGATTTTGATGGTGATGACCTCCTAGAAACAGGTAAAAATGTGAAAATTACAGATTCTGAAGCAAGTAAGCCAAAAGATGGGCAGGACGCCATTGCACAGAGCCCGGAGAAGGAAAGCAAGGATTATGAGATGAATGCGAACCATAAAGATGGTAAGAAGGAAGACTGCGTGAAGGGTGACCCTGTCGAGAAGGAAGCCAGAGAAAGTTCTAAGAAAGCAGAATCTGGAGACAAAGAAAAGGATACTTTGAAGAAAGGGCCCTCGTCTACTGGGGCCTCTGGTCAAGCAAAGAGGTTTGTTTTTCTATGTCAGTTCTTTACGATACTGAATTCCAGCATTCAATAAGATCACTCTACATTAAGGGGGTGGCTTCAAGAACATGTACAGTAATTAGTGTCTTATGATCCTGCCTATAATATTTTTGACCGTCATAAGTTACTTTTAAAAATTTTCAAGATCTTCATAATAATGCAGTGTGTTCTACTGATTGCATTGTCGAATGTCAGCATATATTTGGTTTTTTTGTTGTTTTTTGTTTTTTGTTTTTTTTTTTCAAATTGACAATTTTTTTGTGTTTTATTTTTTAAAATCCTTGTGATGATGGTTAATGAACAACTATCAGTTCTAAGAACACAAAATGAAGTCAAGTCCCAGTCCTGAAATCTGGAGAAGATGGCCATATTTCCACTGAATAGAATTGTCAGAAAATCTAGATCTTCAGGCATCTTGGGGAAAATCAGTGCAAGAATCCTCAGGGAGTCATTTGTTCAAATAACCTAATCTAGGCCTTTGGAATTGTTAATTTGTATGAATAGCACTAGTTTGAAATATAGTAAATATCAAGCTGTTCTGTTTTGGGTTTGTTTTTGTTTTTGTTTTCAATTTTCTTCTGGTGATTTGCCTCTTTAGCTCTTCAAAGGAATCTAAAGACAGCAAGACATCATCTAAAGATGACAAAGGTAAAGAATTTTTTTCCCTATTTATTTCAGTGTTGACATTGTGTATTTTCATTAAAAAGTAGTAGTTGCGCGGTGTTTTCTTTGACATTTAGTCCTTAAAAATTTTATTGACAGACTAGAAACTTGAGATGGTCTTTATATAAACTGTGGAATTATATATATTACAGAAAACTGATTGATGTGTTACTGTTTACTTTGTAAACTGGTAATGGGGTACGTTAAAAACCCATTAGCTAGGGAACACTTACCTGGTGTGTTCTAAGGGACTGTGTTGAATATTAATAGATACTTTCTTACATTATAATTTCAGAACTATTTTATCTTTTGTTACTCATTTATAACTACTGTGTATCACCACAACCTTTTTCCTGTTCTGTCTTTAAATAATACTTGTGTGTATTTGTGGAGTCTAGTGTTCTTTTTTCTTTTTTTTAAATTCTTGTAAGTTTCAAAGTGCAATATTTAGTTGCTTTCTGATACTGAGAAATCTCTGGTTATCTCATGCCCATGAGCTGTAGTTTCATCTTGTACATGTGCTGTGTTTACTTGAAAAATACTTAATTTCTAGAAAAGGATTTTAAGGGAAAATAAAACATTCAGGTACTGCAAAGCTTTTAAATACCTCCTAAATGTGTAAAGGAGAATTGTATGCATCCTCCATAGTTTATTTTAAATCGTTAGAAATCATAAGGATGTGATTTATGAATTGGTTGGTCTTGCTTAAAAGAATGTGAAATATAGAAATTGTTCCTTTTAATTGCTTGTATACTGTTTCTCTTAAAGTGAGTAAAAATTATTTTCCAAATAAAGTCAAGTGAATGAAAATTTCCCTTTTATTACAGCACATTTGAAGAAAAGGGTGACTGGCTAGGCCTGTATCCTAAGATATGGCCTCTATACATATGAAGCCATAATTTATGTGTGACATAGTACAGAAATGATTCATATAATCATTTACCTATTATAAAGGATTTTGAGACCTCTGATCTTAATCTTGTAGTTGTTTTGTTTTAGAAGATTGTTTCTTATCGAATCTAGAGTTATCCAGCTGCA
Organism: Homo sapiens; assembly: GCF_000001405.40. Classification (NCBI taxonomy): domain Eukaryota; kingdom Metazoa; phylum Chordata; class Mammalia; order Primates; family Hominidae; genus Homo; species Homo sapiens. The sequence goes on along the minus strand of NC_000015.10, from coordinate 58,897,749 downwards.
TATAATTCCCATTTTGTCTTACTTATTCTCTAATATGGAATGAAGGTGTACCAGTTGGTTCGTCTTTGTTATTAATCATATAAATTCTTGAAAAATGTATACCTTGCTCTGACTTTTTTCTTCTTCCATTTCAATTTCTAAGGATCTAAAGCCCACAGCAGATGTGGCAACTAAACAGTCTGTTCATTCCTAAATGACTGCTTCCTAGTTGTCTCTATTCAGTGCAGTGGTAGACTATAAATTATTAAAACTGAACAGCAAAAGTCTGAGACATGTAATTGATTTTTTTACCCTCTTCAACTTAGAACTCATACAATAGGAAATGTACATACGTTCAGATTTTTTCCCCTCACTAGTCATGTTGTCTGTTTGATTTCAATAATAGTAAACTCACAGGATTTTGATATAGTAACGTCATACTATCAAAATTATAGTTTTGAAAGAATGTGGCCCTTATAGTTTTGTATAAAGATTCTGATTGAGATACTTAAACATCTGATATTAAATCTATTCTAGGAAGTACAAGTAGTACTAGTGGTAGCAGTGGAAGCTCAACTAAAAATATCTGGGTTAGTGGACTTTCATCTAATACCAAAGCTGCTGATTTGAAGAACCTCTTTGGCAAATATGGAAAGGTACATTCTTTTTACCTTTTTATCTGTCTTTCTGGTGTCTGCATTTGAAATGAGGATTGTATTCTAAATAGTATTACATGAATATCTTCTAATTTATTGTATCTCTTAGGACTGTTAATAGACATAATTATTGAGTTCTGTGGTAATGGTAGATGAGAGTTAGGGGATAAATAGCATTTCATCATTTAATCTCTCTCTGAGCCTTGGGAATCTTTGTATTCCAAACTTTAAACCTATTTAAGCCAAGGACTAATAAGTTTATTCATCATGATACTTTGTAGCACGTAGCTTGGGATCTAGCATATTGCTGAGCCTGATTTGGACATCTTGAAAATACATTTATATTTAGACTATTATTAGTCAGTGGGATACATAATTCACGGGGGCCTGGGGAGAACCAGATATGATCCTTGTTACAGATTTCTAGTCCAGTAATGGAGAAAAATATAAAACTGGCTATATATATAGGCATGAGAATGGTTTAAACTTATATAAAGTTATATATAAACATATATCTACATTAAGTTTATATATAAACTTTTTTTTTTCTTTTTGAGACACAGTCTCACTGTGTCACCCAGGCTGGGGTGTAGCAGCGTGATGTGGGCTCACTGCGACCTCTGCCTCCCAAGTTTAAACGATTCTCATGCCTCAAGCCTACCTAGTAACTGGGATTACAGGCATGAGCAACTGCACTGGGCTAATTTTTGTATTTTTAGTAGAGATGAGTTTTTCACTATGTTGGCCAGGCTGATCTCAAACTCCTGGCTTCAGGTGATCCACCAGTCTCAGCCTCCCAAAGTGCTGGGGTTACAGGTGTGAGCCATCGCACCACGCCTAAATATATAAACCTAATCAGAAGTTGTTATAAGTCTTGTGAAGGAAAAGTACACAGGTGTTAAAAAGGGGAGGCTTTCCTGTGGTTAGTTCATCAGGAAAAGTTTCTCTGGCAGTTAAGGGGAGACCTAAAGGAAGAGAAGGAGTAGTCAAAGAATACTCAATTAATAACAAATGCTTTGAATTGTGAGCCGCATCCCTGACGGCTCTCAATACTGTCTACTTACATTATAGTTTTTCATATACATCAAATAGTTAATGTACTCCAGTGTAAGCTTTTTGAGGTCAGGGACCTTATTTAGTGTACTTCATGTGCACATGATAGGCTTTCAGATATTGAAATTACTGAATTAGTGACCATTATTGGTAAATAGCCATTAATATTACCAAAACCTGTCCTCTTGATTTTTGGAGGGTTTTTTTCCTGCTTCAATTAGTGAGTTGCCTGAGTGTAAAGGAGGTTCTTGTAGGTGTCAGAAATAGAACACTGAGAATTGTAGTCCCATGATAGGCTGTGTTATATTTTTTCTTCTGTTTTCAATAATGTATTGTTAGAGATGTGAAAACAATATTTTAATGTTGGTATTTATTAGTAGTAAAACTATATGAGGATACCATTTATTTGGTAAGAAGACCCGTGGAGTTAAAAAATAAATGGCTATGGAGCAAATCAGCCTTTCCTAGGGTTGAGGTAAAAGTTGATTTGTTCCAGCCACCCATACCATAAAACTCCTGATTTTCCTGTTTACTTCTTCCCAGCTTTATGTCTTTACTCTTCTTTGTTCAGCACCGAATCGTTCTCTCTCTTTTCTTCTCACTCATCCATCCCTGCTTTGTCTCTCTTAACTAACCATCTTACACAATTGCAATTATTTGTCATGTTCATATACGTTTTAAAAGCACATAGATTGAAAGTGTTGTCTTTCAAGCTTTAGGGTGTTTTTCGGGGGATGCATTTTTAAGTCCGCTTTTTTATATGTGATTGGTTCTTTACTCATTATAGAAAAGTGTTAACACTCATCAATAAAATACTAGAAACTTTCTCTAAAGACATTCAGGGTGGGCCTATGATAGGGATATTTTGGTTCAAATCCAATTTATTTGCTTTTATTAATTGTGCCATTACTTCATTGATGAGATTGTGTTTTGGCTACATATTTGAGGGGAGGAAATAAATATAAAAAGGTTAAATTGCTTTTTGGCACTTTAAATTGTTCCCCTGAATATTTACTAAGATGGGTAACGTAGATGGTGATCACAAGAATATGAAATAGGCTGGCTGCAGTGGCTCATGCTTGTAATCCCAGCACTGTGGGAGGCCGAGGTAGGCCGATCACCTGAGGTCAGGCCTTTGAGACCAGCCTGGCCAACATGGCAAAACCCTATCTGTACTAAAAATACAAAACTTAGCAGGGCATGGTGGTGCATGCCTGTAATCCCAGCTACTTGAGAGGCTGAAGGAGGGGAATTGCTTGAACCCAGAAGGCAGAGGTTGCAGTGAGCTGAGATCACACCACTGCACTCCAGCCTGCGTGACAGAGTGTGACTCCATCTCAAAAAAAAAAAAAAAAACATGAGACAGAATAAGATACACCCTGAATTAATATATAGTTTCAGTTGTGAAGTTTCATGTATTTAGAAGTCTGTGTACTTGGAACGTTGTAAAACTCTCTAAAGTACAGTCTGATTTTATAGGTTCTGAGTGCAAAAGTAGTTACAAATGCTCGAAGTCCTGGGGCAAAATGCTATGGCATTGTAACTATGTCTTCAAGCACAGAGGTGTCCAGGTGTATTGCACATCTTCATCGCACTGAGCTGCATGGACAGCTGATTTCTGTTGAAAAAGTAAGCTTCCCTAACTGTTTATCAAAGCAAGTCTAATTTGATGGCTAGTTCTCAACTCATAGCTGTTAACAGTAGCAGGGAGTAGAATTTGCAGTGATTTTTAATTTTTATGTATTTGTAGTTTTTACTCTCCTTATATTTTTCCTATCGTTTCCAAATTTTCTGCCATTAGCACACTTCTTATAATCACAAAAATGTAACCATATGTACAAATTGTTTTTCTGGTTCGAACCTTTCAGGTAAAAGGTGATCCCTCTAAGAAAGAAATGAAGAAAGAAAATGATGAAAAGAGTAGTTCAAGAAGTTCTGGAGATAAAAAAAATACGAGTGATAGAAGTAGCAAGTAAGGATTTATTTTTATTTATTTATTTTGATAAGCAGATAGACTTTTTTGGTACATTATGAAGTACTCATTCTGTTTTTTTGTCTGGGGCGGTATGGTCAGGACACAAGCCTCTGTCAAAAAAGAAGAGAAAAGATCGTCTGAGAAATCTGAAAAAAAAGAAAGCAAGGATACTAAGAAAATAGAAGGTAAAGATGAGAAGAATGATAATGGAGCAAGTGGCCAAACATCAGAATCGATTAAAAAAAGTGAAGAAAAGAAGCGAATAAGTATGCTATACATCTTTTCAATCCCTTTCTAATGCATTCTACTACTTAATTTTTACAGTGGAAGGGAAAACCTGAAATTCTAATCCAGATATAAGCTTTGTTGTTAGGTGTCATTGTGGTAGGAAAGGAGGTCTAGTAGGAGTAATTGTCTTCTTTTCTACTCTGGGGAAACAAACAAATGTATTCTTCCAGCTAAGCTCCTTTGCTATTCTGGGCTGACTTAAAATGGTCATTGATTAGTACTATTGAATTAGGATCTTTTGGTATCACTGAAAGTATTTATGTTAGCAGACTGAACTGTTTAAAAAACTCTTTGCATTGAAGTTCTTGTAGAATAAGTAGTTTTTTTATTTCATGTATTGGTGTGTGACTATCAGAATTTAGCATTTTTACATACATATTTTCTTTCTCAATGAAAAATTTTAGACATTGTTTTATATAATTTTTTTCCCTTAGGTTCCAAGAGTCCAGGACATATGGTAATACTAGACCAAACTAAAGGAGATCATTGTAGACCATCAAGAAGAGGAAGATATGAGAAAGTAAGTCTCTGATCAGGATGGTTGTATACTACTTCAGCTGTTTACAAAAGAAGATAATTCTGTTTTTCCATAACCATCTTTGCGTACTTGCATGCTAGCAAACCCAAGAAAAAGGAAATGTTACTAGTCATTTGAACTTTTTAAATGACCTACTAAACTTGAAAAATAAAGCCCCAAAATATTTTAATTTCTAGTGTTCTTCTAATTTTTTTCTACAGATTCATGGAAGAAGTAAGGAAAAGGAGAGAGCTAGTCTAGATAAAAAAAGAGATAAAGACTACAGAAGGAAAGAGATCTTGCCTTTTGAAAAGATGAAGGAACAAAGGTTGAGAGAACATTTAGTTCGTTTTGAAAGGCTGCGACGAGCAATGGAACTTCGAAGGTAGGAAGAGAGTCTGTTTTATACCTGTCTTTAAATATAGGTAAATATTTAACACTAGTTGTAAGCCATATTTCTGGAAATTGTATTCCCACAGAAAACTGTTTGCCACCTTAAAGAAGTTACGGTAGCATCTAATGATTTCTTAAGTTTGCATAGCACTTTACAATTTACAAAGTGCTTTTCCATCTGTTGTCTCCAACTCAACAGTTCTGTAAGGCTAGTTATGCCCATTATACAATTGAAAAAAATGGAGGCCCAGAGAGGCTAAATGACTCTTCCAATGGCCACATGGCTAACAAGTGGCAGAGTCGGGACTCAGACCCAAGTCTTCTGACTCCAAGTCCAATGCTCTTTCCTCAACACCAAAGCTGCTGCCATAAAAAACATGACTTCAAAGGAAAAATTTGAGATAAGATAGTTTCAAAGTAGCTACAGTGTTCAAATACTGTAATCTGAAATTTTAACAAATTTAGCAAAAATTTATTGTTTGCATTAGTGCCTAAGAGAAGGAAGATTTGCCCTGTGAGCCTAATGGTATTCGGATTATATCCCAAAGCAAGCATTCTCTTTAAAACAAACGGAAAATATAAACAAAGCAAGATGTTTCCATTTTTAGTGGCCATATCTCAACAGTTCACGAGTGTCAGTTTACTTTTGTATATCAATTTTTGGATGCCACTTAAAATAGTCTTGTGGGTGTGTTTTATAGTATATTATTTCAAATGTTAAGCTGTCTTGTCCAGGGGTTACTTATCATGGGATTTCATCCATTCATTGACGACAGCGTTAGGAACTACCAGAGATACTTTTAGCAACTTAGATTATTCTGTACAATAATTGACACACAACTTTACTAAAAGGAAGTAATCCTTGTAGCACATAGAACCCATTTTCTCTTTTTTAAGATGAAGTCCAAATGTGCCTAGCTTCCTGTGTATTTAGTTGACAACAGATTGAGAGGAGAGTGGGATTGAGGAGCAACTAGACCAGTGATTCTCAAACCCTATGTGACCAAATTCCCTTTTATATTAAAAAAAGTTGCAATGCCTTTACTCTCCTGAAATGAAATTGATGTATAACATACTTAAGCTATACTAACAATTTCAAAAAAAGAAAAAAATGTAATGGCTTAACTATAATATAAAGGAGAAATAAAAGTAATTTATAATAAAAATATGTATTCCAGATATGAAGGTTTAGGCATGACTTAATGAAGTAGTCAGATGTTTGCATCCCTATTTAGACTCACTGAGAATGGGACAGCTTCAAATACAGACTGACGTTGTATGTCATTTAATATGTTGTATTGGTTAGTAAATACCAGAAGTAGTGTTGACATTATGACATGATTTCTGAAATGGTGAGCAACTCTTGGTAAAAGTCGCAAGAAAGTATAATTTTCCTTCTATTTATATGGAGTTGCATTATTGGAAATTCTAGATTATAGAAATAATATCAAAGCAAACAGTATTTATTAAAAATGGGGTTGAGTTCTAGACTGACATATTATTTTTGCTTAAGGTGTTTGGTTGTTTTTAATGGTGTGCATGTCCGTTGTGGCATCTGAAAGGTATGAGAGGTGTTGGATGGTTCTTGTTGTGTACGACTATCCTCACTATTCCATGCATCAATAAGATACTTAGATACCTTCATCCTCATACACTAAACACTAGTATCTGCCCCATGGTCATTGTGATAATTAAAAATATCCCATTGATTTCTGTAGAAATAGTACTGACCCATTGAGAACCACTGGGTTACTAGAGAAAGACATGCTGATGACAGAAAAGGATGCTGACTACCTTACAGTAAGAAAATAACATTAAAAGTCTAATACAATAACAATTCAGTTCAGTGAACAATTGAACTACCTCTGACTCAGAAAAGCATGTTACCTGGAGCCATCTATTATAGGATAGTAAACATTCCAAAATAGCCCTTAAGGACACCATTTTGTTATATGTAGTATTTGCTATTATTGATGTTCATTGTTATGATCCCAAATCATCAAAGTATGTACTTGTTTAAGGAGATACAATAGAATATATAATAGGGATTAGAGCTTTTTCCATCAAAAACAAGTGTTGGAAGTTGTAGTTTTGTAAATTTACATATGCAGATTACATCCTTCTAAAATGTCAATTAATTAATGGACTATTATAGTAATTTTTATTTAAACAGGAATCATCTAAGAGGCAACTACTCTATATTATAAAATTTAGCTGCTCAGTTGACAGTCTTATTTATAGATAAGTGAAAATATTGGGATCTGTTTAAAGTTTTACTTTGAATTCTCTTTCCAATTACATTAAAACTACTTAGATTGAGTTGAAATTTAAAATTGCCAACCTCAAGGAAAAATTCAAATTCAAAGCTATTCTCTTTCACACAGTGCTAGCATAATTTAAGTATTTCTAAATACTGATTTTTGGTAGACGAAGAGAGATTGCAGAGAGAGAGCGTCGAGAGCGAGAACGCATTAGAATAATTCGTGAACGGGAAGAACGGGAACGCTTACAGAGAGAGAGAGAGCGCCTAGAAATTGAAAGGCAAAAACTAGAGAGAGAGAGAATGGAACGCGAACGCTTGGAAAGGGAACGCATTCGTATTGAACAGGTGCAGTCAGAAAATCTTTTCATCTTAAATAACTCACCTTTTTCAGACTCTGTGATTTTAGCCCTAAAACTTGCTTTACTTGTTGTAAAGCGTCTATAGAATGAGTTTAGCTAAGGAGCTTTTAAGTGTCCCTGAAAGATAACAGTGAATTAGGTACTAGTTAAAAATAGAATTAGTAGTGACTTTGTTCTAGATAACTGGTAATAATTCTAGCTCTGCAATATCATGGCAGCCTAATAGTCTGAGCATAGGACTATGAGTCCAGAGTAGTTGTAATCCAGGCTCTGTCACTATCCCAGTCTTAGAAAATAATAACGATTTCCTTACATATTATAGTGGGAATGATTTCCCAAGGCTGGAAGGAAATAATGCCTCTCTTTGCAGAATTGCACCTCAGGGTTTTAAGGCACTTAGTCTCCATGCATATTAAGAATGCTATTTCTAATTCCCTTTAGGTGCTTTTGTTTTAGTCGAATGATTAAACTAAACTTGACCTTCCCAAATACTTGCCAACTTTTACCACCCAGTCCTTGTTATTTTTAATGTTGCAGAACAATAGCTACAGCCTAGATTATTGAAATCAAATTTAGGTGTCATAGGTTTGTGTTTTGCCTGGTCTTTGCTTATGATGGTTTCTTAGCAACAGGATTAAAACAAGGTTGCATGTATACTTATCTTATGTTTTCATTTTGCCTTGGTTGGTTCTTCATTCTGTGTTGTCTGAAGGAACGTCGTAAGGAAGCTGAACGGATTGCTCGAGAAAGAGAGGAACTCAGAAGGCAACAACAGCAGCTTCGTTATGAACAAGAAAAAAGGAATTCCTTGAAACGCCCACGTGATGTAGATCATAGGTAGTTACTCATTTTATTCCTTAACAGTTAACCTTGCTGTTTTATTCCCTTTAGGCTAAGACTAGAGAATTAGAAAGTACAGGCTCCCATCACTGGAATAAAAGTCATGATCAACAGGGATGGGAAGGATTACAGTACTGGGGTAGACCCAGTGCACTAGCAAGTGGGAACAGTCTGTGTTTCTTTCCCTGTCTACCTTTCTGATGCCAAATGTTTTTCATTATGACTGGAAATACATTGTCATAGTAGGCTTCAATAATAATTAAACAGATTTTGAACATTCTTAAAAAGGTAGTGCAGGTAGTATAGAAATGGAAGTCATAAACTTGAGATTGAAAGATAGATTCTATTGTGTGTTTGGATTCATACTTCATATAGATTTAAAAACATAAGTATGCCCATTTAATCTTCTTAACATAAATTCTATGAAACTGAGTTGATTGTGTAGAGAAATAGGTGGAATGAATGAACTGTGCTTCTGACTTACCACTCTAACGTTTCCAAAGTTAAGGATAACTGAAGAGGTTGTGTGAACTGGTTAGAATTTTATTATAAAGTGGTTTCAGGTATTTTATTTGTCTTTTCCATTTAATGGTATCATTTCTCCTGAATGCTAAATGTCTTTTCCATTTAATGGAAAAGACAGGCAGTTTTTCAACTATTTTCTCTCCTGTTAAATTCCTCTCACACTATTTGACTTTATGTAATTCAACAATTAAGTCTTTGCTAGTTTGTACTCCTGATGTGTTATGTCTTGAGTTTACTAGCCCTGTTATGTCCACAGTTCTAACATGTGGTATGTATGACTCCAAGTAAATGTCGTTTGATTACTGTAGAACTAATTTATGTAAATAAGCAAATATTTCTCTTCAAGGCGAGATGATCCTTACTGGAGCGAGAATAAAAAGTTGTCTCTAGATACAGATGCACGATTTGGCCATGGATCCGACTACTCTCGCCAACAGAACAGATTTAATGACTTTGATCACCGAGAGAGGGGCAGGTTTCCTGAGAGTTCAGCAGTACAGTCTTCATCTTTTGAAAGGTAGATATGTTGAAAATTGTTATATTTATTTTATGAGCCTTGCTAGTGATAACTCTGTTTCTCCTAAAATCTTAACTGGAAGTACCAGGTCAGAACTGAATGCTCAGAACAATTTACGTGGTTTTTGTTTCTGTTAATGGGAATGTGATTCAGTATTCCAAATTAATTAACTAGAACACCATTAAGCAGGTTGGCTTTATCTTCTTATCTTTATTCTATTTTAATTTTTTTTGAGACAGGGTCTCATTCTGATTCCCAGGCTAGAACGCAGTGGTGCAATCTTGGCATACTGTACCTCTGCCTCGTGGGTTCAAACGATTCTTGTGCCTCAGCCACCCAAGTAGCTGAGATTATAGACATGCACCACCACCATGCCCGGCTAATTTTTGTATTTGTAGTAGAGACGGGGTTTTGCCATGTTGGCCAGGCTGGTCTAGCACTTCTGACCTGAAGTGATCCACCCACCTCAGCCTTCCAAAGTGCTGAGATTACAGGCCTGAGCCACCACTCCCCGCCTCTTCTTATCTTTAAAACTGTGGAAGCACTGATTGCTTTGGATATGCCTCAACTGTTAAGAACAGTAAAACATTCTTCAGCTTGGTAGTGACTTTTGAGTGTTCGGTATCATTTCTCCTGAATGCTAAAAAACCAACCTTTAGGCTAGACACTTAGTTCAGTTTAAAAGAAAATGAGTTGTAATAATCAATAACTAGCTTTTTTCCATGGCTTTGCCTTAAGTTCATTTTTTGGTTTCATTATTGTAGGTTATGCAGACAAAGTTAAGAAGAATTAAGCACTCAAGTAAGCACTTCTTGGACCTATATTCTTTGTTTCTAATCAATAGGCGGGATCGCTTTGTTGGTCAAAGTGAGGGGAAAAAAGCACGACCTACTGCACGAAGGGAAGATCCAAGCTTCGAAAGATATCCCAAAAATTTCAGTGACTCCAGAAGAAATGAGCCTCCACCACCAAGAAATGAACTTAGAGAATCAGACAGGCGAGAAGTACGAGGGGAGCGAGACGAAAGGAGAACGGTGATTATTCATGACAGGCCTGATATCACTCATCCTAGACATCCTCGAGAGGCAGGGCCCAATCCTTCCAGACCCACCAGCTGGAAAAGTGAAGGAAGCATGTCCACTGACAAACGGGAAACAAGGTAGCTGTGTACTATGTAATGCTTTCCTAGTGGTCTCATGCATTGGGGTTAAAAAAAGTTAAGATTACAGTTTTGATCATGTATGTTTTTATGTTTTGTTTAACAGAGTTGAAAGGCCAGAACGATCTGGGAGAGAAGTATCAGGGCACAGTGTGAGAGGCGCTCCCCCTGGGAATCGTAGCAGCGCTTCGGGGTACGGGAGCAGAGAGGGAGACAGAGGAGTCATCACAGACCGAGGAGGTGGATCACAGGTAAGTGCTGCGGGAGGCTTGCCGCGAGCCTGCACACATACATTTAGAGGATTCATGAGCTACTCTGGATATACAGTAGCATTTTGATGTGGCTTAGATTAGCTAGATTGGAATGATTCAGAGGCATTAATTTTTTATTTAAATTTTTAAAATCTGAATTTTTCTCATACTTTACTGTCAGTAGTTGACCATCAGTAGTCCAAAGAGTTAAGGTACTAGCCTTGAAATACTCCATTTCGATTAAACTTCCCAGTGAAATTTAAGAATTGTTAATTTGGTAAGTGAGCCTATCTAATGATAACTTTGGTTTTATTTCTTTTTAAGAAATTGAGGCTTTCAAACTGCATCTGAAATCTTTGGCCCCTACTTGTGTTTCCTTTTCAATAAAATATTCTTGGCCGGGCATGGTGGCTCATGCCAACACTTTGGGAGGTAATCCCAACACTGTGGGAGGCCGAGGTGGGCAGATCGCCTGAGCTCAGGAATTTCAGACTAGCCTGGGCAACATGGTGAAACCCCATCTCTACTAAAAATACAAAAATTAGCCGGGCGTGGTGGTGGGCGCCTGTAATCCCAGCTACTCTGGAGGCTGAAGCAGGAGAATCACTTGAGCCCAAGAGTTGGAGGTTGCAGTGAGCCAAGATGGTGCCACTGCACTCCAGCCTGGGCTACAGAGCCAGACCCTGTCTGGAAAAAAAAAAAAAAAATACACACACACACACACACACACACACACACACACACACACACACACACTCTTCTTTTTCTCCTGCTTCATTTAAGTAGCTTAAAGTGTAAAATTGAAATAGAACTTTTGTCTATTTTTTGTCTTCTTATCCTAAAGGTAGATGAGTGTAATGTTACATATTTTTAAATTTTTACTCTTGTGACACTTTATTGACTTGAATATTTTGTAAGTTAATGAGCTGGACAGAGGAAAGTGTCTTTATCTTTTAGAGACCGAAATGAACAAAAACCTTTTGCCTCATTTAAAAGTATTCTTCTACTGATGAAATACTGGCGTGTGGGTTGATAGTAGCACAGTTAGGACATACTTTCATAAATTATATACCAAAAAGAATTGTGCAGTGTGTGTGTCTCCATTATATGCTGGTGTTTGTTTTGTATTTTAATACAGTGTGTGTGTGTGTGTTGTTGTTTTTTTTGTTTTGTTTTGTTTGTTTGTTTTTTGAGATGGAGTCTTACTCTGTCAAACAGGCTGACATGCCGTGGTGCGATCTCGGCTCACGGCAACCTCCGCCTCCCAGGTTCAAGCGATTTTCCTTCCTCAGCCTCCCGATTAGCTGGGACTACAGATGTGCGCCACCACGCCTGGCTAATTTTTGTATTTTTAGTAGAGGCGGGGTTTCACCATGTTGGTCAGGCTGGTTTCAAACTTCCGACCATCCACCTCTGTCTCCCAAAGTGCTGGAATTACAAGCATGAACCATGACGCCCACCTCCTAAAAAGAATTTTTAAGACTGAGTCTATAATCCAAATAAGTCTGCCTTGTTTATAGTAAAATTTAAGTATCAAAGACTAGCCCTCCGCATTCAGAGGTCCTTTTAGAAAATGTGTCCTGAGGAGGAGATCTTGTATCCTCCCTTGAAAATTTTCTTTTTCATAATGTTAGTCTGTAAATTGTTCTGCCAGTATTATATCTAAGCCTCTCTGTGGGTACCTTCTGCTTTCTTTCCTGTAAGCTAAGTATCACAATGCTTGCTTTCTCTTTCCATAGATCTCTAGTTCTACAGTTTCTGTTTCTTTGTGTTTGCTACTCTGTTTTCCATAGTTATGGATGTAGCACCTTGTAAGTGCCATAGCACTAAGTAGTACAATGTAAAATAAGTTCACAACTCCTGTTTGCTGTGCTGTCTGCATGTTGTCCTGATAGGCTGATCATAGGCCCTGCCGTGCCTTGTCTTAAGGTTTTGATCTCTGGCTGTGCCTTCTTACAGTCAATATAAGATCCAAGTATTTGAAATAATCAAGGGTCAAAAAGCCCTTGGGTGCTAGAAAATACAGAAATACAAATTAATGGCCAGGCCTGGTGGCTCGTGGCTGTAAACCTAGCACTTTTGGAGGCCAAGGCGGGAGGATTACTTGAGGCCAAGGGTTCGAGACGAGCTTGGACAATATAGTGAGACCCCCATCTCCATAGGAAAATTAAAATTAAAGATGGGCATGGTGGTGTGCACCCTGTAGTCCCAGCTAGGCAGGAGGCTGAAGCAGGAGAATTGCTTGAGCCCCAGGAGTTCAAAGTTGCAGTGAGTTACGGTAGCAACACTGTACTCCAACCTGGGCAACAGTGTGATCATGTCTCCAAAAAAAAAAATTATTTTTTAAAAAAAGGAATTGGCCAGGTGTGGTGGCTCACACCTGTAATCCCAGCACTTTGGGAGGCCTAGGCGGGCGGATCATGAAGTCAAGAGATCAAGACCATCCTGGCCAACATGGTGAAACCCCGTCTCCACTAAAAATACAAAAATTAGCTGGGCGTGCTGGTGCATACCTGTAGTCCCAGCTACTTGGGAGGCCGAGGCAGGAGAATCGCTTGAATCCGGGGGGCGGAGGTTGCAGTGAGCCGAGATCGCGCCACTGCATTCCAGCCTGGCAACAGAGCGAGACTCTGTCTCAAAAAACAAAACAACAACAACAAAAGTATTAAATCATTTCCTCCATACCCTTCCCTGAGACCTGAGTAGCTTCTCACTACAAAATAGATATAAACTCTTTTCATATGCTGCTGCACTACTCATCCTTTTATCTTCTCAGACATCTTATTAATTTGCTTCTGACATTAAAAGCACACCAATATAAGTTGGTATGAGACCAAGACTGAGGGTATTGTGACTTCTCCTTTTTTTTTTTTTTGAGATGGGGTTTCACTCTTGTTGCCCAAGCTGGAGTGCAATGGCGCAATCTCAGCTCACTGCAACCTCTGCCTCCCGGGTTCAAGTGATTCTCCTGCCCCAGCCTCCTGAGTAGCTGGGATTATAGGTGTGGGGTACCATGCCTGACTAATTTTTTGTATTTTTAGTAGAAACGGGGTTGCACCATGTTAGCCAGGCTGGTCTCGAACTCCTGACCTCAGGTGATCCGCCTGCCTCAGCCTCCCAAAGTGCTGAGATTATAGGTATGAGCCACTGCGCCCGGCCAAGTGACTTTTCATATGCTATTCTTTTAGCACTATCCTGAGGAGCGACATGTGGTTGAACGCCATGGACGGGACACAAGCGGACCAAGGAAAGAGTGGCATGGTCCACCCTCTCAAGGGCCTAGCTATCATGATACGAGGCGAATGGGTGACGGCCGGGCAGGAGCAGGCATGATAACCCAACATTCAAGGTAAATAACTAACCAGTTTTTCTGCCAGCACACAACCAACACTTTATCCTTTCCATAAAAGTCATTATAGTTTCTGAGAGACTGAATTGCAACTACTGAAAACCCTAGATCTGCCTGAACATTTCCCTGTATCAACCCGTAGTCTCCAAAAGAGTGTTTGCAGAACAGCTGATATTAATGTGTTAGTTTGTATTCTTCCTTTTAAATGAATTCAGTGACGTTCTGGCAAGTTGATATAGATATGGGTATGTACGTATGGCAGGATCCAGTAAACAATGAATTCTTTTGTTTTGTTTTGTTTTTTGTTTTTTGAGATGGAGTCTCACTCTGTCGCCCATGCTGGACTGCAGTGGCGAGGTCTTGGCTCACTGCAACCTCCGCCTCCTGGGTTCAAGCAATTCTCTCATCTCAGCCTCCCAAGTAGCTGGGATTACAGGCATGTGCCACCATGCCCAGCTAATTTTTATATTTTTAGTAGAGACAGGGTTTCACCATGTTGCCCAGGCAGGTCTCGAACTCCTGACCTCAGGGGATCCGCCTGCCTTGGCCTCCCAAAGTGCTGAGATTACAGGCGGGAGCCACTGCACTCAGTCTAGATAATGAATCTTAACCTCACATTGGAACCATCATCTTGTTCTCTACCTAGCATTCCTCAAATTCTTAGGAAGAAAATACTGAAAGTGTGTTCTGTTTCCTCCCTTTTAAAATAACTCTTGGGAAGGCTTTTAGACATTTAACACAAAATCTCTTCATACGTTAAGAGGCGAGCTTTACTTTCTCTTCACACTGAGGTCGGATGTGGCCCTTCAGCCAGCAGGTCTTCAGCTTCCCCATCTCTTTCATGTCCTCCTTTCTTTCCCATTCCTCTTTCTTAGGAGAGTTATTGGCTTGACTCAGTGACCCAGGTCACTACTATTCCATGGTCACTTCTACCATCAAACTTCAGTAAGTGTGCTACTTCTGCCTGCACAAGCTCAACATTCATTGTATCTGGTTTGTAAAGGTCACCGATGACTTTTCTCTTGATAAATATAGATTCTTTTATTTTCATGGTTGTCAGACTCCTTGGTGGTTAAACACTGTTTCACACGGTCACTTATCTTTATTTTGAGGGAGTCTGTTTTCTAGGGCACCATCATTTTCTTTCTGCCTTTGTGACTGCCTTTGCAGGCTCCTTCCCGTGGCTAAGCTTTAGACACTGCTGTTTCCTTTCAGCTTCATGTTGCCACTGCCATGTAAGTGCTTTGCTGTTTCCATGAATTCAAGGTCACAGTCAAACTCATTCCTCTCCTTTTTCAAACCTTTGTGTCCCTTTTGTTGCCTCCAGTTTCTTTCAATTTGATAGTGCCACCATCCATTTCATTCACCCTGACTGGAAATACGGGGCTTGTCCTTACCTTTCTTCATTCCTAGTATAAATTTCTAAGTGTGGTTTTTTTTTTTTGAGACAGAGTCTTGCTCTGTCCAGGCTGGAGTGTAGTGGTGCAGTCTCGGCTCGCTGCAACCTCTGCCTCCTGGGTTCAAGTGAATAGCTGGGAATACAGGCGTGCACCACCACGCCCAGCTAATTTTTGTATTTTTAGCAAATGGGGTTTCACCATGTTGGCCAGGCTGGTCTTGAACTCCTGACCTTGTGATCTGCCCACCTCAGCCTTCTAAAGTGCTAGGATTACAGGCATGAGCCACTGCGCCCGGCCGTGTGGCTCTATTTTTTTTTAAATGTTTCTCAGGCTGGGCACAGTGGCTCATGCCTGTAATCCCAGTACTTTGGGAGGCCAAGGTAGGTAGATCACTTGAACTGAGGAGTTTGAGACCAGCCTGGGCAACATGGTAAAACCCTGTCTCTACAAAAAGAAAGTTTATCATAGCTATCCCTTATTCCTCATTTTAGCTTCTATCTGATCTTCCCAATTATTGTGTTCCATTACCCCATTTGTAAATTGAACTGTTGAAACTCCCATTTTATTATACCATTTATTGCTCTAAAACCACAACAAGCAGCTGCTCCAGGTCACAGGATTGAGCCCAGATTCCTCAGCCTGGCCCTTATAATCTAGTTTTATTCTGCCTGAACCATTTCACTGTAGATTTTTTTTTTTTTCCAAGACGAAGTATCTGTCCCCCAAGCTGGAGTGCAGTGGCACTATCTCAGCTCACTGCATCCTCCGCCTCCTGGGTTCACGTGATTCTCCTTCCTTGGCCTCCCAAGTAACTGGGACAACAGCGTGTGCCACCATGTTCAGCTGATTTTTTTGTATTTTTAGTAGAGATGGAGGTTTCACTTTGTTGGCCAGGCTGGTCTCAAACTCCTGTTCCTCAGGTGATCCTCCAGCTTCAGCCTCCCGAAGTGCTGGTATTATAGGTGTGAACCACCACACCCGGCCTTCACTGTAGATTTTTATCTCCTGGTTTGTTAAAGTTTTTTCTTTTTTGAGATGGAGTCTCGCTGTGACACCCAGGCTGGGGTGCATTGGCATGATCTCAGCTCACTGCAACCTCTGCCTCCCGGGTTCAGGCAATTCTCCTTGATCCGCCCGCCTCGGCCTCCCAAAGTGCTGGGATTACAGGCGTGAGCCACTGCGCCCGGCCTGTTAAAGGTTTTTTGTCGGGGGAGGGGGTCTGCTTTTTTGTGTTACTAACATCTGCTCTGTTGCATTACACATAAAGATTCCAGAAATATTCTTAAATGACTTCTATAATTTAGTTCACAAGCTTTAGCAAACAACAGAATCACCTGGAGGGCTTGTTAAAACACAGGTTGGCCGGGCGTGGTGGCTCCTGCCTGTAATTTCAGTACTTTGGGAGGCCAAGGCTGGCAGATCTTTTGAGCCCAGGAGTTCAAGACCAGCCTGGCCAACATGGCGCAACCCTGTCTCTAAGAAAAATAAAAAAAATTAGCTGAGCATGGCGGCACTTGCCTGTAGTCCTAGCTACTCTGGTGGCTGGCTGAAGTGGGAGAATCACCTGAGCCCAGGAAGTCAAGGCTGCTGCAGTGAGCCATGAATGTGCCACTGCACTCCAGCCTCGGTGAAGTGAGTGAGGCCCTGTCTAAAAATATATATATTTAAAAGAACAAACAAAGAAAAGCACAGGTTGCTGGGAGTCCCACCCTCAGTTTCTTTCTCTGTGGTCTGAGATGGGGGTGAGAATTTGCATTTCTAACAGGCACCCAGCTGGTGCTGCTGCTGCTGGTTTGGGGTCCACACTTAAGAGATCTGCTGCTGTAGTCCACGTGCAGATCCACAACTGGCTTCTGAAGTAATGGGGCTTCAAAGTGAGATTGCCCAAGTTCAAATCTCTGCTTCACCATTTTATTAGCTCTGTGACCTTGGAAGAGTTCCTCAACCTCCAGATCTGTTTCTTCAGTAAAGTGGGGTTAGCAATGGTTCAGACCTCACGGGACTGTTGAAAAGAGTAAATGATTTATTTTGGATAAAGTACCAAGAACAGTGCCTGGTATTTGCAGTGATGATTTGTTCTTTGTTCTCTGATGTTTTTTTCTTTTAAACCTTTTTCAGTAACGCATCCCCAATTAATAGAATTGTACAAATCAGTGGCAATTCCATGCCAAGAGGAAGTGGCTCCGGATTTAAGCCATTTAAGGGTGGACCTCCGCGACGATTCTGAAAATGAGCTCTCTGCCAAGGTTTTAAGATAATTTATTGAAATCTCCTGTAAACTTTACTTGACTACTTATGAAGAGGACCTCTGACTTGCTTGAGAGTTCTGTCAGACTTTTCTTTTTAAAAATTTAACATGATTGCTTTTCTCAATTTTGGAGAAGATGTTTAAATAGTTCTGTTGTAACTTTTAATAGTTTTGTGTATCATTCAACTTTTTTTCTTGCAGCACCGAGGCACATTTGAAAAGATGGAATTGAAGTCGTTTTGTTTAACGCTGTGTGAATATAAAGAGTAGTTTGCAGCTGTGTGGTAGTGGTTTAATTTGCAGCCTTAGCTCTGTGGTGTCTGGCTCTAGAGTTACTTCTTTTTACCAAGCATTTTCAGCCTCCATTTTGAAGGCTGTCTACACTTAAGAAGTCTTAGCTGTCTAATTTTTAGAGAATAAGATTGTTCATTGCATTTCTGAGTATTATGTAACCTATTTTTGCAGAAGGTACTGTTACATTAAGTGCATCTGTGTATCCTGGTTTAAAAAAATGTAATCTTTTTTGAAATAAACCTTCATATTCTGTATAGTTGCTAAAGTGTTGAGAACCTTTTTAATTGTAAAATGAGAACCGATTTTCAGTTTAGTGTAGCAGCACACTTGTTCAGGTTTGCATGGTATGAAACCAAATAGATTCATGAAACCTTGGCCATGAGGTTTGTTTCACAAGGTTCTTAGACCGAGTTGTGCAGGTAAGTGCACTTTTAGGTAATCTGCACTGTTTGTTTGATGGATAAATTCCATCTCTGGGAATTGTGTGGGTATTAATGTTTCCATGTTCCCAACTATGTTGAGAAGTGGAAAAAAACCCAGGTTCTAGATGGGTGAATCAGTTGGGTTTTGTAAATACTTGTATGTGGGGAAGACATTGTTGTCTTTTTGTGAAAATAAAAATCCACACCTGGAAGTGTATGTGTCTTTGTTTTCAGCGTTTTAGGTGTTAGTCGTCCAGTTCTTTCTGTAGTTCAGCCCAAGGTGACTGACTAGATATAGAGCTATAAAGGCATTCTTTTGGTCTTTGTTCTTCAGAAATAAATCTAGCTTAGACTCTTCACCTCAGTAGCTGGGCAGCACATGCTGTTCACATGTTAGAGACTTAACCACTAATCCTATGGCTTTTTTAAAGGCATCTCTTTTAGGAAAGCCCTTCAAGGTAAATGCTGCTCTTTCAAAAAAGCTTCCCACATCCCTTTATATAAATCAGTGAAGAAAAATCCAAATGGTCTAGATTTTGGTAAATTCAGCACTCTCTATGCTCAATACGGTCATGCCCATGAGATGGCTCACACTTCTGAGTGCCGTGGGGCAACCAAGGTTCTGTGGTCTCTGGTCCTTTGGGGAACTTCTCTGGATTTCTTACGTTTTCTGCCATTCCCAGTCCTACAGCTGTGGGAGCAGGTTGGGTGTCTGCGTTGGTGTAGGGGAGGTCTACCTCATTTTTGATCACTACGTGTTGTAGAGTGGCACAGGAGAAGCCTCAGTATCCATTGGAGTGAATGTTGGTGACTTTGGGTTAGAATGTCACTTCTCGTTGTTTCCTCATTTGTAGAGTGGGACTGTGCTTCTTAGAAGGGATTATCATACAGCTGCAAACACTGGCTAAGCGCTTTACGTGCTGGGCAATGTGCTAAGCGTTTGACATATGTTCCCTTGCCTAATACTCAGAAGAATCCTCCTAGCCACAGGTAGAATTACTGACCTGACCAGTTTTCAGATGGGAATCTGGATAGTAACCTGCCTTTTAAACATTAGATCCTTGATTTGTTTCAGTCTTTTCTACACTTATACTGAAGGGTACAAGCCTACAGACACTATAGGTAATTATTTTTTACTCGAGTTGCCATGGCGATGGCTTTAAGTTCAGAAAAGCTGACAAAACCACCTGATATGCTGGCATTGAGGTTGAGTGGCCCTCAACCATCATGGGCAGCAGCTAGCAGCGATCTGGCTGGCTCAGGGTCAACAGTGAAAACCAAATTTGGAGGTTTTTGTTTTGTTTTGTTTTTGTTTTTGAGACAGAGTCTAGCTCTCACCCAGGCTGGAGTATAGTGGCACGATCTCGGCTCACTGCAACCTCCGCCTCCTGGGTTCAAGCGATTCTCCTGCCCCAGCCTCCCGAGTAGCTGGGATTACAGGTGCCAGTCACCACGCCCAGCTATTTTTTTGTATTTTTAGTAGAGACGGGGTTTCACTATGTTGGCCAGGCTGGTCTCGAACTCTTGACCTCATGATCTGCCTGCCTCAGCCGCCTAAAGTGCTGTGATTACAAGCGTGAGCCACCACGCCTGGCCTATTTAGAGGTTTTGTTGTTGTTTTGAGGTGGAGTCTCACTCTGTCTCCCAGGCTGGAGTGCAGTGGCACAATCTTGGCTCACTGCAACCTCTGCCTCTCGGGTTCAAGCAATTCCCCTGCCTCAGCCTCCCAAGTAGCTGGGATTACAGGTGCCTGCCACCACGCCCGGCTAATTTTTTCTATTTTTAGTAGAGACGGGGTTTCACCATGTTGGTCAGGCTGGTCTTGAACTCCTAACTTCATGATCCACGAAGGAAGACAGATTCTTCAAAGCCAAGAGAATGGAGGAAAATGTGCCATTCCCCGTGTGCTTGATGCGTAATCCAAATGTTTCGCCACAGGACAATGGCATCAATGAGTCAGAAGCTACAGACAGCTCATATGATGCAAAAAAGATTCAAGAAAGATAGTAGCCAGTCTTGGTAAGTTGGGCAAGATGCTGACGTCAGAAACTACACATGCCAAAAATAATTGTAAAATAAAATTAAAAGCTTAGGAATTACATAGAAAAAATCTCAAGCTCTTAAATGTATGAAGTAATGAAAACATTTAAAACCTTTCTGCCTGGATTGTCAGTTAACTCAGTTCCTCCATACTTAACAGGTCCTAACAAATACTGAATCCTCATTGAAAAAATTGTCAGATTTTTTGCATTTATAAAGAACCTCATCCAATCCATCTAACTAAAGATGAATCTCTTACAATACCTCCAATAACTGCTTAATTAGCATTTCTGTCAAACACCTCAAATTTACCATGTGTAGTTACCCCCAAAAACTCATCCTCTCAAATATTTAATCACCACCTTCAACTCAGTAAGGGCATTGTAGGTAAAATTAATAATATCCCCTAAAACGCACCACTCAACAAATACTGTTTATTTTTATCTGAAACAAATTGTTTCCTGAAATCCTTTAAGTGCTTCCTACAGATAAGCCTTTATCTTTCCTTTCTCTTTCCTTTTGACTTAGCTATTCCAGCCAGGCCTGAGGGGCAGGTATCATCTAGTTAATGTTCACCTACATACTCTGTACCAAAATCACCAATATCTATGTCTTCACCGCTGCCCCTCTTACATTTTTCTCTGAGAAGACCAACTTCCCCTCCAAGCCCTCTAATGTCTCTTCATCTGTAGAATACATTCAGTCTGTCACCTCATTTCCTACTACTCTCCTCCTTGTTCACCTGGTTCCACACTGGCCTCGTCCCGTGTGTTGACCACAGCATCTCATCTCAAGCCTTTTGCTTGTGCTCACTCCTTCATCTGAAACGCTCTTCCTCAGATAGCCATGTGGGCTCGCTCCCTCATTGCTTCAGTTCTTAGCTAAAATGTCATTTTCTCAACCATGCCTTCCCGATTTTATTTAAAATTGCCACACTTAGGCTGGGTGCAGTGGCTCATGCCTGTAATCCCAGCACTTTGTGAGGCAGAGGTGGGCGGATCACCTGAGGTCAGCAGTTTGAGACCAGCCTGGCCAACATGGTGAAACCCCATCTCTACTAAAATTACAAAAAAATTAGCCGGGCATGGTGGTGGGCGCCTGTAATCCCAGCTGAGGCTTAGGCAGGAGAATTGCTTGAACCCGGGAGGCGGAGGTTGCAGTGAGCCAAGATGGTGCAATTGCAGTCCAGCCTGCATGACAAGAGCAAGACTCCCATCTCAAAATAAAATAAAATTGCCACACTTATTCCCTTTCTCAGCATTCCCCCTCCTTCCCATCTAACCTATTTATAATCCATCTTCTCCTACTTCATGTAAGCTCCAGAAGGACAGCTGTTTTTGTCTATTTTTTCTTTTCACTGCTGTATCCCTGACGCCTGGCTCTTAGTAGCCACTCAATAAATATTGGATGAATAAATAACCATGTGAAGGATTCAGAATTTTTATAATAGGGACTTAGGGAAAGCAATCTGGTTGGAATGGGGGAGCCTGGGCTTTGTCTTGAAGTTGGTGTAACATTGGTGTAGCATTGCTGTAGCAAACACACTTTTTTAAGGCTGAATACTTAAGCCACCCCATTGGTGCAGCCATCAGTAAGAAATGGGATTGTTTAGGGACAGGTTGCCCAGACCAGCATCTCTAAGCCTGGAATTCATACTGTCTGAGGTGAGATGCCTGCCCCAGGCATAAACATTAGCCATGAAGTCATCTTGGCTCCATGCTCACCATGTATATAGTTTCCCACCTGGATTTGCCAACAGGGTTAGGAAATGAGTATGAAATCTACTCACTGGTTAAATTTTCATCAGTTTATGAGACAGCCCATCAAAAGCTCAAGCAATAACCTTTCATTTGGACAGAGACAGTTTTCCTTCTCTTTTTTTTTTTTGAGATGGTATCTCACTGTCTCCCAGGCTGGAGTGCAATGGCATAATCTCAGTTCACTGCAACCTCTGCCTCCCAGATTCAAGTGATTCTTATGCCTCAGCCTCTCAAGTAGCTGGGATTACAAGGCACCTGCCATCACACCTAGCTAATTTTTGTATCTTTAGTAAAGATGGAGTTTCACTATGTTGGCCAGGCTGGTGTCAAACTCCTGACCTCAAGCGATCTGCTCTCCTCGGCATCTTAAAGTGCTGGGACTACATGGTGTGAGCCACCATGCCCTGCCCCTTCTCTCAATAAATCTAGTGATGTCCATCAAACTATAAAATTAATTTCCTCACCACATTTCAGGCATTTGGAAGGTGGATTGCAGGAGAAATGGGTCAGATACCATGACAAGAAATGGTGCATCCCTCAAGGACATGGTAATATAAGGCTAAAAATTCTAAGGAATTCTGATCCAATGAACTAACACCCTAATTTTCTAAAATTACCAAATTATCTGTTAGCTTCTTTAATGACTTTATTTCCTATGGATCTGCCATCCTAGGCCTCTGGACAGGTAGCCTGCTAGGATTTGCTTCACCTGGTTGACAGCTCACTCCCTCTGAACTACTCAAAGAACAATCAAATTTATTAGATAACATGGTACTACAGGGAAGGCCCTTGCAGCTGGGACAACGTGCAGGGGCATCCAGTCTAGAAACCATAGGCTTCAGAATGTAGAGGAATAAGGACTCAAAAACCAGTCTGCCATTTACTAGATGTGTTCAATTATGGGCAATTTATCTGTATGTCCAGAATACTATAGTCAACTTTACTAGTAGGAACAGGGCTATTGTAAGGGTTTAAGTGGGAAAATATGTGTCAAATACTGAACAAATTCTGCCCATTGTTTTTCTTGTTCTTGCAAAGTCACCTTGTGTTCCCTGATTTAAGACAAAAGAGACAACCTCATTTGTAAAAGGTCGCTGATCAAATAGAGAATTAGGCAGGGCGTGGTGGCTCATGCCTGTAATCCCAGCACTTTGGGAGGCCGAGACGGGTGGATCACCTGAGGTCAGGAGTTCAAGACCAGCCTGGCCAACACAGTGAAGCCCTGTCTCTACTAAAAGTACAAAAATTAGCCGGGCATGGCTGTGTGCACCTGTAGTCGCAGCTACTCAGGAGGCTGAGGCAGGAGAATCGCTTGAACCAGGGAGACAGAGGTTGCAGTGAGCTGAGATCATGCCACTGCACTCCAGCCTGGGAGACAGAGTGAGACTCCGACTCAAAAAAAAAAAAAAAGTAAAAATAAAAACAAGATAATTGGCCGGGTGTGGTGGCTCACGCCTGTAATCCCAGAACGTTGGGAGGCTGAGGCGGGAGGATCATGAGGTCAGGAATTCAAGACCAGCCTGACCAATATGGTGAAACCCCATCTCTACTAAAAATACAAAAATTAGCTGGGCGTGGTGGCGGGCGCCTGTAATCCCAGCTACTGGGGAGGCTGAGGCAGGAGAATTGCTTGAACCCGGAAGGCGGAGGTTGCAGTGAGCCGAAATCGTGCCATTGCACTCCATCCCGGGTGACAGAGTGCAACTGTCTCAAAAAGAAAAGATAATTGAACTGGCATATATGCTAAGTGGACAAAATCTGAGGTCTAATGGGTGATGAGCCTGGGCCACACCCCCAGAGGTTCATGGATGGAGTCCCAACATGTTTTACCCCCAAAAGTTCCTCCACAGGATTCACATGTACAGCAAGTTTTGACAATCACTCTGGAGATGTAGCTCAGAGTAGGAAAAACCAAATGCTTTTTACAAGCTGCTGGCAATCAACTCTGGGTTTTTGCCAGTGGGATGAGATGCTCTGAATAATGTAATTTTGTGGTTAAATGATCAGTTCCTCTGTAGAGCTGAATCACCCAGGGTGGGAGTGGAGGACCTCTGCATCACCTTTAGGAACTTGGGTCCAGAGCTTTCAGAACTGTCCTGCTTGCCGGGCATGGTGGCTCATGCCTCTAATCTCAGCACTTTGGGAGACTGGGGTGGGAGGATCACTTGAGGCTAGTTTAAGACCAGCCTGGGCCAAATAGTGAAACCCCGTCTCTTTAAAAACAAAAACAAAACCGAACTGCTTTGGTTAAGCTGTGAAATATTAATATTATGTATTATTTAGATAAGTAATACTTTGTTTTCATTATACTAAGTAGAGAATTCTATTTAAGTAGAGAATCACCTTTGAAAGAAGTGTAAGAGGTCAGGCGCGGTGGTTCACGCCTGTAATCCCAGCACTTTGGGAGGCTGAGGTGAGTGGATCACGAGGTCAGGAGTTCAAGACCAGCCTGGCCAAGACGGTGAAACCCTGTCTCTACTAAAAATACAAAAATTAGCTGGGTGTGGTGGCAGGCACCTATAATCCCAGCTACTCAGGAGGCTGAGGCAGAGAACTGCGTGAACCCTGGAGGCGGAGGTTGCAGTGAGCCGAGATTGCACCACTGCACTCCAGAATGGGCAACAGAGCGAGACTCCGTCTTAAAAAAGAAAGAAAGGAGTGTATCAAGAGTCTCATTTTGCATCAACTAAAATTTTCATTCACTAAGCAAAAATATTACACTTTCTATTTTACACACTGTTTAACTATTTTTTTCAAGTAAATTTTATCTTATCTGCTTTTTTTTTTTTTTTTGAGATGACATCTCGCTCTGTCACCCAGACTGGAGTATAATGGCACAATCTTGGCTCACTGCAACCTCTGCCTCCTGGGTTCAAGTGATTCTCCTGCCTCAGTCTCCTGAGTGGCTGGGATTACAAGTGCCTGCCACCACGCCCAGCTAATTTTTATATTTTTAATAGAGACAGAGTTTCACCATGTTGGCCAGGATGGTCTCGATCTCTTGACCTCGTGATCCGCCTGCCTTGGCCTCCCAAAGTGCTGGGATTACAGGTGTAAGCCACCGCGCCTGGCCTGCTTGACTATTTTTAAAATTTAAACACAAAAACTCCAAGTGGTCACATAGAATGACAAAAGTAAAGTTAACTCAAATTCTAGTTTTCAGTGCATAGGTTTTACATCTACCTCTAGTATTTTGTTTGATGCTATTATAAATGGACCTGTTGAATTTCAATTTTCAATTGTCCATTGCTAGCATACAGAAACAAAAGTATTTTGAAGTAAAATTTACAAATAGGCACACATTTTAAGTGTACAGTACATTGACAAATGTATACAGCCAAGTCATTACCACCATGATCAAGAATATTTCCATCACTGAAAGTTTCCTTGTGTCCTTTTCTGGTCATCCTAAACCACATCTCCAGCCCCAGGCAACCACCTACCTGCTTTCTACCACTGGAGACTTTATGTCTCCTAGAGTTTCATATAAACAGGATCATACAGTAATGTCTTATTTTGTGTCTGGTTCCTTTCACTCAGCACAGTGTTTCTGCAATTCAGCCATGTTGCTGTGTGTATCAGTCATTCCATCTTTTTGTTGCTGTGTAGGTTTCCCATGTACGGATGTACCACATTTTTTTGTGCATTCGCCTATTGATGGAAATTTGGGTTGTTGACAATTTTTGGCTATTATGAATAAAACTGCTATGAATATTTGTGTACAAGTCTTTGTGTGGACACGTTTTCATTTCTCTTGGGTAAACAGGATTGGATATATGGTAGTGTATATTTAACATTACAGGAAACTGCCAAAGAGTTTTCTGAAATCGTTGTACCTTTTTGCATCAGCAATGTAACGGGTTCAAATTGATTCACAGATGCACCAACACTTGGTATTGTCAATCTTTTCAATGCTAGCCTTTTTTAGTGGGTGTGCTGTACTATTTCAGTACAGTTCAATGTAGTTTTGTTTGTTTTAGTTTTTGAGATGGAGTTTTGAGCTTGTTGTCCAGGCTGGAGTGCAATGGCACGATCTCGGCTCACTGCAACCTCCACCTCCTGGGTTCAAGTTATTCTCCTGCCTCAGCCTCCTGAATAGCTGGGACTACAGGCACGTGCCACCATGCCCAACTAATTTTTTGTATTTTTAGTACAGACGGGGTTTCACCATGTTGGTGAGGCCAACTCCTGACCTCAGGTGATCCACCGGCCTTGGCCTCCCAAAGTGCTGGGATTACAGGCATGAGCCGCCGTGCCCGGCCCAAATGTGTTTACGTGTTCTTCTGACTAACGATGTTGTACATGTTTTTATGTGCTTATTGACCATTAATATATCTTCCTTTGTGAATTATTATTATTATTACTATTATTATTATTATTATTATTATTTGAGACGGAGTCTCACACTGTTGGCCAGGCTGGAGAGCAAGGGCACGATCTCGGCTCACTGCAACCTCCGCCTCCTGGGTTCAAGCGATTCTCCTGCCTCAGCCTCCCAAGTAGCTGGGATTACAGGTGCCCGCCACCACACCCGGCTAATTTTTTTTTTTTGTATTTTTTAGTAGAGATGGGGTTTCACTATGTTGGCCAGGCTGGTCTCAAACTCCTGACCTCGTGATCTGCCCACCTTAGCCTCCTAAAGTGCTGAGATTACAGGCGTGAGCCACCGCACCCAGCCATGAATTATTTATTTAAATCTTCATGTTTTAACATTTTTGTAAATTATTTATTTCTTCCATGATGATTTAGAGAGACTATCTTCAAGCCAGTACAAATATTTCATAAATGGTATGTGGCCGTTTTCTAACCAGTTGAGTAATTTGTTGCACAATAAGCCACCTCACATCTTTCAGCAAGAAATACATTAAATTTGAATAGTAAAGACATTACACACTGAATTAGGACACAACTAAAATTTGCTTTAAATATTTCTTTGGGGGAGAGGACAGCACCCTCTACTCAATAAAGACAAACTTTTTTTTTTTTTTTTGAGACAGAGTTTTGCTCTTGTTGCCCAAGCT
Source organism: Homo sapiens (assembly GCF_000001405.40). Lineage (NCBI taxonomy): Eukaryota > Metazoa > Chordata > Mammalia > Primates > Hominidae > Homo > Homo sapiens. Next base: position 58,870,440 of record NC_000015.10, on the reverse strand, counting down.
GGAGTGCAATGGCGTGATCTCGGCCCACTACAACCTCCACCTCCTGGGTTCAAGCAATTCTCCTGCCTCAGCCTCCCGAGTAGCTGGGATTACAGGTGCCTACCACCGCACCTGGCTAATTTTGTATTTTTAGTAGCAACGGGGTTTCTCCATGCTGGTCAGGCTGGTCTCGAACTCCCGACTTCAGGTGATCCGCCCGCCTCAGCCTTCCAAAGTGCTGGGATTACAGGCGTGAGCCACCATGCCCCGCCAAGAGAAACATTTTTTACAGTGCAGAGGTCTTTTATTTTTTTAAAACACCTATTATGCTATGAATTTGTAGGGAAGAGGTTCCAGCAGCTCAGACTCCTTCCCATTGGTTCTCACAAAGTGTGCTTCTCTGGGTAGAGGCTGCTGCTTCAGTTGAACCCAGGTAGCTTTCTCTTTGGCTTCTTTCTTTTTCTGATCATTTTCCTTCACATGTTTCAGGAAGCTATCTCGGCTCTTAGAGTGCTTAATGTGCTCAATACACACATTAATTCTCTTGGCAAGAATCTTGCCCTTAACTGTTTGTTTACAACAGTGTCAACAGCATGCTGGGTAACATTGTAGACTCTTCCAGTTTAGCCGTGGTAACACTTGTGGGGTATTCCTTTTTGAACAGTACCCATTCCCTTGATGTCTACAATATCACCTTTCTTATAGATTCGCATATATGTGGCCAAAGGAACAACTTCATGTTTACTAAAAGACCTAGAGAACATATATTGGGTGCCTCTCCCCTTTCCCTTTGTGTTCGTCATTTTGGCGAATTACTGGAAGATGGCGGTTCCGGCCGAAAGGTTTACTCCATCTTTAATTGTGTTTTTAGATTTCGATGAAGTGGGCTGGGCGCAGTGGCCAGGAGTTCGAGACCAGCCTGTCCAACAGGGTGAAACCCCATGTCTACTAAAAACACAAAAATTAGCTGGGTGTGGTGGTGCACACCTGTAGTCCCAGATGCTCGGGAGGCTGAGGCAGGAGAATCGCTTGAACCCAGGAGGCAGAGGTAGTAGTCAGCCGAGATCTTGCCACTGCACTCCAGCCTGGGCGACAAACCAAGACTCCGTCTCCAAAAAAAAAAAAAGAAAAAAAAGAAAAAAATCCATTTCTAGTTAACTTATGTATGGCATAAATTAAGGATTAAGGTTCATTTTTATCTATATGTGTACCAGTGCATTCTCACATTACTATAAAATAACTGAGACTGGGTCGTTTATAAAGAAAAGAGGTTTACTTGGCTTATAGTTCTGCAGGCTGTACGGGGAAGCATAGAGGCTTCCACTTCTGGGGAGGCCTCAGAAAATTTACAATCATGGCGGAAGGCGAAGGGGAAGCAGGCACATACCACATGGCCAGAACAAGAGCAAGAGAGCGAAGTGGGGAGGTGCCACACACTTTTAAACAACCACATCTTATGAGAACTGTATCACAAGAACAGCACCAAGAGGATGGTGTTACACCATTCATGAAAGATCCATTCCCATGATCCAGTCACCTCCCAGCAGGCCCCACCTCTGGAGATTACATTTTCACATAAGATTTGGTGGGGACACAGACCCAAACCATATTAATATGGATATCCACTTTTTTCAGTATTATTTGTTGAAAATACTTATTTTCCTGGCCAGGCATGGTGGCTCATGCCTGTAATTCCAGCACTCTGGGAGGTTGAGTTGGGTGGATCGCTTGAGGTTAGGAGTTTGAAACCAGCCTGGCCAACACGGTGAAACCCAAACCAGCCTGGCCAACATGGTGAAACTCCGTCTGTAGTAAAAATTCAAAAATTAGCCAGGCGTGGTGGCGGCCCCCTGTACTCCCATATACTTTGGAGGCTGAGGCAGGGAAAATTGCTTGAACCGGGGAGGCGGAGGTTGTAGTGAGCCGAGATCGCACCACTGCACTCCTGCCTAGGCGACAGCACGAGACTCTGTCTCAAAACAAAACAAAACAAAACAAAACAAAAAAACAAAAAAGAGTATTGAATCTGTCAATCCATAATTAGTGTCTCTCTTCATTTAGTAGACCATAGGCCTTCATTAATATCTCTCAGTAATGTGTTATAATTTTCATTGTATAGGTCTGACACATTTTTCTCTAACTCTCACTGCATCCCAAATGGAAGGGATTGGTTTTATTTTGCAAGATATATACATTAAAAGTGATATATACATTAAAAGCAACAATAACTACCAAGTGTACTTTTACCATCTTTTCCTAAAAGGACATTTTAATGCCAAAGAAACAGATGGCATGAGGTCAGAGCAGTAACAGTGGCTGAAATCTACCTATTTGGCACCCACGCCGGCTCCTGTTCTGAGGAGTCACGAAAACTGGAAAGGCAGTAACCCTGAGGCCGACAAATTCCATGTTAGTTCTATTCCACCTCCAGTTCACCCTGTATTCCTCTCATCTCTATGGCAGACAGAATAATGGCCCAAAGACATACATGGCCTGATCCCCAGAACCTGCCACATGCTGTCTCACAGGCCAACAGGGACTCTGCAGACGGGAAGGAATTAAGCATTGACACGGGGAAACTATCCTAAATTTTCCTGATGGGCTCAATGTCATCACAGGCATCCTATGAAGTGACCACAGGACCTAAGAGGGTCAAGGTCAGAGGAGAGATAGGGAGACGGAAGCAGAAGTTGGAGTGCAGCACTCTGAGGACAGAGGAAGAGCCATGAGCCGAGGAATGCAGGCAGCCTCTAGGACCTGGAAAAGGCAGGAAACGGATTCTCCTCTAGAGCCTCAGGAAGGAACGTGGCTCTGCAAACACCTTGATTTTGGGCGGTGAGACCCATTTTGGACTTCTGACCTCCAGAACGATAACAGATGTGCGTTATTTGTAAGCTGCTGGGTTTGTGGTGATTTGTTACAACCCACTTTAGGGAACACTGACCCGGAAGGAGGGTGAGGATAGAGAAGCCAGAGTCAGCACAGAGGTGCTGGGAGGCGGGAGCAGAGGAGGGGCGAGCTGTATCCCAGACAGTAAGAGGGGAGAGTGTTTGGGGGCTGGTCAGGCTGCATAAGAAGGCAGAGGGACAAGGCCACTGAGTTGGGTGGCGCAGAAGCCAAGTGGCAGCCTTGACAGGAGCTGTTCCCTCTGGAAGAAAGGAAGGACCCCCGGCTGCTGTGGACTGAAGGCTTTTGCTCGCTTTGCCTCACCTAGATGCCCCCTTTCTGCTGCTACATCCCAGCACCCAGCAGGCACTCGGTACACACCTACGATGAACACCCGACTGCTCTGACTCTTCACCCTCCCACCACTGGTGACTCCAGCCTCACTGCTAACACTCCCTTACTCACGGGCCCCTCTGCTGCTCGAGGCGCCTCAGGGCCTTTGCACTGGCTGTTCCCGTGGCCTGGACCACTCTTCTCAGAGGTCTCTGCGTGGCTGCCCGCTGCTCATCACCCAGGCCCCACACAGCCCCCACCGGGCACGTGAGAGTGTCAGGTATTGAAAGGACAATATTTTGAAGACATTAGGGTCAACGAGCAGATTATCAAAACTAAATTCACCTGTTTCTTTTCACTTTTTTTTTTTTTTTTTTTTTTGAGACGGAGTCTCGCTCTGTCGCCCAGGCTGGTGTGCAGTGGCGCGATCTCTGCTCACTGCAAGCTCCGCCTCCCGGGTTCCCACCATTCTCCTGCCTCAGCCTCCCAAGTAGCTGGGACTACAGGCGCCCGCCACCACGCCTGGCTAATTTTTTTGTATTTTTAGTAGAGACGGGGTTTCAACCTGTTTAGCCAGGATGGTCTCGATCTCCTGACCTTGTGATCCGCCCGCCTCGGCCTCCCAAAATGCTGGGATTACAGGCGTGAGCCACCGCGCCCGGCCTCTTTTCACTTTTTTTAACGTGGCGACTAGAACACGTAAGATGGCGTCTGCGGTTCACCTTACACATCCTCCCTGGAGAGCGTACTCTAAACCAGGATGCAAGCTTCCCCTACAGGGCAAGACAGGAAATGCTTCCAGCTTCTCAGGCTCTCTGTCATAGTCACGGTGGCAAGAGTCAGCCACAGATGACGTAAGTGAATGGGTGTGGCTGTGCACCAAGACTTCACAAACACAGTTGCTGGGCTGGGCTGGGCGGGCCCCAGACAGTGAGTCGGCCCATACCTGCTGTGTGAAAGAATCCAAACCTGGGGCCGGGCGCGGTGGCTCACACCTGTAATCCCAGCACTTCGGCAGGCCAAGATTAGGCGGATCACCTGAGGTCAGGAGTTCGAGACCAGCCTGGCCAACAATGGTGAAACCCCATTTCTACTAAAAATACAAAAAATTAGCTGGGCATGGTGGCGGGCGCCTGTAATCCCAGCTACTCAGGAGGCTGAGGCAGGAGAATCACTTGAACCTGGGAGGCGGAGGTTGCAGTGAGTCGAGATAGCGCCACTGCACTCCAGCCTGGGCAACAAGAGCGAAACTCTGTCTCAAAAAAAAAAAAAAAGAAAAAAAAAAGAAATAATAAAAAAAGAAGAATCCAAACCTGCCCAGAGAGAGGCCTGGCTTTTGCCCTCCGCCCTCGGGAAGTCATCTCTGAGCCCTTGGTGTCTCGCGCATGAGGAGGGTCTGACTGCCTGGGGCCCTCAGGCCAGCCCGACAGCAAGATGGATTTGGGGTGGAGTTTGGGCCAGGTGGTATCCTTGAGCTTCCGGGGCTGGAGGCTGAGGTCAGCCACACAGATCGGGGAGGAGTCCCCAGTAAGAACCCGGGACACCAAGATCTGAGGAGGGTCCCTGGCTGGCAACACTCCCTGCGTGCCGGGAGGAGTGAAGGGAGAGGACAGCTGATAACTGGTCTCCGTGGAGCCTTCCGGGCCCTCTTCCTGGCTGCTTCCAGCGCGTCCTTCTCTGTGATAAGCCGTGACTGTGAACATGGCTGTGAGTCCTTCTAGAGAACTCGCAAGTATGCCAAGGTCTTGGGGGCCCTACTGACTTGCAGCTGGTGTTGGATGGAGCCCCACATGGACTGTCCCTCCTTGCTGCGCCATGGCCTCCCCACCGTGGGTCACACTGGTTTTCGGGGGCTAAGCAGCGGTTTTCCCTCCGCTTCCTCCTGGCTTCCCCGCTCCCCTGCCTCCTCCCCTCCCCCGTCGCAGCCCCGTCAGGCTCACCCAGAACTCTTCCAGCAGGGCCACCGCCTCCTCCCAGCTTAGCGGCTGACGGCTGCACACCCAGGCCTGCGTGTCGGCTGGCAGCGCGCTCAGAAACTGCTCCAGCACCAGCAGCTCCAGCATCTGCTCCTTGGTGTGCACCTCGGGCCGCAGCCGGTCCCGGCACAGGGCGCGTAGCAGCCCCAGCGCCTCGTGCGGGCCCGGCGCCTCGCCCAGGTGGAAGCGGCGGAAGCGGTGCCACGAGGAGCCCAGCGCCAGGCCCTCGGCCTCCTGCTTCAGCGGCACCGTCAGCTCCATGGGGCCTCCTGGACGGCAGCGCCTGCCCCGCGTGGCCCAGGGTGCAAAGAGGTCTCTGTGAGGGGCGGCGCTCACTCGGGCGGTGAGGAAAGGGTGTCTGTCTCGTGGGATCCCACGGAGTCAAGTGCCGGCTCTGCCCCTCGTTGGGCCCCTTCCGCGGCTTCTGTACCTCAGTCCTGCAGCTCCTCCCGCAGCCTGTCCTACAGCACAAAGGCTCTGGAGCAAATTCCAGCTCTGCCTCCCACCAGCTCTGTGTCCTTGGACAAGGTACAAGGCACCTTTTGTAATACACTGTCTCTCCATGTCCTTGGCTCACTCTCTCAGGCGAGGCCTCCCAAGCCTCTTTACCTCCGCGCACATGTGCACAGAGCTCACCGGAACTCCTCTTACACATTTTTGATTATTCGTTGCTGGTACCTAGAAATACTATTTTTGTGTATTGATCCTTCTAGCCAGTGACTTTGCAGAATTTACTTATTAATTCTAGTAGCTTTACTTTAGATGACTTAGGGTTTTCCATGTATACGATCATGTCTTCTGGGAATAAAGGCAGCATTATATCCTCCTTACCAATTTCAATGCCTTTTCTCTCCCTTGCCTTGCTGCATTGGCTGGTGTCTCCAATAGAGTGTCGAAAAGAAGTGCCGAGGGTAGACATTCTTGCACAGTTCCCAATTTTAGAAAGAAAGCATTCGGGCTTTCACCATCATTAAGTGTGGTGTCAACCTTGAGTTTGTCACTTACACCCTTTATGAGGCTGAGGAAATTCCCTTCTGTTCCTAAAATGCTCAGTTTTTATTACAAATGGGTATTAAATTCTGTCAAGGGCCGGGCGCAGTGGCTTACGCCTGTAATCCCAGCATTTTGAGAGGCCTAGGTGGGCGGAGTTTGAGACCAGCCTGGCCAACATAGTGAAACCCCGTCTCTACTAAAAATTCAAAAAAAAAAAAAAAAAAAAAAAAAAAAGCCAGGCGTGGTGGCACTGGCCTGTACTCCCAGCTACTTGGGAGGCTGAGGCAGGAGAATCTCTTGAACCCAGGAGGCGGAGGTTGTGGTGAGCGGATATTGAGGCATTGCACTCCAGCCTGGGCAACAGAGTGAGACTCGATCTAAAAAAAAAAAAAAAATTCTGTCAAATGCTTTTTCTATATCTGTTGAGATGATATGATGGTATTGACAGGGGTTTTCCCCTTCATTCTGTTAATATGGTGAATTACATTGATATTAAAATATTAAACCAATCTTGTAAGTCAGGGAAAATTGACACTTGGTTATGGTTATATATATATATATCTTACTGGATTTGATTTGTTAAAATTAAAAACTTTTCTTTTTCGAAACCACTTTATTGGCCTGGTGCAGTGGTGCACGTCTGTAATCACAGGACTTTGGGAGGCTGAGTTGGAGACCAACATGGACAACATGACGAAACTCTGTCTCCACTAAAAATACAAAAATTAGCTGGGGGTGGTGGTGCACGCCTGTAGTCCCAGCTACTCAGGAGGCTGAGGTGGAAGTCACTTGAGCCCAGGAGGTCAAAGCTGCAGTGAGCTAAGATCCCACCAGTGTACCCCAGCCTGGGAGACAGAGCAAGACCTTATCTCAAAACAAACAAACAAAAAACAAAGCAACAACAACAACAAAAAAGCTGCTGCAGTGGCTCACGTCTGTAATCCCAACACTTTGGGAGCGTGGGGGGGGGCGGGGGGGGTGGATCACCTGAGGTCAGGAGTTCGAGACCAGCCTGGCCAACATGGTGAAACTCTGTCTATACTGAAAATACAGAATTAGCCAGGTGTGGTGGCACACACATGTAGTCCCAGGTACTCGGGAGGCTGAGACAGGAGAATCTCTTGAACCCAGGAGGTGGAGACTGCAGTGAGCTGAGATTCCACCACTGCACTCCAGCCTGGGCAAGACAGAGCAAGACTCTGTCTCAAAAACAAAACACATACACACACACACACACACACACACACACACACAACCAGATTATTTTATTGAGATAGAATTCATATGCCATACAATTCAATTCACCCACTTAAAGTGTACAATTATTTTAGTATATCGTCAGATACACACAACTATCACCACAATGATTTTTAGAACATTTTCATCACCTCATGAAGAAATCCTATACTTTTCTCTTTATTTTGAGACAGAGTTTGGCTCTTGTTGGCCGGGCTGGAGGGCTGGGATTACAGGCGTGAGCCACCACCGCACCTGGCCAGAAATCCTATACTCTTTAGCTGTCACTGTTGACCCTCTCTCCCCGAGGCATAAACATCCACTAATCTACCTTATCTTCAGAGTTTACTGTAGAGATTTTATTAAATGAAATAATATAAAATGTTATCTTTGCGACTGGCTTTTTTCCCTTAGCATGATGTTTTCAAGGCTCATCTGTGTTGTGGTATACAGCAGTACTTCATTTCTTTCTCGATTTGAATAATGTTCCATTGTATGATCTACCACATACTGTTCATCCATTCATCAGCTGATGGGCATTTAGGCTGTTTTCACCTTTTATCTATTGTGAATAATGCCATTATGAACATTCCTATACAAGTTTTTGTGTGTACATGTGTTTTTATTACCTTGGGGGTATGTATCTGGGAATGAATTGCTGGGTCATATGGAAACTCTGTATTTAATCAATGAGAGAACTGCCAGATTGTTTTCCAAAGTGACTGCACCAATTTATATTCCCATCAGTCATATATGAGGGTCTGATTTTTGTTTTCTCACCAACACGTACCTTTTTTTTTGACACAGGGTCTCACTCTGTTGCTCAGGCTAGACTGCAGTGACATGATCATGGCTCACTGCAGCCTCAGCCTTCCTGGGCTCAGGTGATCCTCCCACCTCAGCTTCCTGAGTAGCTGGGACTTCAGGCACATGCTACCACACCCAGCTAATTTTTTAACATGGTTTAGAGTTAACTGTTTACTTCCTGGGAGTGGGGAAATTTTCTCTTTATCAAAAGTTGGCCCTAATATTCTAAGAGTTATAGGTAAATGTGAATCAATATGTCAGTTCCCCATCTCCCCGCTCATCTTTCTTAACTTTGTAGCTTAATGACATGAATATACAGAGCGAACAGACTTTGGTCTAAATATCAAAGTTTATTGAAATAAAATATAATCTATAATAAAAAATACTACAGGTGTTATTCACTGGTTACAGTTTTAAGTATATTAACAAAAACAGCCAACATTTTAACCCAACAATGACACTATCTTTGTGGTACAATAACAAACATGAAAGTAAATGTTGAATAATACTGAATAATTCTGTCAGAAATATTTTATACTTTACCATCTATGTATGCCTTTTAAGGAATATCCTCCCAAAGTGAAAGTTTTGAAACTGATGACATTGTTTTTAAGAATTAAGTAGTTTTAAAATAATTAGTATTTAAAACAAATTTATTTCACAGAAATTCAGTTCAACCCTAAGCTGGGTAGATGGTTTTAGGTATCTTTATGCAAAAAATGTATTTCAATGCTCTTTCCTATGAATCTCTAGGGTTGTTATTATTCCTCAATTGAAATTAAAGCTGGTCATAAAGCAAAACAGATGAATTATTTCAGAAGTAAAATGGGTATTAAGATAAAAAATGAAAGGAGGAGGAAAAAATAGGCACTCATACGTAATCTATATATTAAAACGCTTTGAGAACTCAGTAGCCAGTCTTGGCCTGGCACAAAGAGATCTTTGATATGTCACAGCAAATTGACCCAATTAGTCCAACAATAAAGTGGAGAAAGAAAACTTGTTTCTCTTCCTTGCTATATTTCAAGATAATTTTCTCTGTAGTCATTATACCATTCCACTTGCTACTCCTCAAAATATGTGCCTCAATCCAATTATTCTGCACAATTCAAGGAAAAGATTCACACGCACTAGCTTTAGGAAATGACTTTCAGGGTACCTCTGAAGTTTCACAAGCAAACATGATTCCTTTTGCTGACTGTTTTGTAGCATTCACACACCAATCTCCTGTTATACTGTCCTACTTGTAATGTGTGAATCTGTAACAAGCTGTCATTTATTAAGCAAGATAGTCTTTTAACAAAAACCTCTGAGGGCTTTTCAAAACCTCATCTTTAAAAATCTGTAAAACAAAGATACCCTATGTACCCTGAAAAAACTGCTTATTTCACATATGTGAAAAACAATAATAAAAATTCTGACAAAATTGAGAGACATACAAGACAGGTCTTCAAGGATTAAATACTGTTTGTCTTAAAACATGTTGCAATTATGTTCACAATGTAAGGTTCATTAAAAATTTTTAAAAAACACATTGCATTAGTTAGAACTGCTTTGTAAGGTATTTCAGTTACAAGGCCTATTTTGACAGATCACTGATTTGAGAACTTAAATGGGAATTTCAGTTTCTTGACTTTTTTTTTTTTTTTTTTTTGAGATATAAGAGTCTCGCTCAGTCGCCCAGGCTGGAGTGCAGTGGGGCAATCTTGGCTCACTGCAACCTCTGCCTTCCGGGTTCAAGCGATTCTTGCGCCTCAACCTCCCCAGTGGCTGGGATTACAGGCATGTGCCACCACACCCAGCTAATTTTTTTTGTATTTTTAGTAGAGACAGGGTTTCACCATGTTGGCCAGGCTGGTCTCGAACTCCTGACTTCAGGTGATCCACCCACCTCAGCCTCCCAAAGTGCTGGGATTACAGGCATGAGCCACCGCACCGGGCCAGTTTCCTGACTTTTTATTTTCAGCTATAAAACAATTATGAGAGCCAAAGGAGCCAGGATCACCTTCCAAAACATTTTGTTTTGTCCTTCTCTAATTTATGAGGCATTCTTTCTTCTCAAAGCAGGATATTACAGTGCAGATTAAAACTGGATATTAAAGTTAATGGTGACAAATTATTAAGTAGTTTGAAGAAATCCTTAGAATATCAGATAAAGAGAGACTTAATGGCAGAAGAAGAAGTCTACTGGGGTTCAAAGCTTAGGTTTTATATTTCTGCCATGGTATCTCAACACTTTCTCTGGGATAGTACGATGCCCTAAAAAATACCTGTGTTAGGCAGACAAGTCTAAATCTCCTTTCTCAGGACAATAGGACAAAACTGAACTTGAGGCAATAGTTGAAGAATTTTACCCCGTTTTTCAAGTTTAATTTTCTTGAGATCAGAAAAGTAAAATTAGAAAGTAGAATCCTTCATGTAAAAAAATATATGCGTATCACAATTTATTAAACTCTAACATCTAAGAGCAAAAACACCAGGATTAAGTAAGAACATGCATGAACTAAAATTTAGATAGATATTCAAAGTAAGTTAAATTTACCAGAGTCCTGCATCTGGCCTCTCCCATGCCATTATCGCTATTTTGCAATTTGTTTTGTTCAGGAAGCCTCTGATTTTAATATTTAAAGTGTCACCTGAGAAGAGTAACCTCAATTCTTCATGTTTTCTCAACAATCTTAGAGGTGTTGGACATCATTAATAAAATATACTAAATTATCAGAGAACTTAAGAACGCTAAGATTCTGATGAGTTCCTTTACCATTTTCAGTCACTTTCTAAAAGGGATTTAACTTCACATTATCAAATAACATTTTACACTAAAAACACAATTTATATAGCCCTAAAATAATATTACTTGAGAGATCTAAATGAATTCCACCAATGCAAACGAAGTTTATATACTGTATTAGTAATTTGATACCACCGTATTCCATGGAGAAAAAGGCAAAGAGAATCTAAATATTTAGATCTGTGAAAGATACTAGAAAAAAATAGATTTTTAAATGCTTCTGATCCTCTCAAAATACTCTTGATTTTGACTCTATAGTCTATAGAACACACAAAAAACTGTAAAATGCATTTGGGAAGAGATCACGCCATACTCAAAGAAAATTCTACAAATTTTGACAGCATTAAAAAAACTGACTTAAGATATATTTTGTTATTGAGAAAAAAGTGTGCACATTCAAGAACATAGGATGTGTAATATTTGTGATAAATTAAGTCATACTTTGTGCTTATACTATGCCCTTTATTCAGGAGTGCAAAACACTTAATCAAAAAGAGCATCCTTCACATATTTAAAGAGTACATTGAGGCACAGAAAGTTTGCCCAAGGCAAGATAGAAAGTCGGGTTTATAGACACAAAATGATCTAGAATTCTTCATGTCCAATTCCTTAAAATACAAACTGTAGACTATTTGTAATGCCTCCATCTTATTTTATCAAACATTAGTAATTTTACTATTATAAGTTTATGCATAAGTACTGTGTGATAGGTAATGCCCATAAGGTTTTTATCATGTTTTAAGGTAACTTGTGCATGGAATAGGAAAAGTTAATCAAATGTAATCAATTCGCTTTTGCTTTTTAACAAAACTTAAATAAATGAGCTATTTGAGGACAGTTCTGGAAATTCTTGCCTTGATTTTTCTCCAAGATTTTAGATATGTAGTTCACATGTGAACATTAATATATGAACAATTATTTTATTTATTGGCCTCTAGTTCTCTTTCCTCTCATGATCTGTCTCTTAGTGAATTGACTTTCTGATTCATTGAAAGCAAAATGCTAAGAAGGTTTTGTGCAAGTGCAAAATGTTTAATCTTGGGTTCAGTCAACTAGTCTCTGATACTAACTTGCTTAGTTAAGCCAAGATCAAGAAGTATGAGAAAGAACTTGAAATATGATAAAGAATTTGAAACAGAATATGGGATAAGTAGTCAATATCAGAAATGTGAGACAATAAAAACAAGATATATTCCAAAGCCTAATCCTAAATTTAAATCTACACTTCATTCAACTCTGAACCTGACCTTGAAACATGGAAGAAGTTACTTTACCTAAGCACACTGCACCAGTGTAAAACCAATGCCAATTTTAGCTGCTTTATACTGCTTAATGTGTATATGTACACATGTATTCTTAAAATGGTGATTCTTAAATTGAAGTTCTGAATTCTTTTGAGAATCTAACAGAGGTCATGAAAACTTGCTTCAGAAACACACATATGTAAAGTACTTTTAAGTGTTGATCATGTACTATAAATCACAGCATTGTGGATGCAATGGGATTAGACATGAAGAAAAATTTTATATTTTTAATAAAGACTGGTTACTAACCTTAAGGAATATACTTAGACTCTGAAAGTAAAAGGAAAGTGCAATGACCATATTTGTTCATTCATCTGCCTATTTTCAAATCTAATGATGATTTGGTTGATGCAAATATGTCCCTAATCTAGGCTATAAATGATAAAAACAAAAATGTTTAAGTTCTAACTTTTGTTAGCAGTATACATCTAAGAATTTTCAAGTATTACAAAATACTTGGAAGGAAAGACTTTAATATACCACTTTCAAAATCCTATGTACCCAAACCAGCAATGAAGTGGTGGGATATATAACGTTACCTTGGGCAAAATTTAAGAAAATAAAGACACAATAGCTCTAATTTTTTTTTTTTTTTTTTTTTTGAGACGGAGTCTCGCTCTATTGCCCAGGCTTGCATGCAGTGGTGCTATCTCAGCTCACTGCAATCACTGCCTCCTGGGTTCAAGCGATTCTCCTGCCTCAGCCTCCCAAGTAGCTGGGATGACAGGTGCCCGCCACCATGCCTGGCTAATTATTGTATTTTTAGTAGAGACAGGGTTTTGCCATGTTGGCCAGGCTGGTCTCGAACTCCTGATCTCAGGTGATCCACCTGCCTCGGCCTCCCAAAGTACTGGGATTACAGGCATGATCTAAATTCTTTATACCCTTCAAGGGCAGGAAACCAGTATCTCTGAAAAGCTTGTTTGTTTTAATACAATTGAACATTTCATCTTTCCCCCCACAGTAATCAAAGCAAACATTTTATCATTATTATTCTTGGTATATCAAAGTAAATTCCAGGAATGTAAGAAAGTCTGACTTGGAAATATTACATAGAAAAAGGCTGAATTAACACATTACATTTTTTAGTTTTTCCTTGTAAGTATACATTGACATCTACTTATCTGATAGCAGCACTGCTGGTTTTGAGTGAGTTTTGTTTTGTTTTGTTTCCTTCCAGAGGGAATGCAGTATGGCAGCATTTTCTTTGGAACAAATTAAGAAGATAGTAACAAATAACAGAAGAAATACTTCTACACATATATTTTCCATGGGCAATAAACAGATAAGTATATAATTATGAAAAAATATGCCTCAACTATGCTTTTTAAAATTTCTCAAGGTATACTGGTTTGTTTTTCTTATTCAAATATAATGCACTATCACTACTATCTGTCCCGGGAAAAACAAACCCTGAGGTTTGAGTTACCTCCTTCAGCCAACAGAGTGATATCAAGAGTAAACTTGGATTGAGGTCAACCTGTTTGAGCCAATAGAGAGTTCTGTAGTATATCTGGTTATTTTACTAACGTATACATATTCTAGGTTATAATCAAGATACTCATTAAATATTTTCTATCAGAGTTTTATATCCCAAACAGGTTCTTTGATGATTTATCATGCTACCATAGGAAATTTGAAGAAATAACAAATTGTGTAACAGAAATAGACATGCAATATAAAGGACATAAAAGATACAGCTTGACCCTGGATTTTTCCCTTAGAATAATTCCTTCCATAAATAAGACTCTATTTTTACATACAGATTCATCCTATAACTGGTCTTGGATCATAAAGTTAATGACATAGTTGAAAAAATCCAGACCACACATTTTTGTGGTCTTTTGTCACCCCAGACCACACACAAAAAAAACACTCTCCAAGTGGATGCTCAGGTCAGATTATGATGCTCTTAAATAAATGTACTGAAGCTTAGAATGTAAAGCACACAACTATTTGCAGCAGCAATAGTCTTTCAAAATAACTAAAACAAACTTTTAAATATAAGGCATATAAAACAGACTATTAAGGATAGTTTTCCAAACTATATATAGAAACACAGGAAAATATGTGTGGCCTCATAATAAAGTTAAATAAATATTATTTCTGAGTTCTTATAAACACTATGAGGTTATAGTTTTATTTGGTTCCCATAAATTAAAAACTCTGATTGCTTTTACATAAATTCTTAGCTACTCTCAGACTTTTTTTTTTTTGAGACGGAGTCTCCCTCTGTCACCCAGGCTGGAGTGCAGCAGGGCGATCTCGGCTCACTGCAACCTCTGCCTGCCGGGTTCAAGCAATTCTCCTGCCTCAGCCCTGAGTAGCTGGGACTACAGGCACGCACCACCATGCCAGGCTGATTTTTTGTATTTTTAGTAGAGACAGGGTTTCACCATGCTGGCCAGGCTGGTCTCGAACTCCTGGCCTCAGATGATCCGCCCACCTTGGCCTCCCAAAATGTTGGGATTACAGGCGTGAGCCACTGCGCCCGGCCCTTTCAGATTTTTATTAATGTCTTTTTATAAGACACAGAGATTATCTCTAACTTCATTTCAGAAATGTGCTTTTTCATTGGTTTTAATAAGTACATTTAATTTTCTAGCAATGAACATGACTTAAAATTTAAGGTTCAAGGTAGTTCTAGAAAAAGGTAGACACTGAACTATCTGCTTTTCTACATCCCCATATTTACAAAGCCTAGCATCCACTGTGCTTTCCTCCATACACTCAATCACATTGTCAATAAATAGTAACTGTGGTCCAGGTTACCTATGATAAAGACTCCAAAATTCCTCAAAATTTTACAACACTACAAAGTCATTAATATCTGATATTGATAGGTTATAAGTATTAGTGTTATGTAACTTTTTGCTATTGGAAAAGAAATACAAATCTTTATTTTTGCTATCTAAATTAAAACTAAGCTCCATGATCAAGATAATACCTAAAATGTACATTCCTAAATAAAGGTAAAGCTGTTTAAGGGCTGAACTAGTCCAATATACAATTAAGGGTTATTTATTCCTATTCTTTTGTTTTTGTTTTTTTGAATCCCTATGTTAAACCCGTGGTTTCTCATGAATTAGATCATAATTTAACATTGTAAAATTTCAGAAACTATTGTGCTAATATTTAGATTTCAGGAAGGAATCAGACTAAATCAATTACCTCCATTCATTGTTAGAACAGAAGATATAATAGCTTACTAACTGATATGAGTTATGAATGTCACTATGACACAAAATTTGCTGTGATTTGCTAATCTGGCTACAAGTGCAGTATTTTTCATGAATGTCAACACACAGCATTTCCAACTTGTAACATGAAACTCCAGCTCATAAAGAGTGTATTGTGTGACTTGAAAAAGTCTGATTGTAACTAAGTAACAACCGTTCCCCTGAAAAAACGAACAAAATCCATTAGGAAATCAGGCACAGACGGTATTGATCGGTTTTTCTTCCTTTCCTCCTGTGGTTTTGTTTCTCAAGACATATAGGTGGTTCCAACAGAAGCCAACACTTGTTACAAAATAACACAGCTATTTTTTTCCTTTTCTTTTTCTTTATCTTTTTCTCGTGGTTCCTTCCGTTTACGTTCACTATTCCCAGATTGTCTTCCACTTGATGGAGAGGCTTGTGCTGGCTGGCCCTGCTTTAAGAAAAATATACAGCAAGAAATTACTCTAACTATTCTGAGGGACTTACTCATGGTTATCTAGAAAGGAAAACTGTAACAGTGGAAGGAATCACTGATGGAAAAAGAAGCTAGCTATTGGCATACAGATTTGTTATATTACATGGTATCTGAGCCATTACCGCTACCATTCTGGATATAATTAATGTATTCATTATTCTGAATAAATAAAATTTCTTTTCCTTTTTTTTTTTTTGAGACAGAGTCTTGCACCGTCGCCCAGGCTGGAGTGCAATGGTGCAATCTTGTCTCACTGCAACCTCCACTTCCTGGGTTCAAGAGATTCTGCTGCCTCAGCCTCCCAAGTAGCTAGGATTACAGGCACCTGCCACCACGCCTGGCTAACTTTTTGTATTTTTAGTAGAGACGGGGTTTCACTATGTTGGCCAGGCTGGTCTCACACTCCTGACTTTGTGATCCGCCCACCTTGGCCTCCCAAAGTCGGTATTTCAAACAGTAAATAACGTAAGATTATATTGCCTAAAGTCAAATTGAAGACACATTTGTTAAAAGTTTAGAAAATGTTAAGGAAAGTGACACCTTTTGATAAACTATAATAGTTCTTCAAAACCTCATTAAATTCCATAATAAACAGACTTTTTTTTTTTTTTTTTTTTTTTATTGAGATGGAGTCTCACTCTGTTAGGCTGGAGTGCAGTGGCACAATCTCGGTTCACTGCAACCTCTGCCTCCCAGGTTCAAGCGATTCTCCTGCCTCAAGTCTCCCGAGTAGCTGGGACTACAGGTGCACGCCACCACACCCAGCTAATTTTTTATATTTTTAGTAGTGACAGGGTTTCATCATATTGGCCAGGCTGGTCTCGAACTCCTGGCCTCGAGATCCACCTGTCTTGGCCTCCCAAAGTGCTGGGATTATACGTGTGAGCCACCGCACCAGCCATAATAAACAGATTTTAAAAGGAGAAAAGAACCCCTGAGAATTGGGAGTTTGGAATAAGTGTATTTAGTGAAATAAGACACCTTTTTTGAGTGAAAACCTACACATAACATGGTAGGATTTAACTATTAAGCTTGGAGTAGTCAATATTTGAGCTAGAAATAGAAATTTTATACTTATTTTAATGGGGACTTCTATATTTAGTTTTATGAGACTTAAAAGGGCATCTTGCTTTCTTGTATGCCCAAATCAGAATTTCTTATGTATCTGAATCAAAATGAACAGTTTAGGCCAGGCGTGGTGCCTCACACCTGTAATCCCAGCACTTTGGGAGGCCGAGGTGGGTGAATCACTTGAGGTCAGGAGTTTGACACCAGCCTGGCCAATATGGTAAAACCTCATCTCTACTAAAAATACAAAAATTAGTTGGGCATGGTGGCACACACCTGTAATCCCAGCTACTTGGGAGGCTGAGGCAGGAGAATTGCTTGAACCCAGGAAGCAGAGGTTGGCAATGAGCGAGACTGCGCCACTGCACTCCAGCCTGGGCAACAGAGTGAGACTCTGTCTTAAAAAAAAAAAAAAAAAAAAAAAAAAAAAAAAAAAAAAAAAAAAAAAACAGGAACAGCAGTCTGGCATGGTATAAACATAAAAAAGGGGAATATTTTTAACTTAATGAAATGAGATTTAACATGTAGAATCCCACCATTAAATTTTCAGTGCTTTAAACCGTTTAACTACAGAAAGTGAAAAGTAGGGAGATGTCAACCTTTGTTGAATGCCTAGTACATGTTAAAAATTGGGGTAAGTGCTAATATTATTTGTTCTTCACAACAAACTTAAGAGTTCTTCTATTTTACAGATAGGGAAAATGAGGCTAAGAGAGGTAGAGGACGTCATCCAAGAGGTTGCAACTAGAAGGAGAGACAGGAGCAGGAAATGCAAATCCACATTTATCTGGCTCCAAAGTCTATTTTTTCTAGTAGTACCTCATACTGCCCTCTAGTTGATTGAAAGGACTTCGTCCAAATTGGCTTATTTTCTTTGCAGCTATTACGAATTTTAAAAATAAATTTGAAAATCAGAACCTCAGGAGAAAACATTTTACTAAACGAGATACAAGCTTAGGACAACGTCATAAAACCCATAGGTGCTAAAATCCTAACAAAATTGAAGAGTTAACACCTAATTTAAAATTTTTTATCTCAAGCGAAATTTACTGCTAAAGTGATCATCTTTTTTTTTTTTTTTTTTGAGAAGGAGTCTTGCTCTATCATCCTGACTGGAGTGTAGTGGCACAATCTCAGCTCGCTGCAACCTCTGCCTCCCAGGTTCAAGCAATTCTCCTGCCTCAGCCTCCCAGTAGCTGGGATTACAAGTGTTCACCACCACCACGCCCGGCTAATTTTGTATTTTTAATAGAGATAGGGTTTTGCCATGTTGGCCAGGCTGGTCTCGAACTCCTGGGCTCAAGCAATCTGCCTGCCTCAGCCTCCCAAAGGGCTGGGAATACAGGTGTGAGCCACTACACCCAGCCATGATCATCACATTTAAGACTCAAAACACTAGTTTTTACCTGAGCCTGTGTAGAAGCAGCAGCAGCAGCAGCTGCTGCTTGTTCCTGTTCCTGATAGTATTGAGAAGCCCGTCTGTCCTCTTCCTCTTGGAGTTTCTTTGCTAGTTCCAAATCACTGATTCCTTCCGGGATTTGTTCCCAATTGATCTCTTGGCTCTGCTGTTCTTGTTGTAGAGATAATGCCATAAGATAATCCTAATAAATTAAATTATAACCATCATTAGCTATGAGATTTTACCCAAGAATGAATGACTGCAAATACAAACGTTATATCTATAAAGCTGTAAGAATGGCTATTAAAAAATACACCAGGCCTGGGCAATATAGCAAGACCCTGTCTCTACAAAAAAAGTTTAAAAACCAGCCAGGTGTGGTGGTGTGCACCTATAGTCCTAGCTACTTGGGAGGCTGAGGCAGGAGGATTGCTTCAGCCCAGGAGTTTGAGGTTACAGTGAGTTATGATCTCCTCACTGCACCCCAGCATGGGTGACAGAGAGAGACCCTGTCTATAAATATGAATAAAATAAAAACAAAAAAGAAAAAGAAAACAATATAAAATAACAAAATAATTAAAATAAAATAAAAAACATTTTATTTTAAACATTAAAATGACAGTTATCTTCCTAAGTATTTCCCTTGGGGAGCTATGAACTTATTTCAGTGATTCTGTCATTGTTCTAAATATTTTTGGAGGCCAGGTGCGGTGGCTCACGCCTATAATCCCAGCACTTTGGGAGGCCAAGGCAGGTGGATCGCTTGAGCCCAGGAGTTCGAGACCACCCTGGCCAACATGGTACAACCCCGTCTCTATTAAAAACACAAAAATTAGCCAGGTGTGGTGGTGCACACCTGTAATTCTAACTACTTGGGAAGCTAAGGCAGGAAAATCACTTGAACCTGGGAGGCAGAGGTTGCAGTGAGCTGAGATCACGCCACTGCGCTCCAGCCTGGGCGACAGAGGAAGACTCAGTCGTGAAAAAAAAACAAAAAATTGGGGGAATGTATTTGAAATTTTTTCTGGAAGCCATATATAGGCAGCCAAGAAAGCTAAAAACAAAACCAAACAAAAAGTAGCGGGGAGCCAGGTACAACGGCACACACCTATATTCCCTGAACTTTGGGAGGCTGAGGCAGGCAGGCTGCTTGAGCCCAGGAGTTTGAGACCAGCCTGAGCAACATGGCAAAACTCTGTTTCTGCAAAAAACACAAAAAAATTAGCTGGGCATGGTGATGCATGCCCATGGTCCCAGCTACTAGGGGAGGCTGAGGTGGGAGGATCACTTGAGGCCAGAAAGTTGAGGCTGCAGTGAGCTGTGATCACACCATTGCACTGTAGCCTAGGTGACTGAGACCCTGTTTCATATATAAATAAATAAGTAAATTGGTTTAAAGAATTTTTTAAAAAGTTCCCCATTTACAAAAGAAACATGCCTATAGGCAATTCAGACAAAACTGAAAACCATAAACAACAAAGTTTAAATCACCATAATATCATTACATAGAGATAACTACTGTTAACAGTAGTTTATTATTATTTTTCTACATTCCCATACAAATTCAAACCAACCCTGTGAAACTACTGTAATGTTTTCTTTTCCACTTAGTGTCATAAAAGTCTTCTGTTTAAGAAAATAAGAATTTCCCAAGATTATTAAATATTCTTCTAAAAGATGACTTTTAAAGCCAACACAGTAGCCATCATATAGTCTTACTCAATTATTTAACCATCTCCTCCCTCCTCCCATGTACACACTCAGATTAGTTTCTATCAGAAACAGTGCATTTTGGTCAAGCATTAACTTAATATCCACTTTATTAAGAGTCGGTGTTGACTAAAATTTGACCAGTCTGTGTACCTCCTCCCCCATCTACCCTCAAAATAAGATAATTTTAAATAATACAGAGGATGGGTAAATGGTTTTTGCCTGTGGTCAGGTGCAGTGGCTCACGCCTGTAATCCCAGCACTTTAGGGGGCCAAGGCGGGCACATCACTTGAGCCCAGGAGTTCGAGACCAGTGTGGGTAACATGGCGAAACCCTGCCTCCACTAAAAATACAAAAATTAGCCGGGTGTGGTGGCACATGCCTGTAGTCCCAGCTACTCAGGAGGCTGAGGTGTTTGCTTGAGCCTGGGAGGTGGAGGTTGCAGTGAGCCGAGATCGCACCACTGTACTCTAGCCTTGGTGACAGAGTGAGACCCTGTCTCAAAAAATAAAAAAGGTTGTTGCCTGGAAAGATCTTGTCATATATATAGCATGACTATCTCATGGATATAAAGATATAAAGAATTTGTCCTTCAAGTTCTTCTGAATTCTTCAAACTCTGCTCTTTATGAAGCCTCATGGTCTTGAATCCACCTCTTTCTTGCTGCTTCCAGATAACAATCTCAACACCTTATCTGGACTACTGTGACAATCTATCACTCTGCCTTCATTCCCCTTCTCCAGTTTTTTTCTTTTTTGAGACGGAGTCTTGCTCTGTCGTCCAGGCTGGAGTGCAGTGGCGTCATCTTGGCTCACTGCAACCTCTGCCTCCTGGGTTCAAGCAGTTCTCCTGCCTCAGTCTCCCGAGTAGCTGAGACTACAGGTGCGTGCCACCATGCCCGGCTAATTTTTTGCATTTTTCTAATTAAAGACGGGGTTTCACCATGTTAGCCAGGATGGTCTTGATCTCCCGACCTCGTGATCGGCCCGCCTTGGCCTCCCAAAGTGCTGCGACTATAGGTGTGAGCCACCGTGCCCAGCCTTTTTTTTTTTGAGACAGACTCTTGCTCTGTCACCCATGTTGGAGTGCAATGGCATGATCTTGGCTCACTGCAACTTCCGCCCCCTGGGTTCAAGTGATTCTCTCACCTCAGCCTCCCGAGTAGTTGGGGTTACAGGTGCGCACCACCACACCTGGCTAATCTTTGTATGTTTAGTAGAGACAGGGTTTCGCCATGTTGGCCAGGCTGGTCTTGAACTCCTGACCTCAGGTGATCCACCTGCCTCAGCCTCTCAAAGTGCTGGGATTATAGGTGTGAGCCACCTTGCCTGGCCCAGTATTTTTTATATAGAATATAATGCTTAGAAAAATCTCGCATATTTCTCTTAACGTTTAAAAAACAACACCCCTGTATAGCTTCTGAAGGAAAATGAGCACGACTTTCAGAACTGTTTTTCAAAGAAAAGTCCTAGAAAGATGCATATTTGTTTGAATTAAATATTCTTTTTTTTGTTTTGAGATGGAGTCTCGCTCTGTTGCCCAGGCTGGAGTGCAGTGGCACGATCTCGGCTCGCTGCAAGCTCTGCCTCCTTGGTTCATGCCATTCTCCTGCCTCAGCCTCCTGAGTAGCTGCGACTACAGGCGCCCGCCACCATGCCCGGATAATTGATTTTTATATTTTTAGTAGAGACGGGGTTTCACCGTGTTAGCCAGGATGGTCTCGATCTCCTGACCTTGTGATCTACCCGCCTCGGCCTCCCAAAGTGCTGGGATTACAGGTGTGAGCCACCGCACCCGGAGAATTAAATATTCTTTTGTGTACTTGATAACTGCTCTTCAAATTGCCATTATAGAACATATAACATGAGTTGGTCAAATATCTGCCTTCCCTACTAGGCTGCATCTTTAAGGACAGGACTCAATGATTTATCTTTGTATCTCTAGGACCTAATTATAGTGCCAGGAATACAACTCCTCAGTGAATATTGGCTAACTGAACAGTCTTTGTGCACTTAAATTGTTATGAGTGAAATATATGTCAACTGTTTAACATGACCATATTTTTGCCTCAGTCAGGGAAGAATTCACATCACCATCATATTTCTAATAATAAACAGACCTGTGGCTCCAAGACTGCCCACTTATGGCAGGCAAAAATCTCATCTGTCAAAAAAAAAAAAAAAATCTCATCTGTCTCATTTCTAAATGCAACTTCTATTCCCTAGTGTGTCTCCTGCTACAAATGTCTACTACTCCTCCTTACCTTGGCCTCTAAGGTTTAGAATATCCACCCATTCTTTATACACTATATGCTACCTTCCAGATTCTCTCTCCTCTACTTTTTCTAACTAGTCAAAATATAGCTCAGATATGTGCTCATCTCTTCATCTCTACCACCCAAGGCTAAGCCATCATCAGCTCTTGCTTGGACTATTTGTCTCTGCTTAGACCTGTTTCCTTCTTATGTATTCTCCAAATAACAGTCTTTTAAAAAGGTAAAGAAGATCCCATCACTTCTGTGTTTAATACTTGACATAGCTTTCCTACTGCAATTAGAATAAAATTCAAACTTCTCACCATGACCTTCACAGTTCAATATGATCTGGCCTTCTGCACCAAAGTACATAATTAATGTACATGTAGAATGATCACCAACTATTCAGGAAGTGTCAGGAAAATTTCACAAGCATATTGATGAATTAATCTTTAGTTGAAAAATTTTGGATACATGAATTCACATTTGAAAAAAATCAGCATTTTAACCACTATAAAGACGACAATACAAATTTACCTGATCTATCTGATCTTGTTGTCCTTTGTATACAGTTTCAGGATCTGAAGGAGGTCGAAGATGAAATTCTGAGTCACAGAAATTTCCATCACCATCTACGTTGTGTAGGCTTTCCCAAACAACTTTCTCTTCAGTAAGAAACCCCTGGTCCGTTACCAACAAATACAGTTGACCCTTAATAAGAAGTAACAAAAGAAAAAGGACTGTTAAATTGATCAAAACTAGTAATATAATATTTAAGGAAAGTTTTACAATCTGTATCTTCAGAATATATTAAACATTCCTACTGTTTAGATCTGTACAACACAATAAATAGACCAAGTAGATATTTTACTTCCTCAAATCCACTCGGCTTTGAATATAGTTTATAATTGGCACACTACACTATAACAAGAAATAAGAGCTCTTGGCATGTTCAGCTAATGTATGACTTATAAACACCTTTGGGGGGGTTTATAATCTCATTTCACAAAATAGAAAAATACCATACAAATTCCTGAAAAATACATTACAGTCACAAAAAATGATACCATGTTGCCTGTTTTTTTTTCCAATTAAGCCTACATGACTAGTCCAATCCACACCAGTTTTTCCTTTCTCTACACCATTAGTTGCTCTTCTTTTATACACCAATAATACTTTGTACCTAGTTTGTATTATCAGTGTACTTCTTTTGTATACCAATAATAGATACAACACAATTGTTTTGTACGTGTTTCGTAGCACCAAATTGCCCAGTATTGATTGTATTTTCCTGCCTTATCACATAAACTCTGTACGTGCATACAAATTTTTTTTTAATTTTTAATTTTTGTGGATACATAGTACGTGTATGTATTTGTGGGTTACATGAGATTTTTTTTTTTTTTTTTTTTGAGGAGTCTCACTTTGTCATCCAGGCTCAGGCTGGAGTGCAGTGGTGCCACCTCAGCTCACTGCAACCTCCGCCTCCTGGGTTCAAGCGATTCTCCTGCCTCAGCCTCCTGAGTAGCTGGGACTACAGGCGTGTGCCATCATGCCCAGCTAATTTTTTGTATTTTTAGTAGAGACAGAGTTTCACCGTGTTAGCCAGGATGGTCTCGATCTCCTGACCTCGTGATCCACCCGCCTCAGCCTCCCAAAGTGCTGGGATTACAGGCGTGAGCCACCGCGCCTGGCCTACATGGTATTTTGATACAGGCATGCAATGCATAATAATCACATGAGGGTAAATGTGGTATCCAGCCTCTCAAACATTTACTGTTTGTGTTACAAACAATCCAATTATACTTTTAGTTATTTTAAAATGTACAATTAAATTATTTTTGACTATACTCACACTCTTGTGTTAGCAAATGCTAGGTCTCAATCATTCTGTTTTTTCTTTTTTTTTTTTTTTAACATCCATTAACCATCCATCCTGCCTGCCTCCAAATATGCATCCCAGCCTCTGGTAACCATCATTCTACTCTCTATCTCCAGGAGCTCAATTGTTTTAATTTCTAGCCCGCAAAAATAAGAAAGAACATGCGAAGTGTGTCTTTCTGTGCCTGGCTTATCTCACTTAACATTATGACCTCCAGTTCCATCCATGTTGTTGCATTTGACAGGATGTCATTCTGTTTTGTGTGTGAATAGTGCTCCGTTGTGTATGTGTACCACATTTTCTTTATCCACTTGTCTGTCAATGGACACAGCTTGATTCCACATCTTGGCTATTGCGAATAGTGCTGCAATAAACCTGGGAGTGCAGATATCTCTTTGATATACTGATTTCCTTTCTTTTGAGTATATTCTTAGGAGTGGGATTGCCGGATTGTATAACAGCTCTACTTTTAGTGTCTTGAGGAACCTCTAAACTGTTCTCCATAGTGGTTGTACTCATTTATATTCCCATCAACAGTGTATAAGGGTTCCCTTTTCTCCATATCCTCACCAACATTTGTTATTGTCTGTCTTTTGGAAAAAAGACATTTTAACTGGGGTGAGATGATATCTCATAGTTTTGATTTGCATTTCTCAGATGACCAGTGATGTTCAGCACCTTTTCACATACCTGTCTGCCATTTGTTTATCTTTTTTCTTTAAGATGGAGTCTCATTCTGTTGCCCAGGCTGGAGTTCAGTGGTGTGACCTTGGCTCACTGCAACCTCCATCTACCAGGTCCAAGTGATTCTCCTGTCTCAGGCTCCTGAGTAGCTGGGATTACAGATACCCACCATCACACCTGGCTAATTTTTGTATTTTTAGTAGAGATGGGGTTTTACCATGTTGGCCAGGCTGGTCTCGAATTCCTGACCTCAAGTGATCTGCCCACCTGGGCCTCCCAAAGTGCTGGGATTACAGGTGTGAGCCACCACACCTGGCCTCATTTGCATGACTTCTTTGGAGAAATGTCTACTGAAATCATTTTCCCGTTTTAAATTTGATTATGAGATTTTTTTTTTTCTAGAGAGCTGTTTGAGCTCCTTATATGTTCTGGTTATTAATCCCTTGTCACATAGGTAGTTTGCAAATGTTTTCTCCCATTTTGTGGGTTGTCCTTTCATTTTTTTTTTTTTTTTTTTTTTTTAGGCAGGGTCTCAGTCTCACTCTGTCGCCCAGGCTGGAGTGCAGTGGTGTGATCTTGGCTCACTGCAGCCTCAGCCTCTTGGGTTCAAGCGACTGTCCTGCCTCAGCCCCAAGTAGCTGCAACTATAGGAGCACACCACCACGCCTGGCTAATTTTTGTATTTTTAGTAGAGATGGAGTTTCACCATGTTGGCCAGGCTGGTCTCGAACTCCTGACCTCAGATGATCCACCGCCTCAGCTTCCCAAAGTGCTGGGATTACAGGTATGAGCCACCGCGCCTGGCCTGACGTTTATTTTTTTAAAAAAACTATAACTGGTTCACTGTCAACAATGCAGATTTTTTTTTTTTTTTTTTTTTTTGAGACGGAGTCTCGCTCTGTCGCCCAGGCTGGAGTACTGGAGTGCAGTGGCACAATCTTGGCTCACTGCAACCTCCGCCTCCTGGGTTCACCCCATTCTCCCGCCTCAGCCTCCCAAGTAGCTGGGACTACAGGCGCCCGCCACCATGCCCGGCTAATTTTTTTTTTGTATTTTTTAGTAGAGACGGGGTTTCACCGTGTTAGCCAGGATGGTCTCAATCTCCTGACCTTGTGATCCACCCGCCTCGGCCTCCCAAAGTGCTGGGATTACAGGCGTGAGCCACCGTGCCCGGCCAACAATGGAGATTATTAGTCCACAGTTCCTTTATGTAAGTATAGCATAGAATAGCAAAATATCTATGACTATAGTACTAGTTTAGGCCCATCTGATCCTGAGAGTCTATGGTTAAATCACTATCAAGAATATTTCTTGCACTGATATTCCAGCACTTTTGCTAGATTATGCAGTCAATGCTTTCTTAAGACTCAAATCTTCCTTCTAATTTCATCAGTTTTTAAAATACTGAAAAATTTCATAAATAATAATATAGAATAGGTTTTAATGCATTAAATTCTTAATTGTGTATTAGTTCAAATTATATAAATGTCAATATTGTCACAATTTGTAAATTTATAAAATATTATTAAATTTGACAAGTTTTCTTCTACTTTATCAATTTACAAATTGTGATGATATTGTCAGGATTTTTTTTTTTTTTTTTTTTTTTGAGACAGAGTCTCACTCTGTTGCCCAGGCTGGAGTGCAGTGGCGTGACTTGGCTCACTGCAAACTCCGCCTCCCAGGTTCACGCCATTCTCCTGCCTCAGCCTCCTGAGTAGCTGGGACTACAGGTGCCCACCACCACGCCCGGCTAATTTTTGTATTTTTAGTAGCGAGGGGGTTTCACTGTGTTGGTCAGGCTGGTCTCGAACTCCACTGTCAGGTATGTTGTTAATACAAGTAACTACTCCATGTAGAATTAATTTACGAGGGTATTTCTGGACAGAATAGGTTTTCATTCCGTGTTCTTTTGTGATCCAATATGGAGGAAAGCACTGGCTAAATATTTTTGGTTAACTAGCTCGGATTCAAATTACTTAACATCTCTAGGTCGGGTGTGGTGGCTCACGCCTGTAATCCTAGCACTTTGGGAGGCTGAGGTGGACATATCACTTGAGGTCAGGAGTTTCAGACCTGCCTGGCCAATATGGTGAAACCCCGTCTCTACTAAAAATACAAAAAGTTAGCCAGGTGTAGTGGTACATGCCTGTAGTCTCAGCTACTCAGGAGGCTGAGGCAGAAGAATCGCTTGAACCCAAGAGATAGAGGATCCAGTGAGCCAAGATTGTGCCACTGTACTCCAGCTTGGGCGACAGAGCGAGACTCTGTCTCAAAACAAAACACCAACACACCTAAACACAAATTACTTAACATCTCTAGACTTTAGTTTTTTCTTCTTAGAAATTTTGAAGTTTCTAAGGTACTTTATAATTTGAAAATTTATACATTTCTAAGAGAGTTTCTAAAGTATTTTAAGTATCAAAAATGAAATTACTACTCCTACTTAACAAATGTAGTCTTATCCAAAAAAGCACTTTCTTATCCACCCAGAGAGGCAGTGAAGCATAGTTGTTGACTTGAAAGTCAAGTTGAAAGTGGACTTGAAAGTCACACTGGAAATGCTGATAAGCTAAATGGTCTTGGGCAAGTTACTTAGGGTCTTTACATGTTCCCTCAGCCATTAAGTGAGAATAATAATATCCACTCCTCACAGAGGAGTTGTGAAGATTAAATGAGATAATCCATATAAAATGCTTAATATAGTACAAAGCCTCTAACTGCTTCATAAACAGAAGATATTATATTCATGAGTATCATCTAAATCGATCTCAATTTCTGTGTCTATCTGCTTCTATCTCCTATTTAAGAGAAAAAGATGAATCTCTCTGCTTGTACTATGGAATCATCACTTTCCTTATTCCAGTTTCCAAATTCTGCCCCCTCCCCTTTTAATTTAAAAAGTGACAATTTTTGATATATCAACCAGCTTTAAAAATAGCTAAACTTAATGGATTGTTACTTAAATGTAGCATTCTGTGAAAAAAATTTCCACTATGGCCTTAGTCAAAGAGGAAATAGAATAAACAAATTTATTTCTTTAACATGGTTTTAGTATTTATCCAGAACTGTACCTCCTTCTAAACTACTTTTCACTTCTAATCCCTAAACATAGAGTAAAAAAGCAAACAGAACCAACCTCATACCATCTGACTGAGTTTATGGTAAAAAAGAAATAACAACAACAAAACAACCAACCTCAAAAACGTTGGGACTGAATATACTTCAGAGATGTCAGTAATTTAAAACCAAGAGATAGGGGAAACAGTTATGACATGAATATAAAGGTTGCTATGGTAAAAGGACAATCAAGAAGTCATAATAGGAAAAGAGCTATGCAGATATCATTATATGAACCAAAGATCTAGAAGCTATGTGATCTAGACAGGGGCTATGTAATCTTAGTTAAGAGCAAGCAGAAGTTATCAGAGGGTGGTGAAGGAGGGCCATAAAAATGAAATGCAACAACTAGATCTAGGATATAGAATTAGGTAAGGATAGGAATCCAACAGTCATGATCATATGTATAATATGAGAAGCAAAACTGACTTAAATGAGTCTGTTTCTAGGACAGAAATGGTTTATTTACAACCCATCTTTACACTTTCAAATTTCCTGCATGGATAAATAGTCATCTCACTATCTATAGTGACCCACAGGAAAGCATTTGCTCTCTTATGGTCTCCTCACTCTGCTCACAGAAATCAATCTAGTTATGCTGTTGAAAAGCACAGATCAGCCGGGCGCGGTGGCTCACGCCTGTAATCCCAGCACTCTGGGAGGCCGAGGCAGGTGGATCACCTGAGGTCAGGAGTTCGAGACCAGCCTGACGAACATGGTGAAACTGTGTCTCTACTAAAAGTACAAAATTAGCCAAGCATGGTGGTATGCACCTGTAATCCCAGCTACTTGGGGGGCTAAGGCAGGAAAATTGCTTGAACCTGGGAGGCAGAGGTTGCAATGAGCCAAGATCACACCATTGCACTCCAGGAAGGGCAACAAGAGTGAAACTCTGTCTCAAAAAAAAAAAAAAAGAAAAGAAAGGAAAAGCGTATTATCTTCATAGAATCATAAACCTTCCAAAGTGTTGGGATTATAGCCGTAAGCCACTGTATCTGGCCCCCAAAATTGAAATTATTTATAAGAAAATCATGAAGTTGGCTCAGTGCAGTGGCTCATGCCTGTAATCCCAGCACTTTGGGAGGCTGAGGTGGGTGGATCACTTGAGGTCAGGAGTTCAACACCAGCCTGGTCAACATGGTGAAACTCTGTCTCTACTAAAAATACAAAAAATTAGCTGGACATGGTGGTGCGCGCCTATAATCCCAGCTACTCAGGAGTCTGAGGCATGAGAATCTCTTGAACCCGGGAGGCAGAGGTTGCAGTGAGCCAAGATCATGCCACTGCACTCTAGCCTGGGTGACAGAATGAAAGTGTCTCACACACCAAAAAAAATTAAAAAAAAAAAAAAATTGGCCAGGCGCAGTGGCTTACACCTGTAATTCCAGCACTTTGGGAGGCCGAGTCAGGCAGATCACGAGGTCAGGAGATCGAGACCATCCTGGCTAACACGGTGAAAACCCATCTCTACTAAAAATACAAAAAAAAAAAAAAAAAATTAGCTGGGCATGGTGGCGGGGGCCTGTAGTCCCAGCTACTCGGGAGGCTGAGGCAGGAGAATGGCATGAACCTGGGAGGCGGAGCTTGCACTGAGCCGAGATCACACCACTGCACTCCAGCCTGGGTGACAGAGAAAGACTCCATCTCAAAATAATAATAATAATAATAATAATAATAATAATAATAATAATAAGTAAATAAATAGTGAGGTCAATGTGTATTTCACAAAGAGGATCCGCCCAGTTTAATTGTAGAAGACCAGGTGGATGTACAAGGAAAGAAGTGATATAAATGATAGCAGAAATTAGGGCTATTCCTATTTGTTGCCAATAGATAGATGAGGAATAAAAAGTTTAATGAAGGGTTCATGGAGGATGTTATTACAAGTAATAACTAACAGAGATGGATTTTAGTTTGCTAATAATGAAAGAAACACAGAGGTATTTTTCCAGAATTTAGCAACAGTAAACCACAAAACTAGGAATGATAAGAGGACTTTCCAACAACAGGAAGTCAATTAATATCTGTGGTCAGGGAAAATGTCCTGTGCAATAAAAATCATTGTTTGTACTATATTCGTTCGGAAGTGTGGTAGATATTATTCACAAAAAATGGATCAGTTTGATTACACATCCATTGTGACCTCATGATGGCAGAAGGCTTAAAAAAGTATGTAAAGATAAAATCGAGGCCAAACGCGTGGCTCACGCCTGTAATCCTAGCACTTTGGGAGGCAGAGGCGGGCAGACTGCCTGAGGTCAGGAGTTCGAGACTAGGCTGGGCAATATGACAAAACCCCGTCTCTACTAAAAATACAAAAAATTAGCTGAGCGTGGTGGCACACACCCATAATCCCAGCTACCTGGGAGGCTGAGGCACGAGAATTGCTTGAACCTGGGAGGTGGAGGTTGCAGTGAGCTGAGATTGCTCCACTGCACTCCAGCCTGGGTGACAGAGTGAGACTCTGTCCCAAAAAGAAAAAAAAAAAAAAAGATAAAATCAGCTGTGGTAAAAATAAATAAATAGATAAAGATGAAATCATGAAGTTAATAAACAGAGAATACTTTGTCCAGGTGCAGGTTTTAGAAACAGCTATATACTTTTCAATGGTTTGCTGTACTGAAACACCACCTAGTGGTCCTTTAAACACCACTTTGGTGTATAGAGGATCACCAAAAAGCCTAACCCTAGGCTGGGTGCAATGGCTCAAACCTGTAATCTCAGCACTTTGGGAGGCCAAGGTGGGTGGATCATCTGAGGTCAACAGTTTGAGACCAGCCTGGCCAACATGGTGAAACCACATTCCTACGAAAAATACAAAAATTAGCTGGATGTGGTGGCAGGCACCTGTAATCCCAGCTACTCCGGGGGCTGAGGCAGGAGAATCACTTGAACCGGGGAGGTGGAGGTTGCAGTGAGCCAAGATTGTGCCACTGCACTCCAGCCTGGACAACAGAATGAGACTTCATCTCAAAAAAACAAACAAACAAACAAACAAAAAAACAGTCTAACTTAACAGAGAATTTGCTCCTGCTTCTATACAATATCTAGAGATGGGAGTTAGAATAGAGATGTAAACAATACCATTAATAACTAGAAAGCATATATACCTCCCTTCCCCTCTTGTCAAAGCCCACAGCTCAAACATCTCTAGAATTCCAAAAGACTCTGGATGACAAAAGATTTTAACGCACACTCAAAAAAAAATTAAATAAATAAATAAATATTTAAAAAAACTTTTCATATATAGGGTTTAGTAAATTCCTATAGAAATTGGTACAACCAGTAAAGAAACTGGAGGTGACCCTTCCTAGGTAATCATTTTTGTCCTGCCATCATGGACTTTCCCCTGTTGGCCTAGGTCTTGAGATGATAATGATATAATATAATCATGAATACTTAGAAGCATAA
The DNA here is from genome assembly GCF_000001405.40 of Homo sapiens. NCBI lineage: Eukaryota > Metazoa > Chordata > Mammalia > Primates > Hominidae > Homo > Homo sapiens. The sequence goes on along the minus strand of NC_000015.10, from coordinate 58,838,910 downwards.
AGATCCTCTGAAAAGTCGTAATAAAAATTAGGCCGGGCTCAGTGGCTCACACCTGTAATCTCAGTTCTTTGGGAGGTCAAGGTGGGCAGATCACTTGATGTCAGGGATTTGAGACCAGTCTGGACAACATGGTGCAACCAATCTCTACTAAAAAAAATAAGCCAGGAGTGGTGGTACCCGCCTGTAATCCCAACTACTTGGGAGGCTGAGGCAGGACAATCGCTTGAACCTGAGAGGTGGAGGTTGTGGTGAGCTGAGATTGTGCCACCGCACTCCAGTCTGGGCAACAGAGTGAGACTCCATCTCAAAAAAAAAAAAAAAAAAAAAATCCCTAAAAAGTAGCCCCACTAACAAAATAATAGAAGTATAGATATTTATGTCTGATTGCCTGTTTATTACAGACTGGCAATTTATTATTATAAGCCCCTAGTTGTAAACACCACTGAAGTGGAAAAGTATTCTATCTAGATGTTAAATTTTGTTTGCTGAAAGTATATCTTTTTTGTTTTTTTTGAGATGGAGTCTCGCTCTGTCACCCAGGCTGGAGTGCAGTGGCATGATCTTGGCTCACTACAACCTCCGCCTCCTGGATTCAAGCGATTCTCCTGTCTCAGCCTTCTGAGTAGCTGGCATTACGGGCACACACCACCATGCCCAGCTAGTTTTTGTATTTTTAGTAGAGATGGGGTTTCACCATGTTGGCCAGGCTGGTCTCGAACTCCTGACCTTAAGTGATCCACCTGCCTTGGCCTCCTAAAGTGCTGGGATTACAGGCGTGAACCACCACACCACACCTGGCCTGAAAGTATATCTTGAATTCTGTGGGATGAAATGTATTTATGCGATAGATGTTCCAAAGAGAAAGAGTTCACAGGAGTAGAAAGATGGAAAACACTGTGACGATTAAATATAATTTTTCCTTTTTTTTTTTTTTTTTTTTTTGAAAGAAGGTCTTACTCTGTCATCCAGGTTGGAGTGCAGTGGCATGATCACAGTTAACTGTAGCTTCGATCTCCTGGACTCAAATTATCCTCCCATCTCAGCCTCCCAAAGAGCTGGGACTATGGGCACACACCACCATGCCTGGCTAATTTTTTTAAAGTTTTTTGTACAGACAAGGTCTTACTTCATTGTCCATGCTGGTCTCTAACTACTGGGCTCAAGTGATCTTCCCACCTCTGCCTCTCAAAGTACTGCAATTACATGTGTAAGCCTGGCTGGTCATTAAATATGAATGCATAAGATGTCCCTCAAAATCAGGGTTTCTCAAAAGTGAAATGCTAGAAGGCAGTAGGAAGATATGGAAGATGTAATGTAGATTTAAAAATAGCCATAGTTTGTTTAAAAAAGGTTTCCTTTTTTTTTTTTTTTGGTGCCATCATGGCTCACTGTAGCCTCACCCTCCTGGGCTCAGGGCTCAAGTGATCCTCCCACCTCAGCCACCCTAGTAACTGGGACTATAGGTGCGTACCACCACACTGGCTAACTTTCAAAATTATTTGTTGAGATGGGGTCTTCCTATGTTGTCCAGGCTGGCTTTGAACTCTGGGCCTCAAGCGACTGTCCAGCCTTGGCCTCCCAAAGTGCTAGGATTACACACATGAGCCACCATGCCCAGCCTCTATTTTTAAAAATTATTATTTGTGTCCTTATTAAATCACACATTCTCTGGGGCTCAAGTTTATAAAGTGCTACAAACAACTCAGGAATTAGTAGGAGAGAATAATAATCTTAATGATGAACAGCCTTAATAGAACAAAGGCACAATCCTCTCTCTGCCTTATTCCCTTATTAAGCAAATGGACACCATGCTGGAAGAACCCCTTCCCTAAATTTTATTTAGCATTCATTTAGTATTTTAAAAGTATTCCTTTAGGGGTTCTATTCTACACCAACAGCCAAAGTGTTATAGATTCTGTTGTAAATCAGGTAATCTGTCACTGGGTCAGTGAAGAAGACGTGCTTTTGACCCTTATAAAGAATGCACTCATGTCTGGGTGTAGTGGTTCACACCTGTAATCCCAACACTCTGGGAGGTTGAGTTGGGCAGACTGCTTGAGCCCAGGAGCTCAAGACCAATTTGGGCAACACAGGGATATCCTGTCTCTAAAAAAAAAATTTTAAATTGGCCAGGTGTGATCGTGTACACCTGTAGTCCCAGTTGCTTGGGAGGCTGAGCCATGAGGATCGCTTGAACCCAGGAGGCAGAGGTTGCAGTGATCTGAGATTGCAGCAGCGCACTCAAGCCTGGGTGACAGAGCAAGACCCTGTTTCAGGGAAAAAAATAAAAAATAAAAAAAGCACTCACTGGGTACTCTGTCAGAAGTAAAGCAGTGTCTTATCTAAAGACTCAGGATTGGAAAGCTGGTACAATAGGAATATAGGAAATAGAACCAAGAATTGTAATGGGGCATAAATAATCATCCAAATGCCCATAGGATCCCTGAAGAACACAAGATTTGGATCATATCAAAATGGAGTTACTCTATCAAATGCAATGCATGGTCTTTGATTAGATCCTGGTTTGAACAAACCATCCATAGAACTATTCTGGGGACAAGTGGCAAATTTGAATATGGACTAGATTATTAGATACTGAGAATGATAGTAGCCACTGCACTCCATCCTGGGTGATGGAGTGAGACCCCACCCTGTCTCAAAAAAAAAAAAAAAGAATTATAGTTAATTTTGAGATGCAATAGGCCGGGTGCGGTCGCTCACGCCTGTAATCCCAGCACTTTGGGAGGCCGAGGCAGGCAGATCACGAGATCAGGAGATTGAGACCATCCTGGCTAACACAGCGAAACCCTGTCTCTACTAAAAATACAAAAAAATTAGCTGGGTGTGGTGGCGGGCGCCTGTAGTCCCAGCTACTCTGGAGGCTGAGGCAGGAGAATGGCATGAACCCGGGAGGCGGAGCTTGCAGCGAGCCGAGATTGTGCCATTGCACTCCAGCCTGGGTGACAGCAAGACCCCATCTCAAAAACAAAACAAAACAAAACAAAACAAAAAACCCAAGACTTTACAAGATCTAGTGCCTGGCTATCTATTTGGCCTTTCTTCATTCCTTTTACTTGCTATGTTTCAGGGACACTGACTTTCTTTTAATTCCTCAGGAGTCAAGCTGTTTCCTTCCTCAGGGCCTTTGCATACATGTTCTATCTGCTAAGTTAACTCTTTTTTGGCCAACTGATTAAACTAGAAGATTCACTTTTTAGGTATCATTTTATTTTTATTTAATGAATTAATTAATTACTGAGACAGAGTTTCGCTCTTGTCGCTTAGGCTGGAGTGCAATGGCACATTCTCAGTTCACTGCAACCTCCACCTCCCAGGTTCTGGCGATTCTCCTGCCTCAGCCTCCCAAGTAGCTGGAATTACAGGCACCCACCACCATGCCCAGCTAATTTTTGTATTTTTAGTAAAGACGGGGTTTCACCATGTTGGCCAGGCTGGTCTCAAACTCCTGACCTCAAGTGATTCACCCGCCTCGGCCTCCTAAAGTGCTGGGATTACAGGCGTGAGACACCGCACCCAGCCTCAGGTATCATTTTAAATGTGACCTTCTTAAATAAATCTTTCCTGACAATCCCTAAGTTATAAGTCCCAATAAAAGCAACTAACTTATAAATCCTGATAAAAACACTCACAGCTTGTGATATGTATCCTTAACAAACTGTATCTCAATAGAAATAAATTAATAATTATTTGTGTAATTATTTAATATCTGCCCCTTGTCAAACTACGAGGTCCTTAATAGGCAAAAACCATAGCTTCCTTGCTCATGGCTGTATTCCTACTACTAGTGAGCACCCAGACATGATACATGCTCAATAAATATTTGTTAAATAAATGAATAAATCCTAGACTTGAGAGGTCAGGTTAAGTAAGAAATAAAATGATTTAGCAGTATTCACCATGTATCAATAAATCTGATCCTTATGTCCTTTGGCCTTAGATTTCTGAGGAGTATGGATGACTCTGGGCCCACATCTGACATACATCTAGCTAAAATGTTGAAGTTATACAAATGAGCTGTTGCTATAACTAAGATAGGAATGGGAGAGCAACGGCTTTAAGGGTATTCTTACATAAGCAAACAAGTCATTATTTTATACTACTTTGTGTAATTCATTGACTAAAGTGTTGAAGAAAATATGAAGATGTAATTCACGACTTTAATAAGCCACTTTCATTTAGAAAAAAATGACATATTTACATGGAAAGAAAACTGGTAATTAGGTATTAACCAATAAGGGCTAAAAAAAGATGATGTAGCCAATAACAGCTAGATGATGGTTAGAGAATTGTACTCTGCCTTAGCTGCACATTAAAATAACCTGAAAAGCACTCAAAATTAATGATGCTCAGATCCCACCTCCGGAGATTCTCATTTAATGGAGTTGGTGGTAGGTTCTGAGGATTGGCAGTTTTAAAAAAGCCTCCCATACAGTTTTAGCATACAATTTGGGTTGAGAACCACTGGTTTGAGGAGAGTAGAAGTAGCTTTACTAAAGAGTTAGTATTTAAAAGCTTCTTAAAGGATGGGTAAAATTGGGACAGGCAAAAAGGAATGAGAAGACCTTTCCAAACAGGGATTAAGGAGTGAGATATTGTGGGGAAAAGAGAGAGAGATCAGATTGTTACTGTGTCTGTGCAGAAAGTAGACATAGGAGACTCCCATTTTGTTCTGTATTAAGAAAAATTCTTCTGCCTTGAGATGCTGTTAATCTGTAACCCTACCCCCAACCCTGTGCTCCCTGAAACGTGTGCTGTGTCAACTAAGGGTTAAATGGATTAAGGGCTGTGCAGGGTGTGCTTTGTTAAACAAATGCTTGAAGGCAGCATGCTAGTTAAGAGTCATCACCACTCCCTAATCTCAAGTACCCAGAGACACAAAACACTGCGGAAGGCTGCAGGGACCTCTGCCTAGGAAAGCCAGGTATTGTCCAAAGTTTCTCCCCATGTGATAGTCTGAAATATGGCCTCGTGGGAAGGGAAAGACCTGACCGTCCGGCAGCCCGACACCCATAAAGGGTCTGTGCTGAGGAAGATTAGTAAAAGAGGAAGGAACGCCTCTTTGCAGTTGAGATAAGAGGAAGGCTTCTGTCTCCTGCTTGTCCCTGAGCAATGGAATGTCTTGGTGTAAAGCCCGATTGTATACTCCATCTACTGAGACAGGGGAAAACCGCCTTAGGGCTGAAGATGGGACATGCTGGCAGCAATACTGCTCCTTAAGGCATTGCGATGTTTATGTATATGCACATCAACAGCACAGCACTTTTTTCTTTACCTTGTTTATGATGCAGAGACATTTGTTCACGTGTTTACCTTCTGACCTTCTCTGCACTATTATCCTATTATCCTGCCACACCCAATAATGATCAATAAATACTAAGGGAACTCAGAGGCCGGTGCCGGCGTGGATCCTCCGCATGCTGAACGCTGGTCCCCTGGGCCCCCTTTTTTCTTTCTCTATACTTTGTCTCTGTGTCTCTGTCTTTTCCAAGTCTCTTGTTCCACCTAATGAGAAACACCCACAGGTGTGGAGGGGCAACCCACTCCTTCAAGATATGGCAGTAAAGTGCAGAAATTAGAAGGTATAGTGTGTGTATGGGATGGAGAGTTATCAGTGAATAGACACCATTTTGGCTGAAGTAAAGTGTTGGCAAATAGAACATATCTTGTATTTTTATCCCCACGCATGAAGTGCTACTGAACATTTTCGGTATATTACTGATGGGATCAGAACAGTATTCTACTGTACTACTGAAGAAATCTATGTATAAGTTGACAAACTTCTGAACTAAGTGACAGCTGTAACAACAAAAAGAATGGCTATAAGAGATAAAAAGAGTAAAACAGTAAATGTTTTTGACAGAGCCATAAATGGCACTACAGGAAGAATTTAAAGCCACACATTATTAAAGAATTTAATGTTTGGTCACATTAAAGTCATTAAAGTTTAATAATAGCAAACAGTATCATAAAGGCAAATCATCTAAATAAATAAATAAATTTATTTCTTCTAAATTCCTTTAGCACTGAAATATAAACTTCCATGATTAGATGTCATCCTAGTTCTGGCCGCACACGGTGGCTCAAGCCTGTAATCCCAGCACTTTGGGAGGCTGAGGCGGGCTATCATCTGAGGTCGGGAGTTTGAGACCAGCCTGACCAACATGGAGAAACCCTGTCTCTACTAAAAACACAAAATTAGCCAGGTGTGGTGGCGCATACCTATAATCCCAGCTACTCGGGAGGCTGAGGCAGTAGAATTGCTTGAACCTGAGGCGGAGGTTGCGGTGAACTGAAATCACGCCATTGTACTCCAGCCTGGGCAACAAGAGTGAAACTCTGTCTCAAGAAAGAAAAAAAAAAAAGTCTGGGCATGGTGGCTCACGCCTGTAATCCCAGCACTTTGGGAGGCTGAGGCGGGCGATCACCTGAGGTCAGGAGTTTGACACCAGCCTGACCAACATGGAGAAACCCCATCTCTCCTAAAAATACACAAAAATTAGCCAGGCATGGTGGTGCATGCCTGTAATCCCAGCTACTCGGGAAGCTGAGGTAGGAGAAGCGCCTGAACCTGGGAGGCAGAGGTTGCAGTGAGCCGAGATCACGCCATTGCACTCCAGCCTGGGCAACAAGAGCGAAATTCCATTTCAAAAAAAAAAAAAAAGAAGTCATCCTAGTTCTATCTCTAGGGTTTATCTTTTTTTTCTCTCAGAAAGAAAATAATAAAATACTTCTTACTGCAAAGATCTGTGAAAAAGAAGTTGAGAATTAAAAAACAAAAAGTGATTTGAGGTAATGCTTCAATTGTTAATCCATCCCATCCTTAAGAAGTACTGTATTTAATAATTACCTTCATAATTTGATGGTTAAGAAATATTACGCTAAAATCTTTTATTTATAAGCAGATCAAAAGACAACTCTAAATCAAGCTCCTTTGATTTAGAATCACGATTAAATAGCTATTTCTATATCATACCTTGTATTTGGTCATGGTGCTAAAATGATTATTCCGAAAGAACACACAAAGTTCTCCTTCCTGAACCGTTGAAGTTAGTTCACATAATCCATGGTATGTCAGTTGAGTGGCTGTGTTATTTAGAAACTGCTCAGCTACAAAGCCTATAGAACCAATGCATAACATTAGATAGAAGAATAATTTCAAAATCAAAAAGTTATTCTTTTTCTATTTAAAGTGTGTTCCAAGTATGGAAAAAGGCCAATAATTATAATACTTTCCCTACTACTTTATGATGGCTCCAAACTGGACATTTGTGTTTTTAATTTTGCAATGAAATATGTGTATACAGACATTCCTATCCTAAATAGTTATGTGAAATTCTTTTTTATAAACAAATGCATTTACTTATACTTCACCTACTATTACAAAGGATTTCATGCAGGTTGCAGTAAAAAAGCAGACACAATAAAACTAAAAGCCATGAAAGCAAGTAAAAAGACAGGTGTCAGGCAATTTTAAAAATGGGTGGGAAAGAAAAATGTCAGTCAACAGCTACCTCCCAATAGCAAGGTGTTTTCAAATTAAAAGTAGCCCTAATAAATTGAGTAGCTTAAGATTTCACAAAAATCCTAGATAATTCTTAAGTTGTAAACTTCTCAATTCTTGCTTTAAAACTAAAAGTAGGCATAAGGCTGAACAGAAAGCCGTGGGATAAATGATGCCATTTTTAATGGTTTTTTATGCCATTTTTATGCTAATCTCCTCCAACATATGCCACTCATGTAGATGTATCAAGTTCGGAAATAGATATTATGGCTTTTGTTTTTGAAATACAATAAAATATACAGAAGTGATCCGGGGTATAATTTAAAACATATATATATATATATATACACACACACACACACACACACACACAACTGATCTTCATATACACAATCGATCCTCATTGCAAGTTCATATCTACAAGTTCATCTAACTGGCTAAAATTTATTTAGATCCCCCAAATCAATACTTGCAGCATTTTCATGCTTGTTTGTGGACATGTGAAGACTGGTGAAAATTCTGAGTGGCCCAATGTGCACATTCCCAGCTGAGGTCAAACAAGGCAACATTCTGCCTTCTTGCTTCAGCTCTCTCGCATACTGTAAACAAGTGTCCCTTTCATGGTCTATTTAGTGCCATGTTTTTCACATTTTTATGCTTTCTGTTGGTGATTTTGCTGTTTCAAACAGCATCCAAGCATAATGCCAAAGTGCTGGCTAGCATTCAGTAGACAAAGGCTGTGATGTGCCTTATAGAGAAAATACATGTGCTAGATAGGTTTCGTTCAGGCATGAGTTATACAGGTTGAGTATCACTTATCTAAAATGCTTGAGATCAGAAGGGTTTTGGGTGTGGATTCTTTTGGATTTTGGAATGTCTGCATTATACTGATCAGCTGAGCATCCCTAATCTGAAAATGAGAAATCTGAAATCCTCCAATGAGCATTTCCTGTGAGCGTCATGTTGGTGTTTAGATTTTGGAGCATTTTGGATTTTGGATTTTCAGATTAGGGATATTCTATCTGTAGTGCTGTTGGCTGTGAGTTTAACGCTAGTGAATCAACAGTATATATTAAATAAGGTGTGTTTAACAGAAACACACATAAAACAAGTTTATGTACTGATCAGCTGATGAAAATGTTACCAAATGCTCCTTAAAAACTCACTCATATTTATCCTAGGGACAGTGGTTCAGCATTCACTAATTCAGTGTTCACAGTAACTTTATAGAACATAGCTACCATGAATAATGAGAATCAACTGTATACATATTTTTTAAACTTGTATTTCTCTTCTTCTTTCCCTCCTTCCTTTTGGAGTAAGTAGAGATGTCTCGGAAGCAATGGGGGAGGAGGGAAGGGAATGCCCTAAAAAGTTTCATAAGTGATCTGAGAGATATAGATACAGGGACTAAAGATAAATCTGTGGTATGAAACTAACACTTCAACAATAAATTGAAAAGAAAACTTGGTAGTGCCAGAAGCAGATAACATAGGTTTATTCCACTCCCTCGACATCCCTTAGTGTCAAACCATAGTACTTCAAGCTACAAAGTGGTTGTAAAAACTTACCACACTATAATTATCACACTATTGCAAGGACTTTGTTATGATAGAAGTACAAAAACTATAAAGAGGTCTACAGCCAAAAGAAATTCATTGAATACTTGCAACTTCTTGGGTATGCCTGTGCTGAAAAGTACCACTGCCGTCTGTAATATCTGTATTACTAAATGTTCCCTTCAGAAAGATGTTTTTAAAAGCCCCTTCCATACCTTACTCACCCAATATCCTCTCCACAGATCCCTTTCAAAAAGACACAGAAATTCAGTGGAGATATAGCACATTACTTTCATGTTAGTGTGAAATCCAAAAATTCAACATTAGAAAGGTCTTTCTCAGCTACTTCTTTTTACAGAATAGGACATAGGCTCAGAGAGAATAAGTGACTTGCCCAAGGACATCAAACTAGTTATGGCAAAGGGAAGACAGTAACCTAGGAGAATTATTATGGATATTAAATTTTAAAATTTATTGCAGATGAGTATTATAAATGCCACTTGAATTATATCTCTCCCAAAACCATAAAGCATAGCTTATTAAGAACTAGAAAAAACAATGTTTCGTAATTCTCCTGTCATCTCTTAAACAGTGGTTTTAGTGGAAAAGGCTAACCTAGTTTTAAATTTTTATAATTAATTAGCCTTTATTGAAAAGCTCAATCTAGTTTCAACTTTTTACAACTATTTAAACAAATTTTGGAAAACAACTGTAAGTGTTACACAGCAGTTTATTTATTTGTAAACTTATCAGAGAATCATTATAACGCTCAAAGAGGTGTTATTGATTCAAATAATCCAGTTTATTACAACATTCACATTAAATCTCAATTTTATTGTTATTGTAATTGATGATACTAAAGGTAAAAAACTTAATGATAATAGAGTATTATTCATGAAAATAAATTTAAATTAAGCCTTATTTTCCTGAGAAGATTACTATATTTGAAAATATTTCTTACATTCAGAAATTTAAGACTGGGCGCAGTGGCTCATGCCTGTAATCCCAGCACTTTGGAAGGCGGGCGGATCATGAGGTCAGGAGATCGAGACCATCCTGACTTACCTGGTGAAACCCCGTCTCTACTAAAAATACAAAAAAATTAGCCAGGCATGGTGGCAGGCGCCTGTAGTCCCAGCTACCCGGGAGGCTGAGGCAGGAGAATGGCGTGAACTGGGAGGCGGAGCTTTCAGTGAGCCGAGATCGCACCACTGCACTCCAGCCTGGGTGACAAAAAAAAAAAAAAAAAAAAAAGAAATTCAATAATAAATTAGTTCATTAAACTGTTTTCCTCTGTTACTGGACAGTTATTAGAGAACATGAAAGTGATGAATGCCTTAAAGATGGTGAAGTTACAGAGGTACTATAATTAGTCAAAAAGGAATAGAAAGTAGAAATAGGAAGGAAGGAAACTTGATTTATTTTAAAATGTTGCCTAGATGTGGTCCTGTCTCAGATTTGTGTTCAAATTTAAGCTTAGTGAGAACTTAACTTGTCACTGTGACAGCTTTAAACAATCTAACTTTTAAGAATTTAATCTACATTTAAGTTTCAAAGATCAAATACATTAATGTATTTTTTCCTCAAAAGGATGGGCAAAACAATTTATTTTAATGACAAATGCCCAGATTTTACTTGAAAAGATAAAAGCTCATATGATTTTTTTTTTTTTTGAGATGGAGTCTCACTCCGTTTCCAGACTGGAGTGCAGTGGCGCTATCTCGGCTCACTGCACACCCAGCTAATTTTTTGTATTTTTAGTACAGACAGGGTCTCACCATGTTGGCCAGGCTGGTCTCGAACTCCTGACCTCAGGTGATCCACCCACCTCGGCCTCCCAAAGTGCTGGGATTACAGGCATGAGCCACTGCGCCCAGCCCACTCATATGATTTGATTCCAGGAGTGCAGTAGGGAGCCCAGAACATTTTACTGTGCCAAAAAATAAGTGCTTAAGTAAAGATGAGGAGATACAAAAGAACACAAGACCCAACTTGAGGGCATCCCACTGGCCATATCACATTTAGAACAATTAAAGCATCAAAAAGAATAATGATAATGGATTATAATACACTGAATAGGCCAGGCACGGTGGCTCATGCCTGTAATCCCGGCACTTTGGGAGGACGAGGCGGGAGAATCACGAGGTCAGGAGATCGAGACCACGGTGAAACCCTGTCTCTACTAAAAGTACAAAAAAATTAGCCGGCCGTGGTGGCGGGCGCCTGTAGTCTCAGCTACTCGGGAGGCTGAGGCAAGAGAACGGCATGAACCCGGAAGGCGGAGCTTACAGTGAGCCGAGATCGCGCCACTACACTCCAGCCTGGATGACACAACAAGACTCCGTTCTGTCTGAATAAAAAGGAATCCATGAGTTTATATGGATACAATTTTTTTTAATGGGGAAAGAGGAGAAGGAAGAGAAGGGAAAACTGTTCTGTTACAGAAGAATAACAACTAATAAACAGAAGGAATAACAGAAATTATAACCACCACAGTAATAACTGATTCAGGCAAGAACCAATGGATGCCAAATCTACCTGGTTAAAGATTATTAACGAATAGCATATTCACACAGTTCAAAGAATAATATCACAGGTGACTTATTAACTACCAAGGGAAAAGGACATCTTTACAATATAAAAACCTGGCAGATATTATCTTATCATATTTGAACATCACCAATAATGAGATAATCAGGCTCATGTGCCCCCGATTTGATGCACTGGGAAAGACACAATGTCACCTACGTAGCATCCCTGCCAAAAATATATAACCTGAATCTACTAATGAGGAAATAATCAGATGAATCCAAATTGAGGAATATTCTGTGGAACAACTGGCCTGGACTATTTTAAAAAGTCAATGTCATAAACGACAAAAAAGGAAGGAAAGGAGGGAGGAAGCAAGGAAGGAAAGGAGTGAGGAAGCAAGGGAGGAAAGGAGAAATGAAGGAAGGAAGGGAGGAAGGGAGGGAGGAAGGAATAAGGTTACAGAACTATTCTAGATTACAGAAGACTAAAGAGATGTGACAACTAAATGATCCATAATTGGAGCCTCCATTGAAAAAAATTAAAAGCTATTAGGGGCATTACTGGGAAAACGGGAGAATTCTGATATGAACAATATATTAAATAATATTGTATCAATGCTAAATTGCTTGAAATAATTGCATTGTGATTATATAGGAGAATTTATATAAGAGAATTCCTTGTTCTTAGGAGACAAATGATGAAGCATTTACAGGTAAAGTGCTATATTTGCAATTAATTCTCACAAGATTTAGGGAAAAAGAGTGTGTGGGGCCAGGTGCAGTGGCTCATGTCTGTAATACCAGCACTTTGGAAGGCCAAGGCGGGCGGATCACCTGAGGTTGGGAGTTCGAGACCAGCTTGACCAACACAGAGAAACCCCATCTCTACTAAAAATACAAAATTAGCCAGGTGTGGTGGCGCATGCCTGTGATCCCAGCTACTTGGGAGGCCGAGGAAGGAGAATCGCTTGAGCCTGGGAGGCAGAGGTTGTGGTAAGCCAAGGTTGCGCCATTGTACTCCAGCCTGGGCAACAAGAGCAAAACTCCATCTCAAAAAAAAAAAAAAAAAAAAAGATTGTGTGAATACAGAAAAAAAGAAAACATTCAACATATCAACAATTGGTAAATTTACATAAAGAGCATATAAATGTTCACTGTGCTATTACAACCTTTTTTATAGGTTTGAGATTTTTTAAAATAAAAGTTGAAGAAAGAAAAAGAAAAGGAAACCAATATTATTTAATAAAAATAATAATAAGCCAAACTATAATGTTCAGTGTCTATGGCACATAATAAAGGCTCAATAAATATTTGAATTAACGAATACATATCCTAGAAATATTTTTATAAGCATATTTTTGTCCTAGGAACAACTGTTAAAGAAACATTCCTAGGCTGGGTATGGCATCTCACGCCTGTAATCCCAGCACTTTGGGAGGCTGAGGTGGGAGGATCACCTGATGTCAGGAGTTTGAGACCAGCCTGGGCAACATGGTGAAACCCTGTCTCACCTAAAAATACAAAAAATTAGCCAGCGTGGTGGCGTGAGCCTGTAGTCCCAGCTACCTGGGAGGCTAAGGCAGAAGAATTGCTTGAACCTGGGAGGCAGAGGTTGCAGTGAGCCAAAATTGTACCACTGCACTCCAGCCTCCAGCCTGGGCAGCTGAGCAAGACTCTGTCTCAAAACAAACAAACAAACAAACACCACACAAACAAACAAACAGACAAAAAAGAACCATTCCTGAGAGCATCTGGAATTAAATGAATAGCTATGGTGAAGTCTGGCTGCTGGTACTGCGCTTTTTTTTAAACTTGCTGATTTTTGCTGCCATGAAAAATCAGCATCATCACAACCAGATTCAAAAAGGTATTGTTTCTATTCATCATTGTACTGGAAAAGAAGTAGAAAATAAAAAAGGTATCGACACCCGAAAGCAGTGTATTCTACAATTAAGTATTCTACGTAAAGTAAAAGTTCTGCACCTTTACTTATAAGGCATTAGAATCAAGGAAAGCAAATGTTATCTAAAAGAAGTTGAAAGAACACCTAACTCTATTTGATTATTTGCTAAATAACATTTCTTTTCCCTTAAAAAGGAATGTTAGTGAATGTATTTCTTATTCCTCATACCTTGATAGGAAATAAAATGTTTGAATTTTTAAAAAGTTATCACCTGTGACCAAAACTTATTTTTTAATAAAGATTAGAAACAAGTCGGCTTTGAGGTATTTTATTGATTTAAAGGGAAAGCTACAATTGCAGGCTAAACAGAAAATGAAAGCAGATTACTTTAACTGAACACCACTCAAGATAATATGATATATGATGGGCTGGGCGAGGTGGCTTATGCCTGTAGTTGCAGCACTTTGGGAGGTTGAGGCTGGCGGATCACCTGAGGTCAGGAGTTTGAGACCAGCCTGGCCAACATGGTGAAATCTCATCTCTACTAAAAATACAAAAATTAGTCGGGCATGGTGGCACATGCCTGTAGTCCCAGCTACTCAGGAGGCTGAGGCAGGAGAATTGCTTGAATCCATGGGGCAGAGGTTACAGTGAGCCGAGATCGTGCCACTACACTCCAGCCTGGGTGACAGAGCGAGACTGTCTCAAAAAAAAAAAAAAAAAAGATAATATGATGAAGAAAAGCTAATTGCTGCAAAGTAAGTAAAAATGTCTATTACGGTCTTTTATTTTCCATGATTTCTTAGTGTCTTATACAAGTAACCATTGGAGTTAAGTAATTATTTCAAATGAACTACAAATTTGTAGTTACTTATGAACAAAAATCTAGTTTAGCTTTTTAATTATGCTAAATGACACATATAATTATTCTTTAATATGGAAATATGGTATGTAGAATTTCATCATTATGAAATTTATATATCAAGGAAGTAATAAATATGCCCAGCAGATATTCCCTAAAAATTCTATACCATTTTAGAGGGTTTCTTTCTTTGCTTTCACCATGATGTTCTTCCTAAATTATCAATAACACATATATTAACTATAGTTTTTCATTATCCTGAGGAATCAATGTCAGAGAAATAATAATATTTGTGACATCAGGTTAAGGAAAAAGAAGTAATGAAGGAACTGATTTTTTTGTTCATTTTGTTAATTATTATAGTACTAAGTCCTACCCTTACTGTATTTGTAGCCAGAATTGGGAAAGATGTTAACAGTGTTTCACATAGCTTCATACTCCATAAGTCAGTTTATCCAAGTATTACTTCTTGGCTAGCATTCTGTCTGTTACCACTTTCTGAATCCTATTGTTCCTTCAAGTACTACTGAATAGCATACTCTGGTATATTGGACATTACTGAAAAAGAAGGATTCCGTAGATAGACATTTTTAAAATAGGAGCTTCTTTTTAGTAATTATCTATGGTAATGAGAGCTTGTATAGGAATGCAAACTTCTAGTGAGTGGAATTTTTTTCCCCATACATTCTAGCTCATTGAGAAGGAATTTTGTTAATTGAGAGAATATACTTTTGTAATAGTTTTTATTGCTTCTTTCTCTCCTAAAATTTGAACACTGCTGCCTCATGCTGTAACAAAAGAGTTGTCAGATGAATCAATGATCAACGACTCTATACTGTTTTTTGTTTTGTTTTGTTTTGTTTTGTTTTTGAGACAGATTCTGTTCTGTTGCCCAGGCTGGAGTGTAGTGGCATGATATTGGCTCACTGCAGCCTTGACCTCCTGGGCTCAAGTGATCTTTCAGCCTCAGCCTCCCAAGTACGTGGAGCTAGAGGTGCCTGGCTAATTTTTTATTTTTATTTTTTAGAGATGGGATCTTGCTACATTGCCCAGGCTAGTCTCAAACTCCTGGGCTCAAGCAATCCTCCCGCCTCAGCCTCCCAAAGTGCTGGGATTACAGGTGTGGGCCACAATGTCCAGCCTGTCCCTGTATCTTTATATGTTTACTGCAAGTAGAAGAATAGCATAAACCTCCCAGCTTGACCAACATGACAAAATCCCATCTCTACTAAAAATACAAAATTATTGCATGCCTGTAATCCCAGCTACTCAGGAGGCTGAGGAAGGAGAATGGCTTCATCCTGGGAGGCGGAGGTTGCAGTGAGCTGAGATCGCGCCATTGCACTCCAGCCTGGGCAACAAGAGTGAAACTCCGTATCAAAAAAAAAAAAAAAGAAAAAAAAAAGATTAGGATAAACCTTAACTAAAATACTATGCATTTTCTTCTTATTTTCCTCTTTTGCAAAAATGTGTTAAACTTCTGGATAATTAAGTAATGTAATTAGTTGGATTCTGATTAATATAGATGGAATTCATGTACATATCTTTTATATGCTCATATGCTCCTGTAGTCGTTAGTTTTAATTCTTAAAAATGTGATAATTGTAATAAACTTTTATTATATCTTATGTAAAATAATTGTGTGTCTGAGAGAGACTAAAACTCATGCCCTACTTCTCATGATTTCTCTTTCTCTTTTGTTTCCCTTTCACAGACAGAAGAATTATAGCCTCAGTATTTATGTATATTTTTGAAAGAGTGAAGTGGGGACTGAGAAGGTATATCTACATGCTATGCCTTTTGATAGCATTCTGTTTCAAATCTCCTTTTCTCATCATTGACTGGAACACAGTTGAAAAAATATTAAACTGATTTTGTGACGATGAATTTAGGAATTCCAGTTAGCTAAGGATTAGAAAAACTGATTTTCAGAGGCATACTCTGATCCAGAATGGGGCTTTAATATTGTATTATACTGAAATATAAAGCAGAGGTCTACTAAAATCTAGAGTACTTGAGCACCATAATACTCATCTCAGTCAGTTGAAGTATTCAGGATCAATGATAAAGTCCATTCAGGACTCCTAAATAATAAACATTTTTTAAGAAAGTAATTATCAGTAACCTCTGGGTACCTGACCATACCAAAGTTAGCAAGTGATTCCAAAAATTTTTAATAGAATCCAGGCCTGATTTTACAAGTTAAATGAAAAAGAGTTCTAGGAAAAACCTTTCATTGGCACCTTTATGAATGATTACTTCTTCTTCTTTTTTTTTTTTTTGATACAGAGTCACTCTGTTGCCCAGGGTGGAGTACAGCGGCGCAATCTCGGCTCACTACAACCTCCACCTCCTGGGTTCAAGCGATTCTCCTGCCTCAGCCTCCTGAGTAGCTGGGATTACAGGCATGCAACACCATGGCCAACTAATTTTTTGTTGTATTTTTAGTAGACACGTGGTTTCATCATGTTGGCCAGGCTGATCCTGAACTCCTGTCCTCAGGTGATCTGCCTGCCTTGGCCTCTCAAAATGCTGGGATTACAGGCGGGAGCCACTGTGCCCAGCCTATGGATGGTTACTTCTTAAAATTCATACAAGTAATATAACATGTGTTTTTTAGAAGTCTTATTTAAGAAATTTGAAAGATATTAAGTTATAAGAAAAATTATCTTGCCAAGAATTTCAAAAGTCAGGAAATAGCAGCACTCACCCACCTTCACTAACCAGCTCACTATTGTCTGACTGTTTACAAGAGATGATCTTCTCCACTAGTTGGTTGTAGCTGCAGTTACCAACAGCTTTTACAATGTCATCAATCTAGAAAACAAATGACTGTCTCACTAATCATGGTAAGATTAGGAACAAAACAAAAGAAAGCCATATCACTCTTTAGAATTTTATTCTAATATAATACTAAATATAAAACTATTATTTACGAAAAACAAAATCAGCACTAAAATCAACACCCAACAGTTTCCAAGTTTGTTTACAGCTCAGTAGGACACATTATGAAAAATACTGCAGTTGTATTATTTTAATTATGCAAAATAAGATTAAATGGGATTATTACATGCAACTTTATTTCTTAAGGTCATAAACATGTATTTAAGTGATCAAAATAAAACATAAACTATTCCAGAAGAAAAAATAAGAAAATATCCATTTTTTTCTCCCAGCATAAAGTATCAAGTTTTTTTTTTTTTTAACTAAAAAACAAATGTTGCACATTTAAAGCAAGGCAACTTTAAATATGTTAATTTATAGGATTAATAAAATTATTCCATTTTATTACTTATTTCCTAGAAAAGTATAGTGGAGATATGAGTAGAGATAACTAATGTTATTTTCCTGAAGAAAAGTTAATATATGTTAATGGGGGATGGGATATGCGCCATGATTCTTATTTAATCTTTGTTTTTAGAGGTACAGCAGTACAGTAAACTTAAACTTTTAAGCTATAGGAAAATAAAATTGGGCTTCTCTCTCTCCATTACACTTTGCTTTGACTATAGAAGAAAAAGAGGTTTCTACTGTCTAAACAACTTATATAGTTGCCTTTCCATATATAAAAATATATTTATATTTATTTATAAATTATTTATGTGTATTGCTGTATAAGTAAGTTATATATCTAATAAAACAAATACAAATTTTAGAATTACATAAATAAAAATAAGAGGGCCAATGTTTTCTTCCTACATTCAAATGATCACCTTGAAGACTTACTCTTTGAATACCACAGGTCTCAACATATATCTGCACAATACTCACAGCAGTGGTTTTCAAACTCGGGGAGCTTGTTAAAAAGATGTAAAAGAATTTCAGGCTCATGTTGCTTCTCAATTGTCTAAGTTTTCATTCCACTGCCCAGGTGATTCCGATGCATAGCGAAGTTTGAGAACCACCATTCTATGCTATAATTTATTTTCCTTGTTTATGAAAAAGTCTACAATACTAAAAGCCTCTTAACTCATACAACTGGAACTGATGATTGGTTGAGTAAACAATCAGTTAATTCAAAAAGTCACAGCAGGAAATTGTGGAAAATGTTTACAGGCATAAATATCTTAAACTTTTTTTTTTTTTTTTTGAGATGGAGTCTCACTCTGTTGCCCAGGCTGGAGTGCAGTGGTGTGACCTCGGCTCACTGCAACCTCCACCTCCTGGGTTCAAGTGATTCTCCTGCCTCAGCCTCCTGAGTAGCAGGGATTACAGGCGCCCGCCACCACACCTGACTAATTTTTGTTTGTTTGTTTGTTTGTTTGTTTTGAGATGGAATCTCACTCTGTCGCCAGGCTAGAGTGCACTGACACAGTCTTGGCTCACTGCAACCTCTGCCTCCTGGGTTCAAGCGACTCTCCTGCCTCAGCCTCCCTAGTAGCTGAGACTACAGGTGCACGCCACCATGCCCAACTAATTTTTGTATTTTTAGTAGAGTTGCGGTTTCACTATGTTGGCCAGGATGGTCTTGAACTCCTGACCTCAAGTACTCTGCCTGCCTCAGTCTCCCAAAGTGCTGGGATTACAGGTGTGAGCCACTGTGCCTGGCCCATATCTTAAACATTTCACATTAACTTAAAACACAAAAATGTATTCAATGGTCAATCTTTTGATGCAGTGCCAAATCCTTTTCTTTGCGAGAGGATCCTTGGGATAAGATTCTATGTACATTGCACAAAAAAACATCTATGAGTTCCAGCTTTGATTTATGTGAAATGAGAAGTTAGACCCTTAAGAAACAATTTGAGGGCACAATCTGTTCAGATGTTATTTTCCTCAACACCTTTACTTTATAGTGCTTTTCATTAGTGACTCAACTTCAGTAAGTCTTTTCAAATAATCTGAATTTTCAATTCTAAGAAATCCACAAAAATATAGCTACACTAAGTTGGGTGTGGTGGCTCACACCAGTAATGCAAACAATTTAGGAGGCTGAGGCAGGAGGGTATCTTGAGGCCGGGAGTTCAAGACCAGTCTGAGTAACACAGCAAAACTCCTGTCTCTAAAAATAAAATAAAAATATTTTTGAGATTTTTTTCTTACTCTGTCTCCCACGCTCTGTCACCCACGCTGGAGTGCAGTGGTGTGATCTGGGTCTCACTGTGTCACTCTTGCTGGAATGTAGTGGCGTGATCACAGCCCACTGCAGCCTCGACCTCCCAGGCTCAAGCAATCCTTCCACCTCAGCCTCCTGCATAGCTGGGACTACAGGCAGACGCCACCACACCCAGCTAATTTTTAAATTTTTTGTAGAGACAGGTCTCATTACGTTGTCCAGGCTGGTCTCAAACTCCTGGGCTCAAGCAATTCTCCCATCTTGGTCTTTCAAAATGTTGGGATCACAGGCGTTAGCCACCATGCAAGGCCTCTAAAAAAATTTTTCTTTTTAATTAGCTGGACATGGTGGTGCACGTCCATAGTCCCAGCTATTCAAGAGGCTGAGGAAAGGATCGCTTGAGTCCAGGAGTTCAAGGCTGCAATGAGCTATGATCATGCTACTACACATCAGCCTGGGCAATGCAGCAAGACACTGTCTCTAAAACAAAACAAAACCCCCCAAAACCCAACTACAATAATAAACACAAGATCAATAGGCTGGGCATAGTGGCTCATGCCTGTAATCCCAGCACTTTGGGAAGCTGAGGTGGGCAGATCACCTGAGGTCAGCAGTTCCAGACCAGCCTGGCCAACACGAGGAAACCCCATCTCTACAAAAAATACAAAAAATTAGCCAGGCGTGGTGGTGGGCACCAGTAATCCCAGCTACTTGGGAGGCTGAGACAGGAGGATCACTTGAAACTGGGAGGTGGAGGTTGCAGTGAGCCGAGATCACACCTGGGTAGCAAGAACAAAAACACTGTCTCAAAAAAAAAAAAAAAAAATCAATATACAAAAATCAAATCTATTTCTCTAGAGTACCAATAAAAAAAGATGTCAAATATTCATAGACAGAATCTGTACATTAGTATTTCACTCAAGGCCAGGTGTAGTGGCTCATGTCTATAATCCCAGCACTTTAGGAGGCTAGCAGGGGAGGACGGCTTCAGTCCAGGAATTTGAGACCATCCTAGGCAACATAACAAGGCCCTGTCTTCACAAAAAATAAAAAATCTAGCCAGGCATGGGAGTGTGTGCCTATAGTCCCAGCTACTCAGGAAGCTGAGACAGGATTGCTTAAGCCCAGAAGTACCAGGTTGCAGTGAGCTATGATCACGCCACTGCACTCTAGCCTGGGTGTCAGAGTAAGATCTTGTCTTCCCCCACCCCCAGAATTCCATTCATCCAATTTATTTGGATGCCTATTACATACTACTACATGCAAGGTGCCACTAGAGAATCTACAGACACAACAGTGAGCAAAATGGTTTATGCTTTCATAAAGCTTATATTCTAGAGTAAAAGCAAATAATAAACCAAATCAACAAATACATAATGTAAGGTTGTTGTATATAGTGGTATGCAGATGTTTGTTTTCACTGTAGTACAGTATTCCATAGAATATACCATAATGTGGTTACTCATTTGTCTTTTGATGGCTATTCAAGTTGTTTTCAGTTTCGGACTATGGCAAATAACACTGCTGTGAAAAATTCTAGGACGTTTATCCTCTTTCACTCATCAAGAGTGTATGCCTTGCCAAATTGCTGAGTCTTAAGGAATGCTTAGCATCAACTTTAATGGATAAACCAAACTGGTTTCAAAAGTAGATGGCCAATTTCCACTCTCATCACAAGGAATGAGAATTCTCTATGCTGCACATCTTCACCAACATTTAATATTGTCAAACTTTTATTTTTTTATTTTTGTTTTTTGAGACAGAGTCTCGCTCTGTCGCCCAGGCTGGAGTGCAGTGGTGCGATCTCAGCTCACTGCAACCTCCGCCTCTCGGGTTCAAGCAATTCTCTGCCTCAGCCTCCTGAGTAGCTGGGATTACAGGCACCCACCACCATGCCCGGCTAATTTTTGTATTTTAATAGAGACAAGGTTTCACCATGTTGGCCAGGCGTCTCAAACTCCTGACCTCAGGTGATCCACCTGCCTTGGCCTCCCAAAGTGCTGGGATTACAGGTGTGAGCCACTGCGCCCAACGTAATACCATCAGACTTTTAAATGTTAGCCAGTCTGATGTATGTACAGTGGTCTCTAATTCTGATTTTAATTTGTATTTCTCTGATGACCAATTCATATGTTCATTGGCCATTTGGATATCTGTTTTTGTGAAGTGCCTATTCAAGTCATTTGCTCCTTTTTTTGGCTGGGCTATCTTTAAAAAATTATCTGTAGGAGCTCCTACTTTCTGAATATTAATCCTTTATTCATTTTTTAAAGTTGCAATTCATCTTCTACTCTGTGGCTTGCTTTTACATTCTGTTTGGAATGCCTTTAGATGAACACAAATTCTCAGTTTTAAGGTAGTCATGTTTACTAATGTTTCCTTACAGTTAATAGGTTTGTATCTTGTTTTTGAAATCCCTCCGTACAGTGATGTCATAATATCAGGAACATAGTTTCAAACTTTTGTAGTTTTATTTTTTATAGTTAAACTTTTTTTTCCCCCTCCATGTTTGTAGAGCCAGGACCTTAGTATATTGCCCAGGCTGGAGTACGGTGGCTATTCACAGGTGCTATCATAGTGCACTGCAGCCTCAAACTCCTGGCCTTAAGTGATTCTCCTACCTCAGCCTCCTGAGTAACTGCGACTACAGGGATGCCACCTCACCTGGCTTTTACAGTTAAAACTTTAATGCGCATGGAATAGAATTTTGCGGTGTGAGTTGTAGGAAACAGTTTCATTTTTTCCCTCTATGTCTACCTAATTGTCTTAGAACCTTTTGTTTAAAGGATTGCCTTTCCCCATTGCTCTAGAGTGCCCTAGTTCTATCTGTATAGTGATCTTTTTAGGCCTCTATTCTCTGTCATTGGTTTAATTCTTAATTACAATATTTAAAATACTTTGTATGTGAGCTGGGCATGCTGATGCACAACTGCAGCCCCAGCTACTTGGGAGGCTGAGGTGGGAGGATTCCTTGAGCCATCTGAGGCTGCAGTGAGCTATGATCACACTACTGCACTCTAGTCTGGGCAACAGAGCAAGATCTTGTCTCAAAAAAACAAACAAGCAAACAAAAAAAGAATTAAAAATAAAAAAAAGAATTCAGGCTTACATTCCTCAGACTGTCATTCTTCACAATCTAAATTATCTGGCATTGATCTGCCAGAATCCAACCTTGGATGTATAAACTGCTGGACATGTTGAGACTTTTCAGTGAAATTCTCAGAGTTGCCTTGCTTATAGTAAGCCATCCTTCCATTCTCCTGAATCCCAGCAGCTTTTACCAATGGACAGAGATGAAAAAAAAGCACTGCCAAGTCCTTGCTATTATGATCTCTGGTTTCCTAGAGTTAATGGATGCACACATGTATGCTGCATTCCATCAGTCAATATTTACTTATGTGCCAGGCACTGTTCTAAATACTATGCTGAGTCCAGCCCTTATAAAACCTATATTCTAGTGGGAGATGACAGTTAACCAGGTAAAGAAATAATAGCCTTTTGGCTGGGCGTGGTGGCTCACGCCTGTAATCCCAGCACTTTGGGAGGCCGAGGCAGACGGATCACGAGGTCAAGAGATCGAGACCATCCTGACCAACATGATGAAGCCCCGTCTCTACTAAAAATACAAAGATTAGCTGGGCATGCTGGTGCGCGCCTATAGTCCCAGCTGCTCAGGAGACTGAGGCAGGAAAATCACTTGAACCCGGGAGATGGAGGTTGCAGTGAGGAGATCACGCCATAGCACTCTAGCCTGGCGACAGAGTGAGACTCTGTCCAAAAAAAAAGAAAAAGAAAAAAGAAAAAGAAGGAAATAATATCCTTTCTTCTTGAGCCAAGCACAGTGGCTCATGCCTGTAATGCAGCACTTTGGGAGGCCAAGGTGGGAGGATCGCTTGAGGCTAGGAGTTTCAGACCAGCCTGGGCAACATGGTGAAATCCTGTCTCTATAAAAAATACAAAAATTGCCAGGCGTGCTGGTGTGCACCTGTAGTCCCAACTACTGGGGGGCCGAGTAGGGAGGATTGCTTGAGCACAGGAGGTCGAGGCTGCAGTGAACCAAGACTGTGCCACTGCACTCCAGCCTGGGTGACACAGAGAGACTCTGTCTCAAAAAAACAAAAAACAAAAACAAAAAAACCCCATAAATACTTATAAGTTTTAAATCTTATTTTAATTAAACTGGATGCTTTTAAGGCAATGAGGAGGGAAGGGTAAAGGGAAGGATTTATTTTACAAAGTTCATGCTAAGTTCAAGACAATTCAACAGGGTAAGAATAACCTTTTCAGCAAATGGTACTAGGACAACTGGCTATCTACATGTATATGAATAAAGTTGGGCCCTTTCCTCGAACCACATACAAAAATTAACCCAACATTGACCATATTCATAAATGTAAGTGCTAAAACTATAAAACTCTTAATAGAAAATAAAGAACTAAATCTTCTTGATTTTTGGTTAGGCAAAGCCCTCTTAGGTAGGACACCAAAAGCATAAGGGACAAAAGAAAAAATAAAGTGAACTTCACTGAAATTAAGTCCAGGCACAGTGGCTCACATTTGTAACCTCGGCACTCTGAGAGGCTGAGGTGGGAAGACTGCTTGAGGCCAGGAGTTCAAGACCAGCCTGGGAGTTCAAGCGTGTCATACAGTGACACGCCGTTTCTAAAAAAAAAAAAAAAAAAAGTTAAAATTAAAGAATATTTCCAAGTCATATATCTGACAAGAGATTTGTGCTTAGAACACATCAAGAACATTTGCAACTCAATTACAAAAAGACACATAGCCAAATAAAAAAAATGGGGAAAAGGGCTGGACATGGTGGCTCACAGCCGTAGTCTCACACTTTGGGAGGCTGAGGAGGGTTTGAGCCCAGGAGTTCGAGACCAGCCTGAGCAATATGGCGAGATCTCATTTCTACAAAAAATTAAAAAGTGAGCAGGGTATGGTGGCATGTGCCCAGCTACTTAGGAGGCTGAGGCAGGAGGATCACATGAGCTCAGGAGTTTGAGGTTGCAGTGAGCTATGATCATGCCACTGCACTCCAGCCTGGGTGACTCAGTAAGACCCTGTGTCAAAAAAAAAACAAAACCAAAAACAAAACTCAACTGTAAAGAACCAATCTAATTAGAAAGTGGGCAAAAGACATGAAGAGACATTTTACTAAAAAGAATATGCAAATGGCAAACAAGCACATCAAAAGATGTTCAGCATCATTAGCCGTTAAAGAAATGCAAATTAGGCTGGGTGCGATGGCTCACGCCTGTAATCGCAGCACTCTGGGAGGCCGAAGCGGGTGGATCACCTGAAGTCAGGAGTTCATGACCAGTCTGATTAACATGGTGAAACCCTGTCTCTACTAAAAATACAAAAAAATTCACTGGGCATGGTGGTGGGCGCCTGTAATCCCAGCTACTCGGGAGGTCGAGGCAGGAGCATCACTTGAACCTGGGAGCAGGAGGCTGCACTGAGCAAAGATTGTGCCACTGCACTCCAGCCTGGGCAACAGAATGATACTCCATCTCAAATTAAAAAAAAAAAAAAAAAAAGAAATGCAAGTTAAAACTACAATGAAATATTGCTACCTAAGAATGGCTAAAATAAAAAATAGTGACAACATTAAGTGCTGATGAAGATGCAGAGAAACTGGATCACTCATATGTTACTGGTGGGAATGTAAACTTTTCTACAGGTAATCTAGTAAACAGTTTGTCGCTTTCTTAAAAAAAAAAATACACAAGTTAACGGGGCATAATGGTGCATGCCTGTAGTCCCAGCTACTTGGGAGGCTGCGGCAAGAGGATCACTTGAGCCCAGGAATTCAAGTCCAGCCTGGGCAACAAAGCAAGACCCTGTCTCTTAAAAAACAAACAAACAAACACACAAACCAACAAGCAACTATGATATAACCCACCAACTGCACTCCTGGGCATTTAACCCAGAGAAATGAAAAACGTACCTGTACACAAATGTTTACAGCAGTTTGAGATAGAGTCTTGCTCCATCACCCAGGCTGGAGAGAAGTGGCACGATCTTGGCTCACTGCAGCCGCCACCTCTTGGGTTCAAGTGATTCTCCTGCCTCAGCCTCCCCAAGTAGCTGGGATTATAGGCACATGCCATGACAGCCAGCTGATTTTTGTATTTTTAGTAGAGATGGGGTTTCGCCATGTTGGCCAGGCTGGTCTCGAACTCCTGGTCTCAAGTGATTCACCTGCCTCAGCCTTCCAAAGTGCTGAGATTACAGGCGTGAGCCACCGTGCCCGGCGGGAAAACACCCAGATGCTCTTTAACAAGTAAAACTGCGGTAGGTCCACACCACAAAATACTACTCAGTAATGAACAGGAGCAAACTACTGATAGATGCAACAATCTGGATGATGCTTTGGAGACTTATGGTGAGTATGAAATGCAATCCAAAAAGATTACACACTGTATATAATATTCTCAAAATAACAAAATTATAGAAATGGAGAAAGATTAGTGGTTGTCAGGGGTTAAGAAGAGGGTAAGGGTGTGAGAGAAGTGGGTGTGGATATAAAAGGGCATCAGGCGGGATTCTTGTGTTAACAGAAATGTGCCATATCTTGATTTTATTTATTTACTTATTTCTCTATTTATTTTGAGACAGGGTCTCGCTCTTTCTCTCAGGCTGGAACGCAGTAGTGTGATCACAGCTCACTGCAGCTTCAACCTCCTGGGCACAAGTGATCCTCCCACCTCAGCTTCCTGAATAGCTGGGACTACAGGCATGTTCCATCATGCCTAGCTAATTTTTTATTTTTGTAGAAATAAGGTTTTGCCATGTTGCCCAGGCTAGTCTTGAATTCCTGGGCCCAAGTGGTCCTCTTGCCTTGGCCTCCCAAAGTTCTAGGATTACAGGCATGAGCCACTGTGTCCAGCCATGTATCTCGACTTTACTAATGTCAATTTCCTGGTTTTGATATTTTACTAAATTTTGCAAAATTACTAAATTTTCCCATTGGGGAAAACTGGGTAAAAGGTATGAGGGATCATTCTTTATTATTTCTTTTTTTTTTTTTTTGAGACGGACCGTTGCTCTGTTGGCCAGGCTAGAATGCAGTGGCACCATCTCGGCTCACTGCAAACTCCACCTCCCGGGTTTAAGTGATTCTCCTGCCTTGGCCTCCTGAGTAGCTAGGATTACAGGCGCCTGCCACTGCACCCGACTAATTTTTGTATTTTTTAGTAGACACAGGGTTTCACCATCTTGGCCAGACTGATCTCGAACTCCTGACTTCATGATCCACCCGCCTCGGCCTCCCAAAGTACTGGGATTACAGGCGTGAGCCACTGCGCCCAGACTGTTCTTTATTATTTCTTACACTGGCATGTGAATCTATAATTACCTCAAAATAAAAAGTTTAATTTATAAAAAAGGTAAATTCTCACCTCATACCATAAAACAAAATAAATTTGAAAGGCATTGGCTGGTATGATTCCTTTGTCTTTTTCTTTTAAAGTTTACAATTAACTAATATTATTTTGAAATTTGAATCTTACTTTATGTTAAAAAATGTAAGTAAGTGAAAATAATATTAAAACAGTATAGGAGTAGACATAACACAGATCAGTGGAAAAGAGAAGACTCTAACCTATTTAAAAATTTAGTATGTTACAGTAGAATTATTTTTTCCTTTCACCCTTCCAATTGACTCTCCATTTCTTCTCTATTCGGGAGACTAACCTCTATGGACTGCAGCAACTGGAATTCCTACTCTCTAATAATCAGTTGAATTTGGCCAAAGGGAGCTACTAGAGGAAATCAGAAAGTGGGAGTCAGAGAATGTATTACCTATGCTCTTTCCCTGCTGGGCCATAGCTTGGGGGTAGTATTCCTCTCCTGAAGGTCACATCTCCTCGTCAGGAGCTCTGTGCTTTACTAATCAATCTTGCTGTGTTCTGCTAAGTATTCCCTCTCCTTATCTCTTCAGAGTTAGGAGTGGCAATTATTTTCTGCTGTTGCTAGGTCTAAGATGCTACACCATCTCTTACTTGTTGTTCCCCTTAACTTTGCCCACACCTTTGTAAATAGTCTCTTCATTAAACTTTTGACAGTTATCCTTCAGTGTGTCGTCTACTTCCTGCCAGGACCCTGATACGCTTAACAAGAGGCAAAATCTGGATTGCTAGACTAATATACCAAAGGTCAATGTACATTTAGAAATGTACAGTTAGAGTGATGGATATATGGGGGTGCCTTTTTAAAATAAATGTTTGGGTAATACAAAATCTCTTTTCAAAGCTATGCAATAAAGAATACGGTCTTGCCCAAAGAGAGGTTTGACCTTTGTCCCAGCTCCTATGAAATAACTTCTAAATCTTGGCATTGCTGTACCAATAGGAGTGACTGTGTTATTTATTGTGGGCCCCTTGGGCCACACCTGCAGTTTATACTAATGATGGATCCCTTGAACCACATGGTGTCAGCTCAGCTTCCAGGGAGGGAAGGGTAGGAGTCTGGGTTCAATTACATGGGCAATAAATTAAATCCTACCTACATAATGAAATCTCAATAAAAAATCTGAACACTGAAGGTGGGGTGAACTTCCAGGATTGGCAGCACTCCATGCATATTTTCATACATCAGTTCCAGGAGGGTATGATGTCCTGAGGATCCAGGGGAAGCTTCACAGTTGGAACCCTCCTAGATTCTGCCGTATGTGTCTCTTTCCTTTGCTAATATTAACCTGTATCTTTGCCCTGTAATGAACTGTAATGGTGAGTATAATAGGTTTCAGGGAGTCCTGTTAGTCACTCTGGTGAATTACTGAACCTGAGGGTAGTTTTGGGAAACCTCTGAACTTGTGATTGGTGTGAGAAGTACGGGTGGTCTTCTATGAGCTCTTCCCTCTAACCTTGTAGTTGGGCCCTAGCTCCTTAGAGTTGGGGTCAGAAGCCTTGGGCAGACTTAGTAGTCTGGAGGACTCTGTTCTTAACCTCATAGTTTGGCTAATTCCAGGCAAAAGTACAAAAAAAGTAAGTAACAAAAAATATAAATTGAGATTAATTTGCCAAATTAATACATTTTTCCTGTATTTGTGTTTACATAATTTAAATTCTTCGACTTACCTGAGGGTCTACTAACCACCCATGGTACAAAGGAATATCAAGAAGATCAAATACTATGCATTCTGGTGTATATTCAAACACTCGAACACCAGTGAATCTTACATTTACATCCAGGCCTGTCTGTAGTTTGTGCAAAATTGCCATGGCATCACTCATATTCTGAAAATAGAAAAGGGGAAAGTTCTAATTCAGAAACATCAAAACGAGAACAAAAAAGATATTCAAGTACAAGCACATTTACTTTTAATTTTCCATTTTATCCAATAAATTCAATTCAACATATTTTTATTATTGAGTATCTACTATGTGTCAGAAGCTAGTTGGAGTTTGAAAGATACAACAATGAATAAAACAGACACTGAGGTGGGCGGATCACTTGAGGTCAGGAGTTTGAGACCAGCCTGGCCAACATGGTGAAACCCTGTCTCTGAAAATACAAAAATTAGCTGGGCATGGTGGCATGCGCCTGTAGTCCCAGCTACTTGGGAGGCTGAGGTGGGAGGATCACTTGAACCCAGTAGGTGTAGGTTGCAGTGAGCTGAGATTCTGCCACTGCATTCCAGCCTGGTCAACAGAGCGAGACTCTGTCTCAAAAAACGAAACAAAACAAGACAAAGTCCATGCTCTTATGCAACTAACATTCTATTGGGAGAGATAAACATGTATATATATAAAACAATGTCAAGTATTAGCAAGAAAAACTGAACAAGATGGAGTTGTAGAGAGTAATAGAAATGAAGGACCTATTTTAGACCACAAAGTCCAAAGTCAAATGTTTTTCAAGTCAAAGAGGAAGAAGGCCTCTCCTACTGGTGAATCTAAAATAACTGAAAGTAGGATCTTGAAGAGATAGTTGTACACCCACGCTCATTGCAACATTATTCATAATTCTTTATCTATTCTTAGTTACAACTGACAAATGAATAAAGAAAATGAGATATATACATACAATGGAATATTATTCAGCCTTAAAAAAAAGAAAGAAATCCTGTCAGATGCTACAACCAGATGAACCTTGAGGACATCATGCTGAGTGAAATAAGCCAGTCACAAAAGTAAAAATACTGTATGATTCTACTTATATGAGATATTTAGAGTCATCAAAATCATAAAAACAGAAAGCAGAATGGTTGTTTCCAGGGGACTGGGGGAAGTGGAAAAGGGGGGTTGTTTGATGAATATAGGGTCTCACTCTGTTGCCCAGGCTAGAGTGCAGTGGTATGATCATGGCTCACCACAGCCTCAAACTCCTGGGCTCAAGTGATCCTCCCATCTCAGTCTCCCATGTAGCTGGGGCTACAGGTATATGCTAACATGCCCAGCTAATGTTTTTGATATTTTGTAGAGACGGGGTCTCACTATGTTACCCAGGCTGGTCCTGAATTTCTGAGCTCAAGTGATTCTCCGCCTCAGCCTCTCAACGTATTGGGATTACAGACATAAGCCACCATGCCTGGCAAGTTTCAGTTTTAAAGATGAAAAAGTGGCTGGGCACGGTGGCTCCCACCTGTAATCCCAGCACTTTGGGAGGCTGAGGCGGGTGGATCACGAGGTCAGGAGATCAAGACCATCTTGGCTAACAGGGTGAAACCCCATCTCTACTAAAAATACAAAAAATTAGTCGGGCATGGTGGTGGGCACCTGTAGTCCCAGCTACTCGGGAGGCTGAGGCAGGAGAATGGCATGAACCCAGCAGGCAGAGCTTGCAGTGAGCCAAGATTGTGCCACTGCACTCCAGCCTGGGCGACAGGGCGAGACTCTGTCTCAAAAAAACAAAAACAAAAACAAAAAAACCATATATTTTATAATATGTGGTTTTTAACACAATTAAAAAAAATAGAGATGAGCTATCAAGCCATGAAAAGACACAGAGGAAACTTAAATGCGTAGTAGTAAAGAAAACAAGCTAATATGAAAAGGCTACATACTGTATAATTCCAAATGACATTCTGGAAAGGGCAAGACTACAGAGACAGTAAAAAAGATCAGTGGTTGCCAAGGATTAAGGGAAGGGAGGAATGAACAGGCAGAGTACAGAGAACTTTTAGGACAGTGAAACTATTCTGTATGATACTGTAATGGTAGATACGTGACATTATACATTTTTCAAAATCCACAGAATATACAGAACCAAGAAAGAGTAAATTATAGACTCTGGGTGATAATGATGTGGCATTGCCAGTTTATCAATAATAAATGAACCACTCTGATGCGGGATGTTGACAGTGGGGGAAGCTGTGTGTATGGGGTTAGGAGGAACAGGAGGTATATAGAAAGCCTCAGGACTTTCCATACTTAATTTTGCAGTGAATGCACTGAAAAGGAAGGAAGGATGGAAGGAAGGGAGTGAGGGAGAGAGGGAGGGAGGGGAGTGGGGAGTGTAAATGGGAGAGGAAAGAAGGAGAGGGAGGTGAGGGAGACAGGCCTCCTTGAAAATGACACTAGAATAGAGACTACAGGGAGCACTAAATGTTAGGAAGCTCTGGGCAAAGAGCATTCCAAAGTAGATGCCAGTGCAAAAACGAGTTTATTACTGTGTCCATGGAATAGCATGGGGCCCAGTGCGGCTGGGACAAAATAAAAGTGAAAAGTTGTAGGAGATAAAGTCTAAGAGACAGGCAGAGGCTGGATCACAAAGACTTGTTTGTCAGATTAAGGAGTCATTTTGTCCACATCAGTTTTCTCAATAAATGTAGTCATATACATCTGGAATAAAGACTATTTTAGGCCGGGCGCAATGGCTCACGCCTGTAATCCCAGCACTTTGGGAGGCCGAGGCGGGCGGATCACAAGGTCAGGAGATCGAGACCATCCTGGCTAACACGGTGAAACCCCGTCTCTACTAAAAAATACAAAAAACTTTTAGCCAGGCATGATGGCGGGCGCCTGTAGTCTCTCTCAGCTACTCGGGAGGCTGAGGCAGCAGAATGGCGTAAACCCGGGAGGCGGAGCTTGCAGTGAGTGGAGATCGCGCCACTGCACTCCAGCCTGGGCGACAGAGCAAGACTCGGTCTCAAAAAAAAAAAAAAAAAAAAGACTATTTTAAAATGCTTTTCTAAGCACGTTAACACATTAAGTATGGACATATGTATAGAGAATACATTTGAAAGAATAAAGAAAAACCAATACATAAAATTTAACACACTTTTACTGAATCCCTACTGCTAATCAGACACTGTACAAGATACTAAAGACACAAAATAAGAACAGTAGACTATAGTTTGTAGAGGGGTTTGATAATAAAAAGGGTGAAAATGAAGGAAATCTTACATTAAAACTACGGATTCTCTTTGAAATTTGAAAAAGACAAATTTAGGTTACAAAAATGAAGTTCTGTTTTATGAAATAATTCATAAAATTCCATTCTAACAGACTGTACAGACTGTAAACAGAAATCATTCAAATGTTTTAAATTAATGAATGATGCATTTATAATAGGATAACATTGTTATACTGCAGTCTTTGACCTTTGTCAGTTTCATCTCTTCTACTGTTCCCCCCAAACAACATATTTTCTCAACCTTCCCAAAAATTAAACGCTTAAAAACAACCAGCTTACATTTTTTCCCTTAAGTGTTTTAGAACTTTTCTTAAATCTACAGCAATGATGAATCTGAAAAAATAGTAACAACAGTGAGCAATCTAAGAATTATAGTTTTACAACCACCAGATTTTCCTCTATTTTTGTAAATTCTTGTTTGTCAACCACCCAACTTCCTTTAGGGGCAATATGATTTCTAATGGCTCTGGGCTCATGCTTATACCTTCATATATTTGCTACAATTATTCCCCATTATTTAATATTAAAACAACTAAGTTAACACCATTTGATATCTTCATAAAGATTAATAAAACGGTTAAAAGAGGCCAGTTAACAGTGGCTCATGACTGTAATCCCAGCACTTTGGGAGGCTGAAGTGAGCAGATCACTTGAGCCCAGGAGTTTGAGGCTGCAGTGAGCCACGATAGCACCACGGCAAACCAGACAAAGTGACAGAGTGAGACCCTGTCTCAAAAAAAAAAAAAAAAAAAAAGTTGGCACGTTGACTCACGCCTGTAATGCCAGACAGGTGGATCACTTGAGGCCAGGAGTTCGAGACCAGCATGGCCAACATGGTGAAATGCCATCTCTACTAAAAATAAAAAAATTAGCCAGGAGTGGTGGCACATGCCTGTAATCCCAGCTAATTGGGAGGCTGAGGCATGAGAATCTCTTGAACCTGAAAGGCGGAAGTTGTACTGAGCTGAGATCATGCCACTACACTCCAGCCTGTACAACAGAGGGAGACTTTGTCTTTTCTTTTGTTGTTTTTTTGAGACGGAGTCTCGCTCTGTCGCCCGGGCTGGAGTGCAGTGGCGTGATCTCGGCTCACTGCAACCTCCACCTCCTGGGTTCAAGGGTTCCATCTGCCTCAGCCTCTCGAGTAGCTGGGACCACAGTACGTGCCACCACGCCCAGCTAATTTTTTGTATTTTTAGTAGAGATGGGGTTTCACTGTGTTAGCCAGCATGGTCTCGATCTCCAGACCTTGTGATCCCCCCGCCTCAGCCTCCCAAAGTGCTGGGATTACAGGCATGTGCCACTGTGCCCAGCCGAGACTCTGTCTTAATAAAAAACAACAACTGATAAACCAAACAAACTTATTTTAAAAGGGTTTTAAACTCTTGGGTAAGTATTTTGCCACTTTGTTCCTAATTCCAAATTATACTTAATATTACAAAATATAAATGTGAGCTATGGTTGCTTACCTCACAAGAAGGGAGTACTAGTGGATCCTTTAAGGCAATGGTTAAACTGTTTCTTAGAACTCTTTTCAAATGAACTTTTAACATGGTCAAATATTTTAAATTTAAATACAAAATATATTTTAAGAATATATTTGCACTCATTAAAAATTTGTTATGAATACACACATCATGTTTTCTTGTGCTGTCAGTACACTATTAGACAAAACTGGAAAAAATAGGCTCTTTGCTTACATTACAACTTCTGGTAAAGAGTTTTAAATGGGAATATTGCAGCTCTGTGTTGGTCTTTCTAAAATTAGGTTTGAAGACATCTGTTCACGTAAAATTACACAAAAAAGAACACTATTACATCACACTTGTGGAACATTACACATTAGCTTAGACTCAGCCCAGCCATATAAGCTTGACATACACTATTTTCAAAACAGTAATGTAATAATAACACCTTATAGTTTCATTGTTTATTTTAAAAGCAGGGTACTTTTTGCCTGATATGTTTATGAGAAATGCAAGCAGTTGTTAGATATCCTTTGTTTCAACTTTGAGCCAATATTCCAAATTCCCTTCAAGAATCCTGATCAGTGTAATGGGAGTGTATTCCAATGCAAGATGGACTTAAACCAAATGCTGATAACATTTGCAAGCATTTTTATTTTTCTTTCTTTCCTAATTTTTTGAGATGGAGTCTTACTATATCACACCCGGATTGGTCTTGAACTCCTAGGCTCAAGTAATCCTCCTGCCTCAGTCTCCTGAGTACCTGGAATTACAGCTGTGAACCACTGTAACTGGCTGCAAACAGTTTTCTTTTCTTTTCTTTTCTTTTTTTTTTTTGTAACAGGGTCTCACTCTGTTGTCCAGGCTGGAATGCAGTGGTGTGATTTGGCTCACAGCAACCTCTGCCTCCTGGGCTCAAGCGATCCTCTGACCTCAGCCTCCCAAGTAGCTGGGACTATAGGCGTGTGCCACCATGCCTGGCAAACGTTTTGTATTTTTTGTAGAGACAGGGTTTTGCCATGTTGCCCAGGCTGGTCTCACTACTGGGCTCAAGCAATCCGCCTGCTTTGGCCTCCCAAAGTGCTGGGATTACAGGCATGAGCCACCACGCCTGGTGCTTGCAAACACGAAAATTAAGATTTTCTCATTTCAATCAAGATTTTCTCAGGATTAGGCAACGAAAGTAAAATGAATTTGGAGGTTGACATCAGACTGCAGCTATCATCCGCAGTCCCTAATTTTAAGTTTTTAATAAAAATAGCTTCATGATTTCAGTAAGAAATGATATAAATTTCATAAATACATGATATAAATTAAACTTTATCACTTTATACTTATCATGTACTGGTTTTATATATTGGAAGCTGGGATGAGATTTCATTTGAAAAGAGGTTTCTATTGCTAAAAATGTTTAAATATCACTGTTTTAAGATACAAATTCCCCTGATAAAATTTAAATCACTTAGAATACAAATCTGGCTTTAGCTACAGATTTCCTTTCTTTTCCTTCTCCTCCTCCTCCTTTTTTTTTTGTCGCCCCGGCTGGAGTGCAGTGGCGCGATCTCGGCTCACTCCAAGCTCTGCCTCCCAGGTTCACGCCATTCTCCTGCCTCAGCCTCCAGAGTAGCTAGGACTTACAGGCGCCTGCCACCACGCCTGGCTAATTTTTTGTATTTTTTTTTTTTTTTTTTTTTTTTCAGTAGAGCTGGGGTTTCACCATGTTAGCCAGGATGGTCTCAATCTCCTGACCTCGTGATCCGCCTGCCTTGGCCTACCAAAGTGCTGGAATTACAGGCGTGAGCCACCACGCCCGGCCTCTTATTTTTTGAGGCAGAGTCTCCCTCTGCTGCCCAGGACGGAGTGTAGTGACGCAATCTCGGCTCACTGCAACCTCCGCCTCCCTGGTTCAAGCAATTCTCATGCCTCAACCTCCTGAATAGCTGGGACTACAGGTACATGCTATTACACTCGGCCAATTTTTGTATTTTTAGTAGAGGTGGGGTTTTTCCATGTTGAACAGCTGGTCTCGAACTCCTGGCCTCAAGTGACCCATCCACCTTGGCCTCCCAAAGTGCTGGGATTATAGGCAGGAGTCACCGCATCTGGCCTAGATTTCCTATCTTATGATATAATGCAATGTAAGTTGTTGATTCTTCTTCTTTTTTTTTTTTTTTATGAGACAGAGTCTTGCTCTGTCACCAGCCTGGATCATAGTGGCGCGATTCCAGCTCACTGCAACTTCCGCCTCCTGGGATCAAGTGATTCTCCTGCCTCAGCCTCACGACTAGCTGGGACTACAGGCGCGCATCACCATGCCCAGCTAATTTTTTTTGTATTTTTAGTAGAAATGGGGTTTCACCATGTTGACAAGGATGGTCTCCATCTCCTGACTTCGTGATCTGCCCACCTCGGCCTCCCAAAGTGCTGGGATTACAGGCTTGAGCCACCACGCCCAGCCAACTTGTTGATTTTTCAAATTTTATTAAGACTAGATTATCTGAACATTAAATTCAAGAAATTTTGCAAGACAAATGAGTTATGCTTTCTTTTTGCAAATTTGATACTGGTGAAAGTATGTTAAAAAAGGTTGCTTTGAAAGTAAATATGAAGGTTCCAACGATGTCTCTTTCTTCCCTGGCTAATACTTCCTTCCACTCTAAGAAGCCAATTCCTTCTTGCCTTCTATTACCAAGTAAAGGAAGAATACTGAAGAAAATGAAGCTCCGCTTGCTTTTTTCCAGCACCAATAATTTTAAGCCTAGTGATACCTCCTACATTGCAGAACAGGATCTCTAAAGAACATGCCAAGAAATGTGGATACTGAAACTATCAAATAGCAAAACTTGTCCTAATGACATACCATATACATCATTTGTTCAACTTTCTCCTGAACATAACTTAATTGTAAAATATAAATAAAATGAGGACAGATACATCAATGACAAATTGACCTGGAAGTCAATTTTTCAAGAAAAACACTAGGTTTGATCTCTCATGGAATGAGAAAAAAAAGGAAAAATACTGAGAAAAAAATGAGAAAAAAAGGAAAAATCTGGCTGTGAGCTAAAAATGGATTTCATATTTTTAAAGAGGCATAAAAAAAGAAAACAAAGAATATGTAATAGAGACTGACCACATGTGGCTTGCAAAGTCTAAAGTGTTTACTATCTAATCCTTTATAGAAAAATGCTGCCAGCTACTAATAGAAACCAATGTATATATTTAAACTTTAAAATTATATACTTTAACAAAAACTGTTTATTACCTGTTCATAATTTAAACGTTGAATTTCTGAAATTTCTTTTGGCTTTGCATCAAGCATGTAATCTCCTGTAAAAAAAAAAAAAGAATTGTAAAATTGCCTTTTAAAAACTTGTTTTTCTGATTACAAAAGTAATAGATCTTAATTATAAATGTTAAAACACTGTAGCTATAGTTGACATATAAAATTGACTCCCCAATCCTACCCAGAGAAAATCAATGTTAACTTTTCCTATCACGTCAAATATTTTTTCAATGTATATACTATAGTGCTTTGAACTTTTTACTTCCATTTTATATTTCAGCATCATTCCATGTTATTATGTATAAAGGTCCCAAAGGTTATAACAAATTTCACTGCTGTCAACAATATAACTATTTCTGATTACCTCACCAACAATGGGTATTATCAGTCTTCTAAATGTCTGCAACACTGAGAAGTAAAAAAAAGAAGTTTGGCATCTGGCTGGGTTTGGTGGCTCACGCCTGTGATCCCAGCACTTTGGGAGGCTGAGGTGGGTGGATCATCTGAGGTCAGGAGTTCAGCCTGGCCAACTCTACTAAAAATACAAAAATTAGCCGGGCATGGTGGCGGGTGCCTGTAATCCCAGCTACTTGGGAGGCTGAGGCAGAAGAATCGCTTGAACCTGGGAGGTGGAGGCTGCAGTGAGCCGAGATCGCGCCACTGCACTCCAGCCTGGGCAACAAAGTGAGACTCTGCCTCAAAAAAAATTTCTTTTCTTTTCATTTAAAAAGATGGTATTTTTATATACGAGTTTTTATTTGGTATCACCTTTTAAATATATGTATAACCTTTTGGTATATGTGGCAACTTTTAAATATATGTAGTACCTTTTAAAAATATGGATCACAATTTTAATACTTTTAAATCTACGTATTATCTTTCAAATTATGTATTAACTGTATGTACATACTTTTTTCTTTGAATTTTCTACCTATATAATTATCATCTTTTTTTTTTTTTTTTTTTTTTTTTTTTTAAGAGATGGGGTCTTGCCATGTTGCAGCCTCCCAAAGTGTTGGGATCACAGGCATGAGCCACCGTTCCTGGCCTATCTTTTCTTATTGAACTGTAAAAGCTAAACTGGGCTGGGCATGATGGCTCATGCCTATAATCCCAGCACATTGGGAGGCCGAGGAGGGTGGATCACCTGAGGT
Organism: Homo sapiens; assembly: GCF_000001405.40. Lineage (NCBI taxonomy): Eukaryota > Metazoa > Chordata > Mammalia > Primates > Hominidae > Homo > Homo sapiens. The sequence continues at coordinate 58,801,202 of NC_000015.10, read as the reverse complement.
TAGGAGTTTAAGACCAGCCTGGCCAACATGGTGAAATCCTGTTTCTAGTAAAAATACAAAAATTAGCCAGGCGTAGTGGCATGCACCTGTAGTCCCAACTACTCAGGAGGCTGAGGCAGGAGAATTGCTTCAACCCAGGAGGTGGAGGTTGCAGTGAGCCAAGATCACGCCACTGTACTCCAGCCTGGGTGATGCAGCGAGACTCTGTCTCAAAAACAAAAACAAATTTTATTTTTAAAAAATCTTGTCAACTGGTTAATCTGTCTCTACCCTTCCAGACAACTAGTTAACTGATTTTTTGTGAGAGCTAGACTTAGTGATGTAACTGAGATGGCACATTTTAGAAGACTTTTTTTTTTTTTTTTTTTGAGACAGAGTCTTACTCTGTTGCCCAGGCTGGAGTGCAGTGGCGTGATCACGACTTGCTGCAACCTCAACCTCCCTAGACTCAGGTGATCCTCCCACCTCAGCTTCCTGAGTAGCTGGGACTAAAGACACGCACCACCACACCTGGCTAATCGTTTCAAAAAAAAAAAAAAGCTAAACTGGATGCAGAAAAATGAGCAAAACTTGGAATGGCAATGGGAGAAAAAGCATCTTTTGAGGGGAAGAATGAATGGAGAAAGCACATATAAGAAAGATCATGTCACACGAACAGCTTATACAAAGAGTTAATACAAAAGATTTATATTGTAAAGTAGTGGCAAACATGGTTGAATGAGTAAACTTGAACAGATTTTAGAAAATCCTAAATAATATGCTGATAAGTTTGGCTGACTATAAAAGATCACAGGGATCTTTATACTTTTAAGTAGAGGAGTGAAGAATGAAATTGATGCTTTAGGAAAAGTACACTGATATGTAGGCTAATTTAGGGACAAAGAATGATACAGTTTGCAGGTAAATCAGGTTGTGAAATATGAGCATACAGAAAGAGAAAAAATTTCAAGGAAAGAATTAAGAAAACCTTGCTACTAATGGGATATTCTAAATAAACAGAAAACAAGAAACCAAAATTTGATAGCTACTTTAGGCCAAAAAAATGGAAGAGAGGGCTTGGCATAAGTTAGCTTATACCAGGTGAACATTTGGAAAAAAGGAAATACAGGCAACTCTGGGCGAAATTAAAATGCTTCAACATTGACCTCGCTTTATAGCGTATTTATATTCAAAAGATAAAATAATTTTTTAAAAGTAAGACAATGCCACCATCTCTATTATTTTTCTTAACTATGCGCCCCCGCCAGTCTCATCATCATACTAACAATTTTAGATGGCTGAAGTCACAATATACATTCCAGTTTATGTTGAGTTTCATATTCCTGCCCATTTCCTGCCTTCTCCCTACATCTCTTCCACACCTTACTTTATTACACTTCCTAACACTTCCTAGGTATCGTGTTTCTTTCTCTATGCCAAAGCCCTTCAAAAAGCCATGTCCATGTCTGGCTCTGCTCTCATATTCTAGTGACAGAAATTTCCAGATTGAAATTCACTTCTTCTCCTCTAACCTTTGCCAATCAAAATTCCCATTTCCTTGGGGTACTTCAGCTAGGTATTAGGAAAGCAATTAGTGGTTTCTCTTACAATCCCTCTACTAGTGTTTGCTTTTTTTTTTTTTTTTGAGATGGAGTCTCGCTCTGTCGCCCAGGCTGGAGTGCAGTGGTGCCATCTCGGCTCACTGCAAGCTCCGCCTCCCGGGTTCATGCCATTCTCCTGCCTCAGCCTCAGCCTCAGCCTCCCAAGTAGCTGGGACTACAGGCACCCGCCACCACGCCTGGCTAATTTTTTGTATTTTTAGTAAAGACAGGGTTTCACTGTGTTAGCCAGGATGGTCTCGATCTCCCGACCTCGTGATCCGCCTGCCTCGGCCTCCCAAAGTGCTGGGATTACAGGCGTGAGCCACCGCGCCCAGCCGTGTTTGCTTTTTAACTCAAAAACATCTCTTTTTTCTCCAGAGAAATGGAGTAATCTCAACAGAACATCTAAATAGCTTAGAAAATTGAACATTTGTTCTGGCACGACTGGCCCTGAATAAAGTTTACTTTTGGTGAGGCAGAGCCTTCAGAATTTCTTTGCCTACATCATTCTTGTTCACTTCTCCCCCACCTCCCATCAAAATATTACTTTTACATGTCCCTAGTAGCTAAGTCCTCTCACCAGTGATTCCCAAACCTCTTTAGCTACACCAGGTCTAGCTATTTCCTAATTTTTCCTTTTCCTTATTAAAATTATCTGTCCTATGTTCTGCTTCCTCAGGGCTTTGCTAGCTAAGAGTTAGATAAATTTAACATACCAAGATGTGTTAACTTTTTATTACTCTTTCCAAGAAAAATCCCATGCTGACATTTTCGTGGTTAGAGTATACTTACACAGCCCCACTAACTACATGTTGACACCTCCAAATAACTAGCTCACAATACATGCTCAGTGAATATTTACTGGATTGCTGGGCGTGGTGGCTGACGTCTGTAATCCCAGCACTTTGGGAGGCCAAGGCGGGCGGATCACCTGAAGTCAGGAGTTTGAATCCAGCCTGGCCAAGATGATGAAACCCCATCTCTACTAAAAATACAAAAATTAGCTGGGTGTGGTGGCAGGCGCTTGTAATCCCAGCTACTTGGGAGTCTGAGGTGAGATAATCGCTTGAACCCAGGAGGCAGAGGTTGCAGTGAGCCAAGATTGTGCCATTGCACTATAGGCTGGGTGACAAGAGTGAAACTCTGTCTCAAAAAAAAAAAAAATTTTTTTTTACTGCATTAAAAAAGGCAAGAAAAGGTCTGGGTGTGGTGGCTCACGCCTGTAGTCCCAGCACTTTGAGAGTGTAAGGTGGGTGGATCACGAGGTCAGGAGTTCGAGATCAGCCTGGCCAACATAGACAAATCCCATCTCTACTAAAAAAAAAAAAAAATACAAAAATTAGCTGGGCATGGTGGCGGGCGCCTGTAATCCCAGCTGCTCGGGTAGCTGAGGCAGGAGAATTGCTTGAGCTTTGGAAGCGGAGGTTGCAATGAGCCAAGATCGCACCATTATACTCCAGCCTGGGCGAAAGAGCAAGACTCCATCTCGGGAAGAAAAAAAGAAAAGAAAGAAAAACACAAGTAGAGGAACTTTCAAATATTACATCAAAAACACTTTGGGATTGTAGAGGTGTAAGAGGGATGTATTTTTGAGCATATGAGCTTTTCAGCATACTTTAAATCATAGAAGGTGCCCAGATGGAGACAGCACATTAACCCCTCTGAACATTGGTTTCCTCTTCTGTAAAACAGAGGCATTACAATTTTGTGATGGCTTTATTTTTGCACCAATCTCATCCTTTGTACTATTAGTACTTCTGCACTTATGGCTCTGCTCATCGGTTCTCTGCCACCACAACTGTATCTCTTCATTTGCAGAACTCATGGCAAAAGAGCTCATTTTGTCTCAGAAGGTATGCAGACAAAGTCAAGTAGAGTGCTAGTGATAACGAGCAGGGAAGAGGTTAGGTAAATGGTATCAACTTGTTATAGCACAGAAAGTAGAGCCAGAATGAAGATAAGAGCTATGGAGTGGCAGCACAGTTTAACACTGTCCAGTTGAAATATAATGCAAGCCACGAATTTGAGCTCAAATGTAATTTTAAATTTTCTAGCAGCCACATTAATAAAGGTCAAAATAAACAGGTAAAATTAATCTTTTTTGTTTGTTTGTTTGAGATAGGGTCTCACTTTGTCACCCAGGCTGGAGTACAGTGGCACAAACATGGCTCACTGCAGCCTTGAACTTCCAGGCTCAAGTGATCCTGCTGCCTTAACCTCCTGAGCAGCAGGGACTACTGGTAAGCATCATCACACATGGCTAATTTTTTAAATTTTTTGTAAAGATAGGGTTTTGCCATGTTGCCCAGCCTGGTCTTGAACTCCTGAGCTCAAGTGATCTGCCTGCCTCAGTCTCGCGAAGTGCTGGGATAAAAGGCATGAGCCATCACACCTGGCAAAATTAATCTTAATAATATATTTTATTTAACTTAGTACATGAACATTTCAACAATCAATATTTTTAAATTACTGATATTCTTTTTTAACCAAATCTTTGAAATCCAGTGTATATTTTACATTTACAGAACATCTCAATTCACACTGGCCACATTTCAAGGACTCAATAACCACATGTACCTAGTGGCTACTATATTCTTCAGTGCAGGTTTAGGTGATATATGGCAATGATCTAAGAAAGAATAGTAAATGAGTCCAATTTGACTCAATCTGCCTTACACAATTCCATCTGAGAACAAGGAAAGTAGGGTGGAGAGTGGATGGATATGGAAGAGCTGGATAGGAAACAGGGTCAGAAATACATGTAACTCATTACTTAAATTATATATAGTTATATATAAATGGCCAGGTGCAGTGGCTAATGCCTATAATCCCAGCACTTCCGGAGGCCAAGGCAGGTGGATCACTTGAGGTCAGGAATTCAAGACCAGCCCGGCCAACATGGGGAAACCCCATCTCTACGAAAAATACAAAAATTAGCTGGGCATGGTGGCGGTGCCTATAATCCCAGCTACTCAGGAGGCTGAGGCAAGAGAATTGCTTGAACCTGGGAGGCAGAGGTTGCAGTGAGCAAGATCGTGCCACTGCACTCCAGCTTGGGCAACAGAGAGAGACCCAGTTTCAAAAAACAAAACAAAATGAAACTACATTTAACTTGTTATTATCCCATTTAGGAAACTAAAATAGATTAAGCATCCTATTACAGTAAATTCAAACTTCCTGCCTGGCTCACAAGACTGTCTTGCCACAATCTACTTAATCCAATCTCTATTTCTCTAACTATACAACATGCAGATTTACCAACTATAGTCAAATTAGACACATACACTGTTCCTTCAATATGCCTTACATATTTCCACCTCTAGCTTGAGCTTAAGATAGTTTCCAACTAACCCTCAAACAACCTTTCCTATTCTTTACAACAGCATAGATTCTAACTATGCTTCAAAGCCGGATACAAGTCACATGTTCTCCATTAAGCCTTTTCCTACTCCTTACCCACTTCCCATACCCATTTGTACCCAAACTTCTCAAAAGTTTTCTGCCCTTGAGGCTCCATTTCCTTGCCTCCCAGATACTCTTCAACTCACCACTCCATTTCCATCTCATCACTGCAGTGACACGGTTTGATGAAGGTCACAATAACCACACTGCCAAGTCATAAAGAGAGTATTCTCCAGTATTCAATACCCTTTCTCCTTTCTTCTAACAATCTTCACCCTCTCTTGACTTCATTCTACCACTCTGTACTGGCCTTTCTCCTATCTTACCAGCTACTTCTTCACTATTTCTCTGTCCTCTACTTCATGCATTTTAGCAGAGGTAATGTTGCACTTAAAAGGGGCAAAAACTGGTTCTTGGTGCAGGAGGGAGGGTGGCCAAAAAAAAGAAAAAAAAAACTTAGACACTATAATGGTTTATAGCCTTCAAAGGGCCACAGTACAAAAAAACACATACGATAGGCTGGGCGCAGTGGCTCACGCCTGTAATCCCGGCACTTTGGGAGGCCGAGACGGGTGGATCACGAGGTCAGGAGATCGAGACCATCCTGGCTAACACGGTGAAACCCTGTCTCTACTAAAAATACAAAAAATTAGCTGGGCGTGGTGGCAGGCGCCTGTAGTCCCAGCTACTCAGGAGGCTGAGGCAGGAGAACGGCGTGAACCCGAAGGTGGAGCTTGCAGTGAGCTGAGATCGCGCCACTGCACTCCAGCCTGGGCAACAGAGCAAGACTCCGTCTCAAAAAACAAAACAAAACAAAATAACACATACTATATATCTACAGTATTAAAATGTCCTGAAGTGAGCCATTAGGACAAAAGTGTCTATAAAGGCCCCTCAGAATGGCAATAACGAAAAGAAAGTTGAAACACTGCTCCACCTAATCTCTGCATGCTGGGAAACTTCAAGGGAGAATCTTGGACCCCTCTTCTTTTCTCTATTATCTTATCAACTTCCACAGATTTATTTATTTATTTATTTATTTTTTGGAGACGAGTCTCGCTCTGGTGCCCAGGCTGGAGTGCAGTAGCGCGATCTCGGTACACTGCAAGCTCCGCCTCCCAGGTTCACGCTATTCTCCTGCCTCCGCCTCCCGAGCAGCTGGGACTACAGGCGCCCGCCACCACGCCCGGCTAATTTTTTTGTATTTTTAGTAGAGACGGGGTTTCACCGTGGTCTCGATCTCCTGACCTCGTGATCAGCCCACCTCGGCCTCCCAAAGTACTGAGATTACAGCCGTGAGCCACTGCGCCCGGCCCAACTTCCACAGATTTAAATACCATTTTTATACTGATGACTTCTAAATTCTTATCTTGAATTTCAGTGTTCTCTGTAACTCATAGTCTGCCATTAGCAAATTCCCTAGGTATTCAACTCCTCTGAATGTTCCCTTCACCTTATTATCTGAGTATTTGGCTCTGTCTTGACGACAATGCAGTTCTCTTAAGTGATAGTTCTGTTCTCTCTCATACTTCTTTTACCAGTGAACCTCAAAGTGGAATAGGTATCCACTTGCTCCTGTCATTCTCTCCCCACTTCCTCCCTAAACTCCTCAGTTTTAAAACTCAGATAATTCTACCCATTATCTACCCACCTTGTTGCAGTTATCTCCTGACCTTCAGGCCAATCCCCTTTATTCTTAGCTCACTTTCTCCAACAAAAATCCCATAATTTTTGGTAATTTCAATATGTATGGAGATGTCTCTTCCAATACCCTGCCTGTCTGTTCCTTGACCTCTTCTCCAACAAAAATATTTTATTCTTAAAACACACACACACACACACACACACACACACACACACACCCCAAAAAAAACTTTTATTCTACTTTATCTCAGAAACTCATTTCCCATGGTAATACAGTTTCATTATTACCAAAAATTCCTCAGCTCTATCAGGAATCAAGACCTACAATCCATTAATCTCATTACATTTTCCTTCAACACACTTACATCATTTCCTCTTTACGCAGCTTAAATTCTATGGCCCATAATTATAATCACTCTCTATACACACCTTCATACCTTAGATTCCTCCCCTCCTCCCCCACCGCACAACCCTGGCCCCACCACTGGCAACATGTAGAGCAACATACCCTAGATTCTTTCGTCAACACGCTCATCAGGCAAAAGTCCAGCTCTGGTTAAATCCTGGCCTCCCATTATTCAGGCCTGGACTCGTGCAGCTGAACGTGACTGAGAAAACATAACACCATGCTGGCTGGTTTCACTAACCTCAAAGGTAACACCCAAAAATCATACCACAGCTCTCTAATCCATTCAATCTCCCATTTCTCTAACCAATTATTTTATACCTTCCCTCTTACTTTCAACAACTCCTCCCCTCATCCTCACTCCCAGCTGATGACTTTGTTTCCTATTTCATTGAGAAAATAGAAGCACTCAAGAGACGCGCTGCAACCACATCCACCCACCTACCTGCACCTATTTGTAATACAGTCTGTCTTTCCTCCTATTACCATGGATGAACTATCTAAGGCTAATTTTTCTATTTGTATAAAGTATTTTTTGCAGTTCCCTTTCTCTAGTTTTCTCTTTTATAAAATGGCTTTGAGGTATAATCCACATACGATACAAGCTACTCACTTAAAATGTACAATTCAATTATTTTTTGTTGTATATTCACAGGATTATGAAACTATCATCATAATCTAATTTTATTTTTTAAATTTATTTATTTATTTACTTATTTTTTGAGACAGTTTCTCACTGTCGCCCAGGCTGGAGTGCAGTGGTGTTATCTCCACTCACTGCAACCTCCGACTGCTGGGTTCAAGCGATTCTCCTCCTCAGTTTCCCAAGTAGCTGGGACTACAGGCATGTGCCACCACACCCGACTAATTTTTTGTATTTTTAGTAGAGACGGGGTTTTGCCATGTTGCCCAGGCTGGTCTTGAACTCCTGAGCTCCAGTGAACCACCCACCTCAAGCACCCAAAGTGCTGGGATTACGGCGTGAGCCACTGTGCCAGTCCCATGATCTAATTTTAGAACATTTTGGTCTTCCCTAAAAGAAACCCTGTACCCATTAGCAGTCAACCCCCATTTCACCCCATCTCTTCCCCAGCCCTAAGCAACCACTAATCTACTTTCTGTCTCTATAAATGTGCCTATTCTGGTTTTTTTAAACTTTCATTTTTTAGAGATAAGGTTCTTGCTCTCTCACCCAGGCTGGAATGCAGTGGTATGGTCATAGCTCATTGCAGTCTCAAACTCCTGGGTTCAAGTGATCCTCCCACCTCAGCCTCCCAAGTAGCTGGGACCATAGGCACGCACCACCAGCCTGGCTAATGGATGTTTCATATAGATGGAATCATACACTATATGGTCTTTTGTACTTTGCCTCTTTCACTTAAAAGTTTCAGGGTTCATCCATGTTATAGCATGTATTCGTACTTCATACCTTTTTATGGCTGAATAATATTCCACTGTACAAATCTATATTTATCTGCTCATCAGTTGATAAGACATTTCGGTTGTTTCCATTTTTTGACTACTATGAATAATACTGCTTTGAACATTTTTCTTTTTTTCCCCCTGAGACAGAGTCTTGCTCTGTCGCCCAGGCTGGAGTGCAATCGCATGATCTCGGCTCACTGCAACGTCCGCCTCCCGGGTTCAAGCGATTCTTCTGCCTCATCCTCCCGAGTAGCTGGAATTACAGGCATGTGCCACCACGCCCGGCTAATTTTTATGTTCTTAGTAGAGACGGGGTTTTACCATGTTGGCCAGGCTGGTCTCAAACTCTTGACATTGTGATCCACCTGCCTTGGCCTCCCAAAATGCTGGGATTACAGGCGTAAGCCACCGCGTGTGGCCTGAACATTTTTATACAAGCTGTATGGACATACGTTTTCACTTCTCTTGGGTAAATACCTAGGAATGATATTTCATGGTCATACGGTAATTCTGTTTAACTTTTTAAAGAATTGCCAAACTGCTTTCCAAAGTGGCTGTATTATTTTACATTTCTACTGGCTAGGTGTGAGGGTTTCCAGTTTTTTCTTGTTTCCAGTCAGGTTTTCATTCCATACACTCATCAAGGTTATCAATGACCTCCTTATGGCTAAATCAACAGTCAATTTTTAGTATTCCTCCTGCCTGAGCTATTAGCAGCATTTGATTCAGCTCATCTCTCACTCTTCCTTGAAACATTTCTTCATTACGATTCTAGGAAATCACAGCCTCCTATTTTTCTTCTACCTGGCTGACCGTGCCGGCTCTTTCTCCTTCCCCACCTTCTAATCACTGGCATATCCCAGACTCGGTCTACTGACCTTTTCTTTTATCTACTACATTCCTTCCCTTAATGATCTCACCCAATCTAACTACTGTTTATATATGTTGTCTGTAAATATATATTTACAGGCTAGACTTGTACTGTCTAATACAGTAGCCAGTAGCAATATGTGGCTATTAAATTTAATTTATATTATATAAAATTAAAAATTCAGTTCCTTGGTCACATTACACACACACACATACACACACACACACACACACACACACACACACACACACATATTTTGAGACAGGGTCTTGCCCTGTTGCCCAGGGTAGAGTGCAGTCTTGTGATCTTGGCTCACTGCAGCCTCTGGATCCCAGGCCCAAGCAATCCTCCCACCTGAGCGTCCCAAGTAGCTGGGACTACAGGTGCACACCATCACGCCTGGCTAATTTTTGAATTTTTAAGTGGAGATGGGGGTCTCACCATGTTGCCCAGGCTGGCCTCAAACTCCTGGGCTCAAGACAGGAGCTACATTTTAAGAGCTTGAGGACCGCATGTGGCTAGTGGCTACTAACCTGGACAGCACAGATACAGAACATTTCTATCATTACAGAAATTTTAATTGAAAGTGCTGATCCAGACCTCTCCTCTGAACTCAAGATATATATATATATATATATATATATATATATATATATATAAAATTGCTTTCCTGATGGCTCCCTTTTTTTTTTTTTGAGAAGGAGTCTCACTCTGTTGTCCAGGCTGGAGTGCAGTGGCGTGATCTCGGCTCACTGCAACCTCCGCCGCCTGGGTTCAAGCCATTCTCCTGCCTCAGCCTCCCGAGTAGTTGGGACTACACGTGCCCGCCACCACTCCCAGCTAATTTTTTGTATTTTTTAGTGGAGATGGGGTTTCACCGTGTTAGCCAGTATGGTCTCGATCTCCTGACCTCATGATCTGCCTGCCTCGGCCTCCCAAACTGCTGAGATTACAGGCGTGAGCCACCACACCCAGCCTGATCGCTCCATTTTGATGTAAATAAACATCTAAAAACAAAAATCCTGCAATTTCTCCCTAAAAGCCTTGCTCCATTTTTTCCTGCTTCAGTTTTCCTATTTCCATCCTTCTACTTGTTCAAACCAAAAATGAGATAGTCCTTGACTCCACTTTCACTCTATATCCAACTGATCAGCAAATTCTGTCAACTCTGTATCCAGTATCTAACCACTTCTTACAAACTTCACTTATTTTACCTTGTTTAAAGCCACCATCTTTTGCTAGTTGTAATAACTTCCTAAATAGTTTTCCCACTTGTCTTACCCCCCACTAAGGTCTATTGTCAACATAAATGCTAGAGAATTCTTATTAAATCCAAAGTTAGATCATGTCAGTCCTCTGTTCAAAATCCTCCAACAGCTTCCCAGCTTACTCATGGCAAAAACCAAAATTGCTGTTACATCTTTAGGGCCCCATATGACCTGACTGCATCAACTCTCTGATCTCATCTCCTACAACTCCCCTTTGTGTACTCCTTGACAGTCATATTGGCTATTCCTCAAAATCACCCAGCATATTTCAGCCTTCCCCATAAAATATAACTTAGGAATCACTAACTTTAAGAATCATTTATCAAGTAGAGTCCCATGGGGAAAAAAAAACTTAAAATAATAATAAAAATAAAAAGAATCACTAAGCTAGCCTAAAAGAGGGATTTTCTTTTTAAGGCGATTTGCAGACATCTAGGTATTCAGAGTAATCTACCCTTAACTATGAGGTCCCTAGCCAGTGAATGGGGATTAAATGATATGAATTATATTTTCTAAAAAGGGTCTTCCTGCCGGGTGCAGTGGCTCATGCCTGTAATCCCAGCACTTTGGGAGGCCAAGGTGGGAGGATCGCTTGAGCCCAGGAGTTCAAGACAAGCCTGGGAAACACAGTGAAACCCAATCTCTACAAAAATAAAACTTAACCAGGCACGGTGGCTCACGCCTGCAATCCCAGCACTTTGGGAGGCTCAGGTGGGCGGATCACCTGAGGTCAGGAGTTCAAGACAAGCCTGACCAACATGGAGAAACCCCATCTCTACTAAAAATACAAAATTAGCCACGTGTGGTGGTGCATGCCTGTAATCCCAGCTACTCGGGAGGCTGAGGCAGGAGAATCACTTGAACCCAGGAGGTGGAGGTTGCGGTGAGCTGAGATCACGCCATTGCACTCCAGCCTGAGAAACAAGAGTGAAACTCTGTCTCAAAAAACAAAAAAAACAAAAACAAACCAAAAACCCAAAAATTAGCTGGGTGTGGTAGCATGTGCGTGCAGTCCCAGTTACTCGGGAGGCTGAGGTGGGAGGATCACCTGAGCCTAGGGAGGTCGAGATTGCAGCAAGTCATGATCACGCCACTGCACTCCAGCCTGGGCAATAGAGTAAGACTCTGTCTCAAAAGAAAAAAAAAAAAATCTTCTAAAATTTCCTGTCTCAGTTATATCACTAAGTCTGTATCTCACAAAAAATGAGTGAACTAGTTGCCTGGAAGGGTAGAGACAAATTAACCAGTTGATAAGATTCTTTTGTTTTTGAGACGGAGTCTCGCTCTGTTGCCCAGGCTGGAGTGCAGTGGTGCAATCTCGGCTCACTGCAAGCTATGCCTCCTGGGTTCACACCATTCTCCTGCCTCAGCCTCCCGAGTAGCTGGGACATCAGGCGTCTGCCACCATGCCCAGCTAATTTTTTGTATTTTTTAGTCGAGACGGAGTTTCACCGTGTTAGCCAGGATGTTCTTGATCTCCTGACCTTGTGATCGGCCCGCCTCGGCCTCCCAAAGTGCTGGGATTACAGGCGTGAGCCACCGTGCCCGGCCCCAGTTGACAAGATTTTTTAAAAATAAAATATGTTTTTGTTTTTGAGACGGAGTCTCACTCCATCACCCAGGCTGGAGTGCAGTGGCATGATCTTGGCTCACTGTAACCTCCACCTCTTGAGTTCAAGCAATTCTCCCACCTCAGCCTCCCGAATAGTTGGGACTATAGGTGCATGACACCACGCCTGGCTAATTTTTGTATTTTTAGTAGACACACAGGGTTTCACCATGTTGGCCAGGCAGGTCTCAAATTATTGACCTCAAGTGATCTGCCTGCCTTGACCTCCCAAAGTGCTGGGATTACAGGCGTGAGCCACCACACCTGGCCTAAATAAAAATTTAATTACTGAAAAAACTGTAGAATATGGATTAAGATTTCCTATTTGGTGATAGTATAAATATATAAATTCTTATTTGTCAGATTATAAAAGGCCACAATGTGATGTACAACTGCTTGCTCTCTAAACAAGTTCAACTCAATGTAGCCAGTCTACAAACTGTACTACTGGTCTGTTTTGAAATAAGAAGCTTAGAGAAGAATGCAATTTAATACATTACTTCCTTCAACAAGAAAATTTCCCTATAAAAAAATTTCAGTTGAAATAAACAGTGTGCTTACTAATGTAAATATTTTACATCCTAGGAGAAGATTCTACCTCACTGTAGCCTGATAACTAACATTTTGTAGATTGGCATAGGTCCATGAATCACACTTTCGGTAGCACTGCTCTAAATCACCTCCTTTGTCTTTAATTCAAGTCTACCCAATATTTTTGAACACTTTCTACATGCAATGTCAGCGATTCTGTACCATCTCCCATTCTACAATTTATTGGGATTAAGATGTATCTTGTTTTCTAGACGTTACCTAGATTCCTTATGGGTATTACAGAATTTTAATGCTGGTCAGAAAGAAGACTATACCATCTAAGAACAGTAACATACTGATAAAAATTTTTAATTAGCAGATTCAAAACTATAATTTTAAAATAGATTATATAATAGCACTTCAGAAAGGTGAGACTGGGTAATCAACTAGCTTTGAAAACTTTTGTTTTGAAAGAGATATAAAATCCACTTTTCAACACTAACCTAAATATTCCATCAGCTGCTCAGCAGTTATGATTTCCATCATCGGTGGAAGTTTCACCTGAAAAACAAAATATTATTTCTATAAAATTAAATGTTTTAGGTGACTAAAGTATTTCTTGCAGTCAGAAACACAAATACTTATGTCTAATTATGTATCTACTATACTTATACATTAACATTCACATATATTAGAATCTTTATAGCCAGGCTTTTTTTTTTTTTTTTTTGAGACGGACTCTCGCTCTGTTGCCCAGGGTGGACTGCAGTGGCGCAATCTCGGCTCACTGCAAGCTGCGCCTCTCCGGTTCAGGCCATTCTCCTGCCTCAGCCTTCCGAGTAGCTGGGACTACAGGCACCCACCACCACACCTGGCTAATTGTTTTGTATTTTTAGTAGAGAGGAGGTTCTACCTGTTAGCCAGGATGGTCTCAATCTCCTAACCTTCTGATCCACCTGCCTCGGCCTCCCAAAGTGCTGGGATTACAGGTGTGAGCCACTGCACCCAGCCTATAACCAGTCTTTACTGTATTATTCTATTTATTAGGTTGGTGCAAAACTAATTGCGGTTTTGCTATTAAAAGTAATGCAAAGCTTAAAAACAGGCAAAATTTAACTATATTGTTTAGAGCTGCACACATAGGAGATAAAACTATTAAGAAGTAAAGAAATGGGCTGGGCACAGTGGCTCCTGCCTGTAATCCCAACACTTTGGGAGGCCAAGGTGGGCAGATCACTTGAGGTCAGGAGTTGGAGACCAGCCTGGCCAACATGGTGACACCTCTGGCCTGGGCAACAGAGTAAAAAAAAAAAAAAAAAAAAAAAAGTAAAGAAATGGGCTGGGCATATGGGCTCACGCCAGTAATCCCAGCACTTTGGAAGGCCAACGCAGGCGGATCACGTGAGGTTGGGAGTTCGAGACCAGCCTAGCCAACATGGTGAAACCCTGCCTCTACTAAAACTACAAAAATTAGCTGGGCATGGTGGCGCATGCTTATAATCCCAGCTACTTGGGAGGCTGAGGCAGAAGAATCACTTGGACCCGGGAGGCAGAGGTTGCAGTGAGCCAAGAATGCACCATTGCACTCCAGCCTGGGTGACAAGAGTGAAACTCCATCTCAATAAAAAATAAATTACTAAGTAAAGAAACGGACGCTATAAAAAATCAAGATTATGGTTATCCCCAGTGGTAACAGAAGGAGTTATAGTTGGAAAGGGGCTTTTAAGGGGATTCTGAGGTGCTGACAATGCTCTGTTCTTCGACCTTCTTGACCTGCAATAGTAGTTCCAATGATGTTTGCTTTATAATAATTTATTAAACTGGATATCTGTTTTATGTATTTTTCTATGTGTTATATTTCACAATAAGAAGGTTAAAAGTAAAGATACGTTATAGTGATATTTAAACTAAAAACCCCAGAAAATCCATTAAAATTAATTCAGCTGCAACAACACATTAGTCTAAATTAATTGTTCAAATGCGTTGTCAAATGAATGACATGGATATTACAGTCAATGATTGTAAATACTTTAGCTGACAGTGACGAGCACATTCCAGGATATATTTATAGACTAGGAGAAAAAATAAATACTGTAGGATGGAAACTCAAAGTAATTACTATATCAGTGATAGAAGAATAGTAACATTGTTAAAAATTCTTCACCAATTATTTTGTGTTCATCCAAAGAAATCCTTTAAATCAGCAATTTCTCCAACAATTCCCCCAAATGTTGAAAAAGGTCCTCTAGGTGTTTACGTTATCAAATGTAATAATGTCACAATTTTGTTTTAATCAACAAGTAAAATAAGTTTTTAAAAAGATCCCTATAAAACAGAATGGTTTGAAGCCATCTGTAAGCATATATGACAGTCAATAGTTATATTTAGTCATCCAGTAGATTTATTATTCAGTAAAAACCAAGAGATGTCTTTGAAGTTTGATCATCATTTCATTCTAAATTATTTTTATTCTCTGTGACATTTTTAAATAATTTCAGGTCAGGCCTGGTGGCTCACACCTGTAATCCGGGAGGTTGAGGTGGGCAGATCACTTGAGGTCAGGAGTACGAGACGAGCCTGGCCAACTTGGTGAAACACGGACTTTACTAAAAAAACACAAAAATTAGCCAGGTGTGGTGGCGCACACCTGTAGTCCCAGCTACTTGGGAGACTGAGGCAGGAGAATTGCTTGAACCCGGGAGGCGGAGGCTTCAGTGAGCAGAGATCGTGCCACTACGCTCCAGCCTGGGTGACAGAGTGAGACTCTGTTTAAAAAAAAATTCGATAGATTATTTTTTTAAAGCAGTTTTAGGATTTACAGAAAAACTGGGCAGAAAGTACAGAGAGTTCCCATATATGGCATATTTTTAAACTGAAACTCCGGCAAATTACTGTCGACTGTCTGTTTTTCTAAATAAACGTTTTTTTGGAACACAGTCCCTCTCATCTGTTAATGTACCATCTCTGGCTGCTTTTGCACTACAATGCAGAGATGAATTTGTGCAGCAGAGACAGTATGGCATGCAAAGCCTAAAATATTAGTATTTACTATCTGATCCTTTACAGAAAAAGTTTGCTGATCTCTGCATTAGATGATTTTTTTTTTAGAAGCAAATACACAAATATTTCGACTCACTTACTTACAAGCAAAGTCAGTAGTATATTCATTTCCTGAATCATAGCCAGTAAAGTACTTTGGATGTTTATTAAAACTAAAAAGTGCCTACTTCACACTAATACTGTGGAGCCATCCACAGATCTTAATTATTTTTTTAACCATCTAAGATCTTCCCAAAAGCTTGCTTTTCTTTTTTTTTTTTTTTTTTTTTTTGCTTTCCTTCACCACCATCACTTCAAAAGCAAGTGCCAAGGGTTTTCTTAATGACCTAATAAGGCTTGTACTCCTTTGTCTTTTTAGATTTTTTCAAAGGAGAAACAGGTTATGAGATAGTTGGCTAAGAATACAGAATTAACAGTTGTGGCAGTCTGTCTGATTTTCTAAATTTTAAGCTTTACAATGAAAAAAATAACAGGCTGGGTACGGTGGCTCACGTCTACAGTCCCAGCACTTTGGGAGGCTGAAGTGAAAGGATCACTTGAGCCCAGGAGTTTGAGACCAGCCTAAGCAATACAGGGAGACCATGTCCCTACAGAAAAAGTCCCAAAACAAACAACAAAACTTAGCCAGGTGTGGTGGCACGTGCCTGTAGTTCCAGCTATTTGGGAGGCTGAGGTGGGAGCACCACTTGAACCCAGGAATTTGAAGCTGAAGTGAGCCGCTATCATGCCACTGCACTCCAGCCTGGGCAACAGAGAGAGATCCGATCTCAAAAAAAAAAAAAAAAAGGAAAGAAAGAAAGAAAAGAAAGAAAAAAATGACAAATCAACTATGACCTATTTTAGTAATTATCTACAACATAAAATAAATAAGTACTTTAACATATACAAAGGCACTTGGAAGGCACTTTAAGTAGTTTAAATATTCTCCGTAAAATTTGAACAAAGTATCTCAACATATATTAACAAATAGCTCCCAATTAATAGAGGCCAAATAAATTTTTATTATCTAGGAAAATGTCCTACCCTATAAATATTACTGAATTAACTAGATTTCCTGAGGAAATTATTATTATTATTTTTAAGACATCATGTTCTCACTGTCCTCCAGGCTGGATCGCAGTGGCAGGATCATGGCACACTGCAGCCTTGACCTCCCCAGCTCAAGCAGTCCTCCCACCTGAGCCTCCCAAGTAGCTGGAACTACAGGCACGCACCACCACACCTGGCTAATTTTTGTATTTTTTATAGAGGTGGGGTTTCACCATGTTGCCCAAGCTGGTCTTGAACTCCTGGCCTCAAGCAATCCTCCTACCTCAGCCTCGCAAATTGCTGGTATTACAGGTGTGAGCCACTGCACTCGGCCCTGGAAAATTATTAATATAAGCACAAGAATATTTAAATTAATAAAAGAAAATAGCTACTCCGACTCCAAATATTCCATTATAAGGTAAAACCTCAAAAATTTAGCCCAATTATTCTATCGTCCAGGCTGGAGTGCAGTGGCAAAATCATGGCTCATTGTACCCTCAACCTCCCCGGGCTCAGGTGATGCTCCCACCTCCACCTCCCACATAGCTGGGACCACAGGTGTGCGCCACCATGCTTGGCTAATTTTTTGTATTTTTTGTACAGATGGGGTTTTGACATGTTGAACAAACTCCTGGACTCAAGCAGGAGCCCAGACTTCTGCTTAAATCTGCCTGCCTCAGCCTCCTGAAGTGCTGGGATTACGGGTGTAAGCCACCATGCCCGGACCATTCTGTAATTCTTAATCATCTAAAGAGTAAAGTAAATTTGGGAATAGACTCAAGCAAGACCAAAAATACTAACAACAAAACCTTCTGTTTAAACTGTAAGTGAAATCTTAAACAGGAATGTAAAACATCCTAAGAGTGATATGCCAAGGTTTTGACACCTATGATTTTGATAATCCAAAGGAAAAGATAAATGCAGGGGACTCAGCAATAACTAAGAAATAAGAAGCAGTTTATGTAGGTGATGACAAGTACAAAAATTACTACTAGCCAAATAATGTTTTTAAATGCTTAACAATTAGAATACCAATATAATAAGTACTCAACAACACACAGTTTGAGTTCCAACACCTCTTCAAAGTTGGAAGATATTTGAGAAAATATAAAATTGAGTATTTGCCAGTCTCTGCTCTTTAGAAAAAAGAAGTCAGGGGCCGGGCAGAGTCGGTCACTCCTGTAATCCCAGCACTTTGGGAGGCCGAGGTGGGCGGATCACCTGAGGTTAGGAGTTCAAGACCAGCCTGGCTAACATGGTGAAATCCCGTCTCTACTAAAAATACAAACAATTAGCCAGGCGCGGTGGCAGGTGTCTGTAATCCCAGCTACTCAGGAGGCTGAGGGAGGACAATCACTTGGGCCCAGAAGACAAAGGCTGCAGTGAGTAAAGATCACGCCACTGCACTCCAGCCTGGGTGACAGAGCAAGACTCTGTCTCAAAAAAAAAAAAAAAAAAAAAAAAAACAGAGAGAAAAAATTAAATATATTGAACATCTACTAATTGTCATTCAATTTTATGTTACCTGAATCCTCAGCAATCCTATGAAGCAGGCATTATTACCTCCATTCAAAGAATAAACTAAGGCTTTAAAAAGTTAATTTAGCCAAAGTAAGTAGAAGTACTGTGATGAGAAGTGAGATCAGACACCAAAGCCAATTACCAAATTACCAATTACCAAAGCCAATTATCAATACTCACAGACTTTTTTAAGAACAGCAGAACACTTTCCACTCAATGAAATCTTATACAAAACATAATTGACAGAACTTTGTGACCAGTGAAAAGTGAAGCACGATGAGGAAAGAATAATAAAAGTTGACTCTAAGGCTCAGGAAACTCTGAAAATTAAGATCCATACAATTGATAACAATGGAAATTTGGCAAGTGAAGATTAAGTTTGTAGAAGAAAATGATGTCTGCTTTGGAACTGTGACATTTTTAGTTTGACATTCAAACAGGGAGTTGAATTTGGAACACAGAAGATAAGATTTTTATTTTGCAGTCTATTTTTGCATTACTTATGTAAGGCAAAATGGACGCACTAAATAATAGTCAAAATTTCACTAATTTGAAATATGCAGTGTATATACACATGTGTGTATATATGTAGCATTTATATATTCAGCATGAATATATAGTATTCATGATTTTTTAGTAGAAATTGTAAAGAAATTATTCTTTAGAAAATATTAGAAGTATTAATGGGAATCAAAGAGAAGCTTTACCCGCTTTTTTCAAAATAAGGACTCAAAAACTTAAGGATTCTTTTAACATGCCTTTAATTCTGGCTCCAGCAAATAAAAATTTATGTATTATAAGCTATTACACATGTTTTACATTTTAATTTCTTGTATGTACTATTCATTTACTACTAGTAATACTATACTTAAAAATACTCAAATTCAGACTTTTCAGTGAATCTAATTGGCTTTCTACTTGCCATCAGTATTTCTTTCTTTTTTTTTTCTTTTTTGAGATGGAGTCTCGCTCTGTCACCCAGGCTGGAGTGCAGTGGCACGATCTTGGCTCACTGCAAACTCCGTCTCCTGGGTTCAAGCAATTCTCTGCCTCAGCCTCCCGAGTAGCTGGGATTACAGGCGCCCGCCACCACACACGGCTAATTTTTGCATTTTTAGTAGAGACAGCGTTTCACCATCTTGGCCAGGCTGGTCTTGAACTCCTGACACTGTGATCCACCCGCCTTGGCCTCCCAAAGTGCTGGGATTACAGGCATGAGCCACTGCGCTTCGCCACCATCAGTATTTCAAAACAGGAAAATTTTAGGAGACAACCCACAAGTTAAAAAGGCTTTGAAATTCTGAAACACTTTCATCAGTTTTTATCATAATTTAGACCCTATCCTCAGAGTAAGACCAAGGCCTATTTAAAACTGTCAGAAACTGCAGATATATTCACACATATTAAATTTGCAAGAATGTCTTATTTTATATGCACTTCAAAGTGTTTTAGAGCAATAAAGAATGTTGTTGCAGTGAGATTTACTAATAAAAGATTTACTAGTAGGCTGGGTGCGGTGGCTCATGCCTGTAATCCCAGCACTTTGGGAGGCCAAGGTGGGCTGATCGCCTGAGGTCAGGAGTTCAAGACCAGCCTGGCCAACATGGTAAAACCCTGTCTCTACTAAAAATACAAAACAATTAGCTGGGCATGGGGGCAGGTGTCTGTAATCTCAGGTACTTGGGATGCTGAGGCAGGAGAATAGCTTGAACCCAGGAGGTGGAGGTTGCAGTGAGCCAAGACCACACCATTGCACTCCAGCCTGGGCAACAAGAATGAAACACTGTCTGGAAAAAAAAAATTAACTAGTAAAAGAAGGCATCTTCCATTCAGAATTCACTATTTATATTTAAGAAGCTCAGCAAGCTTACTAGGCTGAAATATCTCCCCCCTCAAAAATTGATAATAAAACTTTTACATTAATTGCTTGAAAGATGAGAATAGGGTAAGACAAGAGACCATTTTGAAGGCTACTAAGGTAGTCCAGGTGAGAGATAAAGGCCTGAACTAGGGTAGTAGCAGTAGAAACAGAAGTTACTAATGACTGAAAAAATCCAAGAATATATTTAATAAACTACAATGGGAAAGGCCAGCTGATTCACCTTAGTGCCCCAAAGAGACTCTGAAACTAGAAGTGTCAGACACTTCAGGAGACATAAGATAAAGTACAGAGAGCTAAAAACCGGAGTCTGTATAAAGACCAACTGGTACCAAGATCCCAGGAATCGATCTAAGGAATCATGAAGTCCATTTCTGCTTCTCTGACTTTATCATTGGCTGTCCCACCCTGTTTTGCCCCAGACCTACTGTCCACCAGACTTATTGCTATCTTGAACTTTATCTTCCCAATCAAACATCCTGAGTGAGAGCTCTGGTTCTAGAGTGGGTGATAATCTTACCTTGGACTAGTTATTTAAACTTTATGCACTTCAATTTTCTTTCTTTTTTTTTTTTGAGATGGAGTTTCGCTCTTGTTGCCCAGGCTGGAGTGCAATGGCGCTATCTCGGCTCACCGCAACCTCCCTCCCAGGTTAAAGTGATTCTCCTGCCTCAGCCTCCCGAGTAGCTGGGATTACAGGCATGTGCCACCACACCCGGCTAATTTTGTATTTTTAGTAGAGAAGGGGTTTCTCCACGTTGGTCAGGCTGGTCTCAAACTCCTGACATCAAGTGATCCGCCTGCCTCGGCCTCACAAAGTGCTGGGATTACAGTGTGAGCCAACCACACCTGGCCTCAATTTTCTATATATATAAAATAAGAACAATAGTCTACATAAGGATTTCATGATGTGGTTGAGAAACTTAAAAGAGAAAACACATACAATGCATGTAAAATAATGCACAGTATCTGGACACAAAAATAACTGAGTACTTACTATTATTATTCAAAGCCCCTATGATTGCTAGTACCACCTGGGCCCAAATGTCCTTCACCTGGGACTCAACAGACAAGGTTGAATGGGGAGTGAGAAGGTTTTTAACTAAAAGACTACTCATACCAAGGGGAGAAGAAAAAATGAACACATCTATCACTATTAGAGGGCAACTCCTACTGGCGGTATTTATACTCTCCTCAGCCCTTGTCTACCTTATCTTACAAATCCAGAGTTACAACACCAATTCTAATTCTTGGAGGAGACTGGGAATGAAAGCCTCAGAAAATGTTACTTAAGTCTTTTGTGTAAACAAAACCCCACAATTGTGTGAAGTTTTAATCTCTTTTTACAGGATCTATATTTAAAAACAAGGTGGGCAGAGGCTAAGATGGAACCTTTGGCTCACCATCTGTTTTTCCTTTTTTATAAGTAATAAACACACTTGGAAAACCTCAAAAGAGCTCTGTGCTACTTCAGGAAGAGAAAATTTGTGTGATTACAATGTTTCTGCAAGTCAGAGGAAAAAGCATAACCTAGATGGAAACTAGGAGAGTATGTGAAAGAATCTGAGGGAAAAAAGTCATCAAGGAGGTAGGGAGAAATAGAGCAAAAACTCAGCCCTGGCAAGAGGCTCACCTTCATGGTGCCTCACTTTGCAGGTGATGAGACAATAGCATACGTCCATTCGAACTTTGAATTTTCTGTTAACAGCCTTTTGTTCATTTTGCCATTGTGCTGTTCACCCTTTTCTAATTTATAAGGGCTCTTTGTAAATTAAGAAATTAGGGTTGGCCATGGTGACTCACGCCTGTAATCCCAGCACTCTGGGAGGCTGAGGCAGGATTACTTGAGGCCAGGAGTTCAAGGCCAGACTGGACAACATGGTGAGACACATCTCTAAAGAGAAAAAAAAAAAAATGGTTGGGCACAGTGGCTCACGCCTGTAATCTTAATAGTTTGGAAGGCTGAGGCGGGCAGGTCACTTGAGGTCAGGAGTTCAAGAACAGCCTGGCCAACATGCTGAAACCCTATCTCTACTAAAAATACAAAAATTAGCCGGAAACTGCATGAACCCAGGAGGCAGAGGTTGCAGTGAGCCAAGATCGTGCCACTGCACTCCAGCCTGGGCGACTAAATGAGATTCCGTCTCAAAAAAAAAAAAAAAAAAAAGAAAAAAAGAAAAAAAATTAGGTGGGCATGGTAGCACACACCTGTGGTCCCAGCTACTCAGGAGGCTGAGGTGGGAGGATTGCTTGAGCTCGGGAGGTCGAGGCTATTCGGAGCCATGATTGCACCACCACACTCCAGCCTGGGTGACAGAATGATAGTCTATCTCAAAAAAAAGAAAAAAAGGAAATTAGCCCTTAGACATATAATCTGGCAAACAGTTCCCTTAGTTTTTAGTGTGTTTTGATTTAGTTTATGGTGAGGTTTTTTTTTTTGGTGTGTGTCTGTTTTTTTAAGCTTTTTTTTATTTTACAGAATCAAATATATTAATCCTTATTTTACAGTTTCTAGGTTTGATGTTTGGAGAAACCAACTTTATATAAAAAAAATCCTGCTTCAGGACCCTGGCATTCCTCCCATGACTTGGAACAGGAGATAATCTCAGCTTATACTAAGCAAAGAAAAAAATTGGGAAAAGAATTCCCTACCAAAAAGAGTTAAGAAGGAAAGGAGATGTGTTTCCAGCATCTTAAATTAGTGCATTCATTTTTCTACTAAAATGCTATACAATGACTAGATATTGCAATACTCTATCTTCTCTATCACAATGTATAGTATAGGTTACATGTAAGTTTTTTGTATGTATGTTGGCCTCAGAACCTATAACATTCTTTCTAAAATAAAAAAAAAGTATAACCAAGTAGGGATTCCCTCTATTACTAAAGAAATATCTTTGTAAGCACTAAAATATATATGTTATATACCTTCTGGCTTAACTTCATAAACACCTAATTACATGGGTCACAGCCCTCAAATAAACCTATAAATAGCACTTATTACAGCTAAAATAAGATTTTTAAAAACTATTAAAAATCAAATATAGTCAAAAAGAAGCAAAACAAAAATGTATTCTAAGTCATACATTTTGATAAATTTACCTGGTATAATTTGTAATTTGAGCCCAGGAGTTTGAGACTAGCTGGGGCACTATAGTGAGACCCCGTCTCCATAAAAAAACAACAAAAAGGAAAAATACAGAGGTAGATGAAACTATCTCTTGAAAATGAGAGGTAAACAAAATTACAAATTTGAGCTCGAATTAAATGTAATAAATAGATGTCTTTCTTGATGTTAGAGCATCACAGCTCAACTATTCAACAGATTTTCTTTTTTTATAATTAAAAAAAAGTTTTTTTTTCTTTTATAGAGATGGGGTCTCATTATGTTGACCAGGCTGGTCTCAAACTCCTGGGCTCAACTGATCCTCTGGCCTCGGCCTCCCAAAGTGCTAGGATTCCAGGCGTTAGCCAC
Source organism: Homo sapiens (assembly GCF_000001405.40). Taxonomy (NCBI): domain Eukaryota; kingdom Metazoa; phylum Chordata; class Mammalia; order Primates; family Hominidae; genus Homo; species Homo sapiens. The sequence continues at coordinate 58,777,502 of NC_000015.10, read as the reverse complement.
ACTGCCTAGCCAACTACTTAATAGATTATGAATGATCGCCTACTCTCTAGCAGTTCTGAACCAATACTTTCAACTCAGTCCTTACTCTGTTTGATCATTTTTACTGTCACTTCTCATCCAGAACCACTACACTTACTCCTTTGCTCAAATCCTCCCGGTTTGTTCAGTCTATTGATTTTCTAATAATTTCAGATGATCAGCTGTTTTCACTTTCAATTCTCTAATTCTCTGCCCCTATACCCCAGGTGTCAGTTCTTGAAAGAAAAGCCCAAGTCTTGATAACTCTAACCAGTCATTCTTCCTGCTCCTATTTCCGGACATAAGCGAACTAGGGAAAGACCAAAAACAAAGCAAAACTGATATGCTAATAGTTTTTAAAGAAAACCTCAATTTATTCATGCTACTAATTGTCAGTCTTTCTGTTTGTGCCTCAAATTCCTAAGCATAATCTCCACTGAGATTCTCCTTTAAAATGCAATATGCTTTTCTCACAAAATTCACCGGGTCAAATGCTTTACAATCTTAATTATTAATGAGTTCAATAGTTACTACTTATTAGTTCAATGGTTACTTTGCCAAACTGAAAAATATGAGGCTTCAATTTTCATCTACCTCTCTTTTTTCCTTATTATAATTTTTTTTTACAGAGATGGGGGTCTCACTATATTGCCCCAGCTGGTCTCAAACTCCTGGGCTCAAGCGATCCTCCTGTGTTAGCCTCCCACAATGCTGGGACGACAGGCATGAGCCACCACACACGGCCTACCTCTCTATCTTAACGTGACCTTGTCTCTGTATTTTTCTTGTTCCATTCCTCCCACTACTTCAGAAAATACGGTTGTTGTTCCTTTCCTCTAAAGAGAACTGAGGATTCCATGTTATCCTGACTTTTCAGTGACCTTGTCCCTACACCTGTCATTTTCAGCAGAATCTTCCCTACTCTATTAGCTCTCTGATGCTGCTGCATTTGACAATAGTAATGTACTACATTTTTATTACATTCTCTTTCCCTGAATACTATCATGACATTGCCCTATTTCTAGTTCTCATTCCACATCTCAAATTGTGCCCATGCTGGTTTTTCACTCTCTCACCCTTAATATTCTTCCCCTCCTTCCCCAGTGTAATCTTTATTCCTCTGTTTTCTCTCTGTCTCCTGGAGAATGAGGTAGGGGAGGAGAGGGAATGGGGAGACTGAGGCAGGATGGAGAGGATGTTTCTGCTGGCAATTTGTCACTCTCACATATATTGGGATGGAAGAAAAGTTGAGAACTATTGCTCACTACTCTCTGGAGAATTCATTTAGTCTCATATTTACTCTATGTAGTACTACCATATTTACTCTATGTAGTAATTTCCCAATTTGATTTTTCTCTATAATTTTATAGCCTCTTGCAGGTGGATCACCTGAGGTCAGGAGTTCGAGACCAGCCAGGCTAACATGGTGAAACCCTGTCTGTACTAAAAATACAAAATTAGCTGGTGTGGTGGCACACATCTGTATTCCAGCTACTCGAGAGGCTGAGACAGGAGAATCACTTGAACCCGGGAGGCAGAGGCTGCAGTGAGCCAAGATCCTGCCACTGCACTCTAGCCTGGGCAAGACAGAGTGAGACTCTGTCTCAAAAAAAAAAAAAAAAAAATTTAGCCTCTTTACTGAGACCCAGTCCATGCTTCTAACAGCATAACGAACATTTATATTTTTATGCCCCCCACTGGACATTTCCAACTCAACACAACCAAACTTTGGCATCAACTTTCCCATCTAAAATAATTCCCTTCATACCTTCCCTATCTTTGGAAAGATCCAGCCAATCTCTATTACCCAGGTTTGAAAAATGCTGTTACTGTCTTCACTTCTTATAGTCATCATTGGGAGAAGTCATCATTGGGAACGCTACATTATCCTCATCAAAGAGGGGGACAAAGAACTCTCTAACCAAAGCGCTATCTGCATCAATTCTTCGTGCTACACTCACTACAATCTTACTTCTAGCCTAATATCAAAGTAAAAGACCACTTTCTTCATGTCATTTCTTTATCTAGCAATTTATAATAGCTCCAATATCAGCTATATATAAAGTCTAAACACCTATAGCCATGGGTCCTCTGAAATCTGACAACCACCTTCACACCCCATTTACTGTTTTTCTCTACTAAAGCATTTCTCAAACTTTTTGTTCCCAGAGCCCTTTACAGTCTTAAAAATGATTGAGGACCCCCAATAACTTTCATCTATGTGGATATCTATCTATATCTACCTTATTATAAATTAAAATTGAGAAAAATTTAAAACACAAAGTACAGAGGCACACATTGCATTAACTGACAGAGCGATGTCATTACATCATGTAGCCTGAAAAACTCCACGGACACTTGTAAGAGAGTAAGAGTGAAAAAGGCAAATAACATCTTAGTATTATCATAAAAATAGCTTTGACTTCTAGTACCCCTGGCTCACTTTGAGAATACTGCTCTACTTTGCTTCGCTTATCCATCTCTTCATCAATGATTACTTATGACTGGTTTTTGTGGGCATCAACAGGCTGGAGAAAAAAAACACTGATAACCACAGATTTACAAAATAATCTCCAAATTCATTAGCATGCTTGCTCATTCACAGTCTGATAAAACCCATCAATTTTATGTCCTGCTATTACCACCATTTCGTTTACCTCCTATGCTGCACACTTCAACCAAGGTTGAAGGTTCCAAGTAGAAGAAACCCTTTTCTGCTTCAGTATCTTTCAATACACTATTCTCTTTGCCCAGAAGGTCTTCTCTCACTCATCCTTTGGATCTAGTTCACAGGTTATCTCTTCTATGAAGTCTTCCCTTGATAATCCCCTCCCCAATTACCGTTTTCTCTGCACTTCCATAGCATATTAGAGCTTCTCACATTGCACTGTAATTATTGTTTATATGTCTGTCATCCCACTAGATAGTCAGCTACACGAGGGCAGATTTGCATCATACTCATCTTTGCATTTCCTTTTTTTTTTTTTTTTTTCTTTTTTTGGGACGGGGTTTCACTCTTGTTGCCCAGGCTGGAGTGCAGTGGCGTGATCTCGGCTAACCGCAACCTCCACCTCCTGGGTTCAAGAGATTCTCCTGCCTCAACCTCCCAAGTAGCTGGGATTACAGGTGCCCACCACCATGCCCGTCTAATTTTTTGTATGTTTAGTAGAGACGGGGTTTCACCATGTTGGCCAGGGTGGTCTCGAACTCCTGACCTCAGGTGATCCACCCGCCTCGGCCTCCCGAAATGCTGGGAATACAGGCGTGAGCCACCGCGCCCGGCCTCATCTTTGCATTTCTAGTACCTCACGCACAGTGGGAACCCAAACACTTGATCATTCACTTGAATCTGTCTGAATTGAATGAGTCAGTTTAATATGCATCTATCCCCAAATACTCCACACCACAGTACTTGCCCTTTCCTCTGAATTTCTGCAGTACTACATAAGAAAAAAGACTAAAGGAAAATAATAGTTATTCCTTCCTACAAAAAAGATTAGGGACTCTGGCCCGTTAGAGCAAGTCTAACTAACTCCCTAGTTGAGGGCCCTTATCAAATGGCTCTTGTTCACCTTTTCAACCTTATTTTTCATTATTCTCCAACATTAGCTTACCACTTCTGTCATGTAATAAACATATAAACACACAATATCCATTCTATTTTCATTCCTTTGGTTTATACTCTTCTCTCCCCTGGGAATTCCATTTCCCTGTTATTCTAAATTCTCTTCCTTAAAAGATCTGTTAAATTGCTCTAATTTGTCTTTAAAACAAACAAACAAACGAAAAAAAAAAAGATTGGTTCAAGACCCATAAATCCCATGAAGTTTTCTAGGACTACGCCATACCAAAGGAAAATGTCCCCTTTTTGAATATCAAATGCATTTCCACAGATTTACCACAGTTTACCTACCACTTGTCTCATATAACTTACTATTTCTTGTTCTTAAACAGTTTCCAGTAAGTTAATGATGCCACCTCAAACAGCTTGACAGCCTTTTAAGGGCAGGTACTGTCTTCACTTAAAACATCTCAGTGCCATTATGCACCAGACAATGGCAAGGTTTCTAATTTTATTTCTTTTCTATCAGTCCTTGCTAGCGACAGGAAGATAAAGGCATGTTTGATAAACACTATTCCCTTTACTTGATTTTCTACCTAAGTGTTTAGAAGAATCCAGGTTATTTTTCTTTTTCTTTTAATATAGGGTCTCACTGTATTGCCCAGGCTGGTCTCAAACTTCTGGGCTCAAGCGATTGTCTTGTGTCAGCCTCCAGAGTAGCTGAGCTTACGGAGTAGCTGGGATTACAGGCGCACACCACCACACCCAGTTTGTTTTGTTTTTTTTTCCTAGGAAACATTGCATCTACAGATATAATTATCAATTTGAAAATAAAATAGGTGCTGTGAGATGCATCTTCTCAGCACCCTAACACTGCAAGCTTAAATGAGACACTTCATTTGACAGGTAACTCGCTCTGAGTCCTCAACATACCTATTTTTAAGGGTCTTTCCCTTTTTTGCTCCTTCACCTTAGACATACCTTTTCTTATTTTAGTTCTTTAGAGTTTTAGCTCCCTTAACACATTCGGATGCATGGTTACTGGTAATAATGCCAAACCATTTAAGGAGAGCCAAAGAAATGAGGCAAGTAAAAATCATGCATAAAATGAAAACAATCTTTGAAAACCAAGAAGTTACGGTAATTGGGTCTCAGACCAATGCTTTTCCTTAAATGGAATTTGTCTAAAGAGCCACATCTTCCCCATCACCATTCTCTTAAGTATCTACACACAAATGGGGCATTAGTTGGAAATCAAACTAAATATAACCATGAAAACTTAGTCCATGATATCACGGATTGATGGTAACTTCTGAAGATTACTTTCTCCAATTCTTCACTTTTTTGCATATGTGATAAGGTCAGTAAGAAAATGTAGGAAATTATAGTTTAAAATAATCATAAGATTTAAGATGCTCTAAGTCCTTCTTGTTTCTAAGTGTATCAACCACAATTGAATGTTGAACTCTTAAACACTACAAGAGAAGACTGAGGTTAGGGGCAATTCTTTTCGATATATGTATAAAGGAATATTCCTTCAACATGGAAGTCTTGGAATGAATTTCATGTAAGAAGGGGACTGATGAATGAGGAAAGAAAGGAAGCCATCACCTGACATGCAGCAGCTCCCTCACCCCGTTTTCCTCCACCCCAAAAGCTGTAGGAAGTAGAAAGCTGCAGAATGTACCTTCCAGGCCAGGAGCAAAACATTGAGGATGGCCAGCAAGGGGCAGGGTCCGTTCTCATTCTGGGTGATGATGGGTGTGTTCTCTTCCTTCCACTGGATCCACTTGATGTGATACACAGATTGTCCCGGGAAGCGTTCCTTGGAGGCCGCCAGCACCTGAGCGGTCTCCTCCCCCTCCTCCTCCTTGCACAGAGGAACAGCCCCGGGCAACACCGCCGCGCCCTCCTCCTCCTCAGGGACCCTGTTCTCCGCTCCCTCCTCACTATTGAACTCGCAGCTACTGGGAAAAGAATGCAGGTTAGAGAACGACTCCAGAGAGTCCAGGCTCGGAGATTCCCCAGGAGGGCTCGGGTCGCTGCAACTGCTGCTGAGGCCGCCGGCGCTGCTGGGCTCTTCGGAGCCGGCGGCGGTCAGTTCTGCTTGGCAGGTGCCGGCGAGATCCGGGCGGGCTCCCGCGTCTCCGGCGGTACCCAACTCATGACCCACTCCGGCCACGGCTGTCTCCGGGGAGGCGGTCACCTTGTACTGCCCTCTCAGAGGCGCCTCGGCGGCAGCAGGACTCTCCAAACCACTGTCCTTCAAGTCCAAACCCGCGGAGGAGCTGCAGGGTCCGGGAACCTCAGGAGAGCCCGCGGGAGAAGCCGAGTCCGGGAGGCTCCTCCTGGCGGCCGCCGCCCCCAGCCCATTCCCGCCGCTGGTCTCCGCCGCCCATACCCCAGGACCATCACCAGCGGCGAGCCTGGTCTCCTGTAGCCCTTCCTGCGAAGAACCTGTCCCTGACGCTGGCCCGGCCGCCACCCCGTGTTCTAGCGGCTGCAGGCTCTCGGGGCTGCTCTCCATACCGGGCCGCCCGCCCCCAGCTCTATGGAGACCGCGGCCACTTCTCCGCAGCCAGCGCCTTGGACGCCATGACAGCTGTATTGGCAGCAACAGCGCCCTGGCGCGGCCTCGGTCAGGCACGTCACCGGGGAGAGTACTAAGAACGCGCGCGGGCGCGCGCTACCGCTCTGTCCGTGCGCTCTGAGCTTGCCTCCGCCTGACTGCGCGCTGAGAGGCGAAGGCGAACCACTCAGCAGCCGCCCACGTGGCCCAGCCCTTTCCGTGCGTCCGACCGAGCTCGCTCTCGGAAGGCCGGGCGTGGAGGGCGTGGCTAGGAGGGCGCGGCCGGGGGGCGCGCCCCCGCGGCTCAGCTCCAGTAGGAAAACATCCTCTCACTATGTGGCCGGAAGTTGAACTCCCGGGCAGCTCCCTTGTGTGCGGCTTCTTTAAAGGGAAGGCAGGAGGCGGACAGCTTGGCTGTGACCCTTTAGCGCTGGGTCGCGTGTGGCCCACCCTCGGCCTGAGGCATTGTTGGGTGGTTGGAGGTGGTTGTAGTATTTGGAAAAGAACTTGTCCCTGAAGGGCTCAGGGGACTTGGTTTCTCAGCTCCTAATATGGAAAATTAAGGCATTTCTTACGAGATGCAGATTTTAAAGCAGGCATATCTACTCGACGGCTTTGGATTACTGCACTGCACAAATTCCAGTCTCTGTCGGTTTTGGCTGAGAAGAGCTGTGCTTCTCACCAGCTACTGGTGAGACATTCGCCCTACAGGAAAGGGTCGGTATGATTGTGGACATTGACATGCGTAGCAAAAGAAAGTGGCTAATTTGCGCCAATAATAATAAATTAGCTTGTATTTGAATTAGCCAAGTCTTTGCGGTTTTGCTAACTTGGCTTCACTTTGCATGGAGTGGGAAGCGCCTGCTTCTGAAAAGGTGACTTTTTTCCTAATTAGAATGGACTCCTCTTAAGGCCATGCAGTTTTCAAAGAAGAAAGACAAGCTGGACGTTTTGTTAGTAACAAAATGTATGTGGGTCCTATTCTAACTTGTTACAGAAAAGGGCTTTTTCCCCCATCTTTTTTCTTTCAACATTTTCTAGGCTGTTGGGGATAAAAAATTAACGAGACAGGTCTTCCTTCGCAGACATATAAATACCTGATACATAATTAGAATGTGATATTTTTGCACCTCTGTTGGTTAGAGAAGGCAGACAAGATTGCAAAGTAGTATTTCATTCATTCCTTTAATACATTTTAGTACCAAGTAAGTTGCTGGATGCTGTCTGTCACTGGAGATGCCATAGTGGATCACGGAGCTTATATCTTCATGGAGCTTACTGTCTTTTTTTTTCTTATTGCTATTTTTTAATACATACTTATATGTTTTTTTGTTTTTGTTTTTGCTTTTGTTTTTTTTTTTTTTTGAAACGGAGTCTCTCTCTGTCGCCCAGGCTGGAGTGCAGTGGCACGATCTTGGCTCACTGCAACCTCCGCCTCCCGGGTTCAAGCGATTCTCCTGCCTCAGCCTCCCGAGTAGCTGGGACTATAGGCGCCCGCCACCATGCCTGGCTAATTTGTTGTTGTTGTTGTTTTTGAGACGGAGTCTTGCTCTGTCGCCCAGGCTGGCGTGCAGTGGCGCGATCTCGGCTCACTGCAAGCTCCGCCTCCCGGGTTCACGCCATTCTCCTGCCTCAGCCTCCTGAGTAGCTGGGACTACAGGCGCCCGCCACCACGCCCAGCTAACTTTTTGTATTTTTAGTAGAGACGGGGTTTCACCGTGTTAGCCAGGATGGTCTTGATCTCCTGACCTCGTGATCTGCCCACCTCGGCCCCCAAAGTGCTAGGATTACAGGCGTGAGCCACCATGCCCGGCCACACATAATATGTATTACATATAATACATGAATGTTGGATACTTATATTCTTGTTTACCTGAGAATGCAGAAGACTGTGCCCCTTTTTTTTTTTTTTTTTTTTTTTTTCCCACTTGAGACGCAGTCTCGCTTTGTCACCCAGGCTATAGTACAGTGGCGCCATCTCAGCTCATTGCAACCTCCACCTCCCGGGTTCAAGTGATTCTCCTGCCTCAGCCTCCCAAGTAGCTGGGACTACAGGCGCACGCCACCAGGTCCAGCTAATTTTTTTTGTATTTTTAGTAAAGACGAGGTTTCACTACCTTGGCCAGGCTGGTCTCTAACTTCTGACCTTGTGATCCGCATTGACATGATACTATGGTATATGTCCAACTGTAGGGTCCAGCCTTACGGGGCTTAGCGGGTGTTCTCCCCGTGTTCAGAGACGAGAGATTGTAATAAATAAAGACACAAGACAGAGAGATAAAGAGAAAACAGCTAGGCCCGGCGGACCGCTACCGTAAAGATGCGGAGACCGGTAGTGGCCCCGAACGGCTGGGCTCGCTGATATTTATTGCATACAAGACAAGGGGGCAGGGTAAGGAGGGTGAATCTTTTAAGTGATTGACAAGATGAAGCAAGTCACGTGATTACAGGATGGCGGGGGCCTTCTCTTTTAGGTAGCTGAAGCAGAGAGAGAAGGCAGCATACGTCAGCATTTTCTTCTCTGCACTTACAAGAAAGATCAAAGACTTTAAGACTTTCACTGTTTCTTCTACCGCTATCTACTACGAGCTTCAAAGAGGAACCAGGAGTATGGGAGGAGCATGAAAGTGGACAAGGAACGTGACCATTGAAGCACAGCACCACAGGGAGGGATTTAGGCCCCAGGACTGCAGGCAGGCCTGGATAATATCCAGCCTTCCACAAGAAGCTGGTGGAGCAGTGTTCCCTGACTCCTCCAAGGAAAGGAGACTCCCTTTCACGGTCTGCTAAGTAACGGGTGCCTTCCCAGACACTGGCGTTACCGCTTGACCAAGGAGCCCTCAAGCGGCCCTTACGCGGGCGTGACCGAAGGCTCACCTCTTGTCTTCTAGGTCACTTCTCACAATGTCCCTTCAGCACCTGACCCTATACCCGCTGGTTATTCCTAGGTTATATTAGTAATGCAACAAAGAGTAATATTAAAAGCTAATGATTAATCATGTTTATAATAATGATTGATAATTGTCCATGATCATCTCTATATCTAATTTGTATTATGACTATTCTTATTCTAACTATTTTCTTTATTATACTGAAACAGTTTGTGCCTTCAGTCTCTTGCCTCGGCACCTAGGTAATCCTCCACCCACATCCTACTCTTGGACAACAGGAAAATTAGAAAAGATAATGGAGAGCTTTTTCAGAATGTTGAATTTAGGAGTTGTGTGTGCTTTTGATCTCCATGTCAATCCATAAACAATAAATCCTGTTCTTAAATTTGAATTTTCTGCCTAAAAAAGAATTGGAGATGTTAATAGATTAAAATATATGCTGCTGGTTTAAGCATTTTACGGTATTTTAGGCCATGAAATATAAATAAGAATAATACAGATTTCAAGGCCGGGCGCAGTGGCTCACGGCCTGTCACCTCAGCACTTTGGGAAGCTGAGGCAGGCAGATCACCTGCAGTCGGGAGTTCAAGACCAGCCTGACCAACATGGAGAAACCCTGTCCCTACTAAAAATACAAAATTAGCTGGGTGTGGTGGCACACGCCCACAATCCCAGCTACTTGGTAGCCTGAGGCAGGAGAATCGCTTGAACCTGGGAGGCAGAGGTTGCAGTGAGCCGAGATTGCGCTATTGCACTTTAGCCTGGGCAGCAAGAGTGTAACTCCATCTCAAAAAAAAAAAAAAAAAGGAATACAGATTTCAGGAAATTTAGAATTTAGCATAGTACCTCAAATGTAAAAAGGAAATGTATAAAGCTGTGTTATATGAATAAATTAAATGAATGAATCATTTATAGGCCTGTGAGCCATAGGAGAGCCAAAAATCATGGCATACACTTCTCAAATAATGGCCCTTCACCATTTTTCAAAACCTTTACTTGGATAAACCTGTACTTGCTGTGGTAGTTTTTATTGGTATGCGTTTCAAATGCTCACATGGCATCATTTAATATTTTTTTTGTAACAAACAGAACCAGTTTTTCTTTTCATGCTGTTGTCAACAATTAAGCCTAGATAAACAGCTGTGAAAATATAGGTAGTTATTTAAGTTCATGAAAAGGTACATAGTTATTTTTTAAGGGAGGTGGGGAGTGGCATCTAGGGAGAATACCAGAAGACAAACTGATATTTTATTCTTATTTTGCGTATATGTATCTTTAGGTAAACTCTGAGGTAAGATTGCTGTTTTTAAGTTAAATAGTACCATCCAAATTTTATTTAATTAAATTAATTTATTTATTTAAGACAGGGTCTCACTCTGTCAACCAGGCTGGAGCACAGTTGCGCAATCATGGCTCACTGAAATCTCAACCTCCCAGGTTCAAGTGAGCCTCCTGCCTCAGCCTCCTGAGTAGCTGGGACTACAGGTGTATATCACCATGCCCTGCTAGTTTTTAAAATTTTTGTAGCATATGTTGCCCAGGCTGGTCTTGAATTCCTGAGTACAAGCAATCCTCCCAACTTGGTCTCTCAAAATGCTGTAATTATAGGCATGAGCCACTGCACCTGGCTGCTATCCAAATTTTAAAAATTATTTTTCAAAGTTTCAGATATAATAGTCTTAAAAGTTAAATAGTTTATATAAAAACGACGCACTTCCCTGTTCTGTCCTTCCAGACCCTTGAGTCCTGTTCTTTATAAACAGCCTCACAGTCTCTTTCAACTCATAGCTGTTTCTTTTTTTTTTTTGAGACACGATCTCACTATGTTGCCCAGACTGGAGTGCTGTGGCTATTCACAGTGGCTGTTGTGGCACACTACAGCCTCTAACTTGGCTCAAGCAATCCTACTGACTCAGCCTCCAGAGTAGCACAAACTATAGGCGCTCACCACCACACCCAGCCTCATAGCTGTTCTTTAGCTCTTTGTACCCTTGCTTCTGAGAAACATGTTTACACTCTGGTTTCTACATTTAACAGTTGTAGGCTGAGTGCTGTGGCTCATGCCTGTAATCCCAACACTTTGGGAGGCCAAGGTGGGAGGATTACTTGAGCCCAGGCGTTCGAGGCTGTAGTGAGCTACGATGGCACCACTCCACTCCAGCCTGGGTAACAGAATAAGATCGTCTAAAAAAACCCAAAACACTGTATTGCATTCACTGGACAGAAAAAAATAATTGTATATATTGTTTATTGATTTATTCCCATGGAAGATGAGGATTTAGTTCTTTCCTTTCATATCATTCTTCCTCCTATTGCTCCAATCTTCCAGTTATTAAACAATTTTTTATTACATACTCAAAGATTAAAGCATTAGAGCTATGTAAGTATTCACCACTAAGTCAGGTATTTTACTGTGATTTATTTTTGTGTTAAACTTTTTGTCTGTCTTGGAATTAACAATTGCCTCAAAGAAAAAAAAGAACAAACAAAAAACAAAAGTAACCCAGTTGCCTCATTATTTTGTTTATTTGCTTAATTCTTCTCTTCCCACTAACTTAGCCACAGAGTTAGCAGTATGATCAATCATACCAAGTTATTCCTTAGGTCCATTTTAATACTGGGTACATCCTTCCTGGAACACTCACTTCTCTTGCTCTGCTCCGGACTTCTCTTTTATAAGCCTGCTACACAGGTGTCATCCTGGGATTTCTCTTGATCACTTTTTGAGGAATCCCTTCTATGTTGATTCCTTTGTTTCTTGGATCTCCTTTTTCTAAAACGATGCATTTTTTTTTTTATAATAGAGATAGGGTCTCCCTCTGTCACCCAGCCTGGAATACAGTGACATGATCGTGGCTCATTGCAGCCTCAAACTCCTGGGCTCATGTGGTCCTCCTGCCTCAGCCTCCCAAGTAGCTAGGATTATAAGCACATGCCACCATACCTGGCTCATTTAAAAAAAAAATTATTTGTAAACATAGGTTCTATGTTGTGCAGCCTTATCTCAAACTCCTGGCCTCAAGTGATCCTCCTGCCTTGGCCTCCCAAAGTGCTGGGAATATAGGTATGTGCTATGACACCCAGCCAAACATATTCTTTTTTATTTTTATTTTATTTTTTATTTTTGTGGGTTGGAGTCTCGCTCTGTCACTAGGCTGGAGTGCAGTGGTGTGATCTCAGCTAACTGCAATCTCTGCTTCCCGGATTCAAGCGATTCTCCTACCTCAGCCTCCCCAGTAGCTGGGACTACAGGCACGTGCCACCATGCCCAGATAATTTTTGTATTTTTAGTATAGATGGGGTTTCACCATGTTGGCCAGGATGGTCTCCATCTCATGACCTTGTGATCTGTCTGCCTTGGCCTCCCAAAGTGCTGGGATTACAGGCGTGAGCCACCACACCTGGCCTTTTTTTTTTTTTGATATGGAATCTAGCTCTGTCGCCCAGGCTAGAGCGCAGTGGTGAGATCTCGGCTCACTGCAACCTCCGCTTCCTGGGTTCAAACAATTTTCTGCCTCAGCCTCCCAAGTAGCTGGGATTATAAGCGCCCACCACCATGTCCAGCTAATTTTTGTATTTTTAGTAGAGATGGAGTTTCATCATCTTGGCCAGGCTGGTCTTGGACTCCTGACCTTGTGATCCACTCACCTTTGCTTCCCGAAGTGCTGGGATTACAGGCATTAGCCACCGCGCCCAGCCCAAGTGTATTCTTAATTAGCTTCCCGAGGAAGAGTGCAAGGGAAGTAAATTTTTGTAGATCTTGTAGGTTTTTACATTTTATAGTTTGGCTGGGTATAAAATCGAAGGTTGGAAATACTTTTTCTTCATTTTAAAGTAATTATTCAATTGTGTTCTAGCTTCCAGGTAATTATAGAGAAGTCTGATGTTACTGTGACTCCAGAAACTTTGTATATAACCTCTTCCTTCTCTCTGAAGTTTATTGATCTTCCCTTATTCTTGATGTTCTGACATTTCAGTATCTGATATATCTTTGTGTGAGTCTTGCTCTGTTTATTGGGCTGGCTACTTGTGTGATCACATTCAGTGTAGAAACTTATGTCCTTCAGTTCTGTGAAATTATCTGGTTTTATTTTATAATTCTTATCTTTTCTCTGATTTTACACTCTTCATCTTTTTCTTCTACTTTACATATTTAATTTCCAATAAATTATTCTAGTTTTTGTTTAATGGCATCCTCACCTTTCATCTTTTAGAATATTGATTATGACTTTTAATATATCCTTTATATTTTTCAAAAGATATCTGAACAATACACTTCAGAAAAGTATACTTAGTGAACATATAGTTAGTGATTGTGCTAGGGAGAGAGATATGGGGGATATGAGTGTAAAACATTGGACTTATTCTTTGGGAGTACAAAGTTCTTTGGGGAATTAAGAAGTATGTTCACATGAAATGATCACTGAGAATAAAACTCACTTTATAATGAACACTAAATGACTAGCACAAACAGTAAATGTTATAAAAGTTCAGATGAAGAAAAAAGTTTTTGTGTGAAACAATGGAGATTTAAGCTATACAGTGCTTGTCTAATTAAAATAACAGGCTGATTATTACCTCAGGCTTAAGAAATCCAAAAAATATATCAAAATGATTATTCTTTTAAAATTCAGTTTTTCTTTTTTCCTTCTTTTTTTTTTTTTTTTTTGAGAGAGAGTTTTGCTCTTACTGCCCAGGCCACAGTGCAATGGCACAATCTCGGCTCACCGCAACCTCTGCCTCCCAGGTTCAAGCAATTCTCCTGCCTCAGCCTCCTGAGTAGCTGGGATTACAGGCAAGCACCACCATGCCTGGCTAATTTTATATTTGTAGTAGAGACGGGGTTTCTCCATGTTGGTCAGGCTGGTCTCGAACTCCCAACTTCAGGTGATCTGCCCACCTCAGCCTCCCAAAGTGCTGGGTTTACAGGTGTGAGCCACCATGCCCAGCCTAAAATTCAGTTTTTCTTAGTTGAATCATAACATTTTTAGCTACAATGACAGAAAATTTGGTGCCATCTTTGATTTTTACGCTAGTTTACTGTTGACTATCTCATCGATAAAGTCTTGCTGATATTGTATACCCCTTTCCTTCATTCTCTTTGGGGCCACTCCCGAGTCCTTATCTCCTTGCCACTAGAGTGTAATAGCATTCTAATTATTCCCCAGCCTATGATCGCTTCCTTATCTTATTCTGCATAAACCTACAAGAGCTATAGTTCAAACATCTTGGCTTTATTATGTTGATGATGCTATGGAAAATAAATTGATTGTTCTTTATTGTCAGCTGCATCAAAATTAGCTCAGACCAGAAGATTGCACAGGTACAGGGTATATATACATTTACTCCTCCTCTTTTAACCTTCTCTTCAAGATATGTGAGAAAATTCTGAGTTAAAAATCAAAGGTTTCCATGTAACTCAAATTGCCCTGGCTCTGGCCTTCAATTGCTTGCAGAAACTCCAGCCTCCTGCAAAGAACATCCCCAACTCAATTATTTCTGAGAGCCCCCATGGGGAGTCCCACACCTGTTTAGAAACAAGTCCAATCCTGTGATATTCCACCAGGTGCTGCCTCTACTCCATGCTGTTTTACCAGATGCCCATCTGTCCTGGTAATGTTAAAAATACATGATGGTGAATGGAGGGAAATATTTTTCTCTTCCCTCTTATTATAGCCCTAATGTGCGACAGTATTAATGAAACAGTTCTCTCAGTTTTACTTATGTAGTCCTTTATGTAGTCCTTTTTAAAAGTGAGACTGAAATGTGATTCCAGGTAGGTTGCACCAGAAATGAATTTAAGAAATATATGGCATCTTCAACTTAGAATCCCTACTTCCCTAGTCTTATGGCCAATGGTTAAAGTTTTGTCATTGAATCACATGTATTATGCCTGCCTCATTCTTTCCTTAGAACTTTTCTCAGAAGTACTTCTGCCCTGCCAGCCCACCAGTTTGCCAGATATCTGTTAACTCTAGTTCTCAAAGTGTGGTTTTTGGGTTGGTAGTGTCAGTATTACCTAGGAACTTGTTAAAAATGAAAATTCTTGAGCCCTGCTGCAGACCTACAGAATCAGGAGCTGTGTGTTTTCACAAGACCTCTTGGTGATTCTGATCTTTGATGAAGTTTGAGAATTACTACTCTAGCATTAGGGGAAGCAACCCCTTCTCACTTGCATGACAAATAAATAAACCTTAGCAAGAGACAGCAAGAGGCTTCTAAATTCACCCTCTATTCACTATTATTTTTCATTACTATGCAATGCTCTTTTGGCCATGCTTTTCTATACACTTTCCCTTGAGGGGTGTGTGTGTGTGTGTGTGTGTGTGTGTGTGTGTGTGTGTGTAGGTAGGTAGATATATTTTCGAAGTAATGTCTAAGACTATATTTATCATCCTGATGTCAAATTTTTTTTGGTTCTTGTCTGTCTCATGTTTTTTTTCATATTAATATCATTCTCTCAGTCAAGTGGTTCTGTTTGATTTTTCTCACATTCAAGAAGTCCTATTTTGAAATTTATTTATTTATTTATTTATTTATTTATTTTGAGATAAGGTTTCACTCTTTCGCCCAGGCTGGAGTGCAGTGGCACAATCATAGCTCACTACAGCCTTGAACTCCTGGGTGAAGCAATCCTCTCACCTCAGCCTCCTGAGTAGCTAGGACTATAAGCATGTACTACCTCACTTGGCTAAAGAGAATGGGATCTTGCTATGTTTCCCAGGCTGGTCTCAAACTCCTGGCCTCAAATGATCCTCCCCCTTCAGCCTCCTAAAGTGTTGGGATTACACCACGCCTGGCCTAATTTTGCTTTCTCAAAACAAAACCTAAACATACCCATTTTTTAGAAAAACTAGTAAACCACTCTTTTCTTCAAAAGCTGCTATTAAATCAATGGTGTATCTTACAATTGAGGGTATCTTAGAATTGAGGAAATATATCCTCTTTTCTACTATTTTTATATGTTGACACTGACTTTCCAGAAGTACCTGGTCTTTTATTTTCACTATATCTCTTACTGTGTTTGTTTAAAACAGTGGTTGTCAAACTTTAGTGTAATTAACTCTCATGTGGGAAGTCTATTAAAATGGGTTTCTGGGCTCTATCCCCAGGAACTCCATTCATCAGAACTGGAGAAAAGCTCAGTAATCTGCAGGTTTTTTTTTTTTTTTTGAGATGGGGTCTCACTGTGTTGCCCAGGCTGGAGTGCAATGGTGCTATCAGGGCTCACTGCAGTCTTGACCTCCTGAATTTAAGTGATTCTCCCTCCTCAGCCTCCAGAGTAGCTGAGACCACAGGGGTGCGCCACCACACCTAATTTTTAAATTATCTGTAGAGATGAGTTCTCTCTGTATTGCCCAGGCTGGGGACTCTGTGGTTTTGATAAGCATCCTAAGTAACTCTAATGCAGGTATTTCACTAGCTATACATTGAGGAACACTGACCTAGAATGATATCAGTCAAAAACTACTTGCATTGTTGAGAAGTATAGTTGTCAATTGTTAATATGCATACAGTAAGAATTCTGACCCATTTGGTTTATAATCACAATAATGAACCTCCATAATTTTCACTGACTATCTAGATGTGGTGCTTTGGGGCACAAAAGAGAATATGAAGCATGGTCACATGGAGGCAACCCAATGTAACCGAAAGTGTGATGAATGGAGACCACAAGAACCTGGTCCTGCCACTGACTAATTTTACAAGCTTGGGTAAAATTAAATTCGTAAATTAACCTCTCTTCAGTTTTCACATTTTGTAAAAGAAAAAAAAAAAGGAAGACTATACTTTCAGGGATCATTTGTATAGTTCGTTACTAGAGAATTTTCTCTGAATGTGTAGAACACCAGAAACCACAAGGAGGAGGCGCAGCGTTCTCTCCTGAGCGTGAAGCCGGGTCCTGGTGTTGCTTCACTGCAACTGCCATTTGCCATTGATGATTGTTCTTCTCTTCCTTTGGGAGAGTAAGAGGCAAAGGATGCAGTCTGAATGGTTCCTATTAAAAAAACAAACAAAGAAACAAAAACCAGGAGGAAAATAGCTTGGTTAATTTTGCTGTGTGGTACTGTGAAGAAATGGAACTTATAATAAAGAGTTTATAAATTATAAAGATATTTTCAAATATATTATTATTGCCACTGCCCTCAAGTTGGTCACAATGTGGTTAGGAAGACAAAACGTAAGTGTCTACAAGTAAAATAAAAATATGACCCCTATAGACATTGCTTAAGGGGTAGTATGAAGTGCTTCTCAGTAAGATGATAATTAACCAAATCAACAGAATGAATCAGCTTAGCTATTTTTTTTTTTTAGATGGAGTGTCACTCTTATTGCCTAGGCTGGAGTGCAGTGGCACGAACTCGGCTCACTGCAACCTCCGCCCCCCGGGTTCAAGCAATTCTCCTGCCTCAGCCTCCCAAGTAGCTGGGACCACAGGCACCTGCCACTATACTCGGCTAATTTTTTTTTTTTTTTCTGAGAAAGAGTTTCACTTTGTTGCCCAGGCTGGAGTTCAGTGGCATGGTCTCGGCTCACTGCAACCTCTGCCTACCGAGTTCAAGCAATTCTCCTGTCTCAGCCTCCCACGTAGCTGGGATTACAAGTACTTGCCACCACGCCCGGCTGATTTTTTTTTTTTTTTGGTATTTTAGTAGAGATGGGGTTTCACCATGTTGCCCAAGCTGGTCTCGAACTCCTGAGCTCAGGCAATCTGCCCATCTCAGCCTCCCAAAGTGCTAGGATTACAGGCATGAGCCACTGTGCCTGGCCTAATTTTTTATATTTTTAGTAGAGACGGGGTTTGACCATATTGGCCAGGCTGGTCTCGAACTCCTGACCTTGTGATCCACCTGCCTTGGCCTCCCAAAGTGCTGGGATTACAGTCATGAGCCACGGTGCCCAGCCAGCTTAGCTATTTGTAACAGTTACTTTAGAAGATAGGATTCGTTCAGTGTTTAAAAGAAGTGAGAGTAAGGCTGGAAATAGAATCAAAGTCTGAATAAATGCAAAAAAAAGTGGTCTAAACAATTATATTATTCCCAAAGAAAGCATATAATAACTGGAAGGGAGACGGTGGTCTGCATGGAGTCCAGAGAATATCCCACAGTGTAAGGGTTTGCTGAAGTATGCTTTGATCACCATCTATTGTGGAGGTCCCCTGAACATGTGGATGGTCTGGTACCTATCTATTCCCTCGATAGATTCTACTGTGGCATGGTAAGTTGAATAGTTGGATGAATTAGCCAGCAAAATCATTCAGTTAATTTTTTCTTCAGTGATGCCTTGCTTACTAAGCCACTTTGAATTATGCTTTAGCTTCTCAACTATTGACAAGAAATAATGCATTGACTTGCTAACATGAATAGCTAACTCATAAAATTATGAGGTGACATTTTAAGACCTAAGTCCCTTAAGAGTTTAGCTCCTATAAATTAGTGCTTGTCAGTTGATCAAATCAGGTTGCACTGAGAAAAATCTAGCTTCTGGGCCTTGAAAGCTAACAGGTAGATTCTGGACCATGGCAATGATAATAAGGATGCATTTACCCAGTAATTCAAAAGACCAGACTACAAGATTTGGAGTCAAACAAACTTCGATTAGAAGCCTGGTCTGCCTGTTTCCTCATCTGTTAAATGAGATATATCTAATTCATAGCATTGTTACAAAGAGTAAATGGAATCATGTACATAAATTTCTTACCAAGGTACCTGGTACCATGTCAGGATCATGTTTTGTTTTGTTTTGGTAATCTGGAAATCCCCATAGTAGGAACAAAATAAATACTTGTCAAATGAATGAATGATTATTATCATTGCCATCCTGTAACGTTGTGGGTTGTCCTCTGCTTTGCCTCAAAACTTTCCTATCTCTGCTGTCCTTAACACTGGGATAATAGAATTTCCAGAAAGTAACACATGGTTAATTGCAGATGAGAGATATAAATCATAGGTGTTTCAGACTAAAATGTGATTGAGATTACTATGGCAAGGGGGATCTAGGAAAAAACTTCAAGGACCATTTTGAACTTGGTCTAGTTTTTAAAACGGGTCATAAACTCAAATACTGACAGGGATAACTGGAGTGGGGTTAGATTAGACAAACCCTGTCCAAAGAGGGCAGCCTCTACTCAGTTTCTGCCAATTGATTCTGTGCAAGAATCTAGGTCGGCTTGACCTTTCAGTTTCCACAGAAAATCTAGAATCTTGGTTTAACCATGAAACCTTACAATTATTTAATATTGATGAATAATTGAGAAAAAAAATTTTTGGCCAGGCTCGATGGCTCATGCCTATACTCCCAGTGCTTTGGGAGGTTGAGGAGGGAGGATCACTTGAGCCCAGGAGTTCAAGACCAGCCTGGACAACATAGAAAGATCCTGTGTCTACAAAAAAAAAAAAAAAAAAAAAATAGTGGAGCATGGCAGTGCATACCTAATACCTATAGTCCCAGCTACTTAGGAGGATGAGGCAGGAGGATCACTTAAGCCCAGGAGCTTGAGGCTGTGGTGAGTCCCACTGTACTCCAGCCTGGGTGACAGAGCAAGACTGTCTATTCCATTAGAATAGACATTCTAAATAGAATAGGGAAGATATTTTAAAAAATACAATATAGTTTGATAAAGCTACATTAGAATTATGTAAATGGTAGACATTAAGTTTTGTCTAGAGGGCAAGTTTAAAATTTTACAGAAGGGAAGAAGCCTGAGCCATATATTTAAGAATGTCTATTCCTTTACATTTTAAGGGAATGTGTTCTAATTGCTGTAAGTTATAAATACCGTATTTCACTGTTCTCTTTTCCCTAGACGTGGATTTTTTTTTTTTTAATTTTGAGACAGGGTCTCACTGTGTTGCCCAGGCTGGAGTAAACTGGTGTGATCATAGCTCACTGCAGTCTCAACCTCCTGTGCTCTAGTGATCCTCCCACCTCAGCCTCCCAAGTAGCTGGGAGTACAGGCATGTGCCACCATGCTCGGCTAATTGTTTTATTTTTTGTAGAGACAGGATCTCGTTGGTCAAGCACGGTGGCTCATGCTTGTAATCCCAGCACTTTGGGAGGTTGAGGCGGGCAAATTACCTGAGGTCAGCAGTTCAAGACCAGCCTGGCCAACATGGTGAAACCCTGTCTCTACTAACAATACAAAAGTTAGCCGGGAATGGTGGTGCATGCTTGTAATCCCAGCTCCTTGGATAGCTGAGGCATGAGAATTGCTTGAACCCAGGAGGCAGAGGTTGCCTTGAGCCGAGATTTCACCACTGCACTCCAGCCTGGGTGACTAAGTGAGACTCTGTCTCAAACAAACAAACAAAAAAGGTCAGGCACAGTGGCTCATGCCTGTAATCCTAGCACTTTGGGAGGCCGAGGCGGGTGGATAGCCTGAGCTCAGGAGTTCGAGACCAGCCTGGGCAACACGGTGAAATCCATTCTCTACTAGAACACAAAAAATTAGCCGGGCGTGGCAGCATGTGCCTATAATTCCAGCTACGTGGGAGGCTGAGGCAGAAGAATTGCTAGAACCTGGGAGGCAGAGGTTGCAATGAGCCGAGATCATGCCAGTGCACTCCAGCCTGGACTACAGAGCAAGACTCCATCTCTTAGGAAAAAAAAAAAAGAAAGAAACAGAAAAAGAAGACAGGGTGTTGCTATATTGCCCAGGCTGGTGTTGAACTCCTGGACTCAAGAAATCCTCTTGTCCGGGCCTCCCGAAGTGCTGAGATTACAGGCATGAGCCCCCGTGCCCAGGCCCAGAAGGGATTTTTAAAGTCCTTTTCTTCTCTGATTCCTCTTTTATACAGAAAGTAAAATCCTAACAAAAAAGTGTCTTAAAATGAATTATTGAAAGGATTCTCTGAGCCTAATTTCATAGAATTTATAGGATAAATGGGAGAAGCATTCCTCCTGGAGGGAATAACATGTGCAGAGATGTCGAAGAGGAAAGTGATATGTGTTTGGGAAACCAACTGCAGTTGAACAGCAGCATATTGTGATTAAAGCACATGCTCTTGAGGCAGATCTAACTTTAGGCATTGGTTCTGCCATGCACCAGCTTTCTGATTTTGGGCAAGTTATTTAAGTTGCCATTACCTTACCACTCCTCGAACTCCCGACCTGCTAGCTATTATTGTTATTGTAATTTTTGCAATTGCTACTTTTAGAAGATAAAGTAGGAAAGAGCTGGACATTGGGGACAGCAGACTTTTCATCCTAGAAACATGGCCCAGTTTGTCTAAAACATTACTGAGAAGGCCCCAACACCACCAACGAACACTGCTGTGACTTACTTGAAAACCTGGTTGGCTATATTTTGGCACTGTGCCAAGGTTGAGCTGGTTCCTCCAAGTCCTGCTTAGATTCCTAGTTATTCAGAGCTTTAAAAAAAATAGCTGGGCACGGTGGCTCACGCCTGTAATCTCAGCACTTTGGGAGGCCGAGGGGGGCAGATCATTTGAGGTCAGGAGCTCGAGACCAGCCTGGGCAACATGGTGAAACCCTGTCTCTACTTAAAAAAAAATAGAAAAATTAGCCGGGCATGCTAATTACGTGCCTGTAATCTCAGCTACTCTGGAGCCTGAGGCAGGAGAATTCCTTGAAGCCGGAAGGCAGAGGTTGCAGTGGGCCGAGATCGCGCCACTGCACTCCAGCCTGGGTGGCAGAGCGAGACTCTGTCTCAAAACAACAACAAAAAAACCACTCAGTAACTCTCAAACTGATAGCTTCAAACAGCTCACAGTTAAGGAAGCTATGCTGAATGGTTTGGTGGCCACTGAGGTGTGGATGTGATTTTATATCCAAGAGCACAAAGGCAAACATGGCATCACTGGCTATAATGTTTGAAGACCAGTCTTAAACATCTGATTCTCTTTCATTTATTTTTTGAGTATTCTTGGACTATGTGTGATCAGACTGCTTTGTGTCAAAAAAAAAAAAAGAGTGGTGAAAGACAAAGCTGGCAAGGAAAACAATGACTAGATCATGAGGTCTTGTTTTTTTTGTTTTTTTTTTGAGATGGAGATGGAGTTTCACTCTTGTTGCCCAGGCTGGAGTGCAATGGCGCAATCTTGGCTCACCGCAACCTCTGCCTCCTGGGTTCAAGCGATTCTCCTGCCTCAGCCTCCCGAGTAGCTGGGATTACAGGCATGTGCCACCATGCCCGGTTAATTCTGTATTTTTAGCAGAGATGGGGTTTCTCCACTTTGGTCAGGCTGGTCTCGAGCTCCCGACCTCAGGTGATCCACCTGCCTCAGCCTCCCAAAGTGCTGGGATTACAGGTGTAAGCCACTGCGCCCGACTGAAGGTCTTGTATTTTATCTTGCAGATAAAAGGATCTATATTTTCAAAAGACTGGCAGGTGGGGAAGCGGTGGGCAGGAGGTCAGGCAGTGGGTATGTGAGACAGGAAGACCAAGGCTTGGGCAGTGGCAGTAAAGGTAGGTAGAGGGACTTCATACAATGGAGAATAAAGGTGACTTGATAATCTATCTACTGGGATGGGAGTTTAGGTAATTGAGTGGATGGTGTTGCCATTAACCTAAATAGGGAATTTAGGAGGAAGAGAAGGTTTGGGTAGGTTGATGTAGGGGTTTTTCAGTTTGGGACATGTTACGGAGTATGGCTGTGTAATTTCAGGTAGGAGATGACTAGTAAGAGTTGGATATGTAATAATAACAACATCTAAAATATTTTATAATAGTAATTGTATGCTATGCACTGTTCTTAGTGCTTTACATCTGTTAAATTATTTGACTCCTATAGCAACGCTCTGAAGTAGATACCACTATTTTCCCCATTGTAAAGATTAGGAAACTGTGCAACAGGTGCCTTAACTTACCTAAGGTCAGGTGGCTAGGAAGTTGTGCAACTAGGATATGGGTCTTGGGTTTGGGGGCATAGGAAATGTTCCAAGAAAAAGTGATTGGAATACTGTTCCAGGAAATGTGCTGACAATGTGATAGGCATTGTCAAGACAGACCCAGGCTTTGTTTTCACGGAGTTTATAGCCTAATGAGTTGCATACATTTGGGGGTAGTAAAATATCATGCAAGTGAAAATGAGAAGATAAGAAAGCCAAGGGTAAAATCTTGAAGATCACTAATTGTGCAGTAAAGAGAAGAAAAAGTCACAGGAAAAAGATGTAGAGGAAAGTACAATTAAAGTAAAGAAGAAAGTCCAGAGTGAGTGAAGGTTTGGAAACTGTTAGAAGAGGGAGTTTTGAGGAGAGAGTGTTGTCTGAAAGGTCCAGTAAGATAAGGAGTGAAGATGTCTAGTGGAATTGATCACTAACACATCTTTGATGTCTTTGATGGCCCTAGCAAGAGTAGCTTCTTACAAAGCTAGGTGGGAACAAATTGCGGTGGATTAACAAGCAGTTTAAAAGCAGGACCAAAAGGAAGAGAGACTGGAGTAAGGGATATAAGTTAGGTGTTCTGCAGCAATCTAAGCTAGATAAAATACTATAATTAAAGTAAAGCAGTGGTCCAAACTTGTAACACTGGAATAGTTTCAGAGTGCTAGCCAATCAGAGCAACAGCAGTGAGAAGGGGAGCATTAAAGGCACAAAGACATTTTTAGGGAATAATCAATATGACTTGGTGACAAAAGAATAATCTAAAATGATTCCCCCCCTTTTTTTTTTAAATAGAGATGGGATCTCACTATGTTGTTGAGGCTAGTCTCAAATTCCTGGGCTCGAGTGATCCTCCAGCCTTGGCCTTCCAAATTGCTAGGATTTCAGGCGTGAGCTGCAGTGCCCAGGCTAAAATGATTCCAGGTTTCTGGGATAGTGGTAGTGCCAGTATCAGAGATAAGAAGTTAAATATATTGAGTTTGGCATGACAGTGGGACATCCAGCAGGCAGTTTAGTAGAATTTGGAAATTCACAATGTAATTGTTGAAATGTTTACCAGCATTGGCCTTCGGTCTGTGCAACAAGCATTCTCCTCTAGTATTACTTGTCTATTACACTGTATAATATATGAGCATTTGCTTAAAAGCTGAATTTCCCATTACTAAAACTTGAGGATAACTTTTATTATACTGGTAATATCAAAACTGTATTGTTCCTGAGGAAATAATGCTATTAAAATAATTACGGCTTTCAAGTGGATGTTTGAGTGTTCATGCAGTGACCATAATAGTTACATTTTTTTTACTTAATAGTTACATAGCAATTATTATATTCCAGGTCTATTAACTAATATTAGAAGATAATTAGTTAAAATTATTAGTTAAATTAGTTAAAAGTAACTAATAACAGATATTAACTAATTTAAATGTAATCATCAAAACAATCTGCTGAGGCAAATATTTTTTCATTGTCATTTTACAAAAGAAATATTGAGGCCAGGTGCAGTGGCTCACACCTGTAATCCTGGCACTTTGAGGGGGCCAAGGTGGGCAGATCACTTGAGCCCAGGAGTCTGAAACCAGCCTGAGCAACATGGTGAAACCCCATCTCTACAAAAAATACAACAAATTAGCCCGGCGTGGGGCCCCCCCATCTGCAGTCCCAGCTACCTGGGAGGCTGAGGGGAAGGATCACCTCAGCCCTGGAGGCTGAGGCTACAGTGAGCTGTGGTTGCACCACTGCACCCCAGCCTGGGTGACAAAGTGAGTTCCTGTCTAAAAAAAAAAAAAAGAAAAGAAAAGAAAAGAAATATTGAGGTTAGAAGGCAAAAAAACTTGGCAAAAGTCACACGGTTTATAGATGGCAGAGCTAGGAGTGAAACCCAGGCAGTCTGTGATAGTGTAGATGCAGACCTTATACTTTAATATTTCATCAGTTTTCCATACATTTGCAAAATATCAATAATGAATTAAGTTAAAATAGTAGCCCAAACTTGTAACACTGGAATACCATTCATTATCATGCTGGTATGTAATGCCATTCGTGCATGCTGGTATGTAATGCCATTCGTGCTTGACAAATAAAAAAAATACAGTTTTTCTTTTTTTTTGAGACAAGGTCTGTCTGTGTTACTCAGGCTGGAGTGCAGTGGTGTGATCACAGCTCAATGCAACCTCAACCTCCAGGGTTCAAACAGTCCTCCCATCTCGGCCTCCCGAGTACCTGGGACTACAAGTGCATACCACTGCACTGGCTATTTGATTTTTATTTTTAATTAATTAATTAATTAATTTTTTTGAGACAGAGTCTTGCCCTGTCTCCCAGGCTGGAGTGCAGTGGCGCCATCTCGACTCACTGCAACCTCCGCCTCCTAGGTTCAAGTGATTCTCCTGCCTTAGCCTCCTGAGTAGCTGGGATTACTTGCTTCAGCCTCCAGAATAGCTGGGATTACAGGCACAGGCCACCACGCCCGGCTTTTTTTTTTTTCCTAGCTCTGTCGCTCAGGCTGGAGTGCAGTGGCGCGACCTCGGCTCACTGCAAGCTCTGCGTCCCGGGTTCACGCCATTCTCCTGCCTCAGCCTCCCGAGTAGCTGGGACTACAGGCGCCCGCCATCACGCCTGGCTAATTTTTGTATTTTTAGCAGAGACGGAGTTTCACCATGTCGGCCAGGCTGGTCTCAAACTCCTGACCTCAAGTGATCTGCGGACCTTGGCCTCCCAAAGTGCTGGGATTACAGCTGTGAGCCCCGTGGCTGGCCAAAATAAATACATTTTAAAAATTAAAAAAAAAAATACAGTCTTTATAAATGTAATTTTCAGTAATCATCTTAGTAATGCAAAATATGGCTTTGGAGTTTTTTCCAGTTGAATTTTAAGGGAAAGTGCCATTTGCCTCTAATCACTGGAATTCATTATAAAAATACTGTGCAACAGAAAACATGCTATAAGGTGGTTTAAGAGCTGGAAAATAAAAATATCATTTGTTGACAGCACTACCACAAGAGATTAGTAAAAAGCACAGGTGATATGAGATGTAATGTCTGCAGGTAACTATTTCCTAAGACTGAATATTTTAATGAAGGAAAAAAAAACCATTCGTGAGATTCTGCCATCCTTTGATGATTCCATGTATCTCATTATAAATGGATACAATTATGATGGTTTTGAAACGTCCGTTTTTGAGCCTATTAATGTTGCAGCAAAACTAGAATCATTCATTTCTCAAACTGAGAATTAAAGAAGACTCTTATGGCCAGGCTCGGTGGCTCCCACCTGTAATCCCAGCACTTTGGGAGGCTGGCGGGCGGATCACCTGAGGTTGGGAGTTCGAGACCAGCCTAACCAACATGGTGAGACCCCGTCTCTATTAAAAATACAAAAAATTTGCTGGGCGTGGTGGTGCATGCCTGTAATCTCAGCAACTTGGGAGGCTGAGGCAGGAGAATCGCTTGAACCTGGGAGGCAGAGGTTGCGGTGAGTCGAGATCACACCATTGCACCCCAGCCTGGGCAACGAGAGCGAAACTCCGTCTCAAAAAAAAAAAAATTCTCTTCACTTATGTTAATGGTAATAAATGGTATAAAATATACAGGTAACAGTATAGGAATTCCAGTTTATTACAGTATCAATAACATTAAGGCCGAGCGCAGTGGCTCACGCCTGTAATCCCAGCACTTGTGGGAGGCCGAGGCGGGAGGATCGCTTGAGTTGGAGGTTACAGTGAGCTATGATCACACCACTGCACTTCAGCCTGGCGAGACAGCGGATACCTTGTCTTTAGAAAGCAAAACAAAACAATTTACACACACACACACACACACACACTCTCCCTAATTCGGCTTGAGTTGGAGGTTACAGTGAGCTATGATCACACCACTGCACTTCAGCCTGGCGAGACAGCGGAGACCTTGTCTTTAGAAAGCAAAACAAAACAATTTACACATACACACACACACACACGCACACACACACTCTCCCTAATTCGGCCTACTCAAGCACGATACCAAATAGATGAAGAATATCTAATTAAATGGCCATAAAAAGTTCTAGTTCATGACATCCAAGTTTAAAGAATCAAAATGAGTTACGAGAAAACAAACACAAGCTTTAAGAAGTTGGGGAGAAGATGTGCGTGGATTCGCTTCAAAGATGTGACAGAGAGAAAAGAGGACATTTTCTGGACTGGAGATTCAAGACAGTCTGGTTCAGGTTGCATGCTTTTGCAAAGGCTAAAGCCTTAGTCTGTGACATAAATTTGTAAAGAGCTCGGAAAATTACATCTCGGACATGGTGTCTTTTTTTCCTGCTGCTTGAAGGTCTTTGCATTTATGTTCGCATCACTGGGGCAGCTGCCGCTATAATTACTGCTTGTTGGGACTTTTTGTTTACTTGGTAGCTGTGGTGCACCAAGAGAGGCAGAAAAAGAAGAAAAAAAACCTCTGTTACTTGTGACGTTAAGAAGTCGAAAGCAGCCCTGCTTACATCTTCCACGGACCATTTTAGCCCAAGGGAAGGTCCTCAGCAGCTCTAACACGTAGCGGAGCACTATCTCCGCGTAGGAGCGCTCCCGCCCCGGGGCGGGACCAGGACAAACCCCGCCTCCCAAGCCCAATCCCAGCTCTCCGCCGGCGGACAGGAAGCGGCGGCAGGCCTAGCAGCACGGGAACCGTCCCCCGCGCGCATGCGCGCGCCCCTGAAGCGCCTGGGGGACGGGTAGGGGCGGGAGGTAGGGGCGCGGCTCCGCGTGCCAGTTGGGTGCCCGCGCGTCACGTGGTGAGGAAGGAGGCGGAGGTCTGAGTTTCGAAGGAGGGGGGGAGAGAAGAGGGAACGAGCAAGGGAAGGAAAGCGGGGAAAGGAGGAAGGAAACGAACGAGGGGGAGGGAGGTCCCTGTTTTGGAGGAGCTAGGAGCGTTGCCGGCCCCTGAAGTGGAGCGAGAGGGAGGTGCTTCGCCGTTTCTCCTGCCAGGGGAGGTCCCGGCTTCCCGTGGAGGCTCCGGACCAAGCCCCTTCAGCTTCTCCCTCCGGATCGATGTGCTGCTGTTAACCCGTGAGGAGGCGGCGGCGGCGGCAGCGGCAGCGGAAGATGGTGTTGCTGAGAGTGTTAATTCTGCTCCTCTCCTGGGCGGCGGGGATGGGAGGTGAGGCACGACTGCGAGCGCCGGGGGCGCCGCGACCACGGCGGAGCGGCGGCCGGGCCGAGCGGAGCCCAGTCGCGCCTCGCGGCGTGCGCGTCAGTCAGCCCAGCCGGCCAGCGGCGCCACTCTGGCGGGCCGCGCTCCCCGCTCCCTATTGTCCCCCGCGCCCCGACCGCTTTCCCTTCGGTGGCGGGCCGAGGAGGCTCCCAAGCCTCCGGCGAGGCCTTCCCCGCCCCCCACCGCCCTGGCGGCCCCGGGAGGCGGGGGTCGCCTCCCAGAGAAGCGAAGTCGGGGCATCCGCGTCGCCTGGTGAGAGCGGTGGAACCCAGGCTGGTGGCTGCATCCCTCCAGTCTGCTCGGCGGGCGCCGGTGCAGGCAGCCGCAGCGAGGCTGGCGGTCTCGCCGTCCTCGTTCAGCGCTCATCCTGCTCACCATTCCTCCCCCAGCCCCTGCCCGGTGGCGGATTCCGAAGTCCTCTCCGCCGCCGAGACCCGCCGCGCAGACTCGTGGGAAGTTGTGTTGTTTGCAGCTGGGCTCGTGTATTGTTCTTTACCCGGCGCGCCGGTCCTGACCGACCCCATTCTGCAGAGGGGCCGCCCGTGGAGTGGCAGCAGTCATCACCCGCTTATCTGAGACTAGTGGCCTCGGTTCTTCCTGTGTCCTGTGTTTGGAGAGAGATCACAGGAGGGTGTGTTGGTGTTCTTGAAAACATTCTGTCGCCCAGGGGAAAGGGTTTGGTCGGGAGAAGGGTAAACCATTTGGGGATGTTCTTTGATTTGTAGGCTGGATTGGGTCTCTTAGAGTAGAAGTTCGGTCCCTGGGTGACCCAACTTGAAGAGTTTCGTTAAACTTTCAGGTGGAGTAGATGTACAGTGTAGTTAGTGGATTGTCAAAACAGTGCCCCCTCCCCCCTGCACATGAAAGTCAAATTTGCTAAAAGCATGTCATTTCTTGTTTCGGGTTTTGAAGACAACGATTTTTATTTCCGGTGTGTTCTAGGACCAGCTGCATCATTTTATTCTTGCTTAAAGTGCTTTATTTTAGGTAAGCTTTTTGACTTGCCCCAGAGTAAACTTAAAAACCTCAAGGTGTGCCTAAAAGCAACGATTGAAAAAATTTGAGGAATGCTTTGGATGAGTGTCTGTAGCCTTTGATAATTTAGAAAATATCTATTTCATGTAATGTATTGTTTCTGTTTTTTTCTTTGCCACTTTGACTTATGACTGCAGGACCAAGTGTATTTCTGTCCTGTATTCTACCGAGTCCGAGGGTGGTACTGCGTAGGCAGACTTCTGTTATAGTTTGTAGTGTTCATTTTTTTGTTACACGTTTTATTTAATTTTTTTCAATCCAATTCATCAAGCAAGACACACATTATAGATTAAGAGCTGATAATAGATGTTTAGTTTTAAAAAGGATTATGTGCGGGAGACTCTCTGTTAGAGGAGCCTTTTTCATCTGACATTTGTTATTTCTGTTCTAAACGTGGCTTTCAACAAATCGTTTTCCTATCTTTTTTCACTTTTTGTGATTAAATTCAGGAGTTAAGACACTGTTCTCTATAAGGTAATAAAAAGTAAGACAAACACATGAGGCACTTTACTGAGTAGTAGTATACTAAATGTTCTTTTAAAAATAATGAAAACAGTAAGAAACTGATGTAGTCTTATATTTGAAGAAAAAACAATTGAATAACATGTTTGTGGGTTAAAACTCTTATACAAAAATTTTCTAAATTCATATTTCCAGAGTCCTTTATTGCATTAAGCATTGGTTAAAAGGCTAATTTTTGGTGTTTTTGTTAAGCAGAACTTTTTCAAAAAACATAAGACAAGTTTTATTAGTTTTATTTTAAAATTAGTATCAAGATTCTAGCTTTTGGGTACTTGGAGATACTTGTAATTTTATTGTAACTATGGGGTATTTTTATCTACTAATCTGAGCTATTTTTGGTCACTTGTAAGATCTTTGTATGATGATTTGTAGACTTCAGCACATTGAGATTGAATGTATTTGTTTTAGCATATGAGAGAAAGGAGAAATTTGTGTAGATTAGAAGTTGTGGTGGAAATTTAACTTAAAATGTAAATCATTTTCAGGTAGTTAATAAATCCTTTTTGTTGCTTCCACCTCCCCAATTTGTCAGTCACTGTTGTGTGTGAAATTTTTCTTGCTCTGTATATTACTAGGATGGGAAGCTGGAAGGAATAATTAAAGTGTTTAGAATCATAAAACAAACTTTCCTAATGGTGTCCATTTCCAGCACAGCCCCATCCTATGTTGTAGTTGTAGGAGCAAACCATGTTTTTTTATTTTATTTTTAAAATTTAACTGGTGTGTTTGAGAGCACAAAAGGCATTTCAGCTGTAGCAGTAAATTCCATAATGTTTTGGTTTGATGAAATCATGCCCGAAATGAACTTCAGAGTATGATATGTCTCTTACATTTAAAAATCTGATGTAAGTGCTTAGCTTTGTACATTACTGCTCAATAGAAATAAGTTTTCTGGAAACTTGACCAGAGCTTTAAAGGTAGTAGAGCTTAAGCAGTTAAACTTTCTCTGACTCTGAGTCGGAATCTACCAGCAAATAAGAATTTAATGAAAGAGACAGACTAATTTTGTCTTTATCCTTAAGGATCTCTGACTCTTCATCTTTTTAAAACTTCAGTTTGAGTCCAGTTAACTCCATCATCTTTTTTAAAAAATGTTTTATTTTGTTTATTTATTTTAAAAAGTAGTGATGGGGTCTTAATACGTTGCCCAGGCTGGTCTCAAACTCCTCGTCCCTAGCGACCCACCTACCTTGGCTTCCCAAAGTGCTGGGATTGCAGGCATGAGCCACCCTGACTGGCCAATTCCTTGTCTTAAGACATTTTTCTTAACAAGAAAAATTTACATATTACATATTACTAGGATGGGAAGCCAGAAGGAAGAATTAAAGTGTTTAGAATCATAAAATGTAAACTTTCCTGATGGTGCCCATTTCCGGCACAGTCCCATCCTATGTTGTAGTTGTAGGAAGGTACCATTGCCTACATTAATGGTATTTTCTGTGTGTATGTGTACAGCCTCTCCCAGCAGGCATGGCAGGCACTTCTCTGATGTGCTTTTAGTAACTTGTTTAAGATCTTCAAGGATGTGTATTATCTGATCTCTTTAAAATTTTTCTAAGGACCTTAAGGGTTGTAGGGCTTGGGGCAAATGGAACATTTCCATGATGCCTTTTGTGTGTCTAATACTGTGTTAGGAGTTTCACTTTTCAACAGTTATGAGAGAGGGGTGATAGGCAGTTGAAGAAACAGACTTGGAAATATAATTTTTCTAGCATCATCCACCACTTAGTGGTGAATTGGACATTCGAACTCAAGCTGGTTTGACCTTAAACCCTAATAAGCTTTTTATCCATTGCCCCTTCATGCCTTTTTTGAAAGCGGCTTTCATACATTAGCTCAAAGGTGGCCTCTGGACTAAACTACCTTAGAGATATGTTTTATTCACAGTGTCTTTAAGTTTGAGCTAATGATTAACATTGAAAAATTGGGATATTTCTCAGTGAAATTCATGGATTTCTGGATTTTCGGGGAAGACTTGGAAATCCAGATACTAGTGGGCTGTATTCCTATTGTGCAGAGCTGAGCAGTAGGGCAGTAGCCACCCTCTTTAAACTGGGTATGTGCTTACCGGTTACTGCAGTCCCCATCATTCCTAATGATACACCTGGCCTTTTTCACTCATTTTTGTTACCTGCTTGGGTACTGTGGGTATGTTGTTCCCATCTCTGCCTTAGCTTTATCTTGTATAGATGGCTCCAACTTTTAAAAAATGTTTGACTGTGACCCCTTATCCAACTTTTAATATTTTTTTGCAATGTTTTCTCTGTAGTCTTAAAGATTTGTTTAAAAAGAACATGGTATACACAATACTTTTTATTCAGCATTAGGTTATTAGATGTTTTTTAAAAAAACCCGTTTTCATAATAGTAGCAGCTTGAAGGTCTTTAATATAGAATGATCGTTACAGTCTCTCCACATTTCTTTATCTAAATGGGTAAGTAAGAAACCATTTCTTTTTCTACTGGGATGAGAACCACAGAAAAAATTAGTTGAGGGTCATATTAATAAAAACCAATTTAAGAATAGGATACAAACATAAACTCTGCTTTTGAAATTAAGGTGATGAAATGGAGGAACAATAACTTCAGCAATTAGCTACATTTTCCTAACATTGTTGGCAGATCAGTGGTTCAGATATGAGATGATGTCCATATAACAAACTCTGGGAATACACTTTTATTTTTTTGAGATGGAATCTCGCTCTGTCACCCAGGCTGGAGTGCAGTGGCACGATCTTGGCTCACTGCAACCTCCGTCTGCCAGGTTCAAGCGATTCTTCTGCCTCAGCCTCCAGAGTAGCTAGGACTACAGGTGCGCACCACCACGCCTGGCTAATTTTTGTATTTTTACTAGAGACGGGGTTTCACCATATTGGCCAGACTGGTCTCGAACTCCTGACTTCAGGTGATCTGCCCGCCTTGGCCTCCCAAAGTGCTGGGATTACATGCATGAGCCACTGCGCCCCGCTGGGAATACAATTGTAAATTTTTTGTGTTTTTGTTGTTGTTGTTGTTGGTCTTGGTTAGAGATGAGGTCTCACTAGGTTGCCCAAGCTGGTCTTGAACTCTTGGCTTTAAGCAATTCTCCAACCCTGGCCTCCCAAAGTGCTGGGATTACAGGTGTAAGCCACTGTGCCTGGCCAGTTTTGGGTGTTTTTGATGGAAGTTTTTCTAAAATGTGGAAAATTTACTGTAGACACATTTACTATCTCCTTAAAATGGACTGAATTTAACCTTACATGATTGAAGTTTAATATGGAGAACAGTTGTTATTCTGGGTTCTATTGTAGTTTCTGTTTTTAATTTTTCCAGAAATGACTGAAATGGCCTGGTAGTTTATTATTTTTCTAAATTTATTCTAGATGATTGTGGATTTTATTCTTGGATCTAGTTGTAGCAATATTTCCAACTTTTTGGTTAGGTTTCTTTGCTTTCTTGTAAACTTTGAAGATGTTACCTTCTAATTGGTTGTTTCTAGTATGTTTTATGTAGGAAAACTAAATAATTATATTTGAGAAACATGCTTGCATGTGAAATGAAATAAATAAATTCTAAATCTTCTGTGGAATGAAGTACATGGGCTTTAGGTAGTTTTTTCTTTCTCCCTGCCCCCCACCCCTACCCCTCACCTTTCAATATGTATAGCTTGGCTTTGTAGAGTTTAGCATTGAGGTTGCCTGGATCGTAACTTTCTAAACAGTTGGAATGATGTGGTACTAATGTGTTTTGCTAGTTACAGTTAGACAGGGAAGAATGGAGAGAAAAAACTGATGAATAACCAGGCAGGTACAGCAAATAAAATGTATTCTCATTAGGTTGCAGATAGATCGTGTCCTAGAGCTAAATCATGAGTACTCTGGTTTTATACTAATATACTAGATTATTGGTATTAAACATACTCTAAAATGTCCAACTGTAATATTTTCTACAGGAATAGAAATTGTGAATTAAGAAAAAGTGTTGGCCAGACACAGTGGCTTACGCCTGTAATCCCGGCACTTTGGGAGGCTGAGGCAGGCGGATCACCTGAAAGGTCAGGAGTTCGAGACAAGCCTGCCCAACATGGCGAAACCCCCTCTCTACTAAAAATACAAAAAATTAGCTTGGTGTGGTGGCAGGCGCCTGTAATCCCAGCTACTCAGGAAGCTGAGGCAGGAGAATCGCTTGAACCCGGGAGGTGGAGGTTGCAGTGAGCTGAGATCGCACCACTGCACTCTAGCCTGGGCGACAAGAGTGAAACTCCGTCTCAAAAAAAAAAAAAAGTATTTTGTTTAAAGGAAAGTCAGTGAAAGGTAGATGACAGGGGCTTATGGTACTGTGCTGGTTTCTAGTAAGTAGCTGTGTTACAGCAACTGTGTTACCATTTTGGTGATTTTTACATTTGTATAAAGTTAAATTTCTTGTCTGTCTTTAATTGTATTACATTATAATGGTTAGAAAAAAATTTGCTAAAGTTGGGGCATTGTTTTGGAAGGGTCTAGCTTAAAATATGGTCTATGTGGAGTACCAGAAATGTAGTTTGTGTGGAGAAGGTTGTGGGCAAGGGCAGTCATTGGCCACTGCTGCCAACACAAAGTTTCAGTGAGAGGCCTATGTGAGATAAATTGTGGATAGGAAAGGCTGCAGACAGAAAAACACATAGTGATTTCAAATCTGAACCCCCGCCCCCCGCCACCGAAGCCCAAAATCACAGGGGCAGGCCTTCCAAATTGTAGGAATGATTTGCATTTCATTTGGTTTTTACACGGGCAGCTCTATGTGACATGCTGGGGTAAAGAGGCCCAGGTTTTTGTTGTTGTTTTGTTTGTTTTTGAGACAAGGTCTCTTTCTGTTGCCCAGGTTGAAGTACAGTGGTGTGATGTCAGCTCACTGCAGCCTTGACCTCTGCAGCTCAAGCAATTCTCCAACCTCAGCCTCTCCATAGCTGGGACCACAGGCACACGCCACCATGCCTGGTTAATTTTTTGATTTTTTTGTAGAGATGAGGTCTCACTATGTTGCCCAGGCTGTGTTGTTGTTTTCTAAAGGAGTAATTGATTTAATTAATGATCGTTAATGCTCTTCCAAGCAACCCTAAAAACTCTGCTTGTTCTGAACAAAAATCTAGCAGTGGTAATTCTAAGTAGTCTAGCTGTTGATTTTTATATTAGGAAAAAGGAAGCAATGTTAAGGACAAGTGGAAAAACTATAATAACCCTACCACTTGGATTCCTGTAAGGGCAGTGACGTTGCTGTCCAGCAATGTGAAGATTTTGCGTTAGTATTAGGATAGCCTGACCCAGCTAGTTTGCAGGAAATAGCGGTGCTGAGAATATTTCTCAGGGAATGTAGTCTCCCTTTGATGCTGAGTGAATTCATTTTGAAGCTACTACAGATGCTCCTTGACTCATCATAAGTTGAAAATATCGTAAGTCGAAAATGTATGTAATGTTGGCAACAGAGATGATGGTTCAGTGTATGATTTTTCAACTTTGTGATGGTGAGAAAGTGATACACGTGCAGTAGAAACTGTAACCCCATTTAAGTTTTAAGGAGCTCTCCTCCACTTAATGTGGGGTTATGTCACAACCCATCATAAGATTGAAAAATACGAATCATAGTAAGTTGGTTAACATACATACAGTCCACTTGTACTACTGCAAGTAAACAATGTGAGATGTATACAGTGAGAACATTGCTGTTTAGTCACCAGGATTTATTATGTGTCTATGACTGTTAGGAGTCGTGAAGCCACAGTATTAAGTGAGAAGAAAAGTAAAAAATACTGAGTTTGTTGGAGTAAATGAAATGCCAAAATATAAAAATATACTTCCAATTATATATTGTAGTTGCACCTGAAATGAGGATTTGTTAAGCTTGAGGGACATCAGCAAGCGGGGAAGGCTTTCTGAGGTGGAAGAGAATGACACATAAGATGCTTGTAGGTTTACTTGCCTGGAATCGATAGTCTGTGTCAGGAAATAAGGAGAATTGCTAACTGGGCCATGATAATCAGGACTGATTATTCTAGGCCATGATAACTATGAGATAGAATATTATGGACTGTTGGGTGGAGTCCCTGTTGAGGAGTTAGGTTATGATTGACAAATTGGGTGATTGAGTCTTGGATTAGAATGATCGTAGAAATAAGTAAGGATAGAACAAGAAATGACATGGAAGAAAAACTGATAAAACTGGGCAAATGTTTAACGTGAAAGTAACAAAACTTATAGAGGGCTCACTCTGTTGAATTTAAATATTAGGCTGTTTCATTGGAGTGAGTGTGGTTTTATAAAACTTTGAAGACCTCAGTCGTTGAAGTTGAAAATGTCTTAAGATTTTGAGTCTGGATAGAAGCTTATAGGTTGGGATGGGTGTCAGCGTCTGGGATTTTATTTTATTTGCATGCTAATACTTGGGAACTGGATAAAACTTTGCATAGATCTTTAATCTCTGGCTAGTTATTTGGGAAGCAGTGCTTTAGGTAGCTGGATTATAGAAGTTTAGTGAATTTGGAGTGGAGATAGAGATTAGTTTAAAGATATACTAACACTTTTTTTTCTTACTTAAGTTGGAATTAGGCTATTCAGTTCAAAAATATGATTGACACTCTTGATTTCATGTGAACTATGAACTTCTGTTTCCAAGACAAATAGGGGAAAATAATGCGATCTTTGCATTTTAGGCAAATTTGCATATGTGATTTGTGGAGCAGAATTTGCTTACCATCTGTTTTTGCTTGTATTGATGATGGCAGGACACACGTGTGCATACATTTGAACTTTGAATTTAGCTTTCAAAAGAACACATAGAATTCTCTATGATTTGATGGGGTATTAATTTACTACCCCTTTTCCTAGGAATTAAGTGGGATAATTTGTAAAAGTGCTAAAGACTTTAAAGTACTATATAAATATTATTAAAATTATGTCGTTTCCAGACCTGCTTTCATTTGGAATCTATTAGTTACAAAATACAGATGGATAAAATCTATTTTTAGTAGTTGGAATATTAGAACATCATTACCAAACATTAGAAAATAGAATTAAAGAAAATCCGTAATTCCTCCTTCAACACAATTTTATCACTTTTTAATATTAATCATGTAGTCTTTTAAAATGCCTATTACGAATTTATAGTATTTGTGTAGTTCTGTATACCTTTAAAAAACTAATGTATAGTTAATGGCTGGGTGTGGTGGCTCATGTCTGTGATCCCAGCACTTTGGGAAGCTAAGCTCGGAGGATTAGTTTAGGCCAGGAGTCTGAGACCAGCCTGGTTAACATAGCAAGACCCTGTTTCTATGCCAAAAATAAATAAATAAATACAAGAAAAATGTAAAGTGTAGTTAAAACGCATAAGTATGCAAAGCAGACACTGAGATATGTATAAGTAGTAAAAAATGAAATCATGTCATTCCTGTTTATACCATATTTTTTCTATTTTATAGATATTGCTGTTCTTTTTTTTTTTTCTTCCCTAGAGACAGAGTCTCGCGCTGATGCCCAGGCTGGAATGCAGTGGTGCGATCTTGGCTCACTGCAGCCCCTGCCTTCTGGGTTTAAGCGATTTTTGTGCCTCAGCCTCCGAGTAGCTGGGACTACAGGCACTTGCCACCAGGCCCTTCTCATTTTTGTATTTTTAGTAGAGACGGGGTTTCACCATGTTGGCCAGGCTGGCCTCGAACTCTAGACCTCAAGTGATCCTCCTTCAGCCTCCCAAAGTTTTGGGATTACAGGCATGAGCCACCATGCCGAGCTTTGATATTGCTGTTCTTTATTTCAAGCTTTATAGTTAAGTTACTGATCTGTGTCTTCACTAGAAAGACAATGTTAAGAGGGAAGTAACTTTATTCTTAGTCTTCATGTTTTAGGACCTAGCACAGTGTCTCACTCACATTAGGATTTTATAATATGTGTTATTAAGACTACAGAATTGTTAAATACATTGCTTAGGAAGTGGACTGGACTTCTGGATACATGTTATGCACCCGTTTTCATTCAGCAGATATTGGCATTAGTGAAGCAGCCTTCATGGTACTGGCTGTCAGCTATATTATGGAAATAGTCTCATTACATGAAACTGAATGTCATAATGATTTTTGTTAAAATTGGAATATTGCTGTAGTAAAATTAGAAAGTGACCTCCTCCAATTAGTACAGCATATTATCAGAACCCTCAAATGTGTATTATAAAGGTTAGGTATTCTAATCTAGCATAACGGAGAGGACAGTTTTGTTGACAGCTTTGGAGATGGATTGGCACTGATGCTTATAAATTGGTTCGGAAATCAGAATTTAATTTTGGCAAGAATTTATAAAATTTAAGAATTTATTTTTTGAAAATATTTATTTATTTATTTATTTATTTTTTTGAGACGGAGTCTCGCTCTGTCACCCCGGCTGGAGTGCAGTGGTGCTATCTCGGCTCACTGCCAGCTCCGCCTCCCAGGTTCATGCCGTTCTTCTGCCTCAGCCTCCCGAGTAGCTGGGACTACAAGCACCTGCCACCATGCCTGGCTAATTTTTTTTTTTTTTTTTGTATTTTTGGTAGAGACGGGGTTTCACCATGTTAGCCAGGATGGTCTCAATCTCCTGACCTCGTGATTCACCTGCCTTGGCCTCCCAAAGTGCTGGGATTACAGGCGTGAGCCACCGCGCCCGGCCCAAAATTTAAGAATTTATAAATTTTCTTGGTAGCCCATAAAATTCACTTGTATCCATCCAGTAGCAGAAATCTCTTAGTAACTCCATGATCTCTAGGAGCAGTAGGCCATTTAGTAGGGAGGAGCCCTTTTTCTTTAATGTAGAGCAAGCTTTGGCATAGTGGTTCTCAGCTAGGGGCAGTGGCGGATGTTTTGGGATATCTTATGGGAAAAGGGTGAGTTAATGACAATGGGTTTAAGATGAAATGCAGGGAGTGGGACAGATGTATATCAAAAGTGAGGTGGTGGCTGTGTGAGTGTGAAAGTGATGTAGGCAGGTTGAAAGTCATACTCTATTACTGTCTGTACTTGTGTCTTATTAGAAATTGTATAAAAGATTCAATATAACCCACAGGTTCAGAAAAAAAGAATAAAAAAAGATTGTATAAAAGAATTTCAAATCAGCATAGAAATCTTACGTACACATTTCAATTTTTTGATTTTTAAATTGTATTTCATAAGTTAGTGGTATAAATTTAATACATTCAATAGATTTTAATCATTCGTGTTTTCAGCCCTTTGTATATAATTTATAAAAGAGCTACTTAGACTTCTGAGCCAGCTTGTGTTATTTTTACTTCTTAGAGACTAGCTGATTTCAAAAAGTGGGTATGTTGAAATAGGCTTTTAATTGTAGACACTCCCTCCTATCTTGAACTTTAACTTGTAACTGTTAGGTGTAGCTGTTTGCTTCTAGAAGATGATTTGACTGATTTCTAGTGAAAAAATAGGTACTGGCTTAAGTTTGAATTCACATTGTAGAAGTAGCTTTTCAAAGAGTGCATTAAAGGCACTTAAATATATTGCTGGAATATAGGGCATGATAGTTCCTGGAAGCCTACCTTTGTCATACAGGAGAACAGTTTTGTTAGTGGTATTTAGTGCCTGAAGATCTGAGTGAATATGTATTATCAAATAAAGGAAGCATTGGTCAACACAGTATGATGCCTATGACATGTAGTTGATGACTCAGTAGGAAGGAAATATATTTTTATGTTGGGGAAAAATGCTGTTGGTACCTCATTTTGAAATTATGCAAGTGAAAAGTCTGTTGAAAACAAGTTGATTACAAGTAATTTTTTTTGAGGAATGCAAATATGCCATGCTTAGCTTACTCTTATATCCTCTCATTTATTGTAATTGAGTTTTTCTGTAAATAGGAAGATCTGTAATATCAAAACATTATTGCAGATTTTCCTCTCCCATTCTTAAGATTGTATAGCCAACTTTTTGGGTATAGATAGGAAAAAACTTGCTTGTTATATGATATTTCTGTCTCACACCAAGGTGATGATGGTGACCCACTATCAGAGAGTTATTCTTTGTTTTTTCTCCTGATGTTAATGAAATTTTCATTCCGTATTTTTTTGCACAATTCTTTAATTTAGTAGATTGGAACAGAAGATTGTAAGTTTTGGGTTCAAGGATTGGGAAGGAAGCTTTTGCTTAGAAGGGTACTTGGGAAGTAAGATGCTACCTACCCATGGAATATGGAAAAAAATCACAATGGCTGGCATTTGTTGGGGTACTTAATGCCAGGCACTGTTGTTAGATCATTTTGTGTATCATATATTAACTTGGTCTTCACAGCATCTCTATGAGATACGTGTTGTTATTTTCATTTTATAAATGAGAGAGGAGGATCAGGGAGGGTTACTTATCCAGAGTCAGGAAAGTCAAATAGTAGTTATCAGTTGAGGGAAGCCAGATCTTGCCTTTACATGTAGGCTAATTTTACCCTTAAAGCGTAATTTAGGTTCTTTGTACTTACAGTATTTGAAGAATTTGCCTTTTAGTCAGTCAGGTTCTTTATAGAAGGTATTTTATTTTTTGGATGTGAAAAAATGTTTACATTTGAGGGGAGAAAAGCAGCTTACAGAAAGAACACGCATAAAACCATTTCAGTTTTGTCATAGATAAATATATATGTAATCATTTTTAGAGAACAGATACCAATTTTCTGGGTAGTAAGATTCATAATGCACTTCTGTGATTAGGAAAAATAATTTTTTAAAAGGCGGATTGGTAAATACCAGTATCCTGGCGACTTTGAGAAAAATTAAGGGAAATAAAAATACTGTTCTCAAATTGTAAAAAGGGAGAGCTCTCCTAAGCTCTCCTGTGACAAGGAGGCCAAGTTATGTTTTTTCTATTTCTTAGAACCTGCTGGTCATTTTTCTGCCACTCTTGCATGTGATTTTTTGGTATTACTTAGTCTTCCCCCTTAAAAAAAAACTAGAGATGGGGTGTTACTGTGTTGCCCAGGCTGGTCTTGAACTCCCGAGCTAAAGTGATCCTCCTAAACAATCACTTTCGACTTCCCAAAGTGCTAGGATTACATAAAATTTGATAAAGGATCTGTTTTCTCTATCTCGTAGATCCAATCTAGTTATTCTTCTGGCAGTTTTACATAGAGGCTTTTTTCGATATACTGTGTTTCTTTTTTTAATTCTTGAAAATTTTTATACTTTCTAAAAGATTGCAGGTATGCTAGTAGTTAATATTTGTATGCCTTTCACCTGAATTTATGAATGGTTACCTTTACCACATTTACTCTCTTTTTAATAATATATTATTTTTTTCCCTCTGTTTCATTTGAAAATAAGTTGTACTCTAAATACTTCAGTATGCTTGCATTTCATAAAAGTAAGGACATTCTGCTACATAACTAAGGAGATTTTTTTCTTAAGTGTGGAGATGTTCAAATTTCCCATGGGGCTTATAAGTATTAGGTGCCATGTGACTGTAGTATATGCTTTGTAGTATATGCTTTTCAGATTTCCCATGGGGCTTATAAGTATTAAGTACCATGTGACTGTAATATATGCTAGCTTTTTGGCAACTAAAACTGAGAACAAGAAAGTTAAATGCTGTTGGTGCGCTTTTCTGTGTAGGTGAAATAAAGTAACAGAAGAGAAAGGAGAAGACGTTGACTTTGCAGAGTAACTATCTTGTAGGGTGGAGCTGTTTTTATGTAGGAATAATAGCACAATAACATAGCCTTGAGGTTACTGCATCATTATGGCCTCTTCTGGTGAAGATGTTAATAAGGATAAGCCTGGCTTAACAAGAACATGTTAGAGTAGGAGGAAAATTAATCATCCATCAAATAGAAAGATATTTAGCAAGATATAATTACCTAGAAACTGTCCTTAGTGGAAGCTGTCATTTTCCATTGATGTCAGATTAGTAACATTTTATTGTCCTCTAGGTTAAATGTATTTTATTTTCATCATTGTCAGGTAGCATGTATTTCTCCACTGTTAAAGTCTTTATGTGAAAATGCCTTTTGTAAGTATGTATAAAACCATTTCAGTTTTTTCATAGATAAATATATATGTAATCATTTTAGAGAACAGATACCAACTTGCTGGGTAGTAAGATTCATAACGCACTTCTGTGATTAGGAAAAATAAATTTTTAAAAGGCAGATTAGTAAATACCAGTTGACCCTCTGTGTCTGTGAATTTTGTATTCATGGATTAAACCAACCACGAATGAAAAAATTCAAAAAATGAAATTGAGTCTGTACTTAACATGTACAGACTTTTTTCTTGTTATTATTCCCTACACAACACAGTACAACAACTATTTATATAGGATTTACATTGTATTGTGTATTATAAGTAGTCTAGAGATTATTTAAAATATACATGGGTATGTGCATAGGTTGTATGCAAATACCGCGTCATTTTGTCAGGGATTTGAGCATCAATGGATTTGGATATCTGTGGGAAGTCCTTGAACCAACCCCCCAGGGATACCAAGGGACAATTTTATTTTATTCTTTATCAGGAGGGATAAAATTAGGAATTAAGATTGGCATTCTTTGAGTCCTTACTTGTTGTTCGTTTTGTCCTGCGTAGGTAATATATCTAATAGTGATGAAAGAACCTGGACTGGGAGAGTCTAGCAAGTAGTAAGGATCAGGATAGAGTAGGTGATAAGGAATCGGAGTAAACGATTAGGCAGCTTGGAACTAGGGAATCAGGAAGATCTATAACAAGGAGAGATTCCCAGATACAAAGGTGAGTGGGTCAGAGGCCAAGCTGTGTTCAGATAGAGATGGGTGAATAGTTAACATGTTTCAGTGAGATTTGATGATACCACATGCTCTATCTATACTTTCTGAGCTCTTGACTGATTGCTAAAGTTTAGAAATAAATCTCAGTTGATAGGTCCAGTCTCTGCATGTGGGAACAGGCAATTTTGTGATGTCTGACTGAGGTAGTAAGCAGTACAAGGGTTGAAGATTAGTCAGGGCTCCTGTGGAGTAAACCATGCCCATTTCAATCACTAGCTGTGGAAATCAAGGGTATATGTATATGTATATTTTTCTGTCTATAAGAAGTATATTCTTCTTTAGTATTGCATTGCTTGTTTTCCCCATCTTAGAGGTAGACGTCAGTTTAGTTTTTGAAAGGTTTTTGCCATGTGCTGTATTTTGATAATTTTTTTTCTTTTCAGTTTTTTTTTTTTTTAATTTTGAGACAGGGTCTCACTTTGTCACCCAGGCTGCATTGCAGTGGCACGATCTTGGCTCACTGCGGCCTCTACTTCCCAGGTTCAAGCGATCCTCCCACCTCAACCCCCCAAGTAGCTGGGATGACAGGTGCATGCCACCGTGCCCGGCTGATTTTTGTATTTGTTGTAGAGATGGCGTTTTGCCATCTTGCCCAGGCTGTCTTTTCAGTTTTTTGTCATATCAGAAATATGGTGACTTACCTTGTTTATGATGAAGGTAATTCGACTCATCGTAGATTAACATGAAATCATTGAAATCAAAGTTGAGTTCTTGGCACTGCCTCCTGTTTGCTATGTGACACTGGGTTTGTTACATATCACTCAAACCTCAGTTTTCTTTAAAATGGGCTAATAGTTCTCACTTGATTGGGTGGTTTAAATGAAAAAAATGTAGAGCAGTACAGAGCCTGGCAGATAGCAAGTGCTTGATACATTTTAATTATCATGACATCCAATTTATAAGCATTATTGTTTAATTTAGTTAAACAAGAAATTGATGTAATCAGGATATTGTTCTGTACATGGTAAGATTTCAGGGTACATTTAAGAAATTAGGATACTTTTAAAAATAAAATAGGATATATAGTTTGGGATTTTTAATTTTTCCCCTTTAAATATGTGAAATGTGAAACTTAAAAAATCATTTAAAAATGTTTGTTAGCCAGATTTTAATGTGAATTTGAATATATTGGATTTCTAAAACAAGAATGAGAAGCAACAGCCTTAGTGTAATATTATTTTTATATATATATATATAATGTAATGAAAAACTAAAGATATTCTATTAAAGTCAGGGACAAAGTGAACATGCCTACACTTGTTATTCAGCATGGTTTGGTACTCCTAGTTAGTGTAGTAAGTTAAAAAACAGATAAAATTATAAATAGATGAATAAAAGATTTAAATATGCAAAGCAGAACCAATAAAAGGCCAAGAAAGAAAATAAAGAATATTTTTGGAATTTTGCCTGCAAAATTTAGGGGCTCATGAATCCCCTATAGAGGTTATGCAGTTTCTCCCTCAGTATCTATGGGGATTGGTTCCATGAATGCTCAAGTCCCTTATATAAAAAGGTATACTATTTGCATATAACCTGTGCACATCCTTCCCTGTACTTTATTTTTGTTTTAAAGGGTTAAACAATAAGGCCTTTATCTGCACAAATCAGGGTAGAATGAGGCAGGCAGTTCCAGGATTGGCTGATTCGGAAACTGGCTAGACAAATCCATCTCAGCTACCATTGTCCACAAAAAAGGGGGACCTCTGGAAATCCACAGCAGACCCCAACCCAGGTCTTTTGGGCAGGAGCTGGGTCATTTCCACACTGAAACCACTCTGAGGGAGGGGATGAAGAACCACCAGGTTTTGTTCACTCACCTAGTTGTAGGTAATCTCTACATTGTGGATAGATGGAGCAGTTCAACTTCTGGCTGACAGCTCACATTCAGAGGTCACTGTCAGCTCTTCTCTTTTATGATCATGCTATTTTGAACAATGAGACAACATCTGCCATGCACTCTTAAGGCCTCTGTCCAGTGTGAACTCTAATGCCTAATGAGGTTAGGCCTTGACTGTATGCTTTTTTACATCCGCTACACTTCTACATTTATAAGGCCTTTCTCTGTGTGAACTTTCATGTGCCAAGCAAGGTGGAAGTTTCTGCATTCCCATATTTCCTGCATACATAAGGCCTTGTTCCATCACGAATTCTCTTATATGCTGTAAGATAGGAATTGTGGCTGAAGAATTTTCCACATTTACAACACTTAGAAGTCTCTTTTCCAGTGTGAACTTTCTGGTGCTCAACAAATGTGTCTTTATAGATAAAAAGACTTGTCACATGATCTGCACTCATAAGGCCTTTCTCCACTATGAATTCTCTGCTGCTGAACAAGATAGGATCTTCTAATAAAGGATTTATCACATTAAGCTCACTCTTTTTTTTTTTTTTTTTGAGATGGAGTCTTGCTCTGTTGCCCATGCTGGAGTGCAACAGCAAGATCTCGGCTCACTGCAACCTCCGCCTTCCTGGGTTCAAGTG
The DNA here is from genome assembly GCF_000001405.40 of Homo sapiens. Lineage (NCBI taxonomy): Eukaryota > Metazoa > Chordata > Mammalia > Primates > Hominidae > Homo > Homo sapiens. The sequence goes on along the minus strand of NC_000015.10, from coordinate 58,732,621 downwards.
ATTTTCCTGCCTCAGCCACCCAAGTAGCTGGGACTACAGGTGTGTACCACCATGCCTGGCTAATTTTTGTATTTTTAGTAGAGACGGGGTTTCACCATGTTGGTCAGGCTGGTCTCGAACCCCTGACCTCAGGTGATCTGCCCTCCTCAACCTCCCAAAGTGCTGGAATTACAGGCATGAGCCACCATGCCTGGCTTTAAGCTCATTCTTTGTATGACCTCTTTAAAGTATGAGGGTTGGAGGTGGAGCCAAATAATTTCCCGCAATCACTGCATTTATAAGGTATTTCTTTGCTGTGAATTCTTCTTTGTACTGTAAAGTAGGAGTTGTGACTAAAGGTTTTCTCCACATTCACCACACTCCTAAGGCTTTACTCCGTCATGGATTTTCTGTTGCTGAACAAGTTTATCTTTGCAGTTGAAGGCTTTCCCACATCACTGCACTTGCAGCCCCTTTGTCCAGTGTGAAAGGCCTCCCTACTCTCAGTACTTTGGTGTGGCTTCTTCCCCATTGGGAGGGGCCTGGTGCTTGAAAACTTCAAAGCTATTCAAGAAGTATTTTCCACCCTTCCTGCTAGTGAAAACCTTCTTTGACATGTAGGATCTGCAGATCTTCACAAACACCAGGCTCTTTTCCTTCTAGAAGATTTCTGTCTGCTGCCTCTGAATCTGGTCTAGGTTACAGTGAACCAGAAGTCTCCACCCCATGACTCACATGTGTGTGGTTGCTATTCAGAGAATGTTCCCCTTGTCCAGCTAGATGGAAAAACGTCTTTCAAGACCAGGCCGCACATGTCATGGGGTGGGCTTTCTGACCTGCCTTAGGAATTCTCACCTGTGACACTCTTAAAGAAACACCCTGCTTGGAAGGTGCATGTTCATCCTCCACTCCATACCAGTTACCTTGGGTGGGGTCACCTCAGGGTGCTTGTTGCCTTCTGAGCCTCACTGCAAAATGCCCTCTCATACTTGAATTTTAATTTTTTTATTTTTTTGAGACAGGGTCTCACTCTCTCACTCAGGCTGGAGTGCAGTGGTGTGAATACGGCTAACCCCAGCCTCGACTTCGTGGGCTCAGGTGATTCTCCCACCTCAGCCTCTTGAGCAGCTGGGACAACAAGTGTGTGCCACCACACCTGGCTAGTTTTTTGTATTTTTTTTGTTGTTGTTGAGACGGGGCTTTGCTATGTTGCCCAGGCTGGTCTCTAATTCCTGGGTTTAAGCGATCTGCCCGCCTCGGCCCCCCAAAGTGTTAGGATTACAGGTGTGAGCCACTGCACCTGGCCCCTCCCATATACTTTAAACCATCTCCAGATTTCTTATAATACTTAATATAATGCCAGCACTTCATTTGTGTGGATTCAGCATAGTACTCAGTGTACAGCAAATTCAGGTTTTGTCTTTTGGAACTTTGTGGATTTTTTTTCCCCTTCAGTATTTTGAATCCACAGTTGGTTGAATTCCACTAATGCAGAACCCATGAATACAGAGGACTGACTCTATCAGTGAGGGTTTTCCAGAGAGACAGAACCAATAGGATATACATATGTACAGATAGATACATGAGAGAGGATTTATTAGGGGAATTGGCTTACACGATTATACAGACTGAAAAGTCCCATGATAGGCAGTCTGCAAGCTGGAGACCCTAGGATGCTGGTAGTATGGCTCATTTTAGTCTTAATGTCTGGGAACCAGGGAAGCTGATATTTTAACTCTGTCTGAGGCTGAAGGCCGCAGAGGCTGGAGTCCTGATGTCCCGAGGGGAAAGAGAGGGAGAATTTTCTTTTCCTCCACCTTTTTGTTTTTTTCCTGGCCTTTAGCCAATTGGATGGTGCCTGCCCACAGTGCAGGTGGATCTTCCCCAGTCAGCCCACCACTCCACCCGCCAGTCTTCACTGGAAGCACCCTCAGAGACACATCCAGAAATAATGCTTTACCAGCTCTCTAGGTCTTCCTTAATCTAGTCAAGTTGACACCTAAAATTAACTAACACAGAGGTTTGTGGATTTCAGGTTAGTATTCCTCTTGTAGAGGAAAAAAAGGTGAATTATAACCAAAGGCAGATGAAACTAAGTGTTTAAGTGACTTACCAAAGATTTGATACCTGTTCTGTAACATTTTGTAGGATGAAACTAAGTGTTTAAGTGACTTACCAAAGATTTAATACCTGTTCTGTAACATTTTGTAATACTTCGCTTATTCAACTCTGCTGTTGTGTGAAAGCAGAGATAGAAAATATGTAAATGAATGAGCATAGCAGTGTTGTAAAAACAGGTGGCCAGCTGGAACTGGCCTTTGGGTAACAGTTTGCCAACCCTTCTTCTACGTTATTTGGAAACTTTTTCTACTCAGTATATTGCCTGAGACATCAGTTGAGGTATTTTTTGCTTAAATGGTAGCACCCATGGTGTACCTATCCCTATTAATGTATTGTTAAATGCTTACATTAAAGCAAGTGTGTAGAAATAAGGATATACAGGTTGAGTATCCTTATTTGAAATACTTGGAACCAAAAGTGTTTTGGATCTTTAAATTTTCCGATTTTGGGAATATTTGCATTATGCTTACGATTTCCTAATGTGAAAATCTAAAGTGCTTCAATGAGTTTTTTTTTTTGTTTGTTTGTTTGTTTTGTTTTTGTTTTTGTTTTTGTTTTTTTTTACAGAGCCTCGTTCTGTTGCTTACGCTGGAGTACAGTGGCACGGTCTTGGCTCGCCGCAGCCTCCGCCTCCTGGGTTCAAGCGGTTCTTCTGCCTCAGCCTTCCAAGTAGCTGGGATTACAGGGGTGTGCCACCACTCCTGGCTAATTTTGTATTTTTACTAGAGACGGTGTTTCGCCATGTTGGCCAGGCTGTCTCAAACTCCTGACCTCAAGTGATCCGCCTGCCTTGGCCTCCCAAAGTGCTGGGATTACAAGCGTGAGCCCCTGCGCCTGGCTGAGCTTTTCTTTTCAGCATCATGTTGGAGCTCAAAAAATTTTAGATTTTGGAACATTTTGGATTTCAGATTTTTGGATACTCAACCTGTATAGCTGCTGGTAGAAGTCACGGAATTTCTGAATGAAGAAAGGTTACAGTGCTTCTCAAACTTGAATGTGCATACAGATCACTCTGGGGTAGTCTGGGGTAGAGCCTGAGTCATTTGTGGGGTCAGTAGATCTGCTGGGAGCCTAGGATTCTGCATTGCTAACACTTTCCCCGGAGATACCTATGCTGTTAGTCGCTGAAAAACAGTTTGAATTAACAAGATTCTGTGTTCAGAAAATTGTAAAATGCTAGATACGGAACAAGATTTAATTGGATAAAGACTTAAACATCCATAAACACAATTTCCAGTCTCAGTGATAGTAGTTGAAAGAACTTGTTAGTTGAACACATAGTGAGTAGTAGGCCTCCATATTTTCTTTTCTTTCTTTTTTTTAAAAAATAGAGACAGGGTCTCGCTATGTTGCCCAGGCTGGTTTCAAACTCCTGGGCTCAAGCAGTTCTTCTGCCTTAGCCTCCCAAAGTGCTGGGATTACATGTGTGAGCCACTGCACATGGCTCATATTTTCTTTTATTTTAGATTCAGTGTTGAATTGGACCTTCTGGTCTTCTAAGAAGTTCTTGAAAATGGCTTAGTTGCTGTTTTCTCAATGGATATTTTGCCTTGATGTTGGTTTCCCCCAATGTTCTTTTAAGACCTGTGGTCACTGGTTGTCATTTAATCTTTTATTTCCCCATCTCTTACTACTTATGTCCTATTAGCAAACTACAGTTATGTAGGAATATTGAATCATTACAGGCTGCTTAGTATTGGAAGTAGGTAGAATGTTAATTCATTTATTTTACTGAGAAGATAACTTGGAATATTTTGAATTCTCTTTTTGATTTGTCTTTGTTTTTGATCCTGGATTTTAAAAAATTTTGTAACTTAGGGAAATTTTATAACTTTTGTAACTTTATAAATTTTATATCTTAGGGAAAAAGTAGGAAGGCCAGAAACCCATATACCTACCACTTTGCTGCAACATTTTTCTTTTTTCTTTTCTTTTTTTTTAAAAAATAGAGATGGAATCTCGCTATGTTGCCCAGGCTGGTCTCGAATGCCTCACCTTAAGCTGTCTTCTTTGGCCTCCCAAAATGCTGGGCTTATAGGTGTGAGCCACCACACCTGGCCTCAATATTTTTATTTAAAAAAAAATCTAGTCAGCTTTATTGAGGTATAGTTTACATACAATAAAATTCAACAATTTTTTAAGTGTACGAATTCATAAATTTTGAGAAGTATATTTACTTGTATAACTACCTCCATAATCATAGAACATTTATATCAATCCAAAAAGCTCCCTGGGCTATTTGCAGTCAACTCAAAATACTTTCTAATTTCCATTTGATTTCTTCTTTGACCCATGAACTACTTAGAAATGTAAATTCCTAATATTTGGGGATTTTCTGCATATCTGTTATTGGCTTAATTCTCCTGTAGTCAGAAAACATACTCTTAGATTTTAGTCTTTTAAAATTTGTGGAAACGTGCTTTGTGGCCTAGGATTAAGGTCTATCTTTGTGACTGTTCCATGTGCCCTTAAAAAGAAATATATTCTATCTATCTAGTCAAGTTCTTTGTGTTTAAGTTTTTAATAATCTTACTGATTTTTTTGTCTGCTTGTTCAGAAAGGAGTGGTATGATTTCCAACTCTAGTTACAGAGTCTGCTTTTTTCTGTTCTATCAACTTTTTCTTCACATACTTTGAAGCTTTTTTTATGTACATAAATACTTAGGCTTGTTGTGTTTTCTTCTTGAATTAGGAAATGTCCCTCTTTATCCCTCATAATTTTTTTTGTTTTGTTTTGAAGTTTGTTTTTTCAGCTATTACTGTAGCCACTCCAGCTTTCTTTGGATTAGGGTTTGGATGTTATATATTTTCCCGTCCTTTTTACTTTAACTCATCTTTATTTTTGTGTCTGTTAGCATATATTTACATTTTCCTTTTTTAAAAAATAACAAGGCTGGCGTGTCATCTCATGCCTGTAATCCCAGAACTTCGGGAGGCCAAGCCAGTAGGATTACTTAATACCAGGTGTTTGAGACCAGCCTAGACAACATAGCGAGTCCCCATTTCTACAAAAAATAAGAAAGATTAGCCAGGCTGGGCGCGGTGGCTCACACCTGTAATCCCAGCACTTTGGGAGGCCGAGGTGGTTAGATCACTTGAGGTCAGGGGTCTGAGACCAACCTGGCCAACATGGCAAAACCCTGTCTCTGCTAAAAATACAAAAATTAGCTGGGTGTGGTGGTGCATGCCTGTAATCCCAGCTACTGGGGAGGCTTAGGCAGGAGAATCACTTGAACCTGGGAGGCAGAGGTTGCAGTGAGCCGAGATTGCGCCGTTGCGCTACGGCCTGGGCAACGAGCGAAACGCTGTTTTTGGGAAAAAAAAAAAAAAAAAAAAAAAAAAAAAGATTAGTCAGGCATGGCATGGTGGTGCACCAGTTTCCAGTTACTCAGAAGGCTAAGGTGACTGGGTTGCTTGAAGCTAGGAGGTTGAGGGTACAATGAGCTATGATCACGTCACCACACTCCAGCCTGGGCAATGAGTGAGACCCTGTCTCTTAAAAATCAAAAAGCGAAATGACAGCTTTTGCCTTTTAATTGTTATGTTAGATCATTTACTTTCCCTTCTGCTTGCTCTTCCCCTTCCCCTTCGTCTTCTCCTTTTCCCTCTCCCCTCCCCTCCCCTCCCCTCCTCTCCCCTCCCCTTCGGAGATGGAGATCTCTCTCTGTTGTCCAGGTTGGAATGCAGTGGCCGTTCACAAATGTGATCATAGTGCATTGCAGCCCCAAACTTGGGCTCAAGCAGTCCTCCCACCTCACTCTCCTGAGTAGCTGGGACCACAGGTGCACACTAATGTACTCAGCTGGATCATTTACTTTTAATGTAATTATTCATATGGCTGAGTTTTAAACTGTCATCTTTCTATTTGTTTTCCATCTGTTCATAGTTCTTGTCCCCCTCTTTTCTTGCATTTTTCGGGAGTAATATACTTTTTTTTTTTTTTTTTTTTTTTTTGGGAGACTGAGGTCTCGCTCTGTCGCCCAGGCTGGAGTGTAGTGGCGCGATCTCGGCTCACTGCAACCTCTGCCTCCTGCGTTTAAGCGATTCTCATGCCTTAGCCTCCTGAGTAGCTGGGATTACATGCACCTGCCACCATGCCCCATTAATTTTTGTATTTTTAGTAGAGATGGGGTTTCACCATGTTGGCCAGGCTGGTCTCGAACTCCTCGCTTCAAGTGATCCACCCGCCTTGGCCTCTCAATATAAACTTTTAAAAATGATTCAATTTTATCTCTGCTATTGGCTTTATGATGATATACCTGTTGTATTTTTTAGAGGTTGTTCAGTGTACAATATCTATAACTTATCACTGTATACTTTCAAATAATATTACTTCACTTCATATGGAGTATATGTACACTGTGTTTCTCCTCTGTTTTCTGTTGTGCTGTTATTGTTACACATTTTAATTCTGTGTGTCATAAATTCCACAGTAGATTGTGTGTTTAAAAAATGTATTCGCTTAACTTTGAAAGAGATTAAAAATGAGAAAATAAATCCTTTTTATTTTCTTATATATTCATTATTTCTGTCACTTTTATTATTTGCATCAGTGTAGGTTTCCATCTGGTATTATTCCTTCTATCTGAAAAACTTTATCATTTCTATTAATGGAGGCTACTAGTGATGCATTGTAAGCTTTGAAGCCCAGAAGGGCTTCGTTTCACCTCCTCTTCTCACCTTCATTTGTGAAAGTTATTTTCACTGGCTATAGAATCTTAGGTTGATAGAGTTCTTTTTTTCTTGTAGTACTTTAAATATGTGGCTGCATTTTCTTCTGACTTAACATAGAGTGTGCTGTCAGTTTTATCTTTGTTCCTCTGTTTATAAAATGTGTCTTTTTTTTCTGGCTCCTTTAGTGCTTCCCTACCCACAGATGATTTTAAGAATTTTTTTTTCTCCCTAGTTTTTAGTCATTAGCTTATGACATGCCTTTATGTGGTTTTTGTTTATTTATTTATATTTTTAATTTTAATTTTTATTTTTGAGACAGGGTCTCACTTTGTTGCTGAGGCTGTTGTGATCATAGCTCACTGCAACCTTGGACTCCTGGGCTCAAGCGAACCTCCTGCCTCAGCCTCCTGAATAGCTGGGATTACAGGTGTGCAATAAAAAGTATTCCTGGCTAATTTTTACTTTTTTTTTTTTTTTTTGGTAGAGACAAGGTCTTGCTATATTGCCCAGCTGATCTTGAACTTCTTGGCCTTGAACAGTCCTCCTGCCTTAGCCTCCCAAAGTGCTGGGACTGCAGGCATGCACTACCATGCCTAATTTTCTTTTATTTTTTATATTCATATAATAAATACGATTTATTTATTTATTTATTTTGTTTGAGACAGGGTCTTGCTCTGTTGCCCAGGCTGGAGTGTGGTGGCACGATCATAGCTTACTGCAGCTTTGACTTCCTGGGCTTCAAGCAATCCTCCTACCTCAGCCTCTCGAGTAGCTGGGACTGTAGGCATGTGCCACTGTGCCCAGCTAGTTTTTATATTTAGTAGAGACAGGGTTTGGTCATGTTGCCCAGGCTCGTCTTGAACTCCTGGGCTCAAGCAATCCACCCGCCTTGGCCTCCCAAAGTGTTGGGATTATAGGTATGAACCACCGTGCCCAGGCTCTGTGGCTAATTTCACTCCACTAGTAAGGTGTTATTTTTCTGAGGACTGTAGCAATGCTCCATACATTACAAGGTCTTTCTTCTCTAGATGGTAGAAATATGAACATTTTCCAGCCCTGTGTGAGCTTTGAGGATTGTTTTGCTTCCTTCTACTGGTGGTTCATTTTTTCTGAGGCGGGAGTTTATTTTCTCACATGCTTAGATCAGTAGTCAGCCAAACCCTTAGGGAACCCCCACTTGAGGTGGCTGGAGCTCTCTCTCTGTTCAGCTTCCTCCTTTCTGACACTCTGGCACATAGATTCTAAATACCTGATCTCCCTGAACTCAGAGGTTGTCTCAATTAAGTGGAAACTTCAGGCTCTTGGTTTCTTCTCCCTGTCATTTGGCCTGGAGACTGCTTACAGGCAGTAAGCTGGGCCAGTTGTAGTAGATCTCACTTCATTTGTTTCTCTTGTCACATCTTTTATCTAGTTTTCTAATTGTTTATGGTGGTAGGCTAAATTCAGTCTCTATTACTCCTGAAGTAGCTAGTGATTTAATAATTTGCATATTTTTTTCTTTTTTACCCTGCCTCCCACCCTAGAATCTGTCTAGTGTGAGTTATGGACATCGTGTCATTTTACCCTTAAATATTTAAAATGAACCTCCCAAAATTTAGAACCTTCTCCTTATAATAACAATGTTGTTGTACTAAGGAAAATTAATATGAATTTCTTTCTTTTTTTTTTTTTGAGACGGAGTCTTGCTCTGTTGCCTAGGCTGGAGTGCAATGGCACGATTTCGGCTCACTGTAACTTCTGCCTCCCGGGTTCAAGCAATTCTCCTGCCTCAGCCTCCCGAGTGGAGACAGGGTTTCACCATGTTGGCCAGGCTGGTCTTGAACTCCTGACCTTGGGTGATCCACCTGCCTCGGCCTCCCATAGTGCTGGGATTACAGGTGTGAGCCATCACGTCTGGCCAATATGAATTTCTTAATATAATCTAAGACTGATTCTGCTTTGTCTAGGATTGTTTCCAAATGTCGTTTGTTTTCTTCTCAATTGGATTCTTTTTCTATTTTCCTTTTATTGTTTCTTTCATGGTTTTTTTCTCCAGTGTGTTTTTACAATGTTATGTTCATGGTTGTGTGTCTCTTCTCTACCCAGTTATTCTTTTTGCTATGATATAAAGTGGGTGAGTTTATTTTTTATTTTTTATTTTTTGAGGTGGAGGCTCACTGTTGTTGCCCAGGCTGGAGAGCAGTGGCGTGACCTTGGCTCACTGCAACCTCCGTCTCCCGGGTTCAAGAGATTCTCCTGCCTTAGTCTCCCAAGTAGCTGGGATTACAGGCGTCAGTCACCACGGCAGGCTAATTTTTTTTTGTATTTTTAGTAGAGACTATGGGTTTCACTATGGTTTCACCACTCTGTTGGCCAGGCTGGTCTCAAACTCCTGACCTCAGGTGATCTACCCACCTCAGCTTCCCAAATTGTTGGGATTACAGGCATGAGCCACCACACCCGGCTTGTGATTTCTTTTTTCTTTTCTTTCTGCCTCTGAGACCAGTGTATTTTTTTTCCGCCTTCCAATCTTAGTTTGAGGGGCTGATTATTTTGTGTTTTATTCACGTTTCTGCAGTCACGGGGCTGTGATCATATATAATTTTTTTGAGAATTCCAGGACTCCCATTCTCTTGAGATTTTTAAATAAGTGAATTGTGTGGCATCTGAGGGCTAGGGGCAACATCAGAAGTCCAGTGTGCCATGCTTTCCTACATTTTCATTAAAATATTATTTCATTCCTTGGCTGCCTGTTTGAAAGATTATATTATTAGGTTATGACCAGTGTTGTATTTAGCACACTGTCTTGAAAAAAGAAAAAAAAAATCCTCTGATTTGGCTGGGTATGGTGGCTCACACCTGTAATCCCAGCACTTTGGGAGGCTGAGGCAGGAGGATCGCTTGAGCCCAGGAGTTTGAGACCAGCCTGGTCAACACAGTGAGACCCTGTCTCTACAAGAAATACAAAAGTTAGCCAGGCATAGTGGTGCGTGCCTGTAGCCTGAGCTACTGGGAAGGCTGATGTAGGAGAATCACCTGAGCCCTGGAGGTCAAGGCTACAGTGAGCCTTGATAGTGCTACTGCACTCCAGCCTGGGCAACAAAGTCAGACCTTGTCTCAAAAAAAAAAAAAAAAAAAAAAAGTTCTCAAATTTGTAGCCTTTTCAATGTCAGTTTCCATGGTGGTGTAAATACTCCCTTCATGGCTGATTTCAAGCTACAAACATAATGTTACAGAGCATGAAGTTGGGAAGGGAACTGACACTCATGAGCATGTATCAGCCAAATTGCTTATCTTTTTTTATTTGATTTCAGTTCTTTTCTTTTTTTTTTTTTTGAGATAGGGTCTCTGTCATCTAGGCTGGAGTGCACTGGCCGTTATCATAGCTCACTGTGGCCTTGAACTCTTGGGATTAAGTGATACTCCCTCAGCCTCTTGGGTAGCTTGGATTACAGGTGCATGCCATCATTCCTGGCTAGTTTTTTTGTATTATTTATTTATTTATTTTTACTTATTATTATTTTTTGTGACAGAGTTTTGCTCTTCTTGCCCAGGCTGAAGTGCAGTGGTGCGATCTTGGCTCACTGCACCCTCCACCTTCCGGGTTCAAGTGATTCTCCTGCCTCAGCCTCTTGAGTAGCTGGTGTTATAGATGCATGCCATCACGCCAGGCTAAGTTTTGTTATTTTTAGTGGAGACGGGGGTTTCACCATGTTGGCCAGGCTGGCCTTGAACTCTTGACCTCAGGTGATCCACTCGCCTCGGCCTTCCAAAGTGCTGGGATTACAGGCATGAGCCACCGTGCCCGGCCTATTATTTACATATATATATTTATTATTTCAGACAGAGTTTTGCTCTTGTCACCCAGGCTGGATTGCAATGGTGCGGTTTTGGCTCACCGTAACCTTCGCCTCCCGGGTTCAAACGATTCTCCTGCCTCAGCCTCCCGAGTAGCTGGGATTACAGGCACCTGCCACCATGCCCAGCTATTTTTTGTATTTTTAGCAGAGGTGGGGTTTCACCATGTTGGCCAGGCTAGTCTTGAACTCCTGACCTCAAGCGATTCACCCCCCTCAGCCTCCCAAAGTGCTGGGACTACAGGTGTGAACTACCACACCCGGCCACCTGGCTAATTTTTAATTTTTTGTAGAGACAGGGGCCTTTCTATGTTGCCTAGGCTGGTCTTGAACTCCTGGACTCAAGTGATCCTCCCACTCTGGCCTCTCAAAGTATTGGGATTACAGGTGTGAGCTACTGCATCTGACCTGATTTCAGTTCTTGAAGTTTGTTCTATGTGTGTGTGGGGTGGGGGCAGAGGGGCAGGTAGGCTGCTTTATCCTCTACCCATGGCCCCCTTATTTCCCTCTTCATTAAGTATTAGGGAATAGAAATTATGTAATTCAATTTCATACATTATCTTAATATAAGTTTTTTTCCCACAGTACTGAGATTACACAAATACTGATATTTAGGCATAATTAAGATAAACATTCATAGGTCTTATATAGAAGATGATAATGAGATGGACTTGGTAACTGTGTGTCCCGGGGAAGTGTTTTTAGCTTTCCCAATTAAACCCTATGAATCATGTTCTATCTCAATTACAAAGATTCAGAAAATCATTACTCAGGTCTTTTGCCAGTGAAAGTGAATAGTATGTTGCTTTTATAAAATTTGTGTGTGGGACAGAGAAAAGATGACTTTGTTTAATAACTCTCCCAGTAGAATTTCAGCTGTGTAAATCGTTGAGCTTTTGTCATGAGTGCTTCAGAACAGCAATAGTTATTGTTTTAAGTTATCAAAAGTGACAGAATACTTTATCTGAACTGCGACTTAAAAACTTGACTTTTTCCTGATTTAAGCAGCAGAGACAGAAATAAAAACCAGCTTGACGCCTTTGGTGCCGAAAAAGGAGTGGAATCCACAGTTCTGCAAAGCCAAGCTTGTGCTATGGCAACTCAGACCACTTAAATCCAATTCAGTAATCCAGTGGAAATTTTCAAAATGAAAGAAATTATTCAAAAGTTCTCATTCTTCCCCATTATTGATTTCTTCTTTTTTGCTAAACTCAATTATACTACATTTATAAGTATGTTTAAAGGATACAGAAGATGCATTGGTATATTTGATTCCATTATTTAGTCTTGATTTTTAAAAGTTCCATGCTAGGCCGGGCGTGGTGGCTCATGCCTGTAATCCCAGCACTTTGGGAGGCTGAGGTGGGCGGATCACGAGGTCAGGAGATCGAGACTATCCTGACTAACATGGTGAAACCCCGTCTCTACTAAAAATACAAAAAATTAGCCGGGCGTGGTGGCAGGTGCCTGTAGTCTCCAGTTACTCGGGAGGCTGAGGCGGGAGAATGGCGTGAACTCAGGAAGTGGAGCTTGCGGTGAGCCGAGATTGTGCCATTGAACTGCAGTCTGGGTGACAGAGCGAGACTCTGTCTCAAAAAAAAAAAAAATAAAATAAAATAAAATAAAATAAAATAAAATAAAAGTTTCATGCTAGTGGGTTTTATTATCTCTTAGACATTGGCTTCACTGAAATTTCTTTGCTACTTGTGAAGATAGTTTTGGACTCATTCTTCTCACCTCTCTTGGGAGGAGTGTGTTCAAGAGGAGAAGGAAGTAACTCAATAGTAGTTTAAGTTGAATTGTCCTTTTATGCCGCTCTTTGTGCTCGTAAGCATTTTGCATGCATTTAAGGTAGGCATTGTTGTCTCCATTTTACAGATTAAAAAACCACCTCCTGAGATTTAAAAAAGTTAAATAATTACTTAGCTCATGTGGTTATGGCTAGGAAGTGTCAGAATTCAACCCAGTTTTGTTTTTTCTTCCTGAATTCTTGGCTTCAGTGTGTGTATATTGGTCTGAAAGGCAAAGTGTGGGAGAAGGAAGAAAAGGAGGAAGGGGGAAGAGATGATGATGATGGATAATTTATTGAACCTTGCCTCTTTGGTAGGCTCTCTAATATTAATTGTCACACATGGTTTAAATCATTTAATCTGTGAGTCTTAAGAGAGAGCTACTCTAGTTTCTTCATTTTATGGACAGGAGACTGAACCTGAGTAGTTTTCTATTCGATCTGGGAAACAACTAATGATTGAAGGTAGTGGTATTCAAACCCAGATCATTTTTTTTTATTCTAGTAAAAAATGCTTAAGGTAAAATGTACTGTCTTAACCACTTCTAAGTATACACTTCAGTAGTGTTAAGTATATTCACATTGTTGTCTAACAAATCTTAGAACTTGAACCCAGATAATCTGACATCAGAGTTTATGCCCTTAACCACATAGTGCATAAACAGAAAATTTAGTGTTGGATCACAGAATTTAGTGTTGGATAATAGATGAACCATTTTTAGACAACTTGTTTTATAAAAGAGGACAATTTAGTTAAAAATTTTACTTGATTTGTCAAAGAATCACTTTTTTTTTTCTTCTCTTGAAGATGGAGAAATAAGGATTAAATTTACTTTCCTGCATGAAAGGAAACAAGGAAACCAGGAAAAATACAGAAAGACAATTTTTTTTTTTCTTTGAGACGGAATTTCACTTTCGTTGCCCAGGCTGGAGTGCAATGGCATGATCTCGGCTCACTACAACCTCTGCCTCCTGGGTTCAAGTGATTCTCCTGCCTCAGCCTCCTGAGTAGCTAGGTTTATATGCAGCCACCACCACACCCAGCTAGTTTTTGTATTTTTAGTAGAGATAGGGTTTCACCATGTTGGTCAGGCTGGTCTCGAACTCCTGACCTTAGGCGATCCACCTGCCTCGGCCTCCCAAAGTGCTCGGATTACAGGCGTGAGCCACCACGCCCAGCGAAACAATGGTTTTTAAGGCATTGGTCATCAGGTAGTGAAGGACCCTGAGAGGGGAAACAGTAAGGTTGGCCCTTCGATTGTGCCAGCTTTCTGCCTTGAGAGATTTATGGGTTGTGGTACTATGAGAGGGAACCTAGGTAGAGTCCAGGGAACTTCCTCAGTTGAAGAGATGAAGCTGAGGGTCAGGGGAGACCAAAGTGGCTGGAGTTCACAGACAGAATATCAGGGTGAAGAGAGAGCTGCACAGAGGATCCCTGAGATCTGCAGAGGCTTCCACTGTAGTGTTCAGCAGAGCTCTAATCAGCCCATATGTGGAAACTACCTGAGGCTAAAGAATCATCCCAAAAGATTAGATTGAACGGTACCTGGTGCTCAGATAGGGCTATAAGTAGTGCCTTTTCTTACCAGGTAGACTGGAAAAACTCAGTTCATGGAGCATTGGGTAGACTACTGAGATAGGTCTTGCCTCAGTAGTGGGAAATAATTAGCCCCAGACTGAGCACTCATTCTACATAAATTTGTCCAGAGAATTGAAGAAGAGGTAATACTTCTCAACACATTTTTTTTTTACCCCAATACCAAAACTTGACAAAGATAGTACAAGAAAAGAAAACTGTAAGCCGGTATATACCCTGAACACAGAAAACAAAATTCTAAACAAAATTACAGTAAATTGAATCTGACAACATGACCAAGTAGGGTTTATCTCAGTAATGCAAGGTTGGCTTAACGTTCAAAAATCAGTAAAATTTAATTCACCATATTAATACATTAAAAAGAAAAAATATGATCATCTTAATAGCTGCAGAAAGAGCAGGTACAGAAATAAGCATTTGTTCCCGATAGTTTTTTAACTTTTTATTTATTTTTATACTTTTTATTTATTTTTATTTTATTTTTTATTTTTATTAGGGATGAAGTCTTGCTATGTTGACCAGGCTGGTCTGGAATTCCTGGCCTCAAGCAGTCCTTCCATCTCAGCCTCCTAAAATGCTGGGATTACAGGAGTGAGCCCCTGCACCTGGTCCTGATAGTTTTTATCAGCAAAATGTGAATAGAAGAGAACTTGCTCAGCTTGATAAAGGACATCTAAAACAAACCTATGGCTAACATCCAAACTTGTGTGTGCGGTTGGAATTACCCTCACAATAAGTTTTAATAATATATGTGTTAATATTAATGCAGAATTCATAATAGTGCTGGGATTAGGGAGAAGTTGTTTCATACATATTCATAGATACTTGAATAATCGTGTTAGAACTAGAAGGGGTCTTCAAGATGATACTAATTCAGAATGTTGTTTTTTTTTTATAGGTCAGTATGGGAATCCTTTAAATAAATATATCAGACATTATGAAGGATTATCTTACAATGTGGATTCATTACACCAAAAACACCAGCGTGCCAAAAGAGCAGTCTCACATGAAGACCAATTTTTACGTCTAGATTTCCATGCCCATGGAAGGTAAGTAAATTTATTGCTGACTGTGTCTGAAGTTCCTCTATATTCAATCTAAGTTAAAGAGGAGATTTATATCCTTAATTTTCCTTCTCTAATGCAAGGTCTTCATTTGGAAATTCCATTTCCACTGGAATTTGGTATATGCATTAAAAAATGACTTATTTTAAAATGGATTGCCCTTTTATATTGTTGAGGAAACAGTCAAATTTAAATGTTTTTGAATTTATGAATCAGATCTTACATTAGTAAAAGATATGTCTTTAAAGAAGATTCTGTGTACATAGTTTCTGACTACTTTTTATATGTTTTATGGTCAATATATCTATCTACTGGTGCCAGCAGTGAAGGTAACTACTTATATGCCATTGAATACATCATTTACTCAGTTTTACCAGTTCTAAAATGACAGCTGGTAGACAGATTACCTGCTGTTTTGTTCAGTTCTCAAACAGAATTGTTAAGTGATAAAGGGGAGTCAAGGGAGAGAGGTTAAAAAAAATCACTTATTGAGTACCTGTTGTGTTCTAGATGCTTTATATGCATTTTCTTGTTTAATCTTCTCAACATCCAGACAGAGGTAAATAGCTTTTTATATCCGAGGAAACTAAGGCTCAGAGAAGTTAAATAACTTACACAGCACTGATTTTACCGAGACCTGGCTGAACACCCCTTATTTTTTCTCTATCTGTTAGGGACACTTACAGAATCTTGGGGATCTTTGTGAAGCCCTCTCTGTCTTATGTGTAATTATTAAATCTATTCCTTTTGTACTTTTTGTACTGATGTAACCCTGATTGATTACTGTAGTGTTCACTTCCTAATAAGTTTCCCCGCTTCTGCTCTGTTTATCAATAAAGCTATTCTACTGCTATGAGATGACTTTTCTCTAAATACTTCTTTTTTCATGTCAGCTTATTGATCTAAAGTCTTCAATTAATGATTGTTAGCCAGATTTTCTTAATTTGACTTTTAAGTTTCTCTGTAAATTAATCCTAGTCTATTATTCTAAACTTACTTTGTTTTACTTGCCAGCATCAAGTGTGTATTTCACCCAGAATGATCTTCTAGTCTGTGAATATACCATGTAAACTTTGTTCTGTGTCATTTGTCCTAAATCCTGATCATCTTTTAATGTACAATTCAACTTCTGCCTCTTAGACACTTTACTTTTTAATTCCGTCTAAACTTTAAAGTTACTTATCTGAATCATTGGCATCATTTGTGCCCTCTTCCTTTTTGTGGGTACTTCTTATTAATTTTTCCATAACCGTGTTTTCTGTTCCTCACAGCAGGCATCCTGGCTACTATTTGGTATTATCCATTATATTGCACATATGGTACACGTGCTTAAACATTTTAATGGATGAAAAATCAGATAATTAGGAATGCTGTGAAACTTAAAGTATTTTGTACATGAAAATAAATGTGTCACTTAAATTAATGTATTTTCCGTATTACAAAAGTAATGATTATTGTTGAAAAAATTACTTTTAAGTTATAAAATCTTCTTTATCTGAAGGAGGGAAAAAGATTTATTTCAGGGTCTTTTCTTCTAGATAAACATTTTAGTGTATTTATGTACTATGAAATTACAAGCAATCATTAGTCTTACTGTTTTTAATGAGCATCTCAAAATATACTTAGTATTATTAATTATATTAATCTATACCAAATATGGTTTGACTGCCAAAAGGAAAAGATTTTAGCTGCTTTTGGCTTAAATATCTATTCCTATTATATAATTAGATTTTTGTTAGCTGTGTCATGTAATTCATATTGAATAAATGGCAAAACTAAATCCCTAGCTCCTTTGTGTGTGTGTCAGTGAGTGAGAGAGAGCAGGGAAAGCGAGAGAGTTTGCATGAGTGAGTGGGCTGCCATGTAGTTGTCCAAAAAATGTTTACTGACTGCTAGTGAAAAGTTACTTAGTATAGACTGTGGGTGATAGAAACATAAATCAAACATAGATCTCATAGGAGCAGTTAGATGTGCCTGTTATTGTATAAGGCACATGTGATGTGTTACATTACAGATAAAATGCTATAGATATTCAAAGGAGGGAGAACTTCTTGCTGAGGCACTAAAAAAGGACCTGAAACCAGGAAATCTCATGTAATGTGGTCTCATTTATACAGGTCATTTTAGGGTACTTTTTTTTTTTTTTTGAGACAGAGTCTTGCTCTGTTGCCTGGGCTGGAGTGTAATGATCCTCTCTTGGCTTATTGCAACCTCTGGGTTCAAGTGATTCTCCTGCCTCAGTCTCCCAAGTAGCTGGGACTACAGGTGTGCGCCACCATGCCCGGCTAATTTTTGTATTTTTAGTAGAGACGGGGTTTCACCATGTTGGCCAGGCTGGTCTCGAACTCCTGATTTCAAGTGATCCGCTCACCTCGGTCTCCCAAAGTGCTGGGATTACAGGCATGAGCCACCATACCTGGCCCATTTTAGGGTGCTTTTAACACAAATCTGCTTAATTAACTATACAAACTTACTGTATTTTCTGTAATTCATCCAATTTCAGATATTTTAGTTTATTTTCCCAATTTTTATATATTCACTCTGTCTCAGAATTTCTGCCCTAAACCGTGGTCATTTTAATTACCTTTTAAAATACTTTACTTAAAAATGTAAAGGGCTGATGATCTTGTTCCTCCCTTTCCTTGAAAATAGGCCTACAAAATGACTGGAGTAGTATAATTACAGATTTCCTGCTAGGTCTTTCTTCCTCTTCTATCGTCTAACAAATATTAGTCTTGGTACACTGTAACTCCTCCTAACAGGATTTCTATCTGTATATAAATTATTTATTATTTGTTAATAACATTTTGTATTTTATTTTTATAAATTTTTATTTTTTGTATTTAATACGAATATGTTTTATTTTTATTTTTAGGTAGATTGGCTCAACACATAATAAATATAACTTTGAAATGACTTTGAGTTAGAGTTACTTGTAGCCCAGCCTATAAGATGTGTACTATCTTGTAGCCCAGCCTATAAAATTGTACTGTCTTATACATTGTGGCTAGAATTGTTTTCTGTATTTCACCCTTTAAAAAATATCAAGTAGAGTTTATTTTTTTTATTCACATAATAGGCTTTAGTCCCCTAGAATCTGATCAGTATACTTTAACACATAATAGAATATATTAAATACTGTGCAGTTAACTTAGACATACCAAGAAGAATATACTTGGAAGGGGTTTTGCTTATACAGTTGTGACTTACATTTCTGGGTAGTAGCACAGCTTCTGTGTGTGTGTGTGTGTGTGTGTGTGTGTGTGTGTATGTGTATGTATAAGTATTAAAGTAATTTTTTGTGGTTTTTATGTCTAAGCACATGAACACACTTTCAGCATGGCTTCCAAGTTTTCTGATTAACAGAGTATATTATATGCCATGTTTACAGATGTTACTGTTAAATGAAGAAACGTTTATATTTTTCCAAACCAAAAGTCCATTCTTAAGAATTCTATGGCCAGGTGCGGTGGCTCATGCCTGGAATCCCAGCACTTTGGGAGGCTGAGGCGGGTGGATCACGAGGTCAAGAGATCGAGGCCATCATGGCCAACATGGTGTAACCCCGTCTCTACTAAAAATACAAACAATTAGCTGGGCATGCGCCTGTAGTCCCAGCTACTCAAGAGGCTGAGGCATGACAATCGCTTGAACCAGGGACACAGAGGTTGCAGTGAGCCGAGATCACGCCACTGCAGTCCAGCCTGGCGACAGAGCAAGACTTCATCTCAGAAAAAAAAAAAAAAGAAAAGAATTCTATGAAAAGCTGTTGCTCTTGAAATAAAGCTTAAAGTTGTTTGAAAATAAAAGTACCATTTGAGTCAGTGCCATAGTCGTTAAGGAAACAACTCCAGTAATACTTACTAGAAGATTAAACTGTTTTGATAATAGATATTAGGGTAAAATACATCTCTTAGCTTGGCTGAGAAATTAAGAATCAGTTTTCTGAGTTTCAGAAATCACTGAATAAGTTCTGATGAATTGGATTGCTCACTTAGCAATGCTGTATATATGTCAGTTATGGCATTTATTTTATTATAACTTTATTTACATGCATATGTCCTCTACTCCTTGTGAACTTGAAGTGCAGAGTGTGAATCTTACTCATCTTTTTGATGTCGATGATGGTCATTTTAGTTATATTGAGTGAGTGAATTGCTGGACATGGTGGCTCATGTCTGTAATCCCAGCACTTTGGGAGGCTGAGGTGAAAGGATCACTTGAGCCCAGCAGTTTGAGACCAGTCTGGGCAACATGGCAAGATCCTGACTCTACAGAAAGATTAGAAGAAACTTAGCAAAGTGTGGTGGTGCATGCCTATAGTCCCAGCTACTTGGGAGGCTGAGGTGGGAGGATCACTTGAGTCTAGGAAGGTTGAGGCTGCCGTGAGCCATGATTGTGCCACTGCGCTCCAGCTTGGGCGACAAGAGTGAGACCCTGTCTCAACAAACAAAACACCACCAACAAAACATTTAAGTACATAGATACTAGGAAACAGATTTTCTTCTTAAATATTTTATACTCTATGTCATCCTCATCGGTAATTGTTCTTAATGACTAAGTAGTAAGCAGATTTGTCATATTGTGGGATGCAGGATTTTTGTTCGAAATTTGTTTTCTCTCAGTCCTCGTGTTCATGTGAAAGTGCGTGATGTATCAGGGACTGTCTTGTAATTTCCCTTCTCTTGTTCTTAGATACCATGTTGTCCTGCCGTTCCTGTCTTGTTCTTTTTTTTGAGGCGGAGTCTCGCTGTGTCACCCAGGCTGGAGTGCAGTGGGGGGAACTTGGCTTACTGCAAGCTCCCTCTCCTGGGTTCATGCCATTGTCCTGCCTCAGCCTCCTGAGTAGCTGGGACTAGAGGCGCCCACCACCGCTCCCGGCTAATTTTTTTTTTTGGTATTTTTTAGTAGAGACGGGGCTTCACCATGTGAGCCAGGATGGTCTTGATCTCCTGACCTCATGATCCGCCCACCTTGGCCTCCCAAAGTGCTGGGATTACAGGTGTGAGCCACCACGTCTGGCCTTTTTTTTTTTTTTGAAACAGGGCCGGGCTCTGTTGCCCAGGCTAGGGTAGAGTGGTGAGATCTTATTTCACTGAAACTCTTGCCTCCTGGACTCAAGCCATCCTCTCACCTCAGCCTCCTGAGTAGCTGGGACTACAGGCACACACCACCATGCCTAGCTAATTTTCATATTTTTTTTTGGTAGAAATGGGGTTTTGCCATGTTGCCCAGGTTCCCTTGGCCTCCCAAAGCTGGGATTACAGGTGTGAGCCACCGTGCCTGGCCATTCCTATCTTAACCATCATGTACTTTAGCATACTATAATTTCCAGAAATTTTTCTTACGTGGTTTTTGTAAAATGCAGGTTAATATTGTTTATGTTTTGATTCTATATAACATGTTGGAATATCTCTGTATCACCTATATTGATATAGGTGAAAATAAGAATAAATATCTGTCTTAGATTTAACAAAGGTTATTAATATAGCATGAGAAAAACTTCATTGCAAGATTGATCGCTTTTATAGCTTTTAGTATGATTCTTACGTTGTATGTATATATATATTTTAACTTATGCCTTTTGTTTGCACCTGTCATTGAAGAGAAGCATAAGGGATCACTCCACTCTTTCTTCTTCCTAATAGAGCTTGTAGGAATTTTCTGAAACACCGTTTCAAAGTGATAATTAAAAAAATAAGTAAAATGAAGTATCTGAGACTCTTACTTAAAACGATTGTCTGTTATGATATAGTTTATCTTTTTGGTAGGAAGTATATATACACTATTATATTGAATTATTTTTGTGGTTGTATGTATATGTACGTTTAAACCTTTTCATTCTTCATATCTTGTTTTCCAAATTATGTACTTTGGGGTAGGCATCTTGTCTTTATTTTCTGGTCTTCTCGCCACTTTGCTAACTTGACTGTCTTTGATAGAGTTGGTAGCTTACAGCCACCAACTTTGCATTTGAGTAGGAAGCCACTTAGTAAAGAATTTTGTGATTTTATATATGTATTGGAGTAGTCATAAACTGGATGGAGAAAGGAGTAGTGTGGTTAATTCAGACTAATTGACTTTCCTTCTGACTTGACATGAAATCTAGAGATTTCTTCTGAGCCTCAGTTTCCTCATTAGTAAAACCTTGAAGTTTAGACAAGATAATATTTAAGCTCCTTTATGCTTTAAAATTCTACAAAATATATTAGTATACTAAGTTTAAAACATTAAAACACTAGTCAGTAATAAACCATATTTTTCTGCCTGTGTATTTATTTGGGTACCTCAGTCCATACATCAGAAATGATTTTTATGTAATATGTGATTTGTATATAATATAGAAGAAACCAAAAACTTTCCTTAAGTGCAATATAATTGTTTGGAGAATATACAACTTTATTTTTTTCTGAATTGACAAGGTAATTCTTCCTGTAGCCTTAAGAGTAAATTTCCAAACTGTTTAAAACAAATGATTAGACATTTGGTTGGAAGTTTTCTTTGTGGTTTGGGATTTGAGTTCTCCCTACTCCTGAAATATGAAGGTTTCAAGAATATGGCCCAGGTAACCTGTAAAAGGCATAAATATTCCCTTCACTGGTTCTTGCCTGGAGTTGGGTTAGTCTGGAGATGTCTGTGACTTAATCTCTGTTATATCATGAGTCAGGTAGCAGAAATCTAGGGCACTTTTAAATCTGTAGACAAACCAGCAGACTTTGAGAAGCAGAGGTAAGAATCTAGGGAACACAAATGAATGCCTGATCATAGAGAAGAGCTAGGGAATAAATTTGAATGGTGTAAAAATACTATTGTTATAGATGTTTAAAAACAAAAATTTAAAAAATACTGATGGTAGTTAAATCTCTTCCAACAAAATTTGAGCAAAAATTCCCAAAGGAAAATAATATTTATTTAGTACCTACTTCGTGTCAGGTATAGTGCAACATACGTTAGTTAAAGTACATTTTACATTGCTTTTTATCTCAGTATTGGATTTTCTAGGATATGGTATTCTTTATTCTTGCCTGATTCCGCTTTATACGGAAATTAAAATCCCAAGAAAGCTGTTTGTAAAGAAATCTGAAGGGATAATGGCTACTTGAATTACTTACTGAAGCATAAGGAAAAGGAAAAGCTGATCTGTGTTCATGTTATTTTTGTATGACTAAAAGTAACTAATATTGCTGACAAAAGGGTATGTGAATTTTATATGACTAAAGGTTATTAGGAGCTGATCATTGCTTTGAGTTTAGTGTCTTAGATATAATTTTAATATGAAATATCAATTTTATTTTCCACATTTTTTTCCAGGCTGGGGTGTAGTGGTGTGATCTTGGCTCACGCAACCTCTGCCTCCTGGGTTTAAGTGATTCTCCAGCCTCAGCCTCCCGAGTAGCTGGGACTATAGGCGTGCACCACCACACCCAGCTAAATTTTTGTATTTTTAGTAGAGATGGGGTTTCACCATGTTGGCCGGGATGGTCTCGATCTCCTAACATGATCCGCCTGCCTTGGCCTCCTAGAGTGCTGGGATTACAGGCGTGAGCCACTGCACCTGGCCTATTTTACATGTTTTTAAGCACTAACCAGGCCTTACCTGGAAGAGAGGGAATGAGGGTTTTTGTTGTTGTTGTTGTTTTAAAATATAAACTCAACTTTCTCCCTCCTCCTTTGAAAAGGGTATGGAAGTAAGAGCGTGAAAGTATTTTTCTGGCTGTTTTTAATTCTTTGGAGAAATTGTTTCCTCTAAAAGGTAATCTAAAACAGGCTTATATCTGATGGCTTATTTAGTGGTGTATTTTTTATTTTTTATTTATTTTTTGAGGTGGAGTCTTGCTCTGTCACCCAGGCTGGAGTGCAGTGGTGCAATCTTGTCTCACTGCAACCTCTGCCACCTGGGTTCACGCAATTCTCCTGCCTCAGCCTACCTAGTAGCTGGCATTACAGGTGTGCACCACGACACCTGGCTAATTTTTGTATTTTTAGTAGAGATGGGGGTTTCACTATGTTGGCCAGGCTGGTCTCGAACTCCTGACCTCAGATGATCTGCCCACCTTGGCCTCCCAAAGTTCTGGGATTACAGGCGTGAGTCACCGTGCCTGGCCAGTGGTGTAGTTTTTAATGCCAGAGTTTCTAGAGTTGGTGACCTAGACAGTGAATGTCAGAAATTACGTATATGCCTAGTAGAAAAGCCTATATATTGTTTTTCTTAATTATGTTATATTTCATGCTAAAATGTTTCATGTTCAGTTGGATCTTTTGTGAGATAAGTACCCTAGCTCAGATTTTATCTAGATTCATAGTCAACCTTGGATTTTTCTGTTGTTCAAGTGGTTAAGCTCCTTATAAGGTTGTTGTGGCGTTTTCTTAAAGGTGCAGCAAGGATTTTATGTGACTAAAGGTTCTTTTAATGTTTATCCTATTTCATTATACCTGAAAATCTTTTATAGTAACTGTGTTGAATATGTTTAGTTTATTGGTTTGAATATGCTTGTTTGGTGTGTTTTATTAAGCATCAGGGAAACCTTGTATTATAGTGTAATAGCTTTAAACTGATTAAAAATTCTTTGGTCATCATATATACAGTTCCTTTTAGATATAGCTTCTGAATACTTATTCTTCAGTTAATTGTATTATAACCTGTTTAATTTCTTAAAGTCATTCTGTACCTCTGCAGGTTGACATACATTTTTGATACTTGTATGCAGGAATAAAGTTGTTAATTTGTGTGCATCTCTGAAATCTGAAATTATAATCACTTTGCACTAGTAAGTTTCCAAAATAGTCTATATTGAACCAACAAGTCAAATATAAACACAAGGTCTAGCAAATCAAGAATCTTAGTTATCATGGTGTGGGACAGATAGTTGTGTTATATGCCAGTATCAATTGCCAGGTTGGTATTTTATTATTTATTTAGGATGGAATGAATGACAGGGTCTTGCTTTGTTGCTCAGGCTGGCCTCAAACTTCTGAGCTCAAGCAGTCCTCCCACTTCAGCCTCCTGAGTAGCTGGGACCATAGATGTGTGCCATTATGCTCGGCTAATTTTTAATTTTTTTTGTAGATAGGGCTTCTTGCTGTGTTGCCCGGGCCGGTCTCGAACTCTTGGGCTCAAGCTATCCTCCTACCTCAGCCTCCCAGAATGCTGGGATTACTGGTGTGAGCCACCGGGTGTGGCCTCAATTATTTTTTTTTTATCTGTCACCAGGAAGATGTTCAGCATTTTGCCATCCTGGGGGCTCCCTTATATATCCTAAGCAAGGAATTATAGTTTGATGTGACGGAAAGACTGTTTCAGATTTAAACTCTGATTTTGTGTGCTCTTGGTCAAGTCCACTTCATCAGTTTGTTAAATTAGTAAATTTAGGTGATTGTTATTTTATACAGTTGGTTTACATTAGATACCTGAACAGTGGAAGTCTCCCTCTATTCTTAAATCCTGTCATTGTTTTATTGTTTTGTTTTTGTTTTTGTTTTTTTTTGAGACCGAGTCTCGCTCTGTTGCCCAGGCTGGAGTACAGTGGCGCGATCTTCACTCATTGCAACCTCCACCTCCTGGGTTCCAGTGATCCTTGTGCCTCAGCCTCCTGAGTAGCTGGGATCATAGGTGCTCACCACCACGCCTGGCTAATTTCCATATTTTTAGTAGAGATGGCATTTCACCATATTGGCCAGGCTGGTCTTGAATTCCTGACCTCAAGTGATCCACCTGCCTCGGGCTCCCAAAGTGCTAGGATTACAGGTGTGAGCCACTGCACCAGGCCCTTAATGTTTTATACATAGTAGTTTACTTGCCAATTATTTAATTACATAGTTGTGCGAGGTTGGAAAGTGTTTATAGAAAACTTTTTTCTTTTCAGTAGATAAATCAACTTATTCTGTAATCATGTATAATAGGTGTAACCATGTGTTCTGTAATTATGCCATCATGACAGGTTCTTTCCATTGGCCCTCCTTTACGTGAGACTCACGTTGTTGTTCTGTTTGTCTTCTTACATAGGATGAAGTTACTCATTTTAAGTTTTAGTTTTACTTTTATCTTCCTTAGGAACTCTTGTAGATTTGTGTTTATGTATTTTTGCTTATTTTGAGGTAATTCATTTACTTCAGGGCCATCGGTTAAGCCTGGAACTGTGTTTTCCTTTTCCTTTTTCTTGTTCTTGTTTTTTTTTTTTTAGATGGAGTCTCGCTCTGCTGACCAAGCTGGAGTGCAGTAGCGTGATCTCAGCTCACTGCAGCCTCCACCTCCCAGGTTCAAGTGATTCTCCTGCCTCAGCCTCCTGAGCAGCTGGGATTACAGGGGCACGCCACCACGCCCGGCTAATTTTTGCATTTTTAGTAGAGATGGGGGTTTCCCCTTGTTCCCCAGGCTGGTCTCGAACTCCTGACCTCAGGTGATCTACTGGCCTTAGCCTCTCAGAGTGCTGGGATTACAGGCGTGAGCTACTGTG
This sequence comes from Homo sapiens, assembly GCF_000001405.40. Lineage (NCBI taxonomy): Eukaryota > Metazoa > Chordata > Mammalia > Primates > Hominidae > Homo > Homo sapiens. The sequence goes on along the minus strand of NC_000015.10, from coordinate 58,707,107 downwards.
CCTGGCTGAGCTTTTTTCCCCCCCCCAAAGTTTATAGCCCTAGAATTTCTTTTCTTTTCTTTTTCTTTTTATCTTTTCTTTTCTTTTTTTTTTTTTTTTGAGATGGAGTCTCACTCTGTCACCCAGGCTGGAGTGCAATGGCGCGATCTCAGCTCACTGCAACCTCTGTGTCCTGGGTTCAAGCGATTCTCCTGCCTCAGCCTCCTGAGTAGCTGGGATTACATATGCACGCCACCATGCCTGGCTAATTTATGTATTTTTAGTAGAGGTGGGGTTTCCCCATGTTGGCCAGGCTGGTCTCAAACTCTTGACCTCGTGATCCACCTGCCTTGGCCTCCCAAAGTTCTGGAATTACAGGCATGAGCCACCGTACCTGGCCGAGCCCTAGAATTTCTGTGGAAGATGCCTGGTGGGGTGTACATTGGCTGACTCTCTACCCTTTCCCCCTTCCTCCTCTGCAGACCTGTTCCTTTCCCTTCCAGTTCCTCTCCTCTTCCCCTCCTCCTCTCCTTTTCCTTTCCCTTCCCTATGATAACTTGAAAAAATGACTTTTCTATTTTAAAAAGTATACTAGTGGAAGATAATTGGCTCAAAATAATATTTGTTGTTAATATTGGCAACTTATCTTAAAAAATAATTTGAATGGAGACTCTCTCAAGCATCTTAATTAGGAAGGTGAAAGTTAAGAGGAAATGAGTATCTGGAAACATCAGAAATGCCTTAGTTAAGTACAGTTACTCCTAGTAACCACTAACCCAGGCCTGTCATAGGCCTGCTTCATTTTAGATATGATAGAACTCTATTCATGAACACACTGCTTGTCTCTGGGACTCCTGGATTACTCTGATAGTACCTCGAAGCAAGGATTTTGCCCTCAAATTTCCTCTCTGTATTGGCAACGTACTTCATTAGTTGGGGCTTTATGTCCCATTATGACTTCAGTTAAAAGGATGCACCCTGTATTTTGTTTTCTTCTGAGTATTAGAACCATACTGTCTTTAGCTAAAATAGCAACCCCTTGGGAAAAGGCAACTTCTTTTTAGTCTACAGTAGTCCATCCTTGTTTGCAGAGGATAGGTTCTAGATTCCCCAATGAATGCCTGAAACTGTGGATGGTACTAAACCCTAAATATATTAAATTTTCCTTTACATAAATACCTATGATAAAGGTCAGTTTACAAATTAGGTACAGTAAGGGATTAACAACAATAACAAATAACAAAAGAGAACAATTATGATAACTACTGTAAGTTATGTGAATGTGGTCTCTCTCAAAATATGTTACTGTCCTGTACTCACCTATTTTCAGACCACAGTTGACTGTGGATAACTGAAACAATGTGGGTAAGAGGGGACTACTCTATATTCTAACTATTCTAACCTATAGAAAGTATTTCTGTATATTAAGATGTAGGAGGTACATAACCTTCCTGAAAACTTATGGAATGACATCCTAACATAATTTATTTTGTTGCTCTGCACCAAAGGTGGTTCTGGTATGTCTATTATTTGTCTGGTTTGGATGTAAAATGCTTTTCTAAAGCTTGAGAAAGAAAAACCAGCTATTACTACGACGTGGTAAAACTGCATATTCAGAGCACTAAGACTAGGGACTCAGTATCTGTTTGGTGCATTTTAAAAATTTGCTATCATTTGTTAAACTGATTTTGTCCTCCTATAACTTCACTCCATTCTTTACAATTTTACTACTTAGCCAATGCCAAAAAAAGAATCATAATAGAACCGCTATAATCAAGATGAGAAACATAATACTTACTGATTCATAAAATCAATACAGTGGTTAAATCTGAGGGTAGGAAAACATTCCCAGTGGAAATAATGTTCTTTATACAGGACATCTTACCTCCTCAAGGAAATCTACAGTTTATTTTTGATGACGGTGTAGTATATTATAAAATAATAAAAACTAAACTTGCTGAAAGAAACATAGTAGTGGACAGAGTTTAGCCATAGTCTTGAAAGTGGCTCAAGCATTAAAAATCAAAGAGAGTTTTTTGTGGTAATATTGTAAAGCACAATTTTCAGTGAAAGCCAAATTAGGTTATAATTTTTATTTCTATATCTTACTTGCATTTGTTCAGTTTTCAAAGACTTGCTGGAGACTAATGATGTTACTTTAAGACTACTACAACACTCCGCATGTGTTAGCTTGACTTTTTCCATCATATGCTTGAGAGGCATTCTTGATACAGTAGAAAGAGCAATATGCGGCAACCAAATACTAGAGTTCTACTCCTAATTTTAGTCTTACGACCTTGAGTCATACCCTTTGATTAAAATATTCATCGTGTCTCCTTTGTACTGTTACTCTGAGGGTAAGATGCAGTAATATATGTAAAAGTGCTCTGAAAACTGCAAGCCTCTATGCTGTATACATTTAAGAAGAATGTTGTAATCTCATCATTATCTTCACATACCATCTTCCCAACCAAATCCCTTGAGACTTTAACCATTATGAAACATGGCCACACAATTTGATTTTATACCCCAGCTTTTTGGAATGCAGTGATTTTTAAAAATTTATTTTTATTGTAGTAAAATGAAAAGCTACCATTTTAACCATTTTTAAGTGGTAAAGAGCAAGATTTTTGCCCTGTGGTTTCCTCTCTGTATTGCCAAAGTTCATTGGTTGGGGCTTTATGTCCCATTATGGCATCAGTTAAAAGAATGCATTAAATGGCATTAAGTACATGCACAACGTTGTGCAACCGTCACCATATCCATCATCACAAACAGAAAGTATGTACTCATTAAACAGTGACTCCCCATTTTTCTCTCCCTCCAGTCCCTGGCAACCAACTATTCTACTATCTGTCCCAGTGAGTTTGCTATTCTAGGTACCTCATATATGTGGAATCATGGATTATTTATGACTGACTTATTTCACTTACTGTATTAGTCCATTCTCACATTGCTAGAAAGAACTACCTGAGGATGTGAGGGCAATCTGGCTGCAACATTTGTCACCCCATTAATCTCCAGCGTTCATTCGACTGATCTGGCTGGCTAGATGGGTGTCCCCTTCCTCCCTCACTGCTCCATGTGCATCCCTCCTGAAGCTGCATGCTTGGTCGAAGAGGACGACCATCCTCGATAGAGGAGGACTGGTCTTTGGTCAAGGGTATATGGGTAGCTGTGCTCCCCTGCTAGAACCTCCAAACAAGCTATCAAGAACTACCTGAGACTGGGTAATTTATAAAGAAAAGAAGTTTAGTTGCCTCATGGTTCTGCAGGCTGTACAGGAGGCTTGGCTGGGGAGGCCTCAGGAAATGTACAGTCATAGCAGAAGGAGAAGGGGAAGCAGGGACAATCTCGTGAGAACTCACTCGCTATCAGAAGAACAGCAAGGGGGAAATCTGCCCCCATGATCCAATCACTTCCCACCAACTCTTCCCCCAATACTGGGAATTGCAGTTCAACATGAGATTTGGGTGGGGACACAGAGCCAAACCATGTCACTCACCATAATGTCTGAGTTATTTCACTGACTTATGTCTGACTTATTTAACTTATCATGATGTTTTCAGGGTTCATCCATGTTGTAGCAAAAATCAGAGTTTGGTTGCTTTTTAGGGCTGAACAATATTCTATTGTATGTATACATACATACTTTAAAAAAACCTATTCATCTGTTTGTGAACATTTGGGTTGTTTTCATTTTTTGTCTGCTGTGTTGCTATGAACATTGATGTGCAACTATCTGAGTTCCTGCTTTCAGTTTCTTTGGGTATATACCTACAAGTGGAATTGTTGGATCATATGGTATTTCTGTGTGTTTTTTTTTTTTTTTTTTTTGAGGGAATACCAAATTGTTTTCCTGGAATACAGTGATCATTATAAGGCAATATATACTGCAGTTTTTCTGACTGTTGAGTCGAAGTCTAAACAATTAAAGAATCTGGTTGTTTTCAGATAGCTTTTTATTGAGGGCTTGTTAAAAAACTAAAAAGGTAGTATGTGGTTGGGTTGTTCCTGTCAGCTACTTTTTATTATTATTTCATGACATGTTATCCAACAGGAATATTGCAAAGATTTACATTTTATAAAATGCTAAAATAGCATAAAGATGTGGACTGTCAAACAGATTGTAGTAGAATTAAAATTAGAAAGCTATAATCCAGTCGCTTGGTTAACGGAATAAATTATGTCAAATTCCTGATTATTCATTTGTGGTTTTACTATTTTATGGATTGTGACAATCTTTAATTTGTTCTGGCTTCTTTCTACTATTTACCTGCCTTCTGGGCTCTCCCTCATTCCTTCTTCTGTTCATGTATGTTTTAGATACAAGTTAATTTTGATGTTAATAGAAGCAGTGAATTTTGATATGTGATTTAAATTTGATTTTTAAATTATCTGCACTGCTACTTGACTGCATATATACTTGAGAACTGATTTTATATGTGGTTTTAATCCAATTTAAATCAATACTGGGAATGTTTTGTATCTTAGACATTATTTTGTTTTAAAAATTATTTTAAAAAATTTAAATACATAATACTTGTACATGTTTCTGGGGTACTTGTGATATTTTGTTACATGCATACAATGTGAAATGATCAATTCATAGCATTTAGGGTGTCCATCACCTCAAGTATTCGTTATTTCTATGTGTTGGGAACATTTCAAGTCCTCTTTTTTTAAACTATTGTGAAATATACAATGTATTGTTGTTAACTGTAGTCACCCTACTCTGCTATCAAACATTTGCACTTTTTACTTCGATCTAATTGTATGTTTGTACCCATTAACAACCTCTCTTCATCTCCCCTCAAGCCCCACCCACTCACCCTTGCTAGCCACTGGTATCTATCATTCTGCTGTCTACCTTCATGAGATCAACTTTCTAATCTCACCCATAAGAGTGAGAACATGGGATGTTTGTCTTTTTGTGCTTGGCTTAGTTCACTCAACATAATGACCTCTAGTTCCATTCATATTGCTGCAAATGATAAGATTTCCTTTTCTTTTTCTTTTTTTTGAGACAGAATCTCGCTCTGTTGCCCAGTCTGGAGTGCAATGGTGCGATCTCGGCTCACTGCAACCTCCGCCTCCCTGGATCAAGCGATTCTTCTGCCTCAGCCTCCTGAGTAGCTGGGATTAGAGGTGTGCGCCGCCACGCCTGGCTAATTTTTGTATTTTTGGTAGAGATGGGGTTTTGCTGTGTTGGCCAGGCTGGTTTCAAACTCCTGACCTTGAGAGATCCGCCCACCTCGTCCTCCCAAAGTGCTGGGATTATAGGCGTGAGTCACTGCTCCGGGCCTTATTATTATTATTTTTAATAGTCAAATTGTACTCCATTGTGTATATATGCTACATTTTCTTTAAACATTTATCCGTTGATTCACACTTAGTTGATTACATATCTTGGCTATTGTAAATAGTCCTGCACTAAACATGGGAGTGCAGGTATCCTGTTGACATACTGATTTCTTTTCCTTTGGATAAACACCCAGTAGCAGGATTGCCGGATCATGTGGTAATTCTATTTTTGTTTTCTTGAGAAATCTCTATGCTGTTTTGCATAGTGGCTGTACTAATTTACATTCCTATCAACAGTATAGAAGAGTTACTGTTGCTTCACATTCTCGCCAGCATTTGTTATTTATTATCTTTTTAATAACAGCCATTCTAACTGCGGTAAGATGATATATTGTGGTTTTGATTTGCATTTCCCTGATGGTAAGTAATGTTGAGCATTGTTTTTTATACCTTTTGGCCATTTCTATGTCTTTTTCTTCTTTATTTTTTCATCTCAAAGGACACAAACCAACATTTCTGTGTCTTCTTTTGAGAAATGTCTGTTCATGTCCTTTGCCCACTTTTTAATGGGATTTTTTTTTAAACTATTGAGTTCCTTGTATATTCTGGGTATTTGTCCCTTCTCAGATGAATAGTTTGCAAATATTTTCTTCTATTCAACAGGCTATTTCTGTTTTTTTTTCTTGATTAGCAAGTGGTCATTGATTTTATTTATCTTTTCAAAAAAACTTGGTTTTGTTTATCCTTCCTATTGTTTTTTGAGTGTCTGTTTTGTTGAATTCTGCCCTGTTTTTTTTTTTTTGTTTTTTTGTTTTTTTTTAAGTTGGAATTTTGTTCTGTCTCCCAGGTTGGAGTGCAGTGGCATGATCATAGCTCATTGCAAGCTTGAACTCCAGGGCTCAAGCAGTCCTTCCACCTCAGCCTCCCAAGTAACTAGAACTACAGGGCTCTGGGCTGTTTTTTTTACATTTTTTTAGGGATGGGGTCTTGCTATGTTGCTCATGCTGGTCTCGAACTCCTAGCCTCAAGTGATACTCCCATTTCCACCTCTCAGGGTGCTGGGCTTTCAGGCACTGAGTCACTGAGTCACCTTGATTATTATAATTTATTTTCTTCTACTAATTTTGGGTTTTGTTTGTTCTTGCTTTACTAGTTCCTTGAGGTGCTTCATTATATTGTTTATTTGAAATCTTTCCATATTTTTTGAGGTAGGCATTTATTGCTGTAAATTTCCCTGTAAGCAGTGCTTTTGTTGTATCCCATGGATTTTGGTATGTCGTGTTTCAAATTTTCATTCGTTTCATTTGTTTTTTGATTTCTTCCTTAATTTCTTTCTTGATCAGTTGTCTTTCAGGAGGATGTTTGTTTAATTTTCATGTATTTGTACAGTTTCCAAAGTTCTTGTTCGTGGTTTCTAGTTTTATTCTTTTGTAGTCTGACTTGATATGATTTCTATTTAAAAAAATTTGTTGAAACGTTTTGTTTCCTAACATATGGTCTATCCTCGAGAGTATTTCATGTGCTGATGAGAAGAATGTTGTGTACTCTAACTGTTGTATGAAATCTGTAAATGTCTTTTAGGCCTATTTGGTCCAATGTGCAGTTTAAATCCAATGATTCTTTGTTAATTTTATGTCTAGATCTGTTTAATGCTGAGAGTGGGGTGTTGAAGTCTACCAACTATTATGGTATTGCAGTTGATATCTCCCTTTAGATCTAATAATATTTGCATTACGTAATGGGTGCTCTGTAGTTGGGTGCATATATATTTAGCTACTCCTGCTTGCTTTTGGTTTCCATTTGCATGGAATATTTTTTTCCATCTCTTTACTTTCAGTCTGTGTGTGTCTTTACAGGTAAGATGAGTTTCCTGTAGGCAACATATAGCTGAGTCATGTTTCTTTTATCCATTTAGCCAATCTTTATCTTTTAAGTGGAAAGTTTCATCCTTTTACAGTTAAGGTTATTACTGGTATGTGAGCGCTTATTCCTGCCATTTTATTAATTTCTTGTTGTTTTGTATATTTTTTGGTTTTCTTTGGCTTTTTTGAGATGGGCTCTCACTGTGTTGCTCAGGCTGGAGTGCAGTGGTGCAATCACACATGGCTTACTGCAGCCTTGACCTCCTGGGCTCAGGTGATCCTCCCACCTCAGCCCTTCATAGTTGGGACTAAAGGTGTACGCCACCATGCTTGGCTAATTTTTAAAATTTTTTGTAGAGATAGGGTTTTGCCACATTGCTCAGGCTGGTCTCAAACTCCTGGTCTCAAACTCCTGGCCTCAAGTGACCTGCCTGTTTCGGCCTCCCAAAGTGCTAGGATTACAGATGTGAGCCACTGTGCCCAGCCTGTATATTCTTTGTTCCTTTCTTTTTCTCTTATTGTTTATCATTGTGGTTTGGTGGTTTTCTTTAGTGGTAACATTTGACTTCTTTTTCTCATTTGTGTATCTGCTCTACCAGTTAGCTTTATATTTCTGTGTGTTTTCATGATGGTGATCATCATCTTTTTGCTTCCAGATGCAGAATTCCTTTGAGCATTTCTTGTACAGTTGGTCTAGTTGTGTCAAATTACCTGTTTTTGCTTGTGTAGTAAGGACTTTATTTCTCCCTCATTTCTGAAAGAAAGTTTTCCTGGGTGTAATCTTGGCTGCCAGGTATTTTTTTCTTTTAGCACTTTGAATATATCATCCCATTTTCTCCTGGCCTGTAAGGATTCTGCTGAGAAATCTGCTGTTAGTCTGATAGGAGTTCCCTTGTAAATGATGAGATGCTTTTCTGTTATTGTTTTTAGAATTCTCTCTTTGTCTTTGACTTTTCACAGTTTGACTATAATGTGCCTTGGCAGAGACCTTTTCGAGTTGTATCTATTTGAAGGTCTCTGAGGTTCCTATATCTGGGTGTCAAAATTGCTTTCTAGATTTGGGAAGTTTTCAGCTCTTATTTTGTTAAATAGGTTTTTTATCCCTTTTGTTTTTTCTTTGCCTTCTGGGGCACTGAAAATTTGAATATTTGGTCACTTTATAGTGTCTACATGTCATGTATGCTGTGTTTATTCTTCTTTATTTTTATGTTATTGGATTATTTCAAAATACCTGTCTTAAAGTTGTGAAATTCTTTCTTTTGCTTGATCTAGTGTATTGATGAAGCTTTTGAAATAATTTTTGTATTTCATTCAATGAATTCTTTACTTCCAGTAGTTGCATTTCGTTCTTTTTTATGATATCTGTCTATCTTTTTTTTTTTTTTTTGAGACAAGGTCTCACTCTGTTGCCCAGGCTAGAGTACATTGATGCGATCTTGGCTCACTGCAACCTCTGCCTTCTGGGCTGAAGCGATCCTCCCACCTCAACCACCTGAGTAGTTGGGACTACAGGTTCACGCCAATATGCTGGGCTAATTTTTTTTTTTTTTTTTTTTAGAGATGGGGTTTTGCCGTGTTGCCCAGGCTGGTCTCAAACTCCTGGGTTGAAACGATCCACCTGCCTCAGCCTCCCACAGTGCTGGGATTACAGATGTGAGCCTAGCCCTATGATATCTGTCTTTGGTAAATTTCTCATTCGTATTCTAAATTTTATGATTTCTTAGTATTGTGTCTGTATATTGTACCTCACTTAGCTTTTTAAATATTATTTTGAATTCTTTTTCTGGGATCTCATAAATTTCTTTTTCATTGGAATCTATTGCTGCAGAATTATTTAGGTCATATTTCCTTGCTTTATCATGTTTCTTGGGTCCTTATTGCGCATATGGTATAACAGTCACTTCTTCCCAGTTTTTTGAATTCGCTTTCTGAGGCGAGGGCTTTTTCCTGAAGATGTGTTTATGATGTTGATTGGGTAGGGCATTTTGGCATGAATCTGGGTGCATGCAGTGGTGTAGTCTCCGTATAAATTATTCGGCTGTTTACAGCGTTAATAGTGTCTGATTTTCTCAGTGATGTAGGGTTTGGTTTGTTAGTGGAGTCTGTGGTGAGGCTTAGCTGGGGACAGGTTCACCAAGTGGGCCTGTCCTTGGGCCTTAGGGCAACATATGCTGGCACTGGTGTTAGCAGGTCCAGGTGGGCTGATTCTTGGGCCTCCAGGTGGCTTACTTGGGTGTTGGTAGGGGCAGTGGTTGGCCAGTTGGGTGGGCAGATTCTCAGGCTCCTGGGCAGCGTATGTGGCATGGTTGATAGTGGGAAAACCCTCTGTTTCCCAGGTGGTCTGTGCTGATAATGGCAGTGGCTGCAATGGGCTGGGCAGGCCAGTCTCCAGGCCTGCAGGTGGTGCATGTGGTTGGGGACCAGCTGTGGTATGTAATGGCAGATTGAGTGGGCTAAATCTCAGGCCCCTAGGAGAAGTGTTCACATGTTAACGGTGGTGGAGGGGGCTGGGTAGACCTGTCCTCAGGCCCACTAGTAATGTGTGTGGGTGTTGGCTGTGGTAGGCAGGGGTGGGGTGATCCCCATGGCCCCAGTGGAGTGCTCGAGTGGGGCCCTGCCACTGGGGAGGGAAGGGTTGCTTTCAGTGGCACCAGACATAAACATTCAGCTGATGAGTGGGTCTTTGGGCCCCAGGTGGCAGCTGTGGGCAGGGTAGTCTGTCCTCAGGACACTTGTAAAGGTGTAGTAGCTCCACTGCTTGGGGCAGCAGGGTCACTGCCAATAGTTTGTGGTTTAGCACCAGTGGCAGCAGCCAGCAGGAGTGGTGGCTTTGGGTGGTGGGAGTCTTACAGTCTAACTTAGGCCTCCTTGGGGCACATGAAAATGCATAGCAGCTCTGCTGCTGGGGGCAGTGGGGTTGCTGCCAGTGGTTTACACTTTGGCTTGGGGGCAGCATGGGATCACAACAGTGGCTGTAGGTGGGGATGTAAGTGGACTCCAGGGATATGGAGATGCCGGGGCTGTTTGGCCCCAGGGCAGGGTACAGCCTTGTTGGGGCTGGGCTCTCAAAACGTGCTGTGCTCTAGCTGCTTAGGACTAAGGAGTGGAGGGGACCGTTCATGAGCAGTATCATCGTGTGGTCCCCAGGCAGCTCCCTTTGTCAGTATGAGATGATTTTCTTATTATGAAATCGATATTGGCCAGGTGCGGTGGCTCACACATGTAATCCCAGCACTTTCCCAGGCTGAAGTGGGTGGATCACCTGAGGTCAGGAGTTCGAGACTAGCCTGGCTAACATGGTGAAACCGCATCTGTACAAAAGTACAAAAATTAGCTGGTCATGATGGCAGATGCCTGTAATCCCAGCTGCTCAGGAGGCTGAGGCGGAAGAATCACTTGAACCTGGGAGGCGGAGGTTGCGGTGAGCCGAGATCGCTGCATTGCACTCTAGTCTGGGCGAGAGAGAGTGAGACTCATCTTGGGAAAAAAAAAAAAAGAAAGAAAGAAAAAAAGAAATCAGTATCAAGGCTGTAAGGGGCCTACTTCAAGTGTTCTTAACTTCTGTTTTCCTTCTAAGTTGTTTATCTAGCTTGTACTTAGACACCTTAATAGATACATAAATATTTCTTTGGGTAGGGTGTATAGCATACAATGTTTTTTTTTGTTGTTGTTTTTGAGACAGGGTCTCACTCTGTCACCCAGACTTGGAGTGCAGTGGCGTGATCTTGGCCCACTGCAACCTCTGCCTCCCGGGCTCAGGATTCTCCCATTTTAGCCTCTCGAAGTGCTGGGAGTAGCGTGTGCCACTACCGCCCGGCTAATTTTTGTATTTTTATTTTAATTTTTGAGGTGGAGTCTCACTCTTGTTGCCCAGGCTGGAGTGCAGTGGTGCAATCTTGGCTCACCTTAACCTCTGCCTCCTGGGTTCAAGCGATTCTCCTGCCGCAGCTTCCCAAGTAGCTGGGATTACAGGCATGTATCATCACAACCGGCTCATTTTGTAATTTCAGTAGAGATGGGGTTTCACCATGTTGGTCAGGCTGGTCTTGAACTCCTGACCTCCGGTGATCCACCCGCCTCGGCCTCCCAAAGTGCTGGGATAACAATTGTGAGCCACCGCACCCTGCTTAATTTTTATATTTGTAATAGAGACAGGGTTTCACCACGTTGGCCAGGCTGATCTTGAACTCCTGACCTCAAATATCTATCCGCCTCAGCCTCCCAAAATGTTGGGATTACCACCAATACCGTGCCAGGCCAGAATGTTCGTTCTTTTTTTTTTAGACAAGTCTTGCTCTGTTGGCCAGGTCTTATATTAAAACTTAAATATCTTTTTGTAGCTTTTGCCCTCAATTTTTTTTTACCATATAGAATACTAGTGCTTTCATTTAACAGGGGTTTCAGGGTGCAATTTTGCTGAATAATAAATTTTAATGACGATGCTGTTTTGAGATAGTGTTTTTATAGTAACTGTAAATGTGTAAATATGATAATGATTTTTCAAAATAGTGTGTACCTTTATAAACATAATTTATGTATTTACAGTCACATATATGGCCTAGAATTTCCTATCAGTTTGCAAAAGTAATTTTATGAAAATACATGATAGGCAGCAAAAGTTGAGGCAGGATACTTGTTTGTTCAGGAGAGTCTATTTTTAAGTTTGTGGAGTTCTCATTTAGAAGATGTGTTGGGCTTTGTTGATTACTTAACAGCAGTAGCTTGGGTCCTTAAGGCTTTAAGTAGAAAGCCTGGAGTTCTTGTACCTGGGAAGCCCTGGGAGTTATTTGGCAAGAGGAATGTGAGTACAGCCTCAAACTAAAAGGGTGCCAAGACTGACGTGAAATGAAGGAAAAGAGAAAATAGACAATGTTTAAAAATGTACACAGTTTTCAAGCTAGTAAATGTATGCTACTGACCCCTACTTACATAAAATATATTCATGTTAGGTATATAGTTAGAGGTGCATTTTGGCAAATGTATATACTTAGGCAACTGCCATTGAAATCAAGATAAAGAATGTTTCTGTCGTATCACAAAATTCCCTCATTACTTTTTACTCTTAGTCTCCACCCTAGGCAACTACTGATTTGCTTCCTGTCACTACTAGATAGATTTTGACTGTTCCAGAATTACATATCAATGGAATTAGACTCTGCATTCTTTTGTGTCTTAACAAAAGTGCGTGTTTTCAATAGTTGGCTTTTTTTTTTTTTTAATTTCTGAGTAGTTTGCCATTATATGAATACATCTTTCTCTTTACTTGTTGATAGACATTTAGGTTATGTTCAGTTTTTGGCTATTATAAATAAAGCTGCTGCTAACATTTGTGTTCAGTTATTTGTGTGGATATATGCTTTATGTTTTCTTTTTTCTTGAGTAGAATTGCTGGGTCATAAGCTTTTTTTGTTTGTTTGTTTGTTTTAGATGGGGTTTCCCTCAGCCTCCCAAAGTACTGGGATTACAGGCACTAGCCAACTCGCCTGGCCTTGTTTGTTTTTGTTTTTGTTTTGAAAGGGAGTGTTGTTCTGTTTCCCAGGCTGGAGTGCAGTGTCGTGATCTCGGCTCACTGCAACCTCCTCCTCCTGGGTTCAAGCAATTCTCTTGCCTCAGCCTCCCAAATCACTGAGATTACAGGCACCTGCCACCACACCTGGCTAATTGTTGTATGTTTAGTACAGACGGGGTTTCAAACATGCTGGCCAGGCTGGTCTTGAACTCCTCACCTTCAGTGATCTGCCTGTCTCGGCCTCCCAGAGTGCTGGGATTATAGGCATGAGCCACTGTGCCTGGCCTGGTTTTTATATGTTTGACTTTGTAAGAAAGTGCTAAACAGTTTTCCAAAGTGATGTTGTCATTTTCCATTCCCATCAGCAGTGTGTGAGTTCCAGGTACTCAACACCCTACTAATATTTGGAGATGTTATTCTAGCAAAGGGTATGTGATAATATATTATTCTAGTTCTGATTTACATTTCTTTGTTGACTAATGATGTTATGTAGGTTTCCATATGCTTGTTTGCCACCTGTGTATCTTCTTTGTGAAGTATTTTTTCACATTGTTGTTTGTCTTTCAATGGTTGTCTTATTATTGATTTGTAAGAGGTTTTTAAAAAGATATTCCGAATATAAGTTCTTTGTCAGACCATATGTATTGCAAATGTTTTCTCCCAGACTGTGGCTTGCCTTTTTTTTTTTTTTTAAAGCTATTTCTCAGCGGAAGTTTTGAATTTTTAAGAAGCCCTTTTAATGAAAAAATTTTTTTCTTTTATGATTTTTGCTTTTGTTTCTTAAGGTAGCATTGACTACCAAGGCCATGACAGTTTTCTTCTAGATGTTTCCAGTTACAGTTTTACATGTAAGTCTGTATTGCAATTCAATTTAATTTTTCTTTATGATAGAGGTAAGGGTCAAGGGTAATATTTTTCACATGGATATAAATTTTTTAGCATCACTTTTTGAAAAACCTATCAATTCTTTGAATTGCCATGATCTATATATGTTGAGACCTATTTATATATTCTTAGGTCTTTCATTTCATTGATCTGTCTATATTTTTATGCCACTGTTTGGTTACTGTAGCTTTATGGTACATGTGCTAAGCAAGGTCCATTTACGAGGCAGAATCCATACAGTAAATTGAAGAATGAAATTTTAGTATAAAGAATTAGCTCTTGAGTCACCCCTGTGCAGCCTTGGTGCCGTGTGCATTTTGGACACTCAGCCCACCTTGCTCTCTAGTACTTGTAAGCCTTTTCCTTTCAAGATGCCTGCAGAGGTGTACCATGGAGAAGGGGAGGTGGCGACTTTTGCCTTTTAGGCAGAAATTGCCCAACTCATGTCTCTCATAATCAATACCTTCTATTCCAACAAGGAGATTTTCCTTCAGGAGTTGATCTCTAATGCTTCTGATGCCTTAGACAAGATTCGCTATGAGAGCCTGACAGACCCTTCCAAGTTGGACGGTGGTAAAGAACTGAAAATTGACATCATCCCCAACCCTCGGGAATGCATCCTGACTTTGGTCAACACAGGCATTGGCATGACCAAGGCTGATCTCATAAATAATTTGGGAGCCATTGCCAAGTCTGGTACTGAAGCATTTATGGAGGCTTTTCAGTCTTGTGCAGAAATCTCCATGATTGGGCAATTTGGTGTTGGCTTTTATTCTGCCTACCTGGTGGCAGAGAAAGTAGCCATCACAAAGCACAATGACGAAGAACAGTATTCCTGGGTATCTTCTGCTGGGAGTTCCTTCACTTTACATGTTGACCATGGTGAGCCCATTGACAGGGATACCAAAGTGATCCTTCACCTTAAAGAAGATCAGACAGAGTACTTAGAAGAGAGGTGGGTCAAAGAAGTAGTGAAGAAGCACCCTCAGTTCATAGGCTGTCTTATCGCCGTTTATTTGGAGAAGGAACCAGAGAAGGAAATCAGTGATGATGAGGAAGAGAAAGGTGAGAAAGAAGAGGAAGATAAAGATGATAAAGAAAAGCCCAAGACTGAAGATGTGGGTTCCGATGAGGAGGATGACACTGATAAGAATAATAAGAAGAAAACAAAGAAGATCAAGGAGAAATACACTGATCGGGAAGAACTAAACCAGACCAAGCCGATTTGGACCAGAAACCCTGATGACATCACCCAGGAAGAGTGTGGAGAATTCTACAAGAGCCTCACCAGTGCCTGGGAAGACCACTTGGCAGTCAAGCAATTCCCTGTAGAAGGTCATTTGGAATTCAGGGCATTGCTGTTCATCCCTCATCAGGCTCCCTTTGACCTTTTTTAGAACAAGAGGAAAATGAACAACTCTGTGTCCATCATGTGTGGATCATGGACAGCTTTGATGATTTGATGCCAGAGTATGTCGGCTTTGTCCGTGGTATGGTTGACTCTTAAGGATCTTTCCCCAAACATCTCCCGGGAAATGCTCCAGCAGAGCAAAATCTTGGAAGTCATTTGCAAAAACATTGTTAAGAAATGCCGGCTGGGCATGGTGGCTCACGCCTGTAATCCTAGCACTTTGGGAGGCTGAGGCGGGCAGATCACCTGAGGTCAGGAGTTCAAGACCAGCCTGGTCAACATGGTGAAAGCCCGTCTCTACTAAAAATACAAAAATTAGCTGGGCACAACGCCTGTAATCCCAGCTACTTGGGAGGCTGAGGCAGGAGAATTGCTTGAACCTGGGAGGCGGAAGTTGCAGTGAGCCAAGATCATGCCACTGCACTAAGCCTGGGCGACAGAAGAAGGCTCTGTCTCAAAAAAAAAAAAAAAAAAAAAAAAAGAAGAAGAAGTGGCTTGAGCTTAGCTTCTCTGGGCTGGCAGAAGACAAGGAGAATAACAAGAAATTAGATGAGGTATTCTCTAAAATCTCGTGGCTTGGAATCCATGAGGACTCTATTAACTGGCGACACCTGTCTGAACTGCTGTGGTCTCACACCTTCCAGTCTGGAGATGAGATGACATCTCTGTCAGAGTATGTGTCTTGCATGAAGGAGGCACAGAAGTCCATCTGTGACATCATTGGTGAGTGCAAAGAGCAGGTAGCCAACTCTGCTTTTGTGGAGCAAGAGTGGAAGAAGGGCTTCGAGGTAATATATATGAGTGAGCCCATTGATGAGTACTGTGTGCAGCAGCTCAAGGAATTTGATGGGAAGAGCCTGCTGTCAGTTACCAAGGAGGGTCTGGAGCTACCTGAGGATGAGGAGGAGAAGAAGATAATGGAGGAGAGCAACGTAAAGTTTGAGAACCTCTGCAGGCTCATGAAAGAAATCTTAGATAAGAAGGTTGAGCGGGTGACAATCTCCAGTAGGCTTGTGTCTTCACCCTGCCGCATTGTGACCAGCACCTACAGCTAGATAGCCAATATGAAGTGGATCATGAAAGCGCAGGCATTTTGGGACAACTCTATGATGGGTTATATGATGGCTAAAAAGCACCTGGAGATCAACCCCAACCACCCCATTGTGGAGACACTACAGCAGAAGGCTGAGGCAGACAAGAACAACGAGGCTGTCAGTGACCCGGTGGTGCTGCTGTTTGAAACCACACTGCTCTCTTCTGGCTTCTCCCTTGAGGATCCTCAGACCTATCCAGCTGCATCTACCACATGATCAAGCTAGGTTAGCTATTGATGAAGATGAAGTGGCAACAGAGGAACTCAGTGCTGCTGTTCCTGATGTGATGTGTTCCTGAGGATGTGTTTCACATGGAAGAAGTAGATTAAGAGTTTATACCTGCAAACCTTGTGCCCTTGCATAGTGTCCCCATGGCTCCCACTGCAGCTTTGAGTGGTCCTGTCCCACCTGGCTCTCTCTGCTGATATCTAGTATTTTTTCTCTTCTGTCCTTGTGTCTAAGGCAGGAAACAAGGGCATCAAGCCCCATTCCCTCTCTACTTTGACAGCAGAATTGGATGTTGTATATCCTGTTTTTTTGTTGTTGTTTATTTTGTTCTGAAAGTATGTAAAATAAAGAATATGCTGTTTTTATACAGTAAAACAACACAAAAGATTACCATTTCTGGGGATTAGCAACTAAAAGAGGATTATTTTTCTTGGCTTGTTGTGGTATCTGTAACATCATACTTAATGTTACAGAGTTGCATAAAAGTGGCAAGTGTGAATATCTTTACCTTCTTCCCAATCTTAGGAGAGAAGCATTCAGTCTTTCATCTTTAAGTATGATGTTAACTGGAGTTTGTAGTTGCATTTTATCGGGTTAAGGAAGTTCCTGTCTCTTCCTAGTTTGCTGAGAATTTTATCATGAGTAGGTGCTGAAATTTGTTAGATGCTTTTTCTGTACCTAATGAGATGATTTTGTGGCTTTTCTCCCCTTTGAATGCGGTGAATTACATTGATGATTTTAGAATGTTAAGCCAGCCTCTTATTACTTCATTTGCTTATGATGTATTGTCCTTTTTATTTATTGCTTTGTTCAGTTTTCTAGTTTTTGGTTGGATTTTTTTGTTTATGTTCATAAGGAATATCAGTCTTTTTTTTTTTTTTTTGGGGGGGGTCTGTCTTTGGTTTTGGAATCAGAGTGAGCCACATAAAATGAGTTGAGTACTCTTCCCTCCTGTTTTCTTAAAATAGTTTTATAGGACATCAGGGGAACCATCTGGCCCTGGTATTTTTCTTGTGGAAAGGCCTTAAATCATGAATTCATTTTCTTCAGTAGATAGGGGCTTATTCAGATTTTCTATATTTTGTGATAGTTTTCATAATTTGTACCTTTTAAGGAGTTTATTTTATCTAAGTAATTGAATTTATTTTCATTATGCTCATAATATTACTTTATCACTCAATGTCTGCAGTACTGGAATGATGTTTTCTTTTTTATTCTTCATTGACAATGTATTTTTTAATGATCTTTTTTATTGGCTGTAGAATTTGGATTGACATTGTTTTTCTTTCAGCATTAAAAAAGTTACTCCAATAATTTCTAGCTTGCATTATTATTATTATTATTTTTGTGGAGACAGAGTCTTGCTCTGTGGCCCACGTTGGAGTGCAGTGGCATGATCTCAGCTCACTGCAACCTCTGCCTCCTGGGTTCAAGCAATTCTCCTGCCTCATCCTACTGAGTAGCTGGGACTACAGATGCACACCACCATGCCCGGCTAATTTTTTGTATTTTAGTAGAGACAGGCTTTCACCATGTTGCCCAGGCTGGTCTCGAACTCCTAAGCTAAGGCAATCTGCCCACCTTGGCCTCCCAAAGTGCTAGGATTACAGGCGTGAGCCACCACGCCCGGCCTGCTTGCATTATTTCTAATGTTAAATCAGCAGTCACTCTGCATATAATCAGTCTCTTTGATGGATTTTAAGATTTTCTCTTTAACGCTGATTTTCAGCAGTGACTGTGGTGTGTTTTGTGGGTTTTTCTTTGTGTGTATCTTTCTTGGTGTTTGTTGAGTTACTTAGACTTGTGTTTATAGTTTTATCAGTTTGGAAGTTTTTTATCATTTTATCAAATTTTTTTTTCTGTCTCCTCTCGCTTCTTTATTTATTTACTGTTTGATAGGTTACTGAGGCTCTGGGTTTTTTTTTTTTAAACTCTTTATCTCTCTGTACATCAAGTTAGATAGTTTTTGTTACCCTGTCTTCAAGTTCGCTGATATTCTTTCTTGCAGTATCTCATCTGCTCTTAAGTCAGTCCAGTGAGAGAGAGAGATATATATATATATATATATAATTTTTTTTTTCATTTTAGAAATTATATTTTCCAATTCTGGAAGTTTCCTCCCCTCTCATTCCTTTCCCTCTCTCCTCTCTTCCCTGTCCCTCCCCTTCCCTCCCCTCTTTCGACAGTTTTTGGTTTCTCCTTATTGTGCTTATATTTTCCCCATAATTCTTTAACATATTTACAATATATAGACACTAAATCACTAAATCCTTGTCTGCTAATTCCGTTATCATTCATTCTCACTTTTTTTGGGGGGGACTAATTTTCTTCTTCTTTGTCACATTTCTTTATAGTTAGTGGTTTGGTTTTTTTACCCCTTGTTTTTTTTAATAGTTTGTGGTTTTTAATTGGATATTTCACATTTTGATTAATATTTAGTGTCTTTTTGTCGTTGTTTGTTTTTTTTAAAATTAGAGATGGAGTCTTGCTACATTGCCCAGGCTGATTGAAAACTCCTGGGCTCAAGCAATCTTCCCACCTTGCCCTCCCAAAATACTGGGACTACAGGTGTGAGCCACTGTGCCCACCTGTGTCTGGATTTTTAAAAAACTTTTAATTTAAAAATAATTGTAGAGTCACAGGAGCTTCTACTGGGAAGTCCTGGACATCTTTCCCCCAGTCTCCCTCAGTGTTCACAATTTATATAACTATATTACAACATCAAAACCAAGATTGATATTGGTACAATGCATAGAGTTTATTTGGGTTTCATCAGTTTTACATGTACGTGCATGTGTGTGTGCCTGTGCATAATTCTGTGCAATTTTGTCACATGGGTAGTCTTGTGTAATTATCCCTACAATCAAAGATACTCAATGGTAGCATCACCAGACTCCCTTGTGCTATCCCTTTATGGCCACATTCATCCCCTCCCCCATCTATAATCCTAAACAACCATTAATTGGTTCTCCATCTCCATAATTAGATTATTTCATGATTGTCGCATGAATCGTATTATGCAAGTAGTATCTTTGAGATTGACTTTTCCACTCAGCATAATTTTTTTGAAGTTTGTACAAATTGTTGTGTTTATCAATAGTTTGTTCCTTTTTATTACTAAATTCTATCCTATTGTATGGATATACCACAGTTTAACTGTTCGTATTTTTTTTTTAAAAAGTATGGAGTTTTGTTTGTTAGATAGTTGAGTAACTTGTGGATCAGCTTGACCCTTTTGAGCCTTTTTTTTTTTTATGATTAATTAAGCAGAAATTTTATTTCCAAGCTCTTCAAAGACTGTTACAAACACAAATAATGTATCCTTCTAAAAAAGTGTCCCAAATTAAATCAGATTCACATCATCAAAGTAAAACCCTTGTGAAGTTAAGAATTCTTTTAGGTTGTAATGTTTTTATGTTAGTTTTTAATCATTTACAATGTTCTGTGGGTCACATTTTAAACATTTTTAAATATATGAAATTCTGTATTTCTTTAAGTACAGCCACAGCTACAAAGTAGAGGAACGTAAGAATACAAAGACCAAATCTGCTTCATTTATATACACGATGGGGCAGCCTAATGCACATCATAACATTAACTTTTCCAAACAAGTTTGCTAAGAATCTGCTCCCATAATTAGTGTTAAAAATAAAACAATCTTCCCATTTAGAAAAATCAAGACATCAGTTGATTAGTAAAGCCTATTCTTCCTCCCAGCAATTTGTACTTTCTGGTCTTCATTTAGGAATTGTAAATTCATGAGAAAAGAACAAATTTTTTATGGTATAAATATCTTCCAGGAACAACAGTTTACAAGTATTCGATTGTTTAAATAAACAAAACTATTTTCCTTCCTAAAATGTAAACATCCAGTAAATGAAACATACATGATATTCCAGGTATAGAAATCTTAGTAACTCACTTATGAAAGAGGTGCATTTTGGTATGTTTGGTGGTAAGGTTTTTGTTTATCTTATGTATAAAAGTACTTGCACAAAAAAACAAGCTATTACTATTTAAAACTCTATTCCTTCACCCAGTTTCCTCACTCAAGTAGAAACTCATGAATTTCTGTGATTTTGGCTATAGGACGGGGCCACAGGAAAGGGCTGAAATATCTCTAAAAGTTAGGGAAAAGTGTTTTCTTGAGACTTGAAGGCAGTCATTCATCACTTTGTGCTTGAAGGCATTCCTCAGCAAACTTCTCTCTTAGAGTCTTCAGAGTAAAGCACAGGATCTGGGTTCCCAGAAGGGGTTACTTCCAGCTAGAACACCCACCAGCAGGGCATCCTTGCAGGCATTCTGCATACAGTACTGTTGAAGCTCTGCGGCTGCCTGAGAGACATTGATCCTCTCCACGCCAGCCTCCAACTTGAGCTGCTCCACCAGGCACTGCAGGGCGCTCGCGCTAGCCCCAGAGGACATGGTGGCGGCGCTGGGCTCCGAGGGCCCAGCCTTGTTTTTAAGCTTTATTAGGATAGGTTTGAAGTAGCCTTTATTCTAGGAATAGTTTGTTCCTATTTCCAAGGAGTGGCTTTTCTGGGTTCTCTATTAAATGACAACAAAGTCTGTCTTCTGTGCTTGATCACAACTTCGATGTATCCCTGTCTCTTGTAAGATCCAGTAATTGGTCAACTAACAGCTCCTTAATAGTTGTTTTTGGGCCCACCTTTGTGGAGTCTCTCTTTATGCATCCACGATAGTATTGAGCCACAGACTACAGGTGAACGCCTGTGCAGATTTCTGGAGTTCTTTCTCATTGTTGCACCTTCCTTTTTTCTTAAATCATAGTCCTTCACTGCTTGTTGTCTATTGTCTGAAAGCAGTTGTTTCATTTATGTAACTGAAAAACTGTATTTTTGAGGTGGGTAGGCAAGTCCAGTAATGGTTTCTCCACCATTGTGGCAACAAAACTTTTTGTTTATTTCTAAGTTAGTAATTTGAAAGTCAAAATTGATTCATCTGTCCAAAGAGCAGTAGTTTTTGTTTTGTGTCTTAAGATGTTATTTTAACTTACATTTTATTTTTTGAATAAGAAATATGCTCGTATGTTTTAAAATTTAAATGCCACAAAAGATATACAATGAGGTATCCTTCCCTCCCTTATTTCCCAGTCACCCACTTTCCATTCTTGGGGACAACCATTGTTACTAGTTTATTGTGTATCTGTCAAGAAATTTGATGCACATTCTTATAATGTGTATCTTACTCAGAAATTCTCTACACAGAAATGTGGAGATATGTATATATACATATATATATATATATATATATATATATATATATATATTCTCCTTCATATTCTTGTTTTTAAAAAAAGGTAACGTACTATATTCTTTTTTGTATCTTATTTATTTATTTATTTATTTATTGGAGATGGAGTGTTGTTCTGTCACCTAGGCTGCAGTGCAGTGGCGTGATCTCGGCTCACTGCAAGCTCTGCCTCCCCCGGGTTCACGCCATTCTCCTGCCTTAGCCTCCCAAGTAGCTGGGACTACAGGCACCCGTCACCACGCCCGGCTAATTTTTTGTATTTTTAGTAGAGATGGGGTTTCACTGTGTTAGCCAGGATGGTCTCGATCTCCTGACCTCATGATCTGCCTGCGTCGGCCTCCCCAAATGCTGGGATTACAGGCGTGAGCCACTGCACTTGGTCTTTTTTTTTTTTTTTTTTTACTTAATATAACTTAGAGGTCTATGATTTGATTACATGTAAATATTTTATATATTTTTTTCAGCTTTGTAGTATACAGTTATATGGGTATACCCATAAATACGATTATGTACCATAAGCAAATTAACTAGTTCTGTTGTTACTAATCATGTACTATTTCAAATAGTGCTAAGGTGAATAATCTTTCTGGGCTATTTTCCAACACCAGCAACCAATTCTCTTGATTCTCCAGACACCAAGTGGGTGTTCAACAATTCAGCGTAATTCAGTTCTCACAGTAAATATCTGGAGCTAGTGCAGACCCCACAGCTTAAGGGCCCATTCCTACAACACTGCTTTCCACTTCAGACACCATTTGTAAGTCCTGCGCCACCTGTACTTCGGACCACCTGCTATAAATTGGGGGTTCCCTCAACCTCCTCCTAAGGTTAGATAATTTGTTAACCTGGCTGACAGAACTCAGGAAAACAGTTTACTTACTCTTGCTGGTTTATTATAAAGGATACAACTCATGATCACCTAAGTGGAAGAGATGCGTAGGAATGTGGGAGGCAGCACAGAGTTTCTGTGCGCTCTCTGGGTTCACTACCCTCCAATCAACTCAGTGTGTTCAACCCTGGAAGCTGATCAGATCTCATTGTTCAAGAGTTTCTATAGAGCTTAATCTCCTGTCTCTCCCACCTCACTTTCTGGGGTGGAGTCAGTGGCTAGGGCTGAAATTCCATTGCTCTTATTATTTGATCTTTCTGGTGACCAGCTCTATTCCAAGGTCATCTAGGGGCCCCACTCTAAGTCACCTCATTAGCATAAACTCAGATGTGAGTGAAACAGACTCATTATGAATGAGTGAAGAGACACCTATCACTGAGGATATTCCAAGGGTTTTAGGAGCACTGTGCCAGGAACTGGGGACAAAGGTCAAATAGATTTGGCCCTCTATATCTGTGGATTCAGTCAGCCTTGGATTGAAAATAATTCGCATGGTTGCATCTGTACTGAACATGTACACTTTCTTCCTTGTCATTATTCCCTAAACAATACAGTATAAGAACTATTTACATAGAATTTATACTGTGTGAGGTATTATAAGTAATTTTGAGATGATTTAAAGTGTACAGGAGGATGTATATATACAAATACTCTACAAATACATTTGTTATATACAAATACTGTACCATTTTGTATAAGGGACTTGAGCATTTTTAGATTTTGGTATCCTTGGGGGTCCTGTAACCAATCCCCCGTGGATACTGAGGGATGACTTTATATTTCCTTCTCTTTTTTTTTTTTTTTTTTTTTTTTGAGATGGAGCCTCACTTTGTCACCCAGGCTGGAGTGCAGTGGCATGATCTTGGCTCACTGTAGCCTCCACCTCCCAGATTCAAGCAGTTCTCTTACCTCAGCCTCCCCAGTAGCTGGGACTAGAGGTGCAAGCCACCATGCCTGGCTAGTTTTTGTATTTTTAGTAGAGACGGTTTTGCTGTGTTGGCCAGGCTGGTCTTGAACTCCTGACCTCAGATGATCCACCTGCCTCAGCCTCCCAAAGTTCTGGGATTACAGGCATGAGCCACTGCACCTGGCTTAACTTTATATTTCTTATTATGCCACATTCTTTGTAGTATGGAAGTAATTTCACTTACATGCAAGTATATGTAAGATACATTTCTAGAAATGGAATTCTTGTATCAAAGGCTATGTACATTTGTAATTTGGATTTTTTAAACCAGTTTTCCCACCATAGAGATTGTACCAACTTATTCATGTCACAAATGTGTGAAGTGACTGTATGTTTCCCCATACAACTTTATGTTACAAATTTTTATTAAGTAATTTAAAAAACAAGGTTCTTATAGTACTCTGCAAAACATGTATATGTAAAAAAAAAGACGTAATACTTTGTTGTAATTGTCAAAAAAATTAAGTAGAAATTCTATTATGTTCACAATTATAAAAGACTTGATATACTTTTAACAGAGTTGAGTAATGTTAGCTAATTTGTTGCCATTTTATCATATATCTCCAATGTGCCAGGTACTGTTATGACTTTATATACGTTATAAAATCTCTAATATTTAAAGTAATTTTACAAGGTGTATAGAATTTATATTACCTTTATTTCACAGACAGGAACCTGAGCTAGTAAATTCTAGGCTTAAGATTTGATTCCAATTCGATTCTAAACTCTAGATTTTTGTCATATCTTTAATTAATTTTACTTTAGTATTTTGATCTTTCCCTTTTTTGTGTAGAGGACTAAAATTCCTCTGATTTCAGCCATTATCCTGGTCTTTCGGCATTCCCAAATTGAATTAAGGAAGATTTCTATAATTTGCAAGAATTAGAAGCCCCAGGGTAAAACAAAGAGCATACACACTTGTCTTTCTGAGAAGAGATGTTAAATACCCCATATAGATGCTGCTTTCTTCTGTATTTTCTTATTTAACTTGTAGAAAGTAAGGGAGAATAGCAAAATAGCAGAATTACTAGAGAGAGAAGACAGGCAGTGGTAGATAATAGTAATTGGGTCAGGAAGCCTGTTTTAATCTCCAAGTAACTTATTTGCTGTTTGAATATCTTGTTTTACCATGTAAGAATCAGTCTATAGGCATTTATTTTTAACATCCTAGACAGTTACTGTTTAATTTTATCTCATTTAGAGTCCTACCACAGCTACTAAGTTGACTTTTAGAGCAGAATATGTCTTTAAAAATCTTGGTCAGCGTATTTCACAAATAGACAAATTTCATAACAGTCCACATTTTGTAGACTTTTTAAAATAAAAAATAATTGTTTAAAATTTGGATCTTTTTAATTTCAGTTGTTCCCCCTTCCCATCCCATTTTACAGACATTTCAACCTACGAATGAAGAGGGACACTTCCCTTTTCAGTGATGAATTTAAAGTAGAAACATCAAATAAAGTACTTGATTATGATACCTCTCATATTTACACTGGACATATTTATGGTAAGTTGGACCTTAACAGAACCCTTTTCTTCCATTTTTTTTTTTCTACACAAAGATACTCATTTTGAAGTGTAAGCAAATATTTCAGAAAAGGTTATAAATCCAGAGGAGGTTGAATTCATATGAAGGGTAATGGTCTTTGAGAAATGAAGTAATGTTTGGACCTATCTTTACATGTATGTTTAATAGTGAATTATGAAATATCTGGCTTCTGAAAGGGGTGAAATTTTGACTCAGTACCTCTAAACTGTTAGAGTTTTCAAAAGTTTTAACGACTTCTGTAATTTTCTGATTTTCCAAGTAAGAAATTAATAGTAACTTTGCTGTGTTTTATAAGAAAACAGGAAAAGTCTAAAAGGAAACAGTAAAGATGATCTTAGCCAAAAATAATGTGACAGAGTCATCTGTAGGAAAATCCTCCCAAGGCCCTTCTTCCTCAGAATCTATTTGCTTTATTCACAATTCTAACAAATTTCTCTTGCTGCATCAAATTGAAAATGCATGTTGGGGGGCATCAGTGGCACACTTAACCCAATAGAAAGTTACATCTACTAGTAGTGTTGAAAGAACAGAACAACTATAGAAGTCATAAAAAAGCTTAAAAAATGAAAATCTTCTGGGGGTGTTGGAGAGAGGCAAAATGTCATTGTTTTATAACTGTACATTAGTAAGTACTCAAGATGATTCTCACTTAAGACAGTGTTAAACTGTTTGAGATTATTTCTACACGAGTGATTTCTACTGAAAATAGTAACATGAAAAATTAAATGCTTAAAGAATTTTTTCTCATTTTTCGATTGTGCCAGATAAATGAGGCATTTCTATACTTAAACTTTCTCATTTGTAGAATAAACCTAATCATTAAATTCTTTAGCTTTTTTGTACTCTTACAATTCTGTAACCAAAATGAAGCGTTTTTCATCAGTAGATTTTCAATGTCAGACTTTAGTGTTATATTGTCTTCTTGATTATTTATCTTTCTGGGCAAATAACTTAGTAGTTCCTGCCCTTTTTCGCTAGGTGATGAGATCAAGAAAAGTCCGAGGCCGTAAATGAGATTGCAGATAAAAATCATGTTATTTAGGCCAGGCATGGTAGCAGTTACACCTGTAATCCCAGTGCTTTGGGAGGCTGAGGCAGGAGGATTGCTTGAGACCTGGAGTTTGAGACCAGCCTGGGCAGTATAGTGAGACCTTGTCTCTAAAAAACATAAAAATTTAGTTGTGGTGGCACACCTGTAGTTTCAGTTAGATGGGAGGCTGACGTGGGAGGATTGCTGAGCCCAGGAGGTTGAGGCTACAGTGAGTTATGATTGTGCCACTGCACTATAGCCTGGGG
Organism: Homo sapiens; assembly: GCF_000001405.40. Classification (NCBI taxonomy): domain Eukaryota; kingdom Metazoa; phylum Chordata; class Mammalia; order Primates; family Hominidae; genus Homo; species Homo sapiens. Next base: position 58,680,857 of record NC_000015.10, on the reverse strand, counting down.
GACAGAGAGGGGCCCTGTCTATTTAAGAAAACAAAACAAAACAAAAAACTCCAAATATCAGCGTCTTGGGCTCTTACCTCCAGTCTATGATTAATTCAGAGGCAACTAATTAATGTTATTCTACAACTTAGAAATTGTGGAAGTCCTGATTTTTATTTTAATCAGAGAATCGTAATGGGTAAATTCAAGGTTTAAAGCCCTCTCCCTCTACTTTCACCCTTTATGTCATTTGATTTTGGTGCTCACCTTTTCGTTGTGATTATATTAAGAACCAAAAGTACCTTTTTTCCTATTATTTCCTTTCACTGGAGAAGTGTAATTGATGGGATAGTATTACAAATCTTTGTCCAATATCTTTAAAAGTACTGTTGGTATACTTTTGTTCAAAGTGCCCATGAAATATTTGACACTGTTCTATTTAAAAATGTGTTTATAGGCTGGGCGTGGTGACTCACGCCTGTAATCCCAGCACTTTAGGAGGCCGAGGCAGGTGGATTGTTTGAGCCCAGGAGTTCCAGACCAGCCTAGGAAACATAGCAAGTCCCTGTCTCTACCAAAAATACAAAAATTAGCTGGAGGTGGCGGTGCACGCTTGTAGTCCCAGCTACTAGGGAGGCGGAGGTGGGAGGAGTGCCTGAGCCCAGGAGGTTGAGGCTGCACAGAGCCATGAGCTCGTCACTGCACTCCAGCCCGGGTGACAGAGCAAGACCTTGTCTCAAAAGCAAAACAAAACAAAACACAAAACAAACCCCTAAGCATAGCGCAGAAGCCAAAAGGCCTGGCCCATGCACAATATATCGGATGGAAAAGGAGCTTTTTTCTTGTGGTACCTGTAGCAAAATTTTCAAAAGATGCTTTGGATGTCTTTATTCTGAAAGTGTGTATTTTATCAGTGGGTTTGCTTGCTTCTTTTAAGTTAATTTAACAATTAATTGTTTTGTTTTGTTTTGAGACAAGGTCTTGCTCTTGTCACCCAGGCTGGAGTTCAGTGGTGCCATGTCAGCTCACAGCAACCTCCGCCTCCAGGGTTCAAGTGATTCTTCTGCCTCAGCCTCCTGAGTAGCTGGACTTACAGACATGTGCCACCAGGCCCAGCTAATGTTTTCTGTGTTTTTAGTAGAGACAGGGTTTCGCTATGTTAGCTAGGCTGGTCTCGAACTCCTGGCCTCGAGTGATCTGCCCACCTCGGCCCCCCAAAGTGCTGGGATTATAGGTGTGAACCACACTGTGCTGGGCCAATTTACAATTATTGATGACTACTGCATACATGCTAGGCACTCAGCTAGGTGCAAGGAATGTGGTTGGTAACAAGGCAGATACTCTATTTTTCATTGCTGTTATTAGTAATTGTATATATTTTAACTAAATACTAGTTGCTGTTCACATCTCACATTCTGCTTGATATATTTTATGTGAAAATTTCCATAGTAAATTTATATTCAAGATTTAACCATATATATGTGTATATATGTATGCATGTGTGTATATATATACACACATATATACATATATATGAATGAATTTAACATTCATGTGCAAATTAAATTGTCAAGAATTTGTTGCTTTCATTAATAGGTGAAGAAGGAAGTTTTAGCCATGGGTCTGTTATTGATGGAAGATTTGAAGGATTCATCCAGACTCGTGGTGGCACATTTTATGTTGAGCCAGCAGAGAGATATATTAAAGACCGAACTCTGCCATTTCACTCTGTCATTTATCATGAAGATGATATTAGTAAGTACTTAAGTTTTATCAAGTAGCCTTTTTCAAAAGGCATATGATAGTTAAAACTGTGTGGAGACAAATGAAGCATTAGCTGTTTTCTTTCCTGAGTTACTAATCAGGCTAGAACATAGTTTTTACTAGCAATTGCTATTTAAGGAATAGTAGATATATGTAATGAGGCAATTTCCTTGTCAGTCCATTGCCAGTACTACTTTGCTGATATGACATAACTAATTCTGTTTGAACTGTGTGAGTCAACCAAATCTGACGGAACTGGAAATCGTATATTTTGACATCAGCCAGTCTGTGTAATGCTAATACCTTTGTGTGTATGACCTATTGAAGGTAGAAGAGCATCATTACTACTTACATAAATTTCAGTGTGGATATTTGTGTAGTGTTTAAGGAATATTTTAGGTATTTTTGTAATTTTTAAGTCCATTGAGTATTTCTTTTTAGAATCTTAAGGTAATGACTTGACTTCAAGAGTCCACGTTTATCATGGATTTTGTTCTCTACCATCTTTATATGATGATATTTTTCTAAGAATAGAAAATGTATTTAGACTTTACCTTTTAATTCTATTGTCCGTATATCCACAGTTATCCAGTTATTGGGAATGCTTCTTTGAAGTACCACAGAAATAAATTTCTCTAATTTATATAGCTCTTGAATACCCATTTATTATTTTTTGACTGTAATTAGACTAGTCTCTCAATTTTTGCCTGCTTTCCTAACTTGGCAGCTTCTTCCTACATACGTTTTCCTTTGTATAGACAGAAATTTATTGTCAATGATTTTATTCTTACCCCTAGTAATACACTGACAAGCATTAACCATTTTGACTTTTTGCTCCATCAGCTCTGACAGTTTTTGTACTTCATCTGTCCAACTGCTTGTTATCTCTGCTGCTAGATTGCTATAGAAAATAACATATGTATACTAGGTAGGATGCATTTATGATTTTTAGCTACTTGTTAAATCATAAGCTCATTAATGCTACTTCCCTGTATTTTCATTCACCACTATTTGATTCCTTTTCCAGTTTTAACTCCTGGTATTTCAAACTCTACCTTTCTTTTCAAGCTCTAAGCTATCATCCTCCTTCATAAGTAGGAATATGAATTCCTTTGCTTTCGTTTCTTTCTGCTGACAAAATTATTATTTACCTGGTTTGTGTCTTGCTTTGTAGCTTTCTTAGTAATTTAACCTTTTTTTGCAGGGTTACCTCCCCTATCAGGGTATGTAAGTTCTTCAGGTATAGTTTCTGTTTCTTTTGCTCCTGTAATATTGCAAGTATCATTTGTCTGTGCAGCAGGCTTTTCATAAATACTTAATGAAATACTGGAATATTTTTCTAGAATGTTTTATCAAAATCAAAGAAAACCTTTTGAGGAATGAAGGAGAGGAAAAGCGTAATCTGCCAGATTATTTTTTCCTTTCTATCATATTGTAATTATACTTTCTCCATTGCTTTCTACTTGCTATCAGTGCCCTCTACTGTATTTGTTCTGCCTGTTTTGACTTCTGTTATTGTGCCTCTCTCATGTTTTCCTTCTTCTGTTATCTACTTGTGTGTAGTTTAAGAATATTCTTTTTTCCCACTTTTCTTTCTTTCTTGTAATATAATTGTATTTTTTGCATATTGCATCCAACAGTAATTTCCAAATATCTTAATAGGTGTCAATCTTTTTTTTTCCCCAAAGATGATGAGTTAGCTTGGAGGATGAATGACACTGGATGTTACTTGATTTTTTGTTCTTTTTGGCATTTAAATGCTTTATCATTGATATCAGCTTTTATTTTATACTTGTTTAAGTAAATATATGTTTGTGGTAAGGAGAACTTTTTAACATTCTTTTTATTATTACATATCAGTAGTGGGGTTAGAATTTAAAAGCAGCAATCTTTAAGGTGATTTTATTTGTAGCTTCTCAGGTAATTGAAATTGTAGGATATGAGGATGGGAGTACGGAAGGAGTTCCCTTAAACAGAGTTTTTAATGTTTGCAAATTTAGACAATTACTTGTGAAAAACTACCTAAAAATCTGTCAAGTGAACCATGGTTTAAGACAAGAAAACATTCATGTATTAGTCTTTTATTCTAAATAGTTGCTATATTTATATTCTAGACCGTGGTTCGCAAATTCTCTGCAGAGGGACAGAGAGTAAATATTTTTGGCTTTGAGAGCTGTATGTTTTATTGCAGCTACTCAGCTCTGCCATTGTAGCACGAGAACAGCCAAAGAAACACATAAATAAATAAGCATGGGTGCTTTTTTTAAAGAAATTATTATTTATTTATCTATTTTTTTGGAGACAGAGCCTTGCCCTGTTGCCCAGTCTGGAGTTCAGTGGTGTGATCATACCTCACTACAGCCTCAACCTCCTGGGCTCAAGTGAACCTCCTACCTCAGCTCTGTGAGTAGCTGGGACTCCAGGTATAAGCCACTGCTCCCAGCTAGCATGGCTGTTTTTAATAAAACTTCATAGACACTTAAATATTAATTTCATATATATTTCATATGACATAAAATATCATTCTTTTGATTTTTTCTTTAACCATTTAAAAATGTGGAAGCTACCCTTAGTTTTCATGTCAAACAAAAACAGATGGGAGGGCTCACTAAATTTAATAATTACTTTAATTGGTTCTTTAAATTCTCTGTGTAGAATATGACAGGTTCTAGAAGTAGTAGTAGTAGCAGCAGTAGTAAGAATAATTATTATGGCTTAATATATACCTGACAGTGTATAAAAATCTTTACTTGCATTATTGAATTGAATTCTCAAAATAACGTTATGAGATACTGGCACACCTATTATTCCCACTTTATAGGTGAAGGCTTAAACTGAGGCTTAGAAAACTTATGTCACTTGATTGTGGACCTCCTGTTCTTTACCCTGTGCTCTTCTGCTTCACTCATGGAAGAAAGCTGTAAATTCTCACTGCCTTTACTTCAAGGATTTCTGGGGCTTTTCTGAAATCTGTAAGCCTCTCTAAAATCATACATTTGCATCTATTGCTGTTTTAAGCCAAACTCTCTCCTTAATATATTTAGCAGTGTTTATTTTATAACTAAATGGCAAAGGATGCCCTTTAATGTGTATTATTATTTTTATATAATTGGTTTAAGTACTAATAATTTATTTTCAGAAGTAAAGTACTGCATTATTGTATCACTGTGAATGTTCTTAATTGGATTTGGTATCGTTGTATATGTTATCCTTACCAAAAAGAAGCAAATGGTAGGGGAGGCATACTAACCTTGGATATACCTTTTGATGAGAATTTGGCTACCCTCTTCTTAATACTGTTTTTGCAACTGAAGGCATAAATGTATAGAACCATCATGAAAAATGATACTGCTATTCTCCAGAACCTTGGGGAATGGCTTCTGAGACTGTACCAGAACACAGGGATAGTTTTCACTGAAAATACTTAATAATTTCTCTAGATGTGATAGTGATAAATATATATTGTTATCAGCTTAAAATGCATACTTATTTAATTCTGTACTTAGTAAAAAACACTCTCTCCTAGGACATGGTAGTGTGAACAGTTAATGACAAGGTAAGAATACCACTTAGTCCTCTGCCCCTTAGCACAGTTTATTTTAAAGAAACTGAGAAAAACATTGTTCCATAAACTAGAATAGTATTGTTATTAACATGAACAGGTTTTAGGAATATCTGACTATATGACTGCTTGCAATAATTCCCTTACACCTTTTTTGTGTACTACCTATCCAAGAGCTAAAGGTCTGAGTAATTTTTTTATTCTATACTTATAGAGAAATACTTAATCTCCAAATTAAAAAATATATTTTAATTGTATATGAAGAGCTGCAGAATAATTTATTTGGGTTTATTGCTTTCATTTCAAATTTATTATTTATTTTCCTTTGTGGGGTATAGAAAAGCCCAGAGAGGTTGAATTTGCCTATACCTCCGTCGCCCAGGCTGGAGTGCAGTGGTGCCATCTCAGCTCACTGCAACCTCCGCCTTCTGGGTTCAGGTGATTCTCCTGCCTCAGCCTCCTGTGAATAGCTGGGACTACAGGCATGTGCCATCACGCCCAGCTAATTTTTGTATTTTTAGTAGAGACGGGGTTTCACCATGTTGGCCAGGATGGTCTCGATCTCTTGATCTCTTGACCTCGTGATCCGCCCGCCTCGGCCTCCCAAAGTGTTGGGATTACAGGCGTGAGCCACTGTGCCCGGCCTGAATTTGTCTATACCTTATAGTAGTAGGGCACCCCTACTTTAGAATGTGTGTTAGCCATACCTATACTTATTTCTTCTTTCTCTTGTGCTTCAATGGGAAGACCTCCTATTTCTTGTTCTGAAAAATTAAGATTGTTAAACTTTATTTTACCATTTCAAGATGGAGGCCTCTTCATTCATGTAGAAGCTTCCTCATTTGTGGAAATGTCAGGATGTTGCATCTAAAACTTTTAAAATGTCAATTAGTTCCATATTGTGTTTTTGAAGTTGTTTTCTGTCACTGTTAGTGACAGGGAGAGACAAAAGGAAGGAATACAAGAGGGAAGAATAATTGAATTGGTAAGTATTGATAATAGCTAGCATTGTTTGTATCATTCACATATAACAGGAAAACTGTTTTAGAAAGCATTCTGGCTATACTTAGGTCCAGTCTGGAGATTGGAAATCTGCATAAGCATATTGAGTTGTGACAAACTATGTAGCCAACTGGAAAAGTTGAGATGTGGAGTGCTCTGATTGTTTGACTTCTGAACTCCCACAGTGCATACAAGTGTATTGGTTAATCTCTCTACTATATGTTTTGAATTTGTATGCTTTACTAAGCATTGATGTTAGATACTGAACTTATTTAAGCACAGTGATAGTATTTGAAAGAAATATAAAAATTTAGTGGTATTGTTGACTCTGTCTTTTCCTTTTTTCTGAGTTAATCTCTTGGGAAGTATAAATTAATTTTTCTAAACAACTCACAGGCACAGAAGCCGAAAAGTTGAGAAGGCCACAGATATGGGAGTTATTTTAAGAATAATATTTAATTAGAAATGTAGGATACTAAATTGGAAAGTTAAAAAAAAATCACAAAAAAAGAGGCAGTGGCTGGGTATGGTGGCTCACGCCTGTAATCCCAGCACTTTGGGAGGCTGAGGCAGGCGGATCACGAGGTCAGGAGATCAAGACCATCCTGGCTAAACAGTGAAACCCCGTCTCTACTAAAAATACAAAAAGTTAGCCGGGCGTGGTGGCAGGCGCCTGTAGTCCCAGCTACTCGAGAGGCTGAGGCAGGAGAATGGCGTGAACCCGGGAGTCGGAGCTTGCAGTGAGCCGAGATCATGCCACTGCACTCCAGCCTGGGCGACAGAGTGAGACTCTGTCTCAGAAAAAAAAAAAGAGAGAGAAAGAGACAGTGAGGGGCTTAATTCTTTTTAGCAGAATCTGGAAAAAATATGCTTAGACTTTTCATATTATGCATATTATGCATTTCATATTACGTAACGTTATATAAATAGGATAACAGTTGAAAATTTTAGATCAAGTTCTTTTCTGATTAGTTATATATATGTATGTATATGTATACATGTATATTCATATATATTTATCTTAAAACATCAATATAAAATATTTTAGCTATAATGAAATACAATGAATTATTTCAGAAATATAAGATTTTTAAAATAAAAAATTGTTATTAGAAGCATTTACAGTGTCAAAAAAACAGCTGCAGCTTTTTTTTTTTTTTTTGGCAATTACAGAGTGGTATTCAGTTAAGAGTAATACTTATTTTGTATAAGCTGCATCAGAGAGAAATGAAGGTGAAAAACTACCATCTCCATATATAACTCATTTGTGCTGTGCACCAATAAGAACCTGCTTTAGATTTTCATGCTGGCTTACAGCTCTCATACTGTTTCAGGCAAAGTTAGTGGTTATTGAAAATACCACCAGGATGGGCTGTCTGTCCGTCTGTCTGTCCTTCCATCCATCTGTATTTTTTTTTCTTTATGCTCTCTCATCAACTGACTGTCAAGGATGGGCTATCTAGAGACACATTTGATAGTGTGGTTAACTGTTAGTGTGTTAACTGTACAGTTTAAAAACAAAGCCTTACCTTTAAAGGTTTTTCTTTAAAAGGAGTGAGTTGTGTACAGGGGTGCTAAATAATTTATAAACAAGGACAAACACTGCACTAGAACCAACTTATTCATTATGATCATCTTCATCTTTCTTCTCTTCCTCATCCTCTTCATCTTCCTCCTTTTCCTTCTTATTTTCAACTTCCTCACCTTCCTCTTCTTTTTTTTTCAGCATTGACATCTCCCTTTTTTTTTTTTTTTTTTTTTTTTGCTGCATGAGGCCTTCCTTTAGCTCAGTATGCAGCAATATCCATTTCTTAGTTTTTCTTCAGCTTCACAGCCTTTTCATAAGGCTGCTTGTCATATGCACCATATCCACATCTTTCCCAGTTTCTTTGAAACATCACGAATGGATAGGTTTGGATATTCTCCTTAGATTTTTGGGCAGTACTCAGGGCAAAATGAAAAGACTGAAGGAGCCCTCTTGGGTACATTGGGATCCCTAAACTTTTTTGTTTCTTCTTTAGGAGGGATGTAAGTTTCTCTTTAATAGCCATCCTTGTCCCCCTTTGCCATGTCTTCAGATTTTCCTTTCTCTTTAGCAGATACGGCTTTCCACCTCTCTGAGCATTTTTTAGAAAATTCCGAGAAGTTAACTGAAGCATGAGTGCTGCTTCTTGTTCTCCTCCTGGAAGTTTGCACAAAGAATGCATATGATGACCTTTTGCCTCTTGGCTTCTTAGGATCTTCTTTTACCAAGTTTAGTTATTTTTCCTCAGAGAAGCACAGAGTCACCTAGTGCACATCTGGCTGCCATTTGCCCCAGCACTGTCTCCATGGAGGTCAATGTACTGTAATGGCTATCAGAAATACATGATTATATGAAAATAAAAAAAGCTTTCATGTTGTAAAGCAACTTTGAAAGTCACCCTAACAAGTAAAATTATATTTGAAATTTTTGTTTTTTCTTTTGAGAACTATCTTTTATTTTGTTTTACAAATAAATTGAGTAAGGAATTTTATAATTTTAGTATTGTAAAAGGCACTAGATTCAACACTCTAAAGATGACGGAAACTGAAGTCTAGAGTTATAAAACTTGTGCAGTATGACATGGATCCATGTCTTTTGGCTGCCACTCCAGTGCTTTATTTCTGTTACATTCTGAGTTAGGAGAGTTTAAAGGCTGCTAAAAGGCCAAGAACTTAATGACAATAGAGACAATGACAGTAAGGATTAAAAAAAAAAAGTTATTTTTGGTATCATTGATTTTGAAGGTGAGCCATATTTACTACTGAAAAAGCAAATTTATATTTTAGGCTCACTTTAAAAAATATATATATTTATTAATAGAGACGAGGTCTCACTGTGTTGCCAGGCTGGTCTCGAGCTCTTGAGCTCAAGTCATCCTCCTGCCGCGGACTCCTAAAGTGCTAAGATGACAGGTGTGAGCCACCATGCCTGGCCAAGGCTCAACTCTTATAAGTGATGAGTTACAGAAAAACTAGAAGAAATAGCATTTAGGAGTATGTGTGCGTGTATGTCCTAGAGATACTCGGAGCTAAACCTCAGCCTTTCACATCTCTGATAGCATAATTCATAGATTTATGTTTGTACCAGTGACCTTATAAGAGTGCCTGAGGACATTGGTCCAGGACTCTGGCCCTCTAAAAAGCTGCTTCTAAAGAGGCATTGTGAGATCTGGTTTATTAAAGACATGTTATATTCTGTTCATGATTTATAAATTGGGGGATTAGATAATCTCCATAAGCAGTCTTGCTATCTTGTATTTATATTTGAACATAAAAGTCTAGAATTTATAGATGTGGATTTTACTGGTTTTAGCTTCTAGAGACTTCTTAGAATCATTTTTTATAGGCAAGCTTGTAGATCTACTAGTTAAAACTGTTTTTTGGTTTAATTTGTTTGCTCAAGATCATACAAGTTAGTGGTCTTGGTACATGGTAGGGAGAAGGCACAAGAGGTAATATGTCAAAGAACTGAGGCATGGCATATATATGAAAAGAGTTAGAAATGAAATCAAGGTGATATGTTAGAATAGCTTTATAACCTTATACAGGTAATGTACTTTTTCTTGGTCTCATTTTCTTCAGGTATAAAATGAGGGTGTTAGATCATGGTGCTAATATCTCTTATCTCTTCTAAAAGTTAATGGTTCTAAACTACTTTTCCTTTAAAGTTGGAAATATCTTGATTGATCATGGCTGACAAATAAAAAGTAAAAATAAAAATATTTTTGTGCTGATTGGGAAATGACTATATAAAATGGCTATTCTTGTATGTAAATTAAGTATTTTTCTTAAGTAAATTAAGTATTCTTGTATGTAAATTAAGTATATTAAGATGAAATGTGTCCACCACCATTAACATTTTTATGAATAGCCCTTCAGATCTCATATACCATTTTAAATTTCATGTACAGTTATATCTTAGATCTCTTTCTGTGTCAATAAACATAGCTCTACATTTTTCCTTTAAATGGCTACATAAAATTCTGCTGTTTCCTTGATAAATGTATTATTTACCAGCCTGCCAACTAATGGATGTATAGATTGTTTCCTCTTTTTTACTGTTAAAAATTGCAACAGGTAACATTCTTGCACATATTTTCTCCCCTCAATATTTTTATGGTTATTTCCTTAAGATTAATTTCCTAGAAGTAGCATTGTCAGACATTTGCATTTTGATACATATTGCCAGATATCTCTTTAAAAAGGTTACACAGATTTATACTCTTACACCTATAAATTAAATATTGACTTAATAATACCTTCATGTATAGTCTGTGGACACACTTCCCCAATTACTTCACAAAAATGTCTCCTATTTTTTTTTTTTTAATACAGGATTTAATCAGGGTCTACACATTGCCTTTGAGTGTCACATCTCTGTAGTCAGTATTACTCTTTTAACAGCTTAATTGAGGAAAAATTGATAGCAATAAACTGCTTATATATAAAGTTTATAATATTGATAACTTTTGACATATGTTTATGTCTGTGAAACTATCATAGCATTTAAGATAATAAACATGCCCATCACCCCCAAAAGCTTTCAGTGTAATTCTTCTCTCCTCTACTCCCCGCTACCCTCTTGCACTAATCTCTAGGTTAGTTTGCACTTTCTGAAATGTTATATAAGCACAATTATACATTATGTACTCTTTAAGAAAGTCTGGCTTTAACTCAGCATAAATAGTTTGGGATTCGTCCATGTTGTATGTATTAAAAGTTAATAACTTTTTGTTGATAAATAGTAGTCTGTTGTGTGGATACCATGATTTGTTAATACATTTGCCTGTTAATGGACATTTTGGTTGGGTTATTACAGACAAAATTAAGGTTTTTAATATTAACTCATCAAGTATTGGTCGATTAAAGAGAAGATAAATTTTGAAGAGGCAAGGGGATGAAATAACTACTAAGGACCAAAAAATCTTGCTCTGTTGCCTGAGCTCTAGAGAGGGGGCATTTGGAAACAAGACAAGCAAAATACCCAAAGAATTTTAATTTAAGCTAGTAGCATATACAGCATGTACATTCTCTCTCCTCCAAGCTGATAATACAACTTAGGTGTAATCTCCTAGAATTTTTTCCTGACCTCACAGTTCTGGGTATCCTCTCTTTACTGCTGTTTATGTGTTGATAAGTCTTCCCTATCTTTTGAATCCAGTGGTTTACTGGTCATTGATCATATGACTGACCTTTGAGAGGCATGGAAGGAAACCAGCTGTTGACTGGATGAGTAAATTAAATTCAACCAGTGTTTAATAAACTGTGGATGATTGCCGGGAGACCTTAACACTTGGGAAGTTGGTACTTAAATGCCATGCTTGTTTACATGTCAGACACCTCAGCTAGACTGACAGCTCTTGAGAGTGCATGTTCTATGTCATTTATTTTTGTATCCCTTTGTTTGGTATATAATAATTTTTCTTAATTGTTTGCTTAATAAATTAATGCAGTTAAAAATAACATTGACATATGATTAGGAGATTTATGTGTACACAGCTGTTAATTTTGAATGTTCTGTATGTTATAGTCAATCTGTAAAGCAGTTAGGAATTTAGAACACACTTTGCCGTAGAAACAATTTAAAGTGTTAGACAATTCCTCTTTATTGTAGGTGGAATGAAGGCTAAAAGGAGGTTATGGGAGCCAGCAGTTTATAGGTCTTTGGTTAATGGATGACCTTTGAAAAGAGGCATAGAAACCACATACTGGCTGAAAAATTAAATTCAACAAGTATTTATTGGTTTGTGAATATACAGGAAAGAGAATTTTAAAATTTCCCCTGAAGATTAAAAACCTTCAGGGGAATTTTCAGTAATAGAGAGTCAAAATGTGGTAAATGCTATAACAAAAATGTTATCAAAGCCCTGGGGTAGTGCATACTACCTCAGTGAGGGAGCTTTAGGGAGATTTAGGAAGACTTCCCTGGGGAGGTGGAATTTGACTTGAACCTTGAAGATAAGGGGTAGACTTTTGATTGCTAGAGGAGAGAATCTGTGATCACAGGAGAAGCCTCAGCCCTATTACTCTGGCTGCAACAATATTTCTTTTCAGTTGTCACAGCTTGGGAACTAAAGAAAGGAAAAGAGATTCGCATGTTCTTTGGCCTAGTCACCCATTCACCCCTGTGTATAGCTGTATAGTCCCAAGTCAAATACACGTAAATAATGGTCACTTAAAGTTAGTATGTTACAAGTTTTCATTCCAAGTGTCAGTTGTAAGTTTTACAGGTTTAACAACTGATTAATTTGTTAATAAACATTTTTTGAGTGCCTAATCTGTACAAGACACTTTTAGAAACTATCCATACAATAATGAATAGGGCAAAGGTTCTGCCTTAAACACTTTAGAGTCTAGTAATTCTGTTTGTCATTGATCAGAATAATAAAGCAACATTTCTCTGGTTGACCTGACTCCCATTATCCTTTGGCTGCCAATAGTAACCCTTTCTTTCTAAAACCCATGGGGTGAGAAGGGACATGTCTGGCCCTCTTCCTCATCTCTGTTTCCAGAGAGATCAGTGTTGTGAGTGCTTGTGGAAAGTGGGGTCATTTTCAACTTCCTCCTCTTTCTAGGGACAATCACTCTGTGCTTTTCTTATGCCCACTTACCCTCCCAAAACAGAAATTAGACATGGGGATTGGGAAGACATGAGAATTGGTACCCGGGAGAAACGGCCTCCCATCCACTGGAATTAGGAGGAAGAACATTTGGAGTTCTTTCCTGTCTCCAAACTTTTCATTTCTTCTCAAAAGAAAAAAAAAAAAGCCTATCCTTTCTTCTACTCTCCATCAGTGAATCCTTGTTGATGTAGGCAACTTTGGGAATAAATGACGATTTTCATGGACAAGGCCCCCACCTCATGATACTCTGGATACTAACAAAAATAATTTTTATGCATAATAATATTATTCTATAGAAGTCATTCTATTTTAAATTCAATTAATGCAGATTTTTAAAAATTGGCTTTGGTGATTCATGGCATATTATTGGAGGGATTACCATCCAGTTTTGACTATTAGAGGGTCATCTCATAGCCAAGGCCTTGGATGTTTGCAGTTAAGTTTCTGAGCTGCTAGTCACATAAGGCTGAGGGGTACCCTGTTGGAGGTAGTGAGGGTGCAAAAAGTGAGTATTTTATGCCTAGTTCTGTTGACAGAGAATCTGAACTGTAAATATTCCTCCTTGAAAGAGTGGATGATTGAGAGTTAACTAGAGCTATTTCCTGCTTGAGTTAGAGTCACAATATATGTACTATTTATATTTGTGTCTTGAACAACAAAACAAAAGCAAGAGGCTGGCAGAGGAACTGGAAGAAAGGCAATAGATCTAAAGCTGATCTTTGTTTTAAATAGGCCGAATATTCTACACCCATGACTCATTGTTTGTGAAAGAATATGCTGTTTGGCCTTTTCAGGGGAACTACAGTGCATCCTATGATTTAGCATCTCAATGAGGGCTTATTCATTAGTTGAACAAAGGCTTTTTCTAGAAATGAGGATTATATTGTTAGTAATTTTAGAGGGAAAATGTCATTGTCCATTTTTATAGTTAATGTGGTGTCCAAGGAAAACAGCATCTTTTAGAAATTTTGAAAGTATATGGGAAAAATTGCATGCTTGACCCTTTCTATTGGGAGAGTTTTGTGCTGACAGAATTTGAAGCATATATAAATACTGTTTTGTTGCTTTGGAAATATTTGGAAATTTTTTTTACCCTAAGTTTCAAGCTTTCAAAAGGAATTTATATTTTTAATTCGTGATATATAAAATTCAGTTTGCGAAGAAATAAAACACTAATTCTTTTAAAATCCCAATGTTTTAAGTAACAATGTACTAAATAAATGTTTTTTTTTGTTCCCCTATACATTAATAACCAATGGTAAGTGAGTTTTAGGGTTTTGACGAAAGATTTTAAAGGTCACAGAACAGTTGTAATTTTTTCCCCATTGATTATTAAGATCATTTTGCATAGTTTCAGCTTGCATGGTCAGTTTTATGACTGGCACTTACTGGTGTGGCAAAGCAAGGACTGCCTGGTGTTAACTAGGTGAATGAAATTGAGAATAGACTCTGGAAATTCAGTTGCTAGCTGGCATTAAGGAACTGCTTGAGGTTATAGATCATGACTTTTGAATGAGACTGGAATTACTAGTTTTTCTTTAGCCTCATTCAGCTTCAGGAGGAGCTTCTCTCTTTCATAGTTACACTTCTGAAGTAAGTAAGACACCACTGCATTCACCATCAACTCCCTTCAGGGGCGTTGGGGTGGAGCACAAGGGAGTTGATGGTGAATGCAGTGGTGTAATTATAATAATAATTGACTGTGGGATTTAAACTGAATAAGGAAGAGAAAGAATATCTGGTGATAGACAATAAGGTGGTAGCATTGGTGGATTAAAGGGTCTCACTGATGTTAAAGGGTTGATGGAACCTAGAGGGAATGTGCTGAAAAGATAAGTGGTGGAAAGAAAGTAGAATACTAGAAGTTGAGATTATGAAGTGCTTTCAGTTATCAATAGTGACAAGTTCAGAAGAGTAACTATGGAAATGAGAAACTGAGGTAGGAAAAAATCATTGGAGAAAAGAACTGAGTGTAGTGGAAGGATCATCGTCATGAATGATGAATGATGATGAATGAATGATGAATGATGTCATCAGTCATGATGATGAGGTGGTGTCAGAGAGACTGACAGTAAGTCAGGATCTAAAAATAAGGAAATAAGGGCAGTAATGACTTGGGTGACAACAAATGCCTGTAATAAGTTGGGGTAGTCAGTGATACAGTCACGTAACTGTAAAACTGAGCTACTATGAGAATAGTCTTAATGGTCCTAAGGGAGAAAGTGGTAGATAGTTGTGTTTTGTGAAATGAGGGGTGGGGAGTATCTTCCCAAGAGTAGGAAGAGTTTTGGGGTTCTCTTTTATATTTGCTAGAGTCCTCCTGATGGAGCTCAGGAATACTGCAGAAGGATTCTCTTGACCCCTGCCAGATGATGGTCCAGAAACATAGATATTCTCTTGGTGACAGCCGAATGCAATATATTGGTGATAGGGTCAGAATAATGAGTGGTTATTGCCCTTTTTTAGAATTCACAAATCATCTATATGACAAAAAGCTAAAGACCAGTGGTTTTTATTGAGGGAGAGCTTAGGAACCTGCTAGGTTTTAGCATTAAAATGCCTAGCATAATGCCTTTTCCATAGGTGCTTAATAAGCATTTATGGTTTTCATTAGTTAAGACAGTTAAATTTTTACTTGTAATTCTCATTTATAATTGGTTATACCTAAATGTGTGATAGTAATGACGTTTCTTCTTTGTATTTTAGACTATCCCCATAAATACGGTCCTCAGGGGGGCTGTGCAGATCATTCAGTATTTGAAAGAATGAGGAAATACCAGATGACTGGTGTAGAGGAAGTAACACAGGTAAGGATTTTAACACTAGCTTGCATTTAGGAAATGGAAATGAATTTGAGGATGTATATCTACATTTAAAATATATGTTCTAGGATTTCTGAAAGACTTAACACCACTGTGGGGAATGTTTTTTAATGCTCAAAGAGGCCAGGTAACGTGCCAATAATAAAGAGATAGGACTGAGGTTTGAATACAAATATATGTGACCCAAAAGACATTACAAGTCTAAAATATACTATCCTTTACATGTTTTGTTATAAAAGAAAACAAATGTTTTATATAAATGTAAATATTTTTATTAGCATTAAAATTAGAGTGACCACTTGCCTTGGTTTGCCAAGGTATTCCTCATTTTTAACACTGAACGTTGTGTGTCAGCAGACAATCTGGTTGGTCATGTTAATAAAAATCTCAGGACTTTTCGTATTTTAATTATTTTTTTCCCTTCCTTTTTCTTTAGTCATAGGTGACAGGTTATAGTTATTCAAAACATAAGTTCAAAATGAGAAAACATTTTTTCTTTTATGATAAAACATTTATCATATATTTTGGACATCCTTTCTAAAAGTAGTATGGTAGAGTTATGTTTCTTGAGCCATGAATATTTGTATTCAGATCTATTCTTTGATCTGTAAAATGGCATAAACAATTCTGTTTCAGGTGGGTCTTTCTAGTGTTAAGTGAGATTTTATTCTTATATGTATTGAAGAAGTACATATTGATCTTCTGCCATATGTCAGAGACTGTGGAAAGTTCTGGGAATATGTGGAGATTAAGATGAAGGCTATTCTCAAAAGGTTATCGTTTAATTGGAGACACAGAGAAACAATTTAGAGTAGTAGGAGAGGGTTAAGTATAGGATGATATTCTACACACAAGAGGAATAGCTAATCTAGCCTTATAAGTATTTGAAGGCAATAATCAGACCTTAAGAATAAGTAGGAGTTAGGTTAGCCATGAGGATATGGAAAGACTATTCCAAGCAGGAGGAACAGTACATACAAAGGCCAAGGAGACAGAAAGATCAGTAAAGAATTTTTAACATGAGGGTAGAGTTTAAGAGTAGATTTTAGGAGACTAATGAGAAGTTGTTGTAGTTATTCAGTTGAGAAGTGATAGTGGCCTGTACTAATGTATTGGCAATTTGGATAGAGGGGTTGAGATTATAGACTGTTAGATATGATAGAATTTAGCATGGTGCTTGATAAAATATTAATATACAAAAGTAGGTTGCATTTATTTATACCACGAGTAGACTACCAGAAATATAATGAAAGGGTGGACATTGTTAATAATGTCAGAGAATATTATATATTATAGAATAAATGTAACAAAGAATTATAAGACCTATGTAAGGAAAATCAAAACTTTATAAAAATATTAAGGAAGATTGATTTTAAATGAATGGAGAGATATACCATATTAATGGGAAATAATAATATTATAAAATTATCAGTTCTCCCTTTATTGATTTGTAGATTCAATGGTAGTCCAATACACATTACAACAGGCTTATTCACAACACTCAATGGGTCAAAAATGTTATATGGAAAAGTAAGGACTAAGAAGAAGTAGGGCCCATTTAAAGACGATGAACAGGAAAGAGGGAAAGAGGGATTTACCCTAGGAGGTATTAAGACTTGCTATAATAATTGAGAGTGTGATAGCACAAGGATGGACAAATTAACTAGCGGAATAAAAATGAGTGCTTAGAAAAAGACCCATGCGTATATGAAACTTTGTTATGTGGTAGAGATGCAATCTCAAATTAGTAAGGAAAAGTGAGGACCATTGAATAAATGGATCCAGAAAAAAATGTTTATCTATTTGAAAAAAGATGAAGTTGGATCACCATCCTACAACAATAAAGTCCAGGCTGTAAATGAAGTCCATATTTACAACAAAAAAGTCTAGATGGATTGAAGTTTTAAATGTCTAAAATGAAAACTTTGAAACTTGTAGATTTCCCTTTCAAGCTGTGATAGAGTAACTGATATCTAACTAGGCTTTCTACAACAAACAACTAGAAAACCAAACAAAATATTTCAAACAATTATTTTCAAACATTAGAAAACAAGCATTGCAGGATTGATATCTGAGTGAGGAAATAAATATCTCTGTGATTTCCCTGCCTTCTTGGCTGGAGTCGAAATTTCAGATATGACACACAGAAGGAGATCTCAAGAAGGATAAAAACACAGCAGTGTTGCTGAGTTGAAGAGTTAGAATTAAGAGTTCAGGAAGACTGAGGTGTCTGGACTTACGGGCGCAATACCTGAGAGGAGAGAGCTGTGTTGAGAAAAAGCTCCAGATATCTGCACAGGTGTTGCTTTCCTTGAGTCTTAGCTGAATACTAAGCTGTGCCTGCCTGCACGGGATGAAATTCTTTGAGAAAACCATGAGACAAAGAAAAACTACCTGGACTCTGTGAAATGAACAACTGTCAAAAACAATACTTGGGCCAGGTGTGGTGGTTCATGCCTGTGAATCCCAGCACTTTAGAAGGCTGAGGCAGCAGGACCACTTGAGGCCAGGAGTGCGAGACCAGCCTGGGCAAACTAGCCAGATCTCATCTCCATAATAGTAATAATTATTATTATTTTTAATTAGCTGGGTGTGGTGATGAGCATCTGTAGTCTCAGCTACTCTGGAGGCTGAGACGAGAGGATTTCTTGAGCCCAGGTGGTTGAGGCTGCTGTGATCCATGATTGTGCCATGGCACCCCAGCCCGGGCAGCAGCGCGAGACCCTGTCTCTAAAAAAATTACACTTATTAGATATCCCAAGCCGTGGTAGTAGCAGGGCTAACCTAGCCCTAGAGTAGAAGCTACTTCAGACCTGCCCTTCCTAAGCAGAAAAACAAACCTCAAAAATGTCAAACTGCTTTTCAAATAAATTAGCTGTCTGTCAGAGAAAAGCTCAATAATATTTGTTAAAGGAGGACACTAAGTCCAGTTACTCAGCAGTATAACATTCAGTGTTCAGCATTCAAAGAACATTACTAGATGACAAGAAACTGAAAAACGTGATTCATAATAAGGAGAAAAGCCACCTAAATAGAAACACAACGTCTGTTAATTACAGATGTTAACAGGCAAGGACTTTAAAACAACTATTATTAGTATGTTCAAAGAATTAAAGACATGAACACAAAAAGGAGAGAATGGAAATTCTAATAAAGAACCAAATGGAACTTCTAGGGTGAAAAATATATTATCTGAGGTAAAAAATTTAGTGGATAGGCTTAAAAGAAAATTAATTACTGCAGAACTCAATATGAATATACTTGAGTAAAGGAAAATAAAATAGACAGTATCCATATCTAAGCACAGAGGGAAAATAATTGACGTCCAGCAGGAAGAGATGCAGAAAAAAATATTTAAAAATTAATGCCTCCGAATTTTTAGATACTAGGAAAAATTTCAATTCATGGTCCAAGAAACTCAATGAAACACGTGCAGGATAAACACAAAGAAAACCATACCAGGGTATGTTACAATTAAATTATTGGAAACACCTGAAAATCATAAAAAACCATAAAAGCAGGCAGAGAAAAGGAGATACATTTACATACAGGGGAACAAAGATAAGTATAACTGGTGACTTCTCATTACACAGTACAAACTGGAAGACATAGAATAACATCTTCAAAGTGTTGACAGAAAACCTGCCAAACTAGGATTCTATATTCAGTGAAAATAATTTTCAAAAACAAGGCAAATTAAAGATCTTTTTAAATAAAAATTGAGAGAATTTGTGTCTAGGTGACCTACACTGTAAGAAACATTAAAGGAAGTTCTTCAGGCAGAAAAAGATACCAGATGGAAACTCGGATACACACAGAAGAGTGAAGAACATAAAATAGTAACTATATAGATAAATATTAAGCAGTTTTTTCTCATTTAAAAAAACCTTCAAGAGATTATTACCTAAGTCCAAATAATAAGGTATAATGGATTTTGTAATATACAGAGAATCAAAATTTATGACAGTAGTGCAAAGGACAAGAGAAAGAAGAATAGAAGTATGTTTCTTAAACAATTTGTGAAGTGATGTAATTTTGACAGGTAAACTGTGCCGTGATAAAGATGGATATTGTAAACCGTAGAGCCGGGGTCAGCAAACTACGGCCTGTGGGCCAGATGTTTGCTTTTGTAAGTAAAGTTTTATTAGAACACAGCCACACCTATTCATTGATAGGTTGTCTATGGCTGCTTTTACATTATAGTGGCAGAATTGAAGAGTTGTGATAGAGAACAACTACATGTTGTTCAAAAGTCTAAATGTTTACTATTAGGCCTTTTCAGAAAAAGTTTGCAGGAATTTCCTCTGCCCTTGGAGCAACCATTGAAAAAAGAAGAGGAAATAATTTAACATGTTAATAAAATAAATCAAATGTATTTAAAAACAGTTAAGAGAAGTTAGGAAGAAGAGAAAAAGGAACAAAAAACTGATGGGATAAATAGAAAATAAATAGCAAGGTGGTAAGTTTAAATCTAACCATATTGATGACTGCATTAAATATAAATGGACTGCTGAGGTGTGAAGATTGCTTGAGGCCAAGAGTTCAAGACCAACCTGGCCAACACAGCGAGACCCTGTCTCAATTTTTTTTAATTAAAAAAATATAAATGGACTAAGCACGTTAATTAAGAAACTGAGATGGTTAGAGTGATTAAAAAAAAAAGACCAAATGAGCGTAAAAGAAATGCAATTTAAATGAAAAGACACAGTTTTAACATTTAAAGAGCTAGGTGAGATGGTTCACTCTTGTAGGCCCAGCTTGTCAGGATGCTGAAGTAGGAGGATTACTTGAATGTAGAAGGTTGAGACTGCAGTGAGCCATGATTGATTGCACCAGTGTACTCCAGCCCAGGCTGCAGAGTGAGACCCTATTTAAAAAAAAATAAAAAGAAAAAAAAGAAAAGAAAATAGCTAATTGTTTTGGATTTGGGTCATAAAATGATGGAACAGAAATTGGGTTTAGTTAATTATGCTATGAATTAATTTATGGATCCATATTCTCAGAGTTTATCCTTAAAGACAGTCTTAAAGTCCTTAAGAAAATAAAGAGAGAACGGCCAGGCGTATTGGCTCACACCTGTAATCCCAGCACTTTGGGAGGCCGAGGCAGGCGGATCACAAGATCAGGAGATCGAGACCTTCCTAACACAGTGAAACCCTGTCTCTACTAAAAATCCACAACCAAAGTTAGCTGGGTGTGGTGGCGGACGCCTGTAGTCCCAGCTACTGGGGAGGCTGAGGCGGGAGAATGGCATGAATCCAGGAGGCGGAGCTTGCAGTGAGCCGAGATTGCACCACTGCACTCCAGCCTGGGCGACAGAGTGAGACTCTGTCTCAAAAAAAGAAAGAGAAAACTTCATAACACATTTTATGAGGGCAGTGTTACTTTGATAGTCATACCAGAGACATTACAAGAAAACTAAGCTACAGGGCAATATTCCTCAGAAATATAAAAGTAAAATTTCTTAAAATATTAGCAAGTGAAATCCAGCAATATATATAAAAAAACACATTATGCTCAAATGAAGTTTATACCAGAAATGCAAAATTGATTAACATTAGAAAATTTGTGTAATCCACCACATAAACATAATAAAGGATGAAACCCCTCTGATTATCTCAGTAGACTAGTAAAAAAGCATTGCCAAATTTCAGCACTCAACACATGGCAAACTAAAAATAGAAGGAAGCTTTCTTAGGCTAGTAAGAGCTTTTTATAAAAAACCTACAGCTGATACCATGCTTAAAAGTGAGAGACTAAGTCCTTTTCCTTTGAGACCAGGAATAAAAGCTTTTTTTTTTTCTTTTTTGAGACGGATTCTCGCTCTGTCTCCCAGGCTGGAGTGCAGTGGTGTGATCTCGGCCCACTGCAACCTCCACCTCCCGGGTTCAAGTGATTCTCCTGCCTCAGCTTCCTGAGTAGCTGGGATTACAGGTGCGCACCACCACGCCCACCTAATTTTTGTATTTTTAGTAAAGATGGGGTTTCACCATGTTGGTCAGGCTGGTCTTGAACTTTTGAACTCATGATCTGCCTGCTTCGGCTTCCCAAAGTGCCGAGATTACAGGTGTGAGCCCACTGCGCCCAGCCAAGGAATAAAAACTTCTACTCAGCATTATACACAAAGTCCTAGCCACCATAATAAGGCAAGAAAAATAAATGAAAGGCATACAGATTATAAAGGAAGTAGTTAAAGGTAATACAAGAGTATACCTAGAAAAAGTTACTAGAATCAATAAGCAGACTTATCAAGGACATAGGCTAAAAGTTGGTATAATCAGTCGTATTCTATATACTGGCAATGAATATTTAGAAAATGAAAAAAATTAAAATAGCATCAAAATATAAAATATGTAGAATAAATTTAACAAAATATGTGCAAGATGTGTACATGAAGAACTAGAAAACATTGCCAAGAAAAATTAAAGATTAAATAAATTGAGAAATAAACTTTGTTTGTGGTTGGAATCCTCAATGTTAATATGTCAGTTCTCCCCAAATTGTTCTGCAGATTCAGTGCAGTCAGTATCAAGACTTCCAGTGGACATTTATCTAGTAGTTGACAAACTGATTCTAAAAGTTATACTGAAAGGTAAAAGATCTAGAATAGACAAAACAATTTTCAAAAAAGAACAAGGATGGAAGATTTAATAGTATTTGGTTTTTAAGACTTAGTATAAAGTTACAGTAATCAAGATAGTGTCATCTTGACCTAAGGGTAAACATGTAGGTAAATGTAGCAACATAGAGAGTCCACATGGTCAGTTGATTTTTGCAAAAGTCCCAAGGTAATTTAAAAGAGGAAAGAACAGTCTTTTCAACAAATGGTACTGGAACAATTGGATATCCATATGAAAAAAAAATTGAGATTCACCTGTACTTCACACCTTATACAAAAATTAACTCAAAATGGAAAATGGACCTATATGCCAAAGCTAAAACTAAAACTAGGAAAAAACATAGGAGAAATTTTTGTGACTTGTGATAACAATTTCTCAAGGCACAAAAATTCCCTATGAAAAACATGTATAAACTGACTTCATCAAATTGAAAAACCTTGCCTCAAAAAACATAGTTAAGAAAAATAGGAAAACAAGCCACAGACTGAGAAAATGTCCACAATGTCTCTGATAAAAGGCTTTTTTCCAGAATAGTAAAGAACTGTTATAACTCAGTTAAGAAAAAAAAAAAAACACAAACCCCAATTAAAAAATGGACAGTGCACCTGGAAAGCCTTTCCAAGAAGGACAGGCACAAATAAGCCCAGACTGTGAGGACTACAGTGAATACGTAACTCTTCAATGCCCAGACGTGAACCAACATCCACAAGCGTCCAGACCATCCAGGAAAACATGACTTCACCAAAGAAACTAAATAAGGCACTGGGGACAAATCCTGGAGAATGGATCCAGAGATAGGTGACCTTTCAGATAGAGAATTAAAAATAGCTGTTTTGAGGAAACTCAAAGAAATTCATGATAACACAGAGAAGGAATTCGGAATACTATCAGATAAATTTAAAAAACATTGAAATAATTAAAAAGAATCAAGCAGAAATTCTAGAGTTGAAAAATGCACTTGACATACTGAAGAGTGCATCAGAGTCTCTTAGTAACAGAATTGATAAAACAGAAGAATTAGTGAGCTTGAAGACAGGCTATTTGAAAATGTAAAGTCAGAGGAGACAGAAAAGGAATACTCTAAAAGAATGAAGAACACCTATAATATCTAGGAAATAGCCTCAAAAGGGCAAACATAAGAATTATGTCCTTAAAGAGGAGGTAGAGAAAGAGATAGGGGTAAAAAGTTTATTCAAAGTGATAATACCAGAGAACTTCTCAAACCTAGAAAAAGATATCAACATTCAAGTGTAAGAAGGTTATGAAGCACCAAGCGTATTTAACCCAATGAAGACTAACTCAAGGCATTTAATAATCAAACCAGCAAAGGCCATAAAGAAAAGATCCTAAAAGCAGCAAGAAAAAAGAAACAAATAACCTACAATGGAGCTCTGATAAATTTGGCAGAAGACTTTTCAATAGAAATTTTACAGGCCAGGAGAGAGTGGCATGACATGTTTAAAGTGCTGAAGGAAAAAATTTTTTATCCTATAGCAGTATATTCAGGGAAATAGCCTTCAAACACGAAGGAGAAATAAAAACTTTCCCAGAGAAACAAAAACAGATGGATTTCATCAACACCAGACTTGTCCTACAAGAAGTGCTAAATAGAGTTCTTCAGTCAGAAAGAAAAGGATGTGAATGAGCAATAAGAAATTATATGATGGTACAAAACTCATTGGTAATAATAAGTACACAGAATATTGTGTATCTGTGATTATGGTATATAAATTACTCATATCTTGAGTAGAAAGACTAAATGATGAACTGATAAAAAATAACTCTTCAGGATATAGACACTACAATAAGGCATGAATAGAAACAAAGTTAAAAAGCAGGGGGACAAAGTTAAAGTGTAAAGTTTTTATTAGTCTTCTTTTTGCTTCTATAATTATGCAATCACTGTTGTCATCAGTTTAAAATAAGGATTGTAAGGTAGTATTTGCAAGCCTCATGGTAACTTCAAATCAAAAAACATATGATAGATACACAAAAAATAAAAAGCAAGAAATTAAATCATACCACCGGAGAAAATCAGCTTCACTAGAGGGAAGTCAGGAAGGAAAGAAGGAAGAGAAGGCCGCAAAACAACCAGAAAACAAAAAAACAAAGTGGCAGGAGTAAGTCCTTACTTATCAGTAATAACATTGAATGTCAGTGGACCAAAGTCTCTAATCAAAAGACATAGAGTAGCTAAATGGATTAAAAAACCCCGAAGATCCAATGATCTATTGCATACAAGAAACACATTTTACCTGTAAAGATACACATAGACTGAAAATAAAATGGTGGAAAAAGATATTCCATCCCAGCGGAAACCAGAAGAGCAGGAGT
Organism: Homo sapiens; assembly: GCF_000001405.40. Classification (NCBI taxonomy): domain Eukaryota; kingdom Metazoa; phylum Chordata; class Mammalia; order Primates; family Hominidae; genus Homo; species Homo sapiens. The sequence continues at coordinate 58,656,127 of NC_000015.10, read as the reverse complement.
AGCTATACTTGTATCAGTCAAAATAGATTTCAGGACAAAAACTGTAAGAGACAAAGATAGTCACTATATAATTATAAAGGGGGCTGGGCCTGGCAGCTCACGCCTGTAATCTCAGCAGTTTGGGAGGCTGAGGTGGGTGGATCACCTGAGGCCAGGAGTTTAAGACCAGCCTGGCCAACATGGCGAAATCCTGTCTCTATTAAAAATAGAAAAATTAGCTGGGTGTGGTGGTGGGCATCTGTAATCCCAGCTACTCAGGAGGCTGAGGCAGGAGAATCACTTGAACCCAGGAGGTGGAGGTTGCAGTGAGCTGAGATCCGGCCACTGCACTCCAGTCTGGGTGACAGAGCAAGACTCTGTTTCAAAAAAAAAAAAAAAAAAAAAAGAATATATATATATATATATATATATATATACTATATATATATATACTATATATAATATATATATGTATGTATGTATGTATGTATGTATGCAAAGGGATCAGTTCAGCAAGAGGATTTAACAACTGTAAATATATATTAATATAGTTTGGATATTTGTCTCAGCCCAAACCTTCTGTTGAATTGTAATCCTCAGTGCTGGAGGTGGGACCTGGTGGGAGTTGTTTGGATCATGGGGGCAGATCCCCCATGGCTTGGTGCTGTTTTTGTGATAGTGAGTTCTCATGAGATTTGGTGGTTTAGAAGTGTGTGGCATCTTCCCCCACAGACACTCTTGCTTGCTCCTGCTTCCAGCATGTCATGTGCCTGCTCCCCCTTCACCTTCTGCCCATGCTTATAAGCTTCCTGAGACCTCTCTAGAAGCCAAGCGGATGCCAGCACCATGCTTCCTGTAAAGCCTGCAGAACGATGAGCCAATTAAAACTCTTTTCTTGATAAATTACTCAGTCTCAGTTATTTCTTTATAACAACGCAAAAATGGCCTAATACGTATATGCACCCAACACTGGAACACCCAGATATATAAAGCAAATATTATTAGAGCTAAAGAGAGAGAGATAGACTTCAATACAGTAATAGCTGGAGACTTCAATACCCCACTTTCAGCAATGGATAGACCTTCCAGACAGAAAATCAACAAAGAAACATCAGACTTAATCTGCAGTATAGAACAAATGGACCTAACAGGTATTTATAGACCATTTCTTCCAATGGCTGCAGAATACACATTTTTTTCTCCTCAGCACCTGGATCATTCTCAAGAATAGACCATATGTTTGGTTGTAAAACAAGTCTTCAAACATTCAAAAAATTGAAATAATATCAGGTATCTTCTCTGACTACACTTGAATAAAACTAGAAATCAATAACAAAAGGAGTCTTTGAAACTATACAATCACATGGAAAGTAAACAATATGCTCCTGAATGACCGATAGGTGAGTGAAAAAATTAAAAAGAAAATTGGAAAATTTCTTGAAACAAACGATAATGGAAACACAACTTACTGGCTAGGAGTGGTGGCTCATGTCTGTAATTCCAGCACTTTAGGAAGCTGATGTGGAATGATCATTTGAGCCCAGGAGTTTGAGACCAGCCTGGGGTCTATAGTAAGACCTTTTCTTTGCAAACAGTTTAAAAATTAGCCAGGTGTGGTGGTGCATGCCTGTAGTCCCAGGTCCTTGGGAGGCTGAGGCAGGAGGATTGCTTGAACCCAGGAGGAGGAGGTTGTGGTGAGAAAGATTGTGCCACTTTACTGCAGCCTGGGCAACAGAAGGAGACGCTGTCTCAAAAACAAAGAAAACACAACATAACACAACGCGTAGGATACAGTAAAAGCAGTACTAAGAGGAAAGTTTATATAGCTATAAATGCCTGCATCCAGAAAGAAAACTTCAAATAAATGCACTAACAATGCATTTTGCAAGAGCAAACCAAACCCGAAATTAGTAGAAGAAAAGAAATAATAATAAAGATAAGAGCAGAAGTAAATGAAATAGAAATGAAGACAGTATAAAAGATCAAAGAAACAAAAAGTTGTTTTTTGAAATCGTAAACAAAATTGACAAACCTTTAGCCAGACTAAGAAAAAAAAAAGACCTAAATAAATAAAATCAGAGATGAAAAAGGAGACATCACAAGTGGTATAGATGAAATTCAAAGGATCATTAGTGGGTACTTTGAGCAACTATATGCCAATAAATTGCAAAATGTAGAGAAAATGGATACATTCTTAGACACATACAACCTACCAAGATTGAACCATGATGTTCAAAACCTGAACAGACCAATAACAAGTAATGAAATTGAAGCTGTAATAAAAAGTCTTCCAGTAAAGAAAAGTCTGGGACCCAGTGGCTTCACTGTTGAATTCTACCAAATATTTACAATATAACTAATACCAATTGTACTGAAACTATTCCAAAAAATAGAGGAGGAGGGAAAACTTCAAACTCATTCTAGGAGGCCAGTATTACTCTGATACCAAAAGCAGATAAAGGCAGCAAAAAAAGAAAATGACAGGCCATTATGTCTCATGCATATTGGTAGAAAAATTATCAACAAAATACTAGCAAACTGAATTTAGCAATTCATTAAAAAGATCATTCATCATGACTAAGTGGTATTTATCCCAGGGATGCAAGAATGGTTCAACGTATGCAAATCAGTCAGTGTGATACATCATAATGGAATGAAGGACAAAACTTATACGATAATTTCAATTGATGCTGAAAAAGCAGTTGATAAAATTCAAAATCCTTTCCTGATAAAAATGCTCAAAAAATTGCGTATAGAAGGTACGTATCTCAACATAATAAAAGTAATGTACAGTGAATCCATAGCTAGTATCATACTGAATGGGCAAAACCTGAAAGCCTTTTTTCTAAGATTGGGAACACAAGAAGGATGCCTTCTTTCAGCACTGTTACTCAACATAGTACTGGAGGTCCTAGCTAGAGCAATCAGAGAAGTGAGAGAAATAAAGTGCACCCAAATTGGAAACAAAGAAGTCAAAATATCCTTGTTTGCAGATGATATAATCTTATATTTGGAAAAACCCATAGACTCCACCAAAAAACTATTAGAACTGATAAACAAATACAGTAAAGTTGCAGGATACAAAATCAACGTACAAAAATCAGTAGCATTTCTACTGTTGTTTCCAGCAACAAACAGTCTGAAAAAGAGAAGCAATCCCATTTGCAGTAGCCACAAATAAAATTACATACCTAGGAATTAACCAAAGAAGTAAAAGATCTCTACAATGAAAAGTATAAAACACTGTGAAAGAAATCGAAGAAGACAGAAAAAAATGGAAAGATATTCTATGTTCGTATATCGGAAGAATCAGTGTTGTTAAAATGTCCATAATTACAAAAGGCAATGCAATTGCTACCAAAATGCCATTGTCATTCTTCACAGAAATAGAAAAAGCCATTTGAAATGTTTTATGGAACCAGAAGAAACTCAGAATAACCAATGCTATCCTGAGGAAAAAGAACAAAATTGGAGGAATCATATTACCTGACTTCAGATTATACTGTAGCGCTATAGTAACCAAACAACATGGTACTGGCATGAAAACAGACACGTAGACCCATGGAACAGAATAGAGACCTCAGAAACAAATTGATACACCTACAGTGCATTTTTTACAATGGTGCCAAAAACATCCATTGGGGTAAAGACAATCTCTTCAATAAATGGTGCTGGGAAAACTGGATATCCGTATGCAGAGGAATGAAACTAGACCTCTATTTCTCACCGTATACAAAAATCAAATCAAAATGAATTAAGACTTAAATTTAAGTGCTCCACTGTGAGACTGCTGCAAGAAAACGTTGAAGAAACTCCCCACTTTCATGTGGACAAAAATTTCTTGAGTAAAACCCCATAAGCACAGGCAACCAAAGCAAAAATGGACAAATGGGATCACATCAAGTTAAAAGCTGCGGCTCAGCAAAGGATACGATTAACAAAGTGGGGAGACAACCCATAGAATGGGAGAAAATATTTGCACACTACTTGTCTGACAAGGGATTAATAACCAGAATATATAAGGAGCTGAAATAACTCTATAGAAAAAAATCTAATCTGATTAAAAAATGGGCAAAAGATCTGAATAGACATTTCCTAAAAGAAGACATACAAATGGCAAACAGGCATATGAAAAGGTGCTCAACATCATTGATCCTTGGAGAAATGCAAATAAAAATTACAGTGAGATACCGTCTCACCTCAGTAAAAATGGCTTTTATCCAAAAGACAGGCAATAACAAACGCTGGTGAGGATGTGGGGAAAAGGAAACCGCCACACACTGTTGGTGGGAATGCAAATTAGTACAATTGCTATGGAGAATAGTTCGGAGGTTCCTCAAAAAACTACAAATAGAACTACCATAATCCAGCAGTCCCACTGCTGCACATCTACCCGAAGAGATACATCATAGAGATAGCTGCACTCCCATGTTTGTTGCTGCACTGTTCACAATAGCCAAGATTTGGAAGCAGCCTAAGTGTCTGTTAATAGATGAATGGATAAAGAAAATGTGGTACATATTCACAATGGAATACTATTTAGCCATAAAACAGAATTAGATTCTGTAATTTGCGACAACATGGATGGAACTGGAGGTCATTATGTTAAGTGCAATAAGCTAGGCACAGAAAGACAAACTTCACATATTCTCACTTATTTGTAGGAGCTAAAAATTAAAACAATTTAACTCATGGAGATAGAGAGTAGAAGGATGGTTACCAGAGGGTGCAATGAGTATTAGAGCAGTGGTGGGGGAAGTGGGGATGGTTAACGGGCACAAAAACATGTTAGAAAGAATGAATAAGACCTAGTATTTGAAAGCACAGCAGGGCAACTATAGTCAATAATAATTAAATTGTACATTTTAAAATAACTAAAAGAGTGTAATTGTATTTTTTGTAACAAAAAGGATAAATGCTTGAGGGGATGGATGCCCCATTTAACATGATGTGATTTACACATTGCATTCCTATCAAAGTATTATATATCTTATGTACCCCATAAATATATATACCTATGTATTCACAAAATTTAAAAACAAAAAATAAAAAAATTTAATAGATAATGGGCAAAACATTTGAAAAGACACTTCACAAAAGATATTATAAAATATTTTGGATTTTGATCTGGAGAAATGGTTTGAATATGTAAGACTTTTCAGTATAAAAAAGATGAATATATTTCACTATATGAATATTAAAAATAAAAGACACCTTAAAGTGAAGACAAGTTATAAACTTTGTATAAAATTTTATGCTTTCACAATGTATAAAATTAATAAAGAATTGTTTTTAAGAAGTAGAGAACAACTGATTAGTACAACTAATATATAGCAACCTGGCCTGAAAATAAAAATATTTTAAAAATATATGTGTATGTATATTTCCATATACGTGTTTTGTATATTTGTGTGTATTTATTTGAAGGCATTGGAAAGATAACATGACTGTGAAGTAGTACGCGGCCAAGATTTCAGAAAAAAGTATACAGCTAGAATGGTGATACTGGTATTTGGTTCTACCTTTTCTCCAGGTGTGTCTTTGAGTTTCTGAGGAGGTGGCTGAGAGACTGAGAGGGAGAGTAGAACTGTGCAGACACATGAGGCTGAGGATGAAAATATTGTTTAGGATCTGCCCAGAAGAGCTTTTGGTTGGGACCTTGAAGGACTACTCCCTAAGAATAAGGGTATAAATTATAAAATGTTCAGTCTCTCTTCACAGGGATTAAAGTTTCACACCACATCTCAGTCCCTAACTGGATTAAGGTGATCCAGGATTACTAGTGCACCAAGCCTAACTCTGCTTACCAGAAGTGAAAGTAAATCTTTTGAGAAAGGTGTCAATCACAACTTCACATCAAATCTGTGGTTATCCATATACATAGCCTGGCACTCAGTTCAATGTAACCAGTATATGAACAAACAAAACAACATGATGGAAGAACAAGAGAGTCAACTGACAAAGGAAATGGTACCTGGATAAGAAAATTATCTGACACAGACTTTAATATATTCAAGTCATAAAGACTAAATTTAAAATTTTAGCAGAAAATTGAAAATTAACAAAAGAACTTGATGGGAAATTTAGAATTGACAAATGTTAACAACAAAAATTAGGAATTTGATGGATTTAGATTTGGATAGTATAAGAAAATAGAGCAAACTGCTAAGAAAAGGATGGAAAATACAGAAAAGAGCATAAGAGAAATAGATGATACCTTCAGAAGGTCTGATATATGTATTATGTAATTGATGTCCTAGAAGGAGGAAAATGGAGAGTCAAGGACAGGTAATGGCTGAGAATTTTTCCAATGTAACAGAGAGATATCAAACAACACATTCATTAAGCCCTGTAATTAGGGCAGGATAAATGCTTTACACTGAAAACAATACCATAGCACATTATTTGAGAAGTCCGAAAGCCAAAGATATAATCTTAAAAGCAGCCGGTGAGAAAAAGTTTAATCACTCTTAAGCAACAGTAAACATGGCAGCTCATTTCTCATTGGAAGCAGTTAAAAAGACAGAAGACAGTAGGATATGCTGAAACAGAGAAACTGCCATCCTCTAGGATGCTCTACTCAGAAGAATAGATCAAAGTAAAATTAACACATTTCAAATGGAATATATAACCATCTGACACGCTAAAAGTAGTTTTTTTCCTGTTGAAAAGATTGCGGGCTCAAATGCTAACTTGTAGATGAAGTATTGAATAAAGAACACATTAGATAATTTTGAGTATTGACTGTATACTACAAAGCACTAATAGTAAAGACTTGTAGGGTGGTATATATTTGTATGTTGTGTATGTGGATATAGAGGGAGTTAAAATTGGAGTGAGAAAAATGTAATTTAAGTGTTCTGAGGTTCTTTTCTAGGAACAAGTAAATGTTATAATTTATATTTGATTTTGGTAAGTCAAGTATTAGTAAAATATATAACTAACAAGCTAATGGGGGAAGGGATAGAATAAAAATTCAAAATCCAAAACAAGGCAAGAAAGAAGTTAAAGAAGACTATTGAACAGGCAGGACAAATAGAAGATAATAAAATTGGAGATTTAAACCCCAAAATATCTGTAATTATATTAAAGGTAAATGGATTAAATGCACCGATTAAAAGATAAATATTATCAGATTGGATTTAACAGCAACAAAACCCCACAAACTGTTTTACAAAAACTGCTCCTAAAATATAAGGATGCAGAAAAGATGGAAAGTAAAACAGCACAAGATGTAAACTTTGATGACTCTAACAAAAATATGTCTATTATCAGCCAAAGTAGATTTTAAGGCAAAAAAAAAGCATTACTAAAATAGATATGTCATAATGATAAAAAGTTTAGTTCTCCATTATGTTATAGCAGCCTTTAATTTGTATGTCCGTAATATTATAACTTCAGAATATGTAAGGCAAAAGTTGACAAAACCGGAAGGAATAATAGAAAAATCATATGATAAATAAGAGAACAGTTGTACAAAAAATAAAACCCAGTGAAGATATGGGAGAGCTGAACTACTTGATATAATAAACTTGAACACCTTTATGTTATTTTTTTCTGCTTGGAACACTTTTTCATATTTCAGACTGTTTTCTTATTTAAAACCTTTCTTTAAATAGAATTTTCACATTAAAGCATCCAGTTTTTTTTCCTTTGGTCTGGAGTAGAAAATCTTTCACACATAAAACTTCACCATTAGCTAAGATAAATTCCTTTTTGTGTGGAATAACATGATTGTAAATATAAACTGCATTTCACAAATAACATGGATTTGAAATACTTCTCAATGTTTGAGTCATTTACAAACTGTGTAAACTGAGACCTGGAGACCATCTAAATCAAAATCCTGAGTGGAACAGTATTCAAGGTAGGCTTTGGGGACAGTTCCCCCAAATGTTACACTGTTTCAGTAGTGTTGGTACCCATCTATAATACAAATTGTTTTAAAAATAAGTTTTATTGTGTATATATCAGGTATATTACATGATGTTATGGGACACATATAGATAGTCAAAATGGTTACTATAGTGAAGCAAATAAACATTTCCATCATTTCACATAGTTACCCTTTTTTGTGTGTTTGGCATATAATACAAATTTTTCATTTTGTGTATGTTCACATGGAATTATTAAGGGAGAAGGAAATGTCAAGGAAGAAGAAATTGTGACTTAAAATTCAATTTGGGTTCTATATTACTGTGCCATCAAAAATACTTAAGATGATCCTTTTAGGTGTTCACAAATGTTTGACTGGATTCAATAGCAGTGGTAATTCTTTGAAGAAATACTTAATTGAGGCCAGGCACAGTGGCTCCTGCCTGTAATCCCAGTACTTCGGGAAGCTGAGACAGGAGGATTACTTGAGACCAGGAGCTCATGACCAGCCTGGGCAACATAGGAAGACCTCCGTCTCTACAAAAAAATTAAAAAATTAGCCAGGCATGGTGATACATGCTTGTAGTCCCCCAGCTACTTGGGAAGCTTAGGCGGGAGGATTGTTTGAGCCCAGGAGTTTAAGGCTGCATTGAGCTGTGATCATGCCACTGCACTCCAGCCTGGGTAACAGAGTGAGACTCTCAAAAGAAATACTTGGCGGGGGTGGTGGCTCTGTAATCCTAGCACTTTGGGAGGCCGAGGCGGGCGGATCACGAGGTCAGGAGATCGAGACCATCTTGGCTAACATGGTGAAAACCTGTCTCTACTAAAAATTCAGAAACAAAATTAGCCAGGTGTGGTGGCAGGCGCCGGTAGTCCCAGCTATGCCGGAGGCTGAGGCAGGAGAATGGCGTGAACCCGGGAGGCGGAGCTTGCTGGGAGCCAAGATCGTGCCACTGCACTCCATCCTGGGCAACAGAGTGAGACTCTGTCTCAAAAAAAAAAAAAAAAAAAAAAAAAAAAAATACTTAGTGTCTACTCTTTGCTGCCAAGCCTGTGTTAGGTGATAGCATTACAGTGAGGATCAAACAGAGATAATTTCTTCTTTCCAGAACTTACATTCTAGTGGGTGAAGTGGGATGTGGACAGAAATTAAATAATCCCACAAATAAATGTAAGGTTGCACTATGTAAGAGACATTGGTGTATGATTCTATGGAGTGGTATAATGGATGAATTGACCTTCTCGAAGTCTAAGGAAAGAAGGAAGCCATTAACAAGATCAGAAGAGGTAGTGTCAGCATGTGCAAAGACTGGCAGGAGATAGACTGTGTGTGGAGGATTGGAAAGAAAGCTTATATAGCTGTACCACAGACAGCTAGAGTTGGCTAATGTAGGGTCTCTTTGTGAAGTAATGTGGAATGAGAAAAGCTGGATAGTTAAGTAGAGGCTGTGTAATGTTGATATTTAGGGGAGCATATAAAGAATATTGGGCTTAATCTTTTAGAGCAATAGGAAGTCATTGAAATACATTATTGAGGTGGATGACATATTCAAATTTGCGTTTTGAAAACATTGCAATATGGAGAAGAGATGTAAGGCCATTAGTGGCTATTGGTTGATTAAACTGATCTTACTGCAGTACTCTAGGTAACAAGTAATGGTAGCTTGGGCTAGAGTGGTGGAGCCAGAGATAATGGGTAGATACCTTAGGTATTTAGGAGATAAATTTGACAGAACTGGATGGTAGATGGGTATTAGATGTGAGGTAGAGAAGATATCAAAGTAGTATAAGCTATTATACAACTTGCTTTAGATTTAAATGAATACATATTAAAATACATGTTTTGAAAATGTTTAAAAGTGAAGGAGTTCCTTGAATAGATAGTAAATAATCTATATGGAGAAGATTATGAGACAAAGTGATTTTATGAACTTTTAATGGCAGCAGAAATACCTATGGTGTTATATAAAGCAGAATATGAAATTGTTTATAGTATGTATTCTTAATTAGATAAAATGATAGTATTGAAGCATACTAATTGTCAGAAATGACTTTTTGATGTATAGATACCTCAAGAAGAACATGCTGCTAATGGTCCAGAACTTCTGAGGAAAAAACGTACAACTTCAGCTGAAAAAAATACTTGTCAGCTTTATATTCAGACTGATCATTTGTTCTTTAAATATTACGGAACACGAGAAGCTGTGATTGCCCAGGTATTTATGATTATGCGCTATTTTAGTAGTTCCCATATTGTTTTATAATGCCTATTCTTTCCTTTAAAAATTTAAGTTAGTGTATTCTCTTTTTGGGAAAAAGTATGTGTTTTCAGTTGTGATGTGATAAAATGTGTAAGATAAGTACATGGATAACTGAAAGACCAGTTGGGATATTTTAGTGTCAAAAGAGAGGGGTAAGACAATGATTTCCTGAAGGAGATGATGACACTGAAGTTTAGCTTTGGAAAGAGAGTTGAATTTTCATTTGTGGTCTTAAAGGAGGGAAAGTTGGAGGAATCCTTCCAACTGGAAGTATTTAATTTTTTTTCTGTATTTTTATTGTATGTAGCACTTTCTAAGTTACATTATTATTTGTACTTGTGTCTTCTCAACCCTCATTAAAGTATAAATATTTTGAGGGTGCCCTTCAAAATGTCCTTCGTGTGGAAGGTACCCAGTGAGAATTTGATGAATGAACTTTTGACTCAAAGGATTTGAAATGGAGAAGATGGAGGTACGACTAGTATAAATGAATCATTTTGGTGGTGAGGATGAACTTCCTTTTAAACATGTATAAAAGCTAGGTAGTTCTTCCCTTAGGATTTTGAAAATGTGAAACTAGAGCTTGAGGGAAGGGTAGCCTTGAGAGATTGAATGTGGAAAGAATGAAACCAAAGGAGAAGAAATTGGAGCTATCTGTATATGGTGAATAGGTTGAGGAAGAGAAGCTAGTGAGGAAAACATAATAGTAATAAGGTAGGAGATTTTGTAGGATTTACCAAGGAACAAATAAATTTCAAGACAAAATAGCGTGAATTTTATAATGAGCCCTATGAGCAGTTAGGAATTTCATTAGCAGTGTTTGGCAGCGTGGGCTACCTTTGAAATGATTATTGTTAATGCTTTTACTTGACCATCTTGTTTTATGTTTTATGTTTATGTTTTTACAATTTCTTTGAAAATAACTTTGAGACTATACATACATGTTTTCACATAAATGGTAGCAAGAGTACTTTTTGTAAATGAAGTTGGGAAGGTTGTTTACAGAGTGGTTTAGAAGTCAGAAAGTTTAGTTGGGGGTCAGCTAGGTAAACGGATACTTTTGGGTTTATCATCGTTTATCTCCTTGTAGAATTTAGCAAAATCTGAATGTATGTTTATTATATTTGTATTATCTCCCTCCTTTCTTCCGCTACTAAAGTAAGCCTCTGTAAATTTATAGGGACCTTCTGTATTTTGTTCACCACTATATCCCCAGTGCCTAAAACAGTGCCAAGAATATAGAAAGGGGTCAACAAAGTTTACAGAATGTGCAGCAATAGAAGGATTAAAGTCAGGGAATGACTGTGTGTCCTGAGCCATCAGGGAAGTTCTTATAAAAATGTTTGAGCTGAGTCTGAAGGATAAATAGAGAAGGATACTCTACGCATAGGAAATATGTGAAAAGGAATGGACGTGTGACGTTGTAGGATTGGATTGAGGAAACAAAATTTTTATGTGACTGAAACAAGAGTATATGTTTAGGCCAGTTGTGGTGGCTCATGCCTGTAATGCCAGCACTTTGGGAGGCCCAGGTGGGTGGGTCACTTGAGGTCAGGAGTTCGAGACGAGCCTGGCCAAGATAGTGAAACCTGTCTTTACTAAAAATACAAAAATTAGCTGGGCATGGTGGTAGGCGCCTGTAATCCCAGTTGTTTGGGAGGCTGAGGCAGGAGAATCACTTGAATCTGGGAGGCAGAGGTTGCAGTGAGCCGAGATTGCAACACTGCACTCCAGCGTGGGCAACAGAGCAAGACTCTTGTCTCCAAAAAAAAAAACAAAAAAAGAAAAAAAAAAACCGCAAAGAAGTATGCATGTTTATTGTTGGCCAGAGGAGTCTGGAAAAGAAAGTAGAATCTCCCTTCCCAGCGCAGCTCACTAATCTTTTTTATATTTATGTCCAGTATATAATGTTGACATTTTAAAATTTGAATGTGGCAGGACATGAATAATTACTGATTTTGGAAATGGAAATTTATAATCTTTTTCATATTTCAACATTGCCTCTAAAATGTTCTTTTTTTTAAATCATAGATATCCAGTCATGTTAAAGCGATTGATACAATTTACCAGACCACAGACTTCTCCGGAATCCGTAACATCAGTTTCATGGTGAAACGCATAAGAGTAAGGAACTTAAATAGTTAAAAACACTTAAAAAGTGAAACAGTCCAGACTATGTTTACACACACACACAAAAGCTTGCTTTTAATTTTATCTTTATGAATTAAGTAGTTTAGTTTAATTGTATCTGTTGATGCAGTTTTTTACTCCTGGCATTTACACACCCACACACACACAGATACTTGGGTTTATGATTTAAGAATTAAATGTATAAGGTCTTAATCCAGTCTACAGTAGAGGTAAAGTGTGTATTCAGTCTGTCTGATTAACATATTATTAAGAAAGCTCTGACCCTTCAATAACTATGGCTATAGTGCTTGACTTTTCCCCAATTATCCCTCAGTTTCCTAAAATTTGCTTTGTGCAGTGTTTTTCACTGTATGTTCCATTTGGTGTTCCAGGGGAGAAAAAGGATAAATACAGTGTTTAAATAAAATTGGAAGTTGGAAAAACCCTTAGTACTATAATCTTCTTGAAAATTCACAACTCACAGTAACATATATCAAGTTTTGAGAAGTCTTTCAGGAAAGAAACCCATATTTTTCTAAATTTTTGACCATGAAACTTTTTTTTTAGAAAAAATATATTAACATCAACAGATTCCAAAATACTTTAGGCATTTTGAGAAAAGCTGATCCGGAGCCATAGGGTCACGTAGTATGAGTTCTAATGTTATAAATTACAGGTAAATAAATAAATATTAAATTACTGACAAATTTAGGCTATTTTTTCAAAAGATTTCTGAATATTCTAAATATATATGTATAGCTTTTAAAGAAACAGTATTTATATGCTAAATAAACAACCGAACTTAAAAAAAAATCATCCTTTCACAAAAGTATTTGCCACAGGGTTCCTTAATATTTATGCTTTCCTATTTTTCTTCAAATGTGGTTGGATAAAATGTCTATACTAGAGAAGTTTAGTATATACATTCAGCCACATAGCTGTAGGTAGTCCTTAAATTTAGAAGCAGTGTGATTAAATCTTAAATTGGATTTTCTTAAGGTGAAATATGATTTATTGATTTACAGTATAAGAATTGTTCATAATTAATTGCTTTCATGTATTCTGTGAACAATATAAATCCTTAAATGAGCAAGTAACAGTGATAAGAGGTATAAGTGTTGCTGTTTAGTAGGCAGAGCAATAAAATGCAAGTAATGAAAAGTAGAGAGCACCTGAACACATTTTAGTGACGCACCTTTGAGGAAAATGATATGTATTATGAAGAAATGCATGTATATAAGTAAATGATGTGGTAGTTGGTTGTTTTTAGACCTTACCTCTTATTAAAACTTTAGTAAAGTTTTATCTGTTGAAGATTGTTCATAACCTATTAATTTAAAATTTCTGTCAGCTATATTAATAATCCATTTAAATATAGGTAATTAAAATTTAAATGCAATTTGTTTTTTTTTTTTGAGAAGGAGTCTCACTCTGTCGCCCAGGCTGGAGTTCAGTGGCGCAATCTCGGCTCACTGCAGCCTCTGCCTTCCAGTTTCAAGCGATTCTCCCACCTCAGCCTCCCGAGTAGCTGGGATTACAGGCGTCCACTGTCATGCCCGGCTAATTTTTGTATTTTTGTAGATACAGGGTTTCACCATGTTGGCCAGGCTGGTCTTGAACTCCTGACCTCAGGTGATCACCCGCCTCGGCCTCCCAAAGTGCTGGGATTACAGGCGTGAGCCACTGTGACGGGCCTTACATGCAATTTTTATTTATAGCCAGTATTAGAGAATTACTAGGAAATTTCATTTTTATATTTAGTGGGAGAAAGCCATCTACAGCATGTCTTCAAGCATGGACTATCTGTAACATACAGTGTGCTTGCTTTTGAATTGTTTTAGTGTTAAATGGCCGTAACTGATTGTTTTTCGTTAATTGTTAATAGATAAACCAGATGTTCTGAAATCTGTTCTTAAGCAGTTGCCCTCAATGGTGTTTTTGCCTCCCTGCTTCTGAGCCTCTTGGTTTTACTGGAGAGTACAGGTCATAAAGAGACCTGTAGCTCTTGTTGTATCAACCATTATGTCATCCTCTTACTGCCAACATTTTCAAACAGACTGAGGTTTGCCTTTCGGTAAAAACATTTACTTTCATATTGTAATTCCTTGGCTTACCTGGGGAAAGCCAAATCGTTCTAGGACTTCAGAGGAGACACACAGGTCTCTGAAAGGATGCAGGGGCTAATAAATAAAAGCTTTTGTTTAATAGAAGTCTGGTATTAGAACAGATTATTCAGATTCTGAAGGAGGAACCTGTGGTAGGAGTATAGTAGCTAAGTATCAAAAGAAACATTCTGGAAGAACTCAGCTTCAAAGAGTAAAAGAAGTGAGTTTAAATTAGCAAAATTCTTGCCCACATTCAGGAAAAAAAAATAAATTTGCAGTTAGTTTGGCTTGGCTCATGTGACTCTCTAGGCAAGGAAAACCAGGAAAATGATTTGTCTGCTGAACTGACAGTCTTGGGTTTGATACCTATTTTATATTCTAGTAATTAGTTAAAATACAGGGTTTTATATCCTTGTAAGTGTCACCATATGTAGGAGATTAGGACTAAAGGAGACTTGTTCAGAGAATTAAATTTGAAAAACTATACTTCCTTTACTAAAGGTTTTGAAAGCAAAACTTGTTTTTTCTTCCCAAGTGTTCAGTGTTCAGGAATCTGGTGAATACTTGCTCAGAAATTTAACATCTTCAATTTTAATTTCCCTACCTAGCCTTTCTTTTTTATTTGTTGTTATTGTTTTGCCTTCTGTGATCAGCTCAGGGATGTGGGCAGTGGGAACAACCTTAGAAGCCTTAATTCAGGCCTGATTTCCATGGGAGCATATTGTCCAGGTGTACGCAGAAGAAGGTGAGCAGACATTCACACTAAAGCTCTGCTAACATTAATTACTTACTAAATTATTGTTTTGGATTTTAGATCAATACAACTGCTGATGAGAAGGACCCTACAAATCCTTTCCGTTTCCCAAATATTGGTGTGGAGAAGTTTCTGGAATTGAATTCTGAGCAGAATCATGATGACTACTGTTTGGCCTATGTCTTCACAGACCGAGATTTTGATGATGGCGTACTTGGTCTGGCTTGGGTTGGAGCACCTTCAGGTAGTTTATCATATTAAATATGTCTTAACTTACTACTTGAAACAAAGGGGAGTTTTCAGAGAATGTTGAATTTTCAAAGTATAGGAGAAAGTGATGCCTGTATAATATCCTAATTTATGCTACTTGAGTTAGGCAAGACTCATAAGCATAATGTAAAAGCCACAATAGATGAAGGAGCTTTTTATTTTGAAACGCATACAGGGAAATATCCTGATTCCTGACATTTGAATGGACCAAATGAAATAAATAATTTTATGAGAAAAAGTGGTAATTCTGAAACCCAAAGGGAAATTTAATTTTTCCACAAAAGTTAATAAATGTTATATATTTATTAACTTTTTTCCCCTCCAAAATAGGGTACTTAGAATCAAAAGAGGAAAACTGTGTCTTGCTCTCTCTTCTGTAGTGAGATAAAGAGGAGAGAAATCCTCATCAAGAGTGGCAGGTAAAAGGAAAAGAAAGCCTGCCTTTATTATTTTATTTCTAGCCTTTATTTTAATAAAAGGGAAGCACTGCATGAAAGAGATGTAGGCAGGAAGCCCCTGGTACCCACAACTCCATTGACATCATCACCTGGGTTCATACTCTGCCGAGTCTCTGCCTTAGCCATGAAAGCTATTGTCATTGATAATGTTGGGATGGGACAATACCCTTCCCATTACAGTGGGGGTGGAGTGTTGTGGAGGAGCTGTGATTTACTGTATAAGTTCAGTTGCCTAGTTTAGAAATCCAAATTTATTAATTGAAAGATGAGTGGAAAGGACCCCAGGCTCTTTGAATATAAATTGTGCCAAGTAGAGTTTAATCAATAGTATATTATCTTCTGAGCTATATACAACAGATTCTCCTTCTGATACTTCATTTCTATGTTTTTTTTTTTAAAAAAAACTTCTGCTTTATCCAGAGTAAGAGAAGCTTTTGTATTCCTATTCTTATTAGTTTATTCTTTGATTTGTTTTGTATATTTTAAGATCTTAAGTAGTGCTGTATTTTCCTTTGTATTTCTTTCTCCTTTTTTAAAAGTCAGTATCTTAAGTCAATACTTTTACAATTTCCATAGCTTCTTTTGTTTTTCTTCTATGTTTTAAAATGTACTCAATTTCATGATGTCATTTTAAAGTATAAGTTTATGTCATGGGCTGCATATTAATAGTGCAGTACTTTTGGATATTTGTCTTTTATGATAATCTGTACTTTTTTGTTACTTGGATTAGTCAGCAGATTGTACAGCTCACTCTTTCCTATGATTTTTCATGTTCGAAACTTTCATACTCTGAAACCTCTTTGCCCCTTCAATGGTTGGATGATTTTATCACAAAGTCTGTGATTTCTTCTCCCTATTCATTAGTAAGTACTACTAAAAACTCAGGGTCTCATATGATTTTATTTGTATATTATCCATTAATACAGTAGCTGTGAAGTCTCAAACAAGTGGTTCTCCAAGTGTGATCCATGGACTAGCACCATCAGCATCACCTAGGAACTTGTTAGAAATATAAGTTCATAGGCACTACCCCGGTCTCTTGAATCAGAAACTATAGATGTGGAGCCCAACAGTCTTAGTTTGAACAAGTTCTCAAAGTGATTCTGATGCACAGTGAAGTTTGAGAAGCACCACATTAATATTTTTGTCTCTAAAGCTTGCTCACAAAATGCCTCCTGGGTAAGTGAGTATGTGATCTTAAACTAAAAACTTTCTGCCATTTTGCATTTTCAGTTACAGACTATTGTACTTAAGGATGTAATGATTCTGTAGGAATTTGGTAAAATTCTTCCTAAATCTTCAGATATTCTCATGTCTTTAGATTCAGCTACTCATTTTGTTGTAAAAAGTAAGCTTTATTTTTTAGAGCAGTTTTAGATTTACAAAAAATTGAACAGATTAGGTATTCTCAAATCTCCTTCCTCCCTCCCCTGACAGTTTTGAGGAGTACTGATGAGGTATATTTTAGAATGCTCCCCTATTTGGAATCTGTCTGATGTTTTCCTTATGATTAAACTGTAGTTATGGGTTTTTGGGACACTCAGTGTTTATGTCTCATTGTTTGTGATATTTGGATCACCATTTGTGATGCTGCTCATTTTCCTGAGGTGGGGAGAGTTCTGGATTGAAAATGGTGGGGCATGTTACTTGTATTTTCTTTTTTTTTTTTTTTTTTTTTGAGACAGAGTGTTGCTCTGTCACCCAGGCTGGAGTGCAGTGGCGCGATCTCCGCTCACTGCAACCTCCACCTCCCGGGTTCACGCCATTCTCCTGCCTCAGCCTCCCGAGTAGCTGGGTCTACAGGCGCCCGCCACCATGCGTGGCTAATTTTTTATATTTTTAGTGGAGATGGGGTTTCACCGTGTTAGCCAGGATGGTCTCAATCTCCTGACCTCGTGATCCGCCCGCCTCTATTTTCATTATTAGGGTCTTCTTAAAGGTGAAACAAGATACTTCCTGTGTACTTCATGAGCAAAAATATGGTGATTGGCAACCAGAATAGAAAACGAAGACTCCCGTTGTCAACTTTGTATCCCCATTTTCCCCCCCTCTGCTTTTTTTCCTTTTATATTATTATCTCTCTTTCTTTCAGACATTAGATGTCCGCTTCCATTACTCTATGTTAAACCCCCAACTTCAGCTCTTGGAAGCCATCTTCTAAGAGCTGCTGGGGAGGGGCTAGGCAGGCACAGAAGAATAGAGGCCATAGTGGGAAAGAAAAGGGATCTTTGTTCCTTTGGTCCAACTTTTTCGAGTGTAGGTTACCTGCCTTGAAATAACACTGCCAGCTTCTTCACTTGTCTTTGCACTTACTACTAGCTGAACTGAGTTTCATATTTGACATTTTTTTTTTTAAAACAAGGAATGTTATATATTTATTCTTGATTATTTCAATACCCTTATGAGGTGTAGGTATTATTGTCTCCCTTCTACAGATGAGGAAACTTGTGTTCAGAAACTTTGTGACCAACCTAATACCACACAGCTAGAGGTGGAACAGGATCTGGAATCTGGACCTTTTGACTCCAGATTCAGTTCATTTGGTAATTATATTACTAGGTATTTTATATATATATAAATACAATCTACACACACACACACAGTAACATCTTAGCCTTTTCTTTGATGTTTCAAATAAGAAGCTGAAATGTTTTCTGCTTCTTAGTAGAGGTTATACATTGGTGGAATCTGTTTTCTTCTTTCTTGAGAGAGAAGAGTTATAAAATCATACTAAGCTATAATATTTTGATATAATTTTGGGTAATTGTCATGGCATAATGGGAAGAGCAATGGACTGAGAGCTGGGAGACAGGATTCTTGTGTGTTTTCTGTCTGTAAATTCAGGAAAATCATTTTGCTTCTGGCTGTTTTTTCATTGTAGTTCTGTCTTTGCCCTTCTTTTGAGTCTTCATGTTTCTACCTATAGGTCTTATCAGTTAACTGAATGAACATAGTCTCAGTTCGGCTTGGTCGTTGAATGAGGCTGGCTTTGGAATTCATCTCTACAGTTAGTCCTGAAACCTTCAGTACTCCTCTATTTGTGAAGAACATCTTTTGAGGCATTTCATTTGGTAGAAATAGTCTCTTCTGTTTTCTTTAGATTAGATGTTTTAGTTTGATATTACATATTAAAATTTGAGAGCGTACAGAACTTAACACAGGGTTCTCGGGATAACCCACAGCTTATTGAATTCTTAACCCATAGTTTAAAAGTATAACTTCAAATGCTGGGAAAATTACATCATTGAAATATTGCAATAGGACACTTGCTATTGGCATTTAATGCTTGTCTGGATCCCTTGGATATTTAACATCTTTGATCCCTACCCATTGCATGTGAGTAGTGCTCTCCAGACTTGAAAGCCAAATGCCTGTGCTCTCACATTTCCTGGTATCACTTGTGGGAGTATTACTATGGTCTGGTCCAGAATTATTGCTTACATTAATATTGTATGATCAGCATGCTACTATTAATTTTTGGCCTCCTCACATCAAAACTGTATTTATGGAATATGTCAAGGTATCATATTACTCTTGTATTTTTTTCTAAGACTTTTTTTTGGGGGGTGGGGTGGAGTGGGTCTGTTTTGAAGTTTAGGACAGATACTCTAACTTTAGCTCTCAAACTATCCTGTAGATAGAAAATTGTCATTATACTTCTTTGTTGCTTATTGAATCCTTCATCAATAATTACTTTTGACCCGAATTGAAAACGTTTCACCCTTCTCATTGTTATTCACAACTTATGTATTTGTCAGTGATAAATATATGTATAGTAAAATCTTAAATTTAAAATATATAGCAATTGAGTTTGAGTTAATGGTTTAGCTGTGGGTATATATGATACCTCATTACTGAGTTTTCTGGCATATCAAAACTAGTTGCAGTATTTAAAAAAATTAAAC
This sequence comes from Homo sapiens, assembly GCF_000001405.40. Lineage (NCBI taxonomy): Eukaryota > Metazoa > Chordata > Mammalia > Primates > Hominidae > Homo > Homo sapiens. The sequence continues at coordinate 58,636,387 of NC_000015.10, read as the reverse complement.
CATAACTTTCAGAGTTACAAATAGTATTTTATTTCTTCCTGTATAATCAAGTTACTCCAACATATGCTATTAGCCTGCAACAAATATTAAACTTCCTTTTTTTTTTTTTTTGAAACGAAGTCTCGCTCTGTTGCTCAGGCTGGAGTGCAGTGGCATGATCTCTGCTCATGGCAACCCCCGCCTCCTGGGTTCAAATGATTCCCCTGCCTCAGCCTCCTGAGTAGCTGGGATTACATGCATGCACCACCTCGCCTGGCTAATTTTTGTAATTTTAGTAAAGATGAGGTTTCAACATGTTGGTTATGCTGGTCTCCAACTCCTGATCTCAGGTGATCCGCCTGCCGCCGCCACCCAAAGTGTTGGGATTACAGACGTGAGCCACTGCGCCCGGCCATTTTAAACTTTCATATAAGCGATAATCATAAAGACCAAAAGCAGTTGTTTAAGAAGTTAGGCAATATATAAATTACTATATTTCAGAATAGTATATTCTAATTTATGTATACTCTTCTCTTAAATTAGCCAGACCCTAAAAGTGCAGAAAAATGTATATTATCAGAGATTTAAAAATATGCCTATTTACTTTTTTTTTTTTTAACTGATAAAGATTTGAAGTGTGGAGTCTTCTATGCTTAATTCAAGTTTGACAGTACTGCATTGGACCAATTTGCACATGACAAATCTTCACTAAGGCAGGATATTAATTTACTATTTGTTTAAAACTATGCTGTGTGTACAATAATTATTATATACAGAATACTTATTTATATATTTTCTGGTTTCCAGAAATAATGATGTGCTTCTCAGGACTGAGCTCCAAAAGTAGAACTAGCTTGAAGAAAATATATTAAATTCTCACAAATTATTTGGTATTTTCTCTCTACTCAGTTGTCAGTGTAGAAAAGGTATTAAATTTTGAATATCATAAAAGTTCTCAACCCCTTGCTGGGTTAAATTTGCATGTGACTCCAGCTATTTGTCCGGCCTATAGTCTCAGGTCACTCATTTTAATGTGCATATACATCACCTGAGGTGGGCAGAGTTCTGGATTGAAAATGGTGGGGCATGTTATTTGTATTTTCTTTCTTTCTTTCTTTTTTTTTTTTTTTTTTTGAGACAGAGTCTTGCTCTGTCACCCAGGCTGGAGTGCAGTGGCATGATCTCTGCTCACTGCAAGCTCCACTTCCTGGGTTCACGCCATTCTCCTGCCTCAGCCTCCCGAGTAGCTGGGGCTACAGGCACCTGCCACCATGCCCTGCTAATTTTTTGTATTTTTAGCAGAGATGGGGTTTCACCGAGATGTTCTCAATCTCCTGACCTTGTGTTTCTTTGAAACACATTTTTCTTTTCAGCTTTCTGAATTTTAACAGTAATTCAAATTTGTATTTTGTTGCCATATATTTATTATATTTAATGGGAGCAAGGCAACAGTCGTAGTATAATGCTGTTCTTGCAGACCTATTTTGAATTGCCTTCTGTTACATGCTTTATTAGGGATTCTAAATACTAGACTTGTTTTTGAAGTGGGGAGAATGGGAAGGGGAGGAGAAGCAATATTAGACTTTTTTTAAATGGTTTAGTAACTTTGTTGTAACTTGTCTATAGAAAGCTAATTAGAGCAGTTATCGTAATACGCTTATCCATTTGATTGTATTTCTTTTAAAAATCAAATAGGGAAAACTTTAAGTATAAATATAAACTAAATAACTTCTCACTGAAAATCTTATAATAAAGTTAATTAAAAGAAAATATGATCTTACCAGTGTAATGTCTATATAAAGGCATGAATTGACCAGATGGTTTCTGATTTTCCTATTATTATTTTTCTGATTTCTCTTAATTGATTTTAGCTGTGAAAGCACTGTCATTTGCTGTTAAATTCTAAAGTCCCTGTTAATGAATAGATGAAGTACAAAATGATAAAAATATTTAAGTGGAAATATGGTTTTTCTTTTAAAATTTGATAGTGTCCTAAAGACATACTGGAACAATCATAATTCAGTTTTTAATTTTTTTTTGAAGATTTCAAACCTGCGGAAAGGTTGCAAGAATAGTATGGTGAAATTCTTCTTCTTTTTTTTTTTTTTAGACAGAGTGTCACTGTGTCGCCCAGGCTGGAGTGCAGTGGCACAATCTCAACTCATTGCAACTTCCACCTCCTGGGTTCAGGCAATTCTCCTGCCCGAGTAGCTGGGATTACAGGTGTGCACCACCACACCCAGCTAATTTTTGTATTTTTAGTAGAGATGGGGTTTCACCATGTTGGCCAGGCTGGTCTCAAACTCCTGACCTCAAGTGATCTGCCTGCCTCGGCCTCCCAAAGTGCTGGGATTACAGGCGTGAGCCACTGCGCTCAGCAGTGGTGAATTCTTGATGGATTAATCAATTATTAACCTTTTGTCGCATTTGCTTTCTATCTCTCCCTTCCTTCCCACCCATCTTCTCTTTTTCCTTCTTTCCTCTACCCCCTCTTTTTTTTTTTTTTTAACCTTCTTGACATGATTATTTTCTATTTTTACAAATACATTGTATGTCATATCTCAGGACAGGGAATCATGTGCTCATGTGCCTCACTGCTTCTTGTAGAAGTGACTTTCTCAGAATCTTCTTGAGGATATTTTGTTCAACTTTCATTTAACTTAAATCATAAGATTTCTTTTTAAAAGATGAAAGGATGTACACTTTGACTTAGTGTAAATACTGATATATTCAAATTGAAAGGAAATGTAAATATTTGTTTTCCTAAATTAATGGGAATAACATTTGGGGGACATTTTGATTGTGAAGAACATTTTGTAAAGGCTGTGTACTCAGTCCTGGGAGTTTCTTTCTGAATGTCATTAAAACTTTTATATGAAGTGACTTCTTAGTCTTGGACCAAAGAAACTTTTGCATATGTGATACGTTTGAGTACCAGTTCTATTTTAGATTAAAATATAAAATGTTTTCATTTAATATAGCATGTATTACCTTTTTGGGGGTAAGGGGAAACAGATACTAATTTAGCCATTTTTTTGTTCTGGATTAGGAAGCTCTGGAGGAATATGTGAAAAAAGTAAACTCTATTCAGATGGTAAGAAGAAGTCCTTAAACACTGGAATTATTACTGTTCAGAACTATGGGTCTCATGTACCTCCCAAAGTCTCTCACATTACTTTTGCTCACGAAGTTGGACATAACTTTGGATCCCCAGTAAGTATTGTCTAATTATTAGCTTAAAAAATACTTATTAGTCTAATTTTTATGTTGAGTGATTTATTTAAAATTCACCGTGAAAACAAATGTACTTACGAGTGTTTAGTTTTTATGTCAGAGCACAGTAATGTATTTGACCATACTGAAAGGGAGGAAGATAGAATGTTTGTGGTTAAAGTAAGAAAAGTAAGCATAACAGTGCTAGAATTCTGTGAAGGCAAGGGATTTCATCTGGCTTATTCAGACAAAATATCTATATCTCCTGGCCCTAGAACAATGCCTAGTACATAATGTACTCAAATATCTTTTGAATGAGAATCATTATTCATTGTTTAAAAGTACATTTTGAATGTTCAGCAAATTGTGAGAAATTCTTTTTTTGTTTTGTTTCTGTTAAAGCATTTTTAGGGAATGAGATTGATATTTTAAAATCTTTTCTCTACTGTGGAATGAGATTGATAATTTAAAGTATTTTCTCTACCGTGGAATGAGATTGATATTTTAAAATCTTTTATTAGGAAAAAATTCTAACATACACAAAAGTAGAACAAATAGTGCAACAAAGCGTTATACGCCCATGATTCAGAACAGGGATCAGCAAACATTTTCTGTAAAGGGCCTACTAGTAAACATTTTAGGCTTCAGGGGCAGTGTTTGGTTTCTGTTGTACAGTCTTTGTTGCTTTTACAATTTGTTAAATATGGAAAAGCCATTCTTAGTTAAGCCATATAAAAACAGGCTGCTGGCTACTTTGTCAACCCCTAATTCAGAGCCAATAATTGTGAAGATTTTGACATATCTTCTATCTGTATTTCTTTTTCTTTGCTAAGGTATTTAAAGGAACTCTATCTATCCTTACGTATTTCAGTACACATTCCTGAAAAAATAGACATTTTCTAATACAACTACAATGTGGTTATTACACCTAACAAAATTAACAGCGATCTTTGATATTATCTAATATCCAGTCCATTATATTGATCTTTTAAGTGACCTTAAAGATCAGTACAACACAGAAATATGAAATACTGAATGATACTCTGTCTTTGTGATTTTGGTAGAGCTTATTAAAGATAACATTTTGAAAATGTACACTTGAAAACTGTATGTAAATTCATTTTACTTTCACCTTATCACTTGCAAAAGTGCAAATTTTTATGATTTTAAAAATAAGTTGTCTACTTGTAGCTTAAAATCCCCAAATGCACTTCTCTAATTTTTCCCATGTTTGTAAAATAGGTGCCATCTCACTAAGTTGCAAGTCTTTCTTCTTCTACATCCCAATCAGAAATTGATAGATTATTATTAATGTTCTTGGATAAGGTATTTAAAATGTGCTTAATCTCTGTAACTCTTGACTGCTTTTGTGATCTTCTCTTAAAAGAGTACTTGGAATTTTAGAGATGAGCAGAGAATTATTGTTCATAGTTGATTTGCATTTTCAAGAGCAGATAAGTGTCCTCTCTTCTCCCCAAGTCATCTTGGTTCCAGGCCTTACCAGGGGAATTTTAGTACTCCTCCAGCTACTTGTCTGGCCTTTAGTCCCAGGTCACTCATTTTTATGTGCATATACATCACCTGAGAATCTTAAAACACAGATTCTTTTTTAGTAGGTCTTTGATGGGGCCTGAGTTTCTGTATTTCTAACATACTCCCACATAATGCTGCTGCTGCTGCTGCTGGTGCTCATCTGTGAACCACACTGCAGTAGGGAATCTAGACCATTCTCTTTTCACTTCTTGTGTAATCTCTTTCCTACCTAGCTGCCAGTGAGATGTTTTTATTCAATTAATGTTATATTATTGTTTAATGGAGAAATTGGTTCACACTCTTTGCCTACCACGCTCAATCGTACCCCATTCTTTTGCACATGTTGTTAATTCTGCCATCTGTATCCGTAGTAGATGGTTGTCTTCATCTGTTTTGTGTTGTTATAAGGGAATATCTGAGGGTGGGTAATTTATAAAGAAAAGAGGTTTATTTGGCTCATGATTCTGTAGGCTGTACAAAAAGCATGGTGCTGGCATCTACTCAGCTTCTGGTAAGGGCCTCAGGCTGCTTCCACTTATGATGGAGGGCAACAGGTGCTGGCATGTGCAGAGATCACATGGTGGGAGTGGAGGTGGTGGGAGCGTGGGGTCAAGGAGAGAGGAGGTACTAGGCTCTTAACAGCCAGCTCTTGCAGAAACTAAGAGAGTGAGAATGCACTCACCCACCCACCTCCAACCCTTCAGGAAGAGCATTAATCTATTGATGAGGGATCTGCCCCCATGACCCAGACCTCTCTTGTTAGGCCCACTAACAACTTTGGGATCAAATTTGGGGGGACAGACATCCAAATTATACAATGCTTAATAAATATTTGTTGAGTAATTTAATAGTAAGATCAGCCAGAATCATAAACACCTGAACCTGTCTCCCTTAACATCTTTATCTGAAATCTCTTTCTCTCTTATACGTTTGTAGTAATGTCAATGTTACTTTTTCTGAGTGGTTCACATTATTTCTTAAATGTATTTATCCTATCTGAAATATTTATTGTGCACCTATTATAAACTGCTTTATAAACTTTGTTGTAGGAAGTTGTAATCATAAATGAGACAAAGTTCCTGTCTCTCAGGGTGAAAATTCTAATATGTACCTACTCTCACCAGATTCACCTTCATGTAAATACAGTTCTAATAATGCCACTTCTGCTTACTAACTCACTTCTACTACTTTCTAATATTGCTGATACAATTTCCTTATCTTAATGTTTGGGGTGTTTGATAATTTGGGGTTTAAGTATATTTCTAGTGTTATCTCTCCTCATCTGTCAAATTAATTCACAGACCTTTAAAACTTTCCTCCGCTAGGAAGTCAGTTCCTTCCCATGTCTGCCTGTTGAAATCTTGATCCGTGTTGTTATATGATGTAAATGAATATGGCCCTTAATAAAAATTAAGAAAATATGACCATCATAGTTTTATTTATAATACCAAAAAGTTTTAAGCAGCCTAGATGGCCCTACAGTATGAAAATACCACGGAATGCTCTGCAGTCATTTAAATACCAAGTTTTGCAGTGCTCATTTTATACTGTTAAGCTGAAAGAAAGGTGTGTATAACTGTACACATGGAGGGTAGCTGTGGTGACTCACACCTGTAATCCCAGCACTTTGGGAGGCCGAGGTGGGCAGATTGCTTGAGCCCAGGAGTTCGAGACCAGCCTGGGCAACATGGCGAAACCCCGTCTCTACCAAAAATACACACAAAAACAATTAGCTGGGTGTGCTGGACTGCACCTGTAGTCCCAGCTACTCGAGAAGCTAAGGTCGGGGAGGATGACTTGAGTCCAAGGTTGCAGTGAGCCAGGATCACGCCACTACACTCCAGCCTGGGGGACAGAGTGAGACTCTGTCTCAAAAAAAAAAGTTATAACTGTACACATGGTATAGTCCAAATTTTAAATTAAAATGTGATACAGCTAGATATAAGTCAGATAGGAAATAGATCAAAATTTTAATAGTTATAGTGCATGGTAGATTATGATTGAATTTTTATTTATGCATTTTTGTTTTCTTAATTTTCTTTCTTATAGTTAGACAAATTTTTCTGTTTTCTTGTCACAAAGATTATAGTTTCTTAGTGAAACGCTTCTCTTGATTTGAACTCTGAATACTTGTGCGAGTCCAGTCAAGATGGCCTTTATGTTCTGTTTTGTGTTTTGCTTATTCATGTGCTTGTTTTATTCGTTATCTGAGGATGGCAAATAGCTGGCATGCTTGCTTACAACCTGTTTCCCCTTCTATTCCTGTTAATGGTGATCTATTGTAATATCTCCTGGCCTAGTAAAATAATAATTGACTAGCAATATCTGTAATGGATTTATGCAGCAGCAAGTCAGACTAAGCAGTTATGTCAAGATTTGCTATCATTTAAAAATAGAAGGTAAGTGCCTTGAAGGCTAGGGATAATACTTTTCTCATCTTTATATTTTTATATTTTAGTGCCTCCTTTTATAGCACTGGACATTCATTAATATTTACTGAATTGAAAAGTGGCAAGATATTCTGTGATGACATCAAGAGTTATACAGAATTGGGATTTTTTTCTTTCCTTTCTAAAACTCTAATGCTGAGAATAATTCTAGTGCTACACCTTTTTCAGAAACTGAGTTGAATTTTATAGGTTGAAAACATAAAGCAAGATAATATTGGTGAATAGTATAGAGTTGCTAAATGCTGCATCTAGATTCAGAAGAAAGGCAAGAGGTATCAGGAAGAATAAAGGTGATAGTAGAGGACACATTTTTTAATTTAACAGTTGCCTCAGAAGAGGGAATAGAAAATGAAAGTAACTTAGTTGGGCTCTAGGAAAAAACAGAACGTCCTTGGGCAGTCTTTTTCTTTCTTGAGAGTGGGGTTGTTGGGTATTTAAAACAAGATTTTAATTAAATAGCACAATTACTCTAGTGTCCAGTGTTTTTTGCCCCTTCTGATGTGTTCTGAATTGTTTGAGGGGCATTGTGAGGGTTGTTTTAGTGCATATCCCCAGGATGGTAGGGGCTGCTGGGATCTGGTAGTAGTGTTCTGTTGCTTGGTCTCATAAGCATTACTTTGAGAAAATTCAGGGAGCTATGCTGTATGTATCTGACTCTTCAATAAAATTTATCAAAACCGAACACCACTTATGTGCATTTATATGTTACGTGTACACAGAACTCTGTTTATTTGGCAAAGCAGTATTTTGGTTTTATCTCTAGGCTTTTACCATTTTTCATTTAAAAATATATCATTGTGTTTCTGTTCCTAGTCAGCATTTTTACTTACCTTTCCTATATATTGGCTATTAAGTTAGCTGTCTTAGATTCCTGTTCTGTGTGTATTTAGCCCCATGTCAGTCTCTTGATTCTTTTGTCTTTCCCCACCTCTGTCTTCTCTGAACTATTCATAACATGTAATTTAACATATGTGTTAGAGACTATTTAGTAGTTTTAAAGTAGTTTATTTTACTGTTACTAGTTTTAAAAGTATGTGAGCTTATTTTTAATAGACTTTTATGACAGTCTGTCCTCAATTCTAGTCCCTGCTTACAAAGCTATAAATTGTTATGGCTAGACCTCCACTGATTTTCCTCCTTTTCTAAGACAGTGACCCCTAAAAGAGCAAATTCTTTTCCTACTCAAGGTGTAAAACAATTGTAAGATCCTTTTTAAAGGAGAGTCCACAAGCTTCCATTGTTTTCCTGATGAGAACATTACGTTTAATCAGTTGACCTGAAAACCTTATTTTACTTCCTGTTTATGTAACTTTATATTCTTTTTGACAGCATGATTCTGGAACAGAGTGCACACCAGGAGAATCTAAGAATTTGGGTCAAAAAGAAAATGGCAATTACATCATGTATGCAAGAGCAACATCTGGGGACAAACTTAACAACAATAAATTCTCACTCTGTAGTATTAGAAATATAAGCCAAGTTCTTGAGAAGAAGAGAAACAACTGTTTTGTTGGTATGTATATTTTCCTAACGTTTTGTTATGAACATTTTCAAACATTCAGACAACTTGAAAGAATTCTATAGTGATTACTGACATACCCACCACCTGCATTTTACTATTGCTAACACTTTGCTGTATTCCCTTTATCTCGTTATTTCTTAATCTTGCCATCTCTCAATTCATGTTTTATTGCAATTTAAAGTAAGTTGCAGCCATCAGTATACTTCACACCTAAACATTTTAGTCTGCAAATCATTAACTAGAGTTCAATATTGTTTATAGTTCTTTTTCTGTTTTCTGCATAAGTGAAATGCACAAATTTTAAGTGCATCATTTGATGAGTTTTGACAGATGCATTTACCTTTGTAAACTACCTATCAAGATACAGGACATTTCTGTCACCCCGGAACTTTCTTTTATCACCCTTCCCAATCAGGCTCTGTCCCAACACACCCTCAGAGGCAACCACTATCTGATTTATTTCACTCTACATTGGCTTTGTCTTCATATAAGTGAAAGTATACAGTTTATACCCTTCTGTGGAAGGCTGTTTAACTCAGTATACAGCTTTGAGATTCATCTTTAGTATTATACTCCTTTTTATTGCTGAGTACTATTACGTTGTATGAATATGTCCTAGTTTGTACATCTACTCTCCTATCATGAATACCTTGGATTTGGGCTAATGTGAATAAAGTTACTATGAAATTATTTCTTATTTTAGTAAAATATATATAGCATAAAGTGTGCCATTTTAAACTGATTTTAAATGTACAGTTCTGTGACATTAATTATAGGTACAATGTTGAATGTGAATGTAATCAATTACATTCACTCTTCATTTGCAAACTTTTTCATCATCCCAATGGAAATTCTATAACCATTAAGCAGTAATGCTCTGTCTTCCCCTCAGCCCCTGGTAACCTCTAATCCACTTTCTGTCTTTATGAATTGGCCTATTCTGGGTATCTCATGTAAGTGGGGACATACAATATTTGTTCTTTCGTGCCTGGCTTATTTCACTTAGCATAATATTTTCAAGGTTTATCTGTGTTGTAGCATGTATCAGAGTTCCATTCCTTTTCACGGCTGAATAATACTCCATTGTATGTATAGACCAGATTTTGTTCTTCCAGTCATCTGTTATGTCTTTCTTGCGGCATTGAACATACTCTAAATATTTACTTTGTATTAGGGTTTTTTTGTGTGTGTGTGTCCTTGTCCTATTTCACAAGACCATAGGTTTCTTTAGGGGAAACACTGAGGCCTATTCATCTTTGTACATTAAGAGCACTGAAAGAGGGGTTAAACATGTGACAGCAAAGGAGAAAGAATTCAGGAAGATTTCCAGATAAGCATGGGATTTTGTTTTTAATTGAAATTTTATTGAGATAATTAATAGATTCACATACAGTTCATAAGAAGTAATAGATTCCCTGTACCCTTCACTCAGTTCCCTCCGATGGTAATGCCTTGCAAGACTGTAGTACAATATCATGACCAGGATGTTGATATTGAGAAAATCCATAGATACTATTCCAATTTCCCTAGTTTTTTTTTTTGTTCTCATTTCTCTTTGTATGTATTTAGCTCTATACAATTTTATTACATGCGTAGATTTATGTATCCACCATCACAATCAAGAATCAGAACAGTTCTGTCATTACAAGGATCCCTCATTGTTTTATAACCATGCTTACCTCCCTTCTGTTGTCCCTTCCTCCCCCCTGCTACCCTGTTCTCCATATGTAAAATTTTGTCACTTCTAAAAAAGTTATATAAATAAAATCAGACAGCATACAACCTTTTGGAATTGCCTTTTCTCACTCAACATAATTCCCTGGGGATTCATCTAAATTATTGCCTTTATCAATAGTTCGTTCTTTTTTATTTCTGAGTAGTATTCCATGGTATGTATGTACTGCAATTTGTTTAACCATCCATTTGAAAGACATCTGGGCTGTTTCCAGTGTTTGGCTATTATGAATAAAGCAGCTGTAAACATTCATGTACAGGTTTTTTGTATAAACATATAAGTTTTTACTTTGAGATAAATGCTCCCAAATCGAATTGATGGACCATATAGCAATTGCTTGTTTTGCTTTGTACAAAACTGCCAAACTCTTTTCCAGGGTGGCCATACTATTTTATGTTCTCACCAGCACTGCACAAATGATCCAGTTTCTCTGCATGTTCACAACCATTTGGAGTTTTCACAGTTTTTTATTTTAGCTGTTCTGATGGGCGTGCTGTGATATCTCATGGTTTTAATTTGCATTTCTCTGGTGGCTAATGATGCTGAACATCTTTTCATGTACTTATTGGCCATTTATAAATCATCTTTGATGAAATGTCTGTCCATGTTTTTTGGTCATTTTAGTGATCATTAGTGGGACTTTTTTCTTTTCTTTGGAGTATTGAGAATTCTTTATATAGTCTAGATACTAGTCCTAGATACTGGTTTGCAAATATTTTCTCCCAGTCTGTAGCTTGTCTTTTCGCCCTTTTCACAGTTCTTTCGTGGAGCAAAAGTTTCACATTTTGATGAGGTCCAGTTAATCAGTTTTTTATTGTATTGATTGGCATTATCTTTTTCTTTTAAAAGGGCAGATTGAAATTACATCTTCAATCTTCAAAAACTGATGTTATCATTTTTGTTATTGTTATTGTCAGTGGTTGTTTTTCTAATGCTTCTTAATGTACAGGTACATTAAGATTCTTCATTTGTAAACTGGGTTTTCACAGTAAACCTTCTGAAATAAGTTGACTTTTAAAAATGTACATATTGCTTTGTAGGTATTAACAGGAAAGAAAATTTTTTCTTAAATTATAACAAAATGTGTACCTATTATAATTTTTGCATTTAAACAGTATTTTTAGGCCAGACAGAGTGGCTCATGCCTGTAATCGCAGCACTTTGGGAGGCCAAGACAGGGAGATTGCTTGAGGCCAGGAGTTCGAAACCAGCCTGGCCAATGTAGCGAAACCCTGTCTCTACAAAAAATTAAAAAATCAGTGAGGCATGGTGGCGTGCGCCTGTAGTCCCAGCTACTTGGGAGGCTGAGGCACAAGAAATTGCTTGAACCCAGGAGTTGGAGGTTGCAGTGAGCCAAGATCGTGCCACTGCACTTTAACCTGGGCAACAGAGCGAGACTCTGTCTCAGACAAACAAACAAACAGTACCTCATTGTTGTTTAAACTGTTAGCAAATAACTAACTTGAAGTACTAATTTTATATGAAATAAAAATTAATATGTAGTAAATAATGTATGTAACATTTTCTGACTTCGTTATTTGTTTTCTTATAAATTACGTGTCATGTGAATTATAAAATTATTACTAGACTTGTAAAAATCATTATTCACCTAGTATATATGTGCAGATGCATGTTTCTAGTTTTTTTTGTTTTTGTTTTTGCTTTTTTTTTGAGACAGAGTCTCGCTCTGTCACCAGGCTGGAGTGCAGTGGCACGATCTCGGCTCACTGCAACCTCTCCCTCCCAGGTTCAAGCGATTCTCATGCCTCAGCCTCCCAAGTAGCTGGGGCTGCAGGAGTGCGCCACCACGCCTAGCTGGTTTTTTTGTATTTTTAGGAGAGACGGGGTTTTACCATGTTGGCCAGGATGGTCTCAATCTCTTGACCTTGTTATCCACCTGCCTCGGCCTCCCAAAGTGCTGGCATTTACAGGCGTGAGCCACCTCGCCTGGCCCCCCCTTTTTTTTTTTTTTTAAATTTCACTTTAAGTTCCGGGATACAAGTGCAGAATGTGTAGGTTCATTACATAGGTGTACGTGTGCCATGGTGGTTTACTGCACCTATCAACCCATCATCTAGGTTTTAAGCCCCACATGCATTAGCTGTTTGTCCTAATGCGCTCCCTCCCCTCACCTTCTACCCCTGGACTGGCCCTGGTGTGTGTTGTTCCCCTCCCTGTGTGCATGTGCTCTCATTGTTCAACTCCCACTTATGAGTGAGAACATGTGGTGTTTGGTTTTCTGTTCCTGTGTTAGTTTTCTGGGTATGATGGCTTCTAGCTTCATCCATGTCCCTGCAAAGGACGTGATCTCATTCCTTTTTATGGCTGTGTAGTATTCCATGGTGTATATGTATCACATTTTATTTATCCAGTCTATCATTGATGGGCACTTGGGTTGATTCCATGTGTTTGCTATTATAAATAGTGCATGCTTCTGGTTTTTGAGAACGAAAGAGATGGTTTAAAGTGAAACAGGGATGAAGCTTCGATGACCTCCAAGATTTTAAAAAATAGTCGATGTGGTTAAGAATGAACTTTCTGCTTTCATCTAGGCCAGTCTGGCTCTGGAGAGCAGGTGCCTCCACAGCAACATCCCTGGGGGCCCTGAAATCAGGGTTCAGCTAGGCTCCTATGTGCCCTGAGGGTCTGGGTTCCCAGTCCTGTTGCCAAGTGGCTTTGTCCCAGATCCTTTCTTCTGGGCTGATGTGAGTGCATATGTTTGTGCCAAGCTTCTGTTTTATATTGCACATATAAATAAAGGAAGATAATTTACCATAAAGAAATAATTATCTGAATATAAAGCCAGTCTTTCTAGAACATTTTTGATTTAGATAGGCCTCATGTGGGTTTCCTGTGTTGAGATGTATGGGTTCCTGTGTTGAGATGTATGTGTTCCCTTCTACTTATTCAATTCGCAACTTAAAGCCTGTACAATGACTGTTTTCCATGTCGATTTGGTGTAGGAGAAAGAAAAGAGCACCAGATCGTAGACCTAGAAAACCCTAGATATAGTCTGTGTTTTGCCTATACTGGGATATATGGTCCCTAGCAAGTTACAGACTCCTTGGAAGTTAGTTTTATTTCCTAGAACATTTAAGGCATTTGATTTTTATCATTCTCTGCAGTTGCTAAAGCTCTTTGATTTTATGATCTTACAAAGAGGAGCATTTCTATTCCAATTTTAAATTCCATTGACAAAAATCAAAGAACTTTAGAAGACTGCTGAAGAAATTTTCTAAAATTATTCACTATGCTTAGATGAGACTGTCTAATCTTAATCAACCAAGATCTGGCTCAATACCATTAAGGTCTGTGAGAATACAGAAGATATAAATAATACATGTTTGTTCCCTTAAGGAGCTTGGTTTAGTTCAGCAGCAAAACTAATGTACATAAAAAAAATTACCTACTGATTGTATTACAATCAGCTAAATAGAATGTGGGACATTTCATAGACAAAATCACCCAACTTCTTTAACAGATCAATGGTGTAAAAATAAATAAAAATGGAGAAATCTATTACACGTTAAAAGAACATAAGAGACCTGTCAAAAAGCAACCATGAGGGGAGGAGTTGGGGTTAGGGGAACCTTGGGTTTGAAACTTGATTCACAGCAACAAATTGTAAAGAGACATTTGAGGAAAATTGAACATGGCTTGGCTGTTAGATGTTATTAAGCATGCTATTAATTTTGTTAGATATGATCATGGTTATTATGGTTAGGTTTAAATAAGAAAAAAACTTTATGTCATAGTGATACATTCTGAAGTATTTACAGGGACAATAATATGTTAGGTGGGGTTGTTTTAAAATACTCCAGAAAAAAACTGTGGGAGTAAGTGAGACAAGAACAGCATATTGTTGTTGATAGTTGTTAAAGATGAGTGATTGGTACATGGGAATTCATTGTACATATTCTTTTATTACTTTTAGGTGTGTTTGAAATTTTCTGTTGCAAAAAAAGGCTTAATTTTTTTTTTTCCTGGTTAGTGAAGCACTAACTTGGTTTGTATTTGTGTGATATGAATAGAACAGTCAATAAAGCTCAATGTAGCATGGCCTAAGTTGCAAGTTACAGCTTCTAGAAGGGACCCTCTGTCAAATCCTCTCACTGTACAGATTGAGAAACTGAAGACCCCAAGATTGCATTGCTAGTTAGTAGCAGACCCCCTGTTAGAATTAGGTCTCGTAATTTCCAGATTCCTAGTTTGTTCTACTTATTCATCAAAGTTTTCCTTTATCCCTTTGTTATGATGATCTAAAGAATTTGTGAATTTTAAATAAAATTAATGTGTGCACACAATGCTTACTTTGTCTTGTTTATTTTCCTCAGAATCTGGCCAACCTATTTGTGGAAATGGAATGGTAGAACAAGGTGAAGAATGTGATTGTGGCTATAGTGACCAGTGTAAAGATGAATGCTGCTTCGATGCAAATCAACCAGAGGGAAGAAAATGCAAACTGAAACCTGGGAAACAGTGCAGGTACCTTGCTAATTTCAGTGATGTTAACATTCTTGTAAAGTTACCTCAATGCAGTTATGACAAATTTAAAACTGAGATTAAGAGATGCATATGGTTTTGAAACTTTGCTTTTATCTGTTGTTTGTTTTCTTTTTCTGAAGTAGTGTTGGTTACTGCTCTGTTATTGGCAGATTGAACTACTTTTTTTTTTTTTTTTTTTTTTTTTTTTGAGACAGGGTCTCGCTCTGTTGCCCAGGCTGGAGTGCAGTGGCATGATCTCGGCTCACTGCAACTTCCACCTCCCGGGCTCAATTGATCCTCCCACCTCAGCCCCCTGAGTAGCTGGGACTATAGGCATGTGCTACCACACCCAGCTAATTTTTGTATTTTTTTTTAGAGACAGAGTTACGCCATTTGCCCAGGCTTGTTTGGACTACTTTTAATAGTAATTTGTGTGGTGAATGTTAACAAAAGGACATACTCAAAGGACATACTAAAAAGAATCCTAAAAAATACATATTCTTGGCCGGGCGCGGTGGCTCACGCCTGTAATCCCAGCACTTTGGGAGGCCGAGGCGGGTGGATCATGAGGTCAGGAGATCGAGACCATCCTGGCTAACAAGGTGAAACCCCGTCTCTACTAAAAATACAAAAAATTAGCCGGGCGCGGTGGCGGGCGCCTGTAGTCCCAGCTACTCGGGAGGCTGAGGCAGGAGAATGGCGTGAACCCGGGAAGCGGAGCTTGCAGTGAGCCGAGATTGCGCCACTGCAGTCCGCAGTCCGGCCTGGGCGACAGAGCGAGACTCCGTCTCAAAAAAAAAAAAAAAAAAATACATATTCTTTAGTTACTTATTGTGAAAATGTAACTATCTTCCATATTTTAAAAATCTTAACTTTAAATATTTAGTTAATGTGGAATCCATTTACTTTTCTAACTTGGCAAGTTATAACTATTTCACTTGTCAAATTTACTTTGGTAGCAGTGTAAGCAATTGTTTGCACAATACTTTTTTTTTTTTTGAGATGGAGTCTCAGAAAAACCTGTCACCCAGGCTGGAGTGCAGTGGCATGATTTCAGCTCACTGCAACCTCTGCCTCCCAGGTTCAAGCAATTATCCTGCCTCAGCCTCCTGAATAGCTGGGACTACAGGTGTGTGCCTCCATGCCTGGCTAGTTTTTTGTATTTTTAGTAGAGTTGGGGTTTCACTATGTTGGCCAAGTTGGTCTTGGACTCCTGATCTCAAGTGATCTGCCCACCTTCGCCTCCCGAAGTGCTAGGATTACAGGCATGAGCCACCGCACCCGGCCAGTTCAATATGTTTTAAACGGCTGGTCTGTATATCCTAGTTTGATTTTAGTATGAAAATGGGAGAGAAAGCGATAAATTAACTAATGTGTGATGTAACTGAAAAAATACTGATAAATTGCCTAATATTAAATCCATTTTCCATTGTAGCCTTTTCCTAAAGGTGAACAGGGCAAGAATGTGGAATGTAGTATGCTTTGACTATTAAAAAAAAAAGTCGCACACTTTTCTTGACTGTTTGGCTTAGTAGCTTCCTATTCCTTTTTTTAAATTTTTTTTTTTGAGATGGAGTCTTGCACTGTCGCCCAGGCTGGGGTGCAGTGGCGCGATCTCTGCTCACTACAAGCTCCGCCTCCCGGGTTCACGCCATTCTCTTGCCTCAGCCTCCCAAGTAGCTGGGACTACAGGCGCCCGCCACCACGCCTGGCTAATTTTTTGTATTTTTAGTAGAGATGGGCTTTCACCTTGTTAGCCAAGGTGGTCTCGATCTCCTGACCTCCTGATCCTCCCGCCTTGGCCTCCCAAACTGCTGGGATTACAGGTGTGAGCCACTGCACCCGGCCCCTATTCCATTTTTAATTGATACATAATGATTGTACATATTTATGAGGTATATGTGATATTTTGATACATGCATACAATATCTAATGATCAAATCAAGGTAATAAGGATATTTATCTCCTCAGATATTTATCATTTCTTTGTCTTGGGAACATTTTAAATCTTCTATTTTGAAATTTACAATTAGTTATTGCTAATTGTAGTAACTTTACTGTGCTATCAAACACTAGAGCTCATTCCTTCTATGTGTTTGTACCCATTAACCAATCTCTCTTTATCCACCTCTCCACTACCCTTCTCATCCTCTTGTAACACCATTCTACTCTCTAACCTCTATGAGATCAACTTACTTTGCTCTCACATATGAGTAACAACATGTGCTGTTTGTCTTTCTATGTCTGGCTTATTTTATTTAACATGATGACTTCTATTTCCGTTCATGTTATTGCACATGACAGTATTTTGCTCTTCTTTGTGACCAAATATATACCACCTTTTCTTTATCCATTTGTCTCTTGGTGGACACTTAGACTAATTCTGTATCTTGGCTATTGTGCATAGTGATACAGTAAACGGGGCTGTAGGTATCCCTTTTATATACTGACTTCCTTTTCTTTGGATGTATACCCAGCTGGATCATATAGTAGATCTATTTTTAGTTTTTAGAGGAACTTCTATACCAGTTTACACAGTGGCTATACTAATTTATATTCCCACCAGCAGTAAACTAATGGTTCCTGATCTCTGCATCCTTGCCAGCATCTTTATTTATTTATTTTTTTGATCATTTTGATAATGGTCATTTTTACTGGGTGTATCTCACTGTGGCTTTGATTTGTGTTTCCCTGATGATTAGTGATATTGAACATTTTTTCATGTACTTGTTAGCAATTTATATGTCTTCTTTTGAAAAATGTTTATTTAGGTCATTTGTCTACTTTTTAATGAGATTATTTAGTTTTTTGCTGTTGAGTTGAGTTCCTTGTACATTCTATCAGTCCCTAGTCAGATGAATAATTTGAAAATGTTTTCTCCCATTCAGCAGATCGTCTCTTCACTCTGTTGATTGTTTCCTTTTCTGTGCAGAAGCTTTTTAGTGTGTGTAACCCTATTTGCCTATTTTTGCTTTTGTTGTCTGCAGTATTGAGGTCTTACTCAAAAATCTTGGCTCAGATCAATGTCCTGATATCTTTTCCCAATGTTTTCTTTTAGTAGTTTCATCGTTTCAGGTCTTAAATTTCCATCACATTTTGATTTGGTTTATGTATGTGGTGAGACATAGGGGTCTAGTTTCATTTTTCTGCATATAGGTATCCAGTTTTCCCATCACCACTTATTGAAGAGACTGTCCTTTCCCCACTGAATGTTCAAAAATCACCTCGAAAATCAATTGGCTGTAAATATATAGATTTATTTCTGAATTCTCTATTCTGTTTCATTGGTTAATGTGTCTGTTTTTATGTCAGTATCATGCTGTTTTAGTTGCTATAGCTTTGTAGTATATTTTGAAATTAGGTGGTGTGATGCCTCCAGCTTTATTCTTTTGGCTATTGGCTTCTGTGGTTTCATATGACTTATAGGATTGTTTTCTCTTTATCTGTGAAGAATGTCATTGGTATTTGGATAGGCATTACATTGAATCTGTAGATTGCTTTTGGTAGTATGGCCGTTTTCACAGTATTAATTCTTCCAGTCCATGAACATGAAATGTGTTTTTTTTTTTTTTTGACTTGTTCAGTTTCTTTCATCAGTGTTTCATAGTTTTCCTTCTAGAAATTTAATAAACTCACCTCCTTGCGTTTATTAAACTTACTCTTTTTTTTGCAGCTATTATAAATGAGATTGATTTTCTGCTATTTTCTTGTATATAGAAACACAACTGGTTTTTTAATGTTAATTTTGTATCCTGCAACTATTCTGAATTCATTTATCAATTCTAAGAGTTTTCAGTGGAGCTTTAAGGGTTGTCTATATATATAAGATTATGCTGTCTACAAACAGGAACAGTTTGGCTTCCTCCTTTCCAATTTGGATGTCCTTTATTTTCTTCTCTTGCCTAATTGCTCTGGCTCAGACTTCCATTACTATATTGATAACAGTGGTGAGAGTGGACATTCTTGTCTTGTTCTAGTTCTTTTTTTCTTACTTATTTTACCTGGTGATCAGGAAGTATTGTTGGGAAACTTTTTTTTAATTACTGATTCAATCTTGTTACTTGTGATTGATCTGTCCAGGTTTTCTATTCTTATTTCAATCTTGGTAAGTTGTATGTGTCCAGGGATTTATTAATTATCATTCGGTTTTCCCATTTATTGGCATATAGTTTATTGTAATGGTTTCTAATGATTCTTTGTATTTTTGTGGTATCAGTTATAACGTCTCCTTTTTTGTTTCTGATTTTATTTGGATATTTTTTCCTTGTCTAGTTAATGGATTGATGATTTTATCTTTCCAAGAAACCAACTGTTCATTTTGTTGATATATTTTTATTTTATTTTTTTATTTTTTTATTTTTTGAGACGGAGTCTCACTTTTTTCCCCAGGCTGGAGTGCAGTGGTGCAATCTCGGCTCACTGCAAGCTCCGTCTCCTGGATTCACGCCATTCTCCTGCCTCAGCCTCCGGAATAGCTGGGACTACAGGTACCTGCCACCACGCCTGGCTAATTTTTTTGTGTTTTTAGTAGAGACGGGGTTTCACCGTGTTAGCCAGGATGGTCTCAATCTCTTGACCTTGTGATCTGTCCGCCTCGGCCTCCCAAAGTGCTGGGATTATAGACATAAGCCACCGTGCCTGGCCTGATTCTTTGTATTTTTTTAGTCTCAATTTTGTTTATTTCTGCTCTGATCTTCATTATTTCTTTTCTTCTACTAATTTGGGGTTTGGTTCGTTCTTGCTTTTTCCTGATTCGTTGAGGTGCATTGTTAGGTTGTTTATCTTTCTACTTTTTCTATGTAGACATTTATTGCTATAAACTTCCGTCTTAATATTGCTTTAGCTGTATCCCATAGTATTTGGTATGTTGTGTTTTTCTATTTTCAGTTGTTTCAGAGAGCTTTTAAACTTCATTTTTAATTTCTTCATTGACTCATTGGTTGTTCAGAAGCAAGTTGTTTAATTTTTATGTGTTTGTACAGTTTCTAAAGTTCCCCTTGTGATTGATCTCTAGTTTCATTCTGTTGTGTTCAGAAGAGATACTTGATATGATCTCTGTTTTTGAACATCTGTTGATAATTGTTTTATAGCCTAATATGTGGTCTATCCTGGAGAATGTTTCATGTGCTAATGAAAAGAATGTGTATTCTGCCACAGCTGTTGGATGAAATGTTCTGTAAATGTCTGTTAGATCTATTTGGTCTAAAGTATAGTTCTAATCCAGTGTTTCTTGATTTTCTGTCTAGATTATCTGTCCAGTGCTGAGAATGGGCTGTTGAAGTCTCCAACCGTTACTTTATTGGAGTTGATCTCTCTCTTTAGATCTAATAGTATTTGCTTTATGTATCTGGGTGCTCTGGTGTTCGGTGCATATAGATTTAGAATTGTTATATCCCTTTGCTGAATGGAACATTTTATCACTATATAGTGATCTTTTTTGTCTCTTTTCACAGTTTTTTTTTGGAGACAGGGTCTTGCTCTGTCACCCAGGCTTGAGTGCAGTGGCATGATCTCGGCTCACTGCAACCTGCGCCTCCCGGGTTCAAGCGATTCTCCTGCCTCAGCCTCCCTAGTAGCTGGGACTACAGGCATGTACCACCATGCCCAACTAATTTTTGTATTTTTAATAGAGACGGGGTTTTGCCATGTTGGTCAGGCTGGTCTTGAACTCCTGACCTCAGGTGATCTGCCCGCCTCGGCCTCCCAAAGTGCTGGCATTACAAAATGAGCCACTGTGCCTGGCCCTCTTTTCACAGTTTTTGACTTAAAATCTGTTTTATCTGATACAGGTATAGCTAGTCTTGCTTACTTTGTTTCTGGTTGAGTGAAATATCTTCTTCTGTTCCTTTACTTTTAGTCTATATATGTCTTTAGAGGTAAAATGATTTTCTTGTAAGCAGCATATAGGTGGATGTGTCATGTGTTTGGGAGGCCGAGCCGGGAGTTTTGCTTGAGCAGGAGTGCAAGACCAACCTAGGCAACATAGTGAGATCCCATTTCTACAAATAAATGAATACATAAGTAATTTAAAAGCTACAGAGGGAGAAGAGATTAAAATAGGCCCATTCAGCCAGGTTGTGTCTTTTTAAGTAGGGGGATTTCATTGGTGTATATTCATGATTGATATCAGTAGGTGAGGACTTCCTCTTATCATTTTGATAATTATTTTCTGGTTTTTTTTTTTTTTTTTTTTTCTTCAGACGGACTCTTGCTCTGTAGCCCAGGCTCGAGTGCAGTGGTGCAATCTTGGCTCACCACAAGCTCCGCCTCCTGGGTTCACGCCATTCTCCTGCCTCAGGCTCCCTAGTAGCTGGGACTACAGGCGCCTGCCACCACGCCCGGCTAATTTTTTGTGTTTTTAGTAGAGATGGGGTTTCACTGTGTTAGCCAGGATGGTTTCGATCTCCTGACCTCGTGATCTGCCTGCCTCGGCCTCCCAAAGTGCTGGGATTACAGGCGTGAGCCACTGCACCCGGCTGTTTTTGTTTTGTTTTGTTTTGTTTTTGCATATTCTTCTTTCTTTTTTTCTCTCATTTAGCATTGTGGTTTGGTAGTTTTCTGTAGTGGTAACATTTGACTCTTCTTTTTCTCATTTGTATATCACAGTGGCCTGTATTGTACAGCTTTGTGGTAATGGCGGTGTTGGTGTACGTAGGTTGTTAGCATTATAATTCTGTGTGTTTTCACAATGGTGATTATTGGTTTTTTTTGCTTCCAGGTGCAGGAATCCCTTGAGTATTTCTTGTAGGGTCAGTCTAGTGGTGATGAATTTCCTATTTTTGCTTGTGTGGGAAAGACTTTATTTGTCCCTCATTTCTGAAGGTTAGTTTTGCTGGGTATAGACTCTTGGCTGCTAATTTGTAAACTATCCTTCAGAAATGAGGGACAAATAAAGTCTTATAGATTCTTGGCTGCCAATTTGTTTTTTCTTTCAGTACTTTGAACATATTATCCCATTCTCTCCATGCCTGTGAAATTTCTGCTGAGAAATCTGCTGCTAGTCTAATAGATGCTCCCTTATATGTGACTTGATACTTTCCTCTTGCTGTTTTTTTTAGAATTCTCTATGTCCTTGACTTTTGACAATTTGACTATAAATCCTCAAGGAAGACTTCCATTTTCAGCTATTATTTTAATAAATAGGTTTTCTTTTTTTTTTCTTTCTTTTTTCTTTCTTTTTATTTTGAGACAGAGTCTTAACTTCATCACCCAGGCTGGAGTGCAGTGGTACAGTTTGAGCTCACTGCAACCTCTGCCTTCCAAGTTCAAGTGATTCTTGTGCCTCAACCTCCTGAGTAGCTGGTATTACAGGTGCGTGCCACCATGCCCAGCTAGTTTTTTTCGTATTTTTAGTAGAGACGGGGTTTCAAGCTCCTGACAAGTGATCCACCTGCTTTGGCCTCCCAAAGTGTTGGGATTACAGGTGTGAGCCAGTGCACCCCAGCCAAAACAAAGGTTTTCTGTGCCTTTTTAAATCTCTTCTCCTTCTGTAGCTTTTAAGTGATTGATTGATTGGTTGCAGAGATGGGCTTTCACTACATTGCCTAGGTTGATCTTGAACTCCTGGGCTCAAGTGATCCTCCCACCTCAGCCTCCCAAAGTTCTGGCATTACAGGCATGAGTTACTGCACCCAACCTTCTGCAGCTCTTATAATATGAAAATTTATTCACTTGGTGGTGTCCCATAAGTCTTATAGACTTTCTTCCTTTTTTTTTCCTTCCCCTAAATGAGTAATTTCAAACATTCTATCTTGAAGTTCAGAGATTTTCTTTTGCTTGATCAAGTCTGCTGTTGAAGCTGTCTATTATATATTTTTATTTTATTCACTGAATTCTTAAGCCACAGGATTTTTGTTTCTCTTTAATGATATTTATTACTTTTTTGAATTTCTCATTCATATGAATTGTTTTCCTAGTTTCATTGAATTTTTTATCTATATTTTCTTGTGTCTTTTCCCTCAAATCATTATTTTGAATTCCTTTTTAGGCAATTTATTGATTTCCTTTTCTTTGGGACCTGTTGCTAGAGAGTTAATTATGTTCCTTTGGTGGTGTCATATATATTTGTTTTTTCATGTTTCATGAGTCCCTGTGTTCATGTCTGTGTGCCTGTCTGGTGGAACAGTCGTCTCATCTAAATTTTCTAGAGTGACTTTCATGGAGATATACTCTCACCTGTAGCTAGGTCTTAGTGTGCTGGTCGGGAAGGGTGTGGTGCTTCTTTTTCCAGGTAGGTGCAGTGGTATAGTCTCCATGCAGCTTCTTCAGCTGTATTCAACATCATCAATAACTGTAGGCACCTCAGTGGTCTGTGCTGTAGAAGTTTGTGGTAATGGATGCTGGTGGTGTAGGTTGTTAATGTCCTCAGTGGCAACGCCTTTTGGGGCCCTCCTATTCTCATTTTTCCCATAATGGTGAGACTTAGCCAAGGGGATCCCTCTTGGTGTCAGGTCTGACATGGCCTACGAGCACCTGCTGCGGTGCTGGCTTCCAGTTGCGGATGCGTAGAGTAACTGTGGGGCTGGAGTTCTAGGCTCAGGATCTCACAAACCTATTATGGTACTTGTGTCTTGCAGTGCATGTTTACTGTCTGGCAAGATTGAATGTAGGTTGCCTATAGCACCAGGATCTGTGACTCTGGGTTACTCCCTAGCACCTTGGGCCCAGCGGGCCAGTCTGTAGCTGGGATTATACACTTTGTGGGCAGGGTATAGCCCGGGCTTGGGTCCAGGGAAGAGGTGCTCTGGAGATTTGAGCCCAGAGCACAGTGCATGGCAGTAATTTCGGAGCCTGAGCCAATAGGACTCAGTGACGAGTTGGGTCACCGGGGATGGAGGTGGTGGTGAGTCTAGACCCTGGGATGGTGGGGCTTGGTGGTATCCCAAAGTCTGTGAGACCAGGTGCAGCAACAGCAAGTACCTCAGAATGTTCAAGCACAGCTGTCATTTGGGCCCTAGGGGGCAGGGAACAGCACAGTGATGACTACTGTGGGGAGAAGGGTGTCTCAGCAGCTCAGACTCTAGGGGGCTAGTCTAGCTCCAGGGAAGCAGGGTGCTAGAGTTGTTTGGCCTGTAGGCATAGTATCCCAGTTCAGCCACTGATATTTCCCTGGGATGTGAGTTACTGTGTTGGCTTAGCCCTGGAATGCACAGCTCCTCAACTTGGCCAAGGCATTATTACCTGAAGGAGCAATGTGCTGCTTTATCTCATACCCTGCAGGGTGTGACTTTTCTGTGTAGGCCCAGGCACTGTTTCTTTGGGACACACGGCTCCACCAGTGCACTGTTTACTCAGGAGGGCGGTGTGCGGTTTCAGTTTTTTGAAGTTGTATACCAGTAACATACTTATCATTTAAGTGATGAGACTTAGGATTTAAAAATTGGTACTATGTCTAATAATGTGGATCTAATCTAATATCTAATAGTATATAGGGAATAACTAGTGATTTACTTTGTTTAATCACTTAATGTTTCCTCTAGTCCAAGTCAAGGTCCTTGTTGTACAGCACAGTGTGCATTCAAGTCAAAGTCTGAGAAGTGTCGGGATGATTCAGACTGTGCAAGGGAAGGAATATGTAATGGCTTCACAGCTCTCTGCCCAGCATCTGACCCTAAACCAAACTTCACAGACTGTAATAGGCATACACAAGTGTGCATTAATGGGGTAAGCATTTAACTATATGTTTTAAAATTTAATTTTAGAAAACTTGTTTTTCAGAAGAATTATTGATGCTTAAAGCTACATAGTTAAAGTAATTAATCTTGGTCTCTGTTTAAGTAATATTCCCTCACAAAACCATGAATATATTATGTGGCATTCAATTAGCTACTAATTTGTCTTTCATCTTTCCATGTACATGTGGTTGATATTCTCTAGAGAAACATAGTTGTACAACTCGGCATGTGATTTGTCTATAATATTTAAGTTTTATAAAATAATATTTCAGTAGCCTAAATAAAAGAACTCTTTGGTCATCTTCTCTGAATATCAAACCTTCAAAGCTTTTGTGGCTGAATATCACTTTGCTCTACAGGAAAAAAATTTAATTTTTCTTTCTTTATAGAAGAGCCGTAATAACCAACATAAAATCGATCCTCATCTAATCTCTTGCTCTGCTTTTATTTCATTTTTTTAAGTTGCCATTGCTTTAAAAGATTTACTATCTTTCTTGGATTTACTGTTTTTCAAATTTTTTCAAATGTATTTATGTAATTCAGTTTTGATACTCATCTCTGTTTGTTTTTCACTTTCATTTCCATTTAAATATTTTGACATTGGAAGCTCATACTTGCCTGTCTGTTACTATAAAAAATAGGTTTGACTGTATAGGGATTAAACAATTTGTCTTTTATTTTTCTTCTAGCAATGTGCAGGTTCTATCTGTGAGAAATATGGCTTAGAGGAGTGTACGTGTGCCAGTTCTGATGGCAAAGATGATAAAGAATTATGCCATGTATGCTGTATGAAGAAAAGTAAGGCTTTTAAAAACACAAGAGTATAAAATTTGCCTCAAACTATTATTTTCTCCTAAATTTTAAGTGTAAAACTTTGACCTACAGTTTGGCCAGATAATTTCCAGCTAAATCTGTCCTCTTGAGGAGATTATAAATGTAACGTAGCATTGTGTCTCTATTATTATGGTCTCTACAATGTTTTAAAAATGATAAACTAGACAAAACGTTGCCAGCTTTACAGCAGTAATTTACATAAACACTGTTAGACTTTAAGTCATCGTGGACACTGAGTCAAGACTTGCTGGTTGCTTGTTTACATTGTAACATTTAATATGAATTACTGATGGCGTTACCCAGCCTAACTAGAGAAGGTCTGTATAACATGTTATGGTAATGATTTCAGTTTTTTTTCCCTCTTTGTATTTGCACAACTGGAAATCTGATCTTCAACTTATATTTGAATCTGACCTTCAGCTTATATTTGGCATTTCTTTTCCAGTGGACCCATCAACTTGTGCCAGTACAGGGTCTGTGCAGTGGAGTAGGCACTTCAGTGGTCGAACCATCACCCTGCAACCTGGATCCCCTTGCAACGATTTTAGAGGTTACTGTGATGTTTTCATGCGGTGCAGATTAGTAGATGCTGATGGTCCTCTAGCTAGGCTTAAAAAAGCAATTTTTAGTCCAGAGCTCTATGAAAACATTGCTGAATGGATTGTGGTAAGTATGTTTTTTATTTACAAAGAAAACTTAAAGTGGTTTGATCTTAATTTTACTTGGCCAGAAGTCATCAAAGTTACGAGAAAACAACTTAACTATTTATATTAGAATTACTTTATATGAAGATTTTTAAAGTTCTAATATTTCTGGTTATTATTTCCTTCTGAAGTGATCAGAATCATGTGTATCATTCATAGATTGCTTAGTAGGTGATGGGAGTCATTCTGTTTTACCGTGCTCCTTAGTTCATCTCCTGGATGGGTTACTTCTTTTGGTGCATATTATTAGGGCATTTTCATGGGACTTAAAAAACATTTTTTTTTGTTGTTTTTCAAGACAACTTATTTGCCCAAATCGTGGACTAATTGGTGATTTTTCCTGATCTTTCAGTATAATCTCTGGGTCTTTATCTTGTTTGTAATAGGAAATGTTGAACAGAATAAGATCAGATACACAGCCTTTTGTAGATCTACTAATGATTATGGATGTTCATCCAGCAGTAATCCACTGAACGCTTATTTTTAAGCCCACATATCTCCAAGTTGTACAAACACAGAATTACCTGATGTTTTCTTAAAAGATTGTCAAGATTGACTATCTCAACTTAAGTGTTCATGCTTTAAAAGTGATAACATTAAAATATCTATAGGAAGCTTGCAAATGATATATTTGAGAATGTGCTATAATTGAACTGAATGTAGTTTGCTTTGGAAATTGACTTATAACTCACATTCCCCTTTCTCAAATTAGTGTGTATGTGTGTGTGTGTGTATGTATGTATGTGTGTGTTCAGAACTATGGATGCCTTAAAGCACAAAAGATGTTGTTTGTGTGGGATGTCAGCCTTTTTTGTACTCTTCTAATAACATTCTAGAGTAAAAATTTTATAGTTAACCCCAGCATTTAAAATGATGTTTACCGTTCCTAGGACACATTAGGATATGTGGTTTTTAGATATGTAATGATCATGGAGTAGAAGGATTGTTGAAATTGGATTTAGGAGATCTACCTAGGTTTCAAACCAAATACTTGAGCAGTTGACTTAACTTAGGTTTCCTTAAAACATGTTACTCTTTTTTTAAATTCCTGTGCTTGTTGCGTGGTAAGTTCTAGTAAATACCTGTCAAACTGAAGTTGTCTTCTGGTACCATGGTGCAGTGGAAAGAGCACATGTTTGAGAATCACGTAAGGATTCAAATAATCTTTCTGGTGTTTATCAATTCTGTGACTTCAAGCAGCTTACCTTTCTTGGCCCTTCTTTATTTTCAACTCAGCTATTTTTTTTTCTGATTGTCTCTAATAAGAAAAGTTGAAATTTGGTATACTTGTCTGCTGTAGAAGACAGTGTATACAGAAAACGAAAGGAGATCTCAGAATTACATTCTACTGAGTATATATTGTGCTAGATATTTTAGATTTTTGGGGTACTAAGTCATATCTAAACATAGCATTTTTTTACTTTTCTCTGTTATCTCTAATTTTCACTCATTACATTATTTAGAATTTCAAAAGCCCATTTATTTTCACTTTAAAAATATTTAATAGACATGATCTTTTAAGTATTTTTAAGACCTTTTCTCCCCATATTTTAGATGTGAGGATTAATGAAATGTTTCACAATGAATTGGCAACATGAAGTCCTTTCTTGTGCTCTGGAACTAATTAATCAGACACTTTCAAGTTCATAGACGTTGACTTTAAGTGTGTGTGGGATAGAACATGCCTTTATTTTATATCATTGTTGACAGGCATATGCCAGTCTTTCGAATAGCATGCTCATAATGTGTGAAGAGTACCGCTAGGCTGTTGGTGCATTTGTGGGCATTAACCACATCAAGCAGTAAGATAATAAACATCTGGTCTTTACAAGTTACTTGTCTCATTTGCTTATGTGCATAGTTTACTTGCATACCGGGATTTATCATGTTAGGGAAGTGCCCTTCCAGTTAGTAATACAGATTATCAGGATGCTCTTGTGTAAGAAGCTGTGAAAGAAGTGAGGGGTTAGTTTCACTACTTTCCTTTCCAGTGGTGCCTGGTGGCGTTTTGTCTTCTTTCTGTGTTACACTATGGCAGCTTTTCTCCTCATGCAGGGTAGAGTAGGAAGAACCTTAACAATTTAGAACTTCAGGGCATGGGTTATTGACTGCTGCTACTGGTACCACGGAAGTGATACTTTCTTTTCTGTGTTGACAACTATGTTTTGATTTTTCCAAATACATTTACTGTATTTGCTGAGTGCCTACTGTGTGTTTGGACAGGATAAAATGATAAACATCCTTTGGATTTATCAAAGAGTCATCTAGTTCTTGAAACATTTAAGAGCATTCATCAGTAAATCTGTTGAGACCTTATTTCAGCATCTCCTTTTCTTTAATTAGGGATTGAGGGCATTGGTAATTCATTTCCAGTTTCTTCTATAGTTGATGTGTTCTGATTTTCTGTATCTTTCATGTTAGGTTTGACATTGTAGAAAACTACCTCTTACCTTGACTTTTATTGTTCAAATGTATTGTTGTGTTTCCCCTCCTTTTAAAAATCATTGCCTGATGATTTTGTGGCTTTTTTCTTTTTAACTTGTTCAGATTTATCAGGAGTTTGTATTTTTGTATTGCTAATTTATCAAGAGTCAAACACATTCTCATTTTAAAATTAGTTTCTGCTGTCATATTTTGCTATAATTTTATGCATCTAAGTAGTAAGTATCTGGTATTCTTTATGAATGAAAGATTTAGAGCACTGTTTCCCAAATGCTTAACAGAACACTAGTTCCATTAGATGTTCTGGGCCTTCAATGGTCAAATGAATCTGGAAAACTACTCCATACTATAGACCTTTCTTGGAGATTTGTGAGAAGACCTGCAATAAATAAATCGTTTAAACTTCATTTTCCAAACTTACCTAACCCTAGAAACTTTTATGATGAAAAGACTAAGTCCTAAATATCCTTAGATGTCATTTGGAAAAATATTGATTAATAGCAGTAGTTCTCAATCCTGATTGTATACCAGAATCACCCTAGGGTTTGGACTAATTAAATCAGAATCTCTTGGGTTTAAGTATCTGGGTCTTTTAAAACTCTCCAGTTAATTCTGATGAGGAGCCAGGGTTAAGAACCACTCATCTAGAACAGGGGTTGGCAAACTATGGCCCATGGGCCAAATCCAGCCCGTGCCTATTTCTGTATGGCTCAGAAGCTAAGAACGGTTTTTACATTTTTAAATGATTGAAAAAAATTTAAAAATTATCAAAACATTCTTTTAAAAATCATATGAAATTCAAATTTCAGTATTGATAAATAACATTTTATAGGAACATGGCCACACCCATTTGTTTACACATTGTCTTTGGCTGCTTTTGCACTTTGAGTAGCTGCAACAGTGACTGTATGGCCCCACAAAACCTCAAATGTTTATCTGGGCTTTTATGGGAAATATTTGCCAACTCCTGATCGAGAGCGGTGATCTCAAAGTGTAGGCCTGAGAAGCAGCATCAGCATCACCTGGGAACTTCATAGAAATGCAAATTCTTACGTTCCATTCCAGACCCACTGAGTCAGTAGGTGATGGTGCGTGCTAATAGTTTGTCTGCCATTTTTTTCAGTCTCTGTGATATGTGACTCCTTTTTAAAAAGACTTGTAACAGAAATTTTCCATTTTATCATCTTGATATGTTGAAAATAGAAGGTGGTTTCATTGCTTTGTGGAACAGACCACATAGCATAGCACTTAATGAAACTTTAACAACAAAGATATAATGATATTGTAAGGTTTTCAGCATATAGTGAGGACACAGTATACATTTGCTAGATGAATGAAGCAGATTTCTCAAATGTAATAATTTATATGGAAAAGAGTAAAACTTGTGCATATTAACTTTGAAACTGGAATGTTTTCAGGTTCCTGTTAGTGGTATTTTATCTTACTTGCCCAGGTTGAGCTTAAAGTAACCAAAAGTTTAGTAGCAAGTTGCTTTCTGCTTGGCAGATCGCTGTTGCTGCTGCTGCTAGTGGTGGTGGGAGTTTGAAGGATAGGAGGAGTATATATTCAAAGCCCAGACTATAGTATTATGTCTTCTGAAAAATTGAAAGGAAACTTTCTGCCCCTATAGGGATGACATAATCAGTATCATGGCAAGGAGCTCTGGGCCCCACATGGTCTTGTGACCCATGGGAAGTCCAGAATGCATTTGCTGAGAGTGAGCGTTGTTGAACACTGCAGTATTCATTGAAAGGATCATATGGTTGACTTTCTGGAGGTCTTTAAGAACAGTAGATTATCTTATGTCTGAAGAGACTTGAGTGCATGTCTTCCCTGTCCTCGCTCATGCACTTTTTTTTAGATGATACTTGCTTTGTCATTTTGTTACCATATAGGTTCTTTTTGTTTATATTTAGATTATCAAATTAAATACTATTGTAATTAATACATAATAAATTAGACTATTTAATTTTGACTTTTTACTTTATTATTGGCTATGTTTAAGTGCCTGTATTGAACATCATCTCTCTTTTTCTTATGTAGAATTATTTTCTGAGTTGAGAAACTTCTTGAGTTTTTGAAAAATGGTTGGATGTCTTCTCTTTGTCCCTAAAGTTTTGCTTAACACCCTTGTCTCTGGGATATAAGACCCTGGCACTCAGTTTACGCTCAGTAAATGTTCATTGAATGAATGACAGCTCCCCTTTCTTTCAGACTAACAGGTGGGCAATTTGTGATCTTTTCTTTTGAGAGAAATGCATATTTTACATTTACTACCCTAGTTAGTATTCCTTTCCCTGATTTTATAGTATATTTAAAGGGGATAGCATGTAATTTAGCATTTAACTCATTCTTTTTTTAAAAAGGAAAACTATAAAGGTGGCCGTACTTACTAATATTTTCAGATGCACTATTTATTTTGTTTAGTTTTTCTTACTGTCTTTTGTCTATTGCCATGTTCCATTTCCCCACACGCTAAATTCACAAAAGCTACTATCATTGGCACTAAAACATCTCAAGCATTGGGCTTGTGAGATACATAGTTACCTGAAAAAATTTAGAAGAAAGCCAGGAACACTGTGCTAGAAGGAACTGGAAGTTCTGAAGGGCTTGAGTGCCATATTTTATTATACATCTGTTGATCTAAACTGCGACTAGGTTCTTTTTACCTTTGTTTTCTACAGTTTTAACCACTACTAAATCTGGGCTTTCTGTCTCCAATCTGCCTCTCTTACTGCCATAGCGTGTACTCGTATGGCTCTTTATTTAAATCTATAGGCCAGGTACAGTAGCTTATACCTTTAATCTTAGCACTTTGGGAGGTTGAGGAGGGAAAATTGCTGGAGACTAGCAGTTGAAGACCAACCTGGACAATCTAGCAAGACCTGTGTGTGCAAATAAATAAATAAATGAATTCGCAGGGTGTGGCGGCATGTACCTTGTAGTCCCAGCTACTCAGGAGGATCACCACAGCCCAGGAGGGCAAGGCTGCAGTGAGCCGTGATTGCACCACTGCATTCCAGCTTGGGCAACAGAGCAAGATCCTGTCTCTTAAAAGAGAAAAAAAAGAGTGTGTAGGTACTAAAAAGACTATCATTAAATATATCCAAACCAGTTTTACTGTCCTATCTCTGTTGTAACGGCCTTGTCACATTATTTGTATGTGTTAGGCAATCTGGAAGTAATAAATGAGCTGTTAGTTATGTTTCAAGGTCAATATTTAAATAATGACTTACTTGTAATAACTAGTTCAACAGGTATTTTGTTTGTTGGGTAGGTACTGAGGTAATAGGATATAAGTCCAGGGAGCTCACAGGTCAGTTTGGGATAGAGAAGACAGGCCAGAGAAACATATCTTCAGTCTGTGTGCTGTTTTCACAGAACTGGGAGAACCTATTAGGAAAAGCCTTTAAGGAGATAACGCCAGAGCTAAGTTCTTTGTTTATTTTTATTTTTGAAATGGAGTCTCACTCAGCCACCTAGGCTGGAGTGCAGTGGCGTAATCTCGGCTCACTGCAACCACCGTCTCCCAGGTTCAAGCGGTTCTCCTGTCTCAGCCTCCTGAGTAGCTGGGATTACAGGCACCTGCCATCATGCTTGGCCAATTTTTGTATTTTAGCACAGATGGGGTTTCACCATGTTGGCCAGGCTGGTCTTGAACACCTGACCTCAGGTGATCCACCCGCCCCGGCTTCCCACAGTGCTAGGATTACAGACATGAGCCACCGTGCCCGGCCAAGCTAAGTTCTTAAGAATTAGTAGAAGTAGAGAGTACAGAAATATTTTATGGGGACAGAGCATGTGAAAAAGTCACAGAAGTATGAATTTTGCAAAACATTTTTTTCTACTTTTTTTCTTTTGAAAAGTTTGATTATTCTTTTTTTAGTTGACAAAGTAATACATTCTAAAGTAGGCCTTTTTTTTTTTTTTTTTTTTTTTTAACCCTGGACCCCCAATCTTTCTAGGATGGATTTCTTGTGTATTCTTCGAAACTGTCTATACCACTGTAAGGATATTTACTTTTTAAAAAGGTGGAATCATATACACTTTGCTGTACTTTATCGTGTGCTCAAGTTTTTGCTTTTGCTTTTTTTCCTCTCTCCTACATAGTGGTCTATCTTGGAAATCTTTGGTGGGAAGCATTCGAAGAAGGGTTTGACATGAAGGAGTAACATGGTCAGTTCCATATTTTAGGTAGCCATAACACTGATGGCCATATTTTCATAAAAATGAAAGTAAAGATGAAGGAAGGAAATATATTGAAGATGATAATGACTTTAGGAAGAGAAGTGTGTCTCCTGTACCCAACTTGCCCATCATCGTGAGAAAGCTAGTAGGAAAACTCTTAAGCCTTTGTACTCATGGATTGGCTCACATTAGAGGTGTTACCACTTCCCCAGCAGGTGTTTGGAAATGTACGGTTGTTGTCAGAGTAACTGAAGGGGCTCTACTGGCATTTGATGGTTGGGGGCCAGGGATGCTAAACTTTCTGCATTACTCAAAATGGTCGTGTACTGCTTTGACAGACTGAGGGTGGCCTTCTACCCTGTCTTGCGATAAGTAGCAGGTCTGTTATTTGAGGATGAATAAAAACAAAAAACAATAGGAGTCTATGGAATACCTATATAATAAAGGAATGGGAACATCATCCTAAAGACTAACAAGGAGAGCAGAGCTCTGAACACAATTTTTATAGAAAACAAAATAAAACTTAAAAAAAAATCTGGCAGTCTCAAGAAGTGGCTTTTAGAAAGTAGATTGTAAAGTTTTAAATTCCAAGCCAGATTCAGCCCTGTCAGCATGTTTTGTGTATTCTACACATTGTTTTAAGAAATTTCTCACAAGTTTGCCAGCATTTAAAAATAGATTTTAAATAAAAATTCGGATATATTGCTTCTCTTGAAAAATCAGATCTTTAAGCAGTAAGGTTGAATTGCATTCCACCTTACCTTCCATGTAAGCTTTTGAGTTTGCCGTCCCTGCAATAACAAGCAATGTGAGGGACAACCATGATACAGTTTTTACAGATTGAACAATAAACATGAAAATAAAGAGAAGAAAGGTGTCTGTGGGACTCTTCTGTATAGAGATCTAATCTGAGAATTAAATAAGACTGAGAAATGACACTCAAGTGTAAATCATTCTAAGTTTGATTTTAAAATTGAATATATATATGAATATGTGTGTGTGTGCATATATATGTACGTATGTATATATCTCTTTCCCTTTTTTATTCCCTCTCCTTTTTTGAAGCAGTTAATTCCTAAAGCCATTAGGTGAGCCCAAGCAAGGTAGGCATCCACGCCAAAGTTGGGGAGCTATAGTGGCACAGAGCAGAGTGTTGGAAGCTGACCAGGTTCAGAAGGTGTGGGATGGGGAACACTACCAGTATGGGGTTTCAGAGCCCAAGCAGGGTGAGAATTGCACCCCTGTGGAGGAGTGACTGGCATGGGATGTCAAGAGTGCAAGTAGGATGAGGAAGGTGTCTACATAGGAAGGGTAGGACTAAAAGAAACCAGGGCTCTTTGGCAGGTTCCAAGGCTGGGGTAGGGAAAGAACAGGATAAATCTGGAACTTCTTGTTGGGCCAGAAAGTAAGAAAGTGCTCAAAGAATGATGAGGACATGTCCAAAAAACACAATAATGTCAGTAATTGATTATATATTTATAAAAAATAGGAAACCATGAGGGAATAAATAAATGAATACATTGAAAGTTTGATGAAGAACAGGATATTTACATACTTCCAAATTAGGTCCCTACAAAATTTTCATTGTCTACAAAAGAGAAACAAGAATCATGGTAAAATTTGGCAGATAACACCTTAATCCAGTGATCAAGTTAACATCAGCAGTAATGAAATAAAAATCACGTGTTACTTGATAGGATGCAGCGAGAACACAGCATCTGTGATATTCTTACCAAAGATGTGTGACCTGAATTTGATCACAAAGAAACACCAGAGGAACCCAAATTGAAGGACATTCCCATGCAAAATAACTGCCCTGTAAT
This sequence comes from Homo sapiens, assembly GCF_000001405.40. Lineage (NCBI taxonomy): Eukaryota > Metazoa > Chordata > Mammalia > Primates > Hominidae > Homo > Homo sapiens. Next base: position 58,601,805 of record NC_000015.10, on the reverse strand, counting down.
CTTCAAAAGTATCAAGGTCATAAAAGCCAAGGAAACACTGGAATTTTTCCAAATCAAAGGAGAGAAAAGAAACATGGTGGCTAAATATAGCACACGATTCTGAACTGGATAGTATTGGGACAAATGGCAAAACCTGAATGGGGTCTGAGGATTAAATGTTAGTAATGTATCAGCCCTGATTTCCTGATTTTGATGATTGTCTTGTTATCTAGGAAACCACCCTTATATTGTAGAAATTATATGCTAAAATGTTCAAGAGTAACAGCATGGTGCTAGCAACTTACTCTGAGGTGCTTCCAGATTTTTAAAAGTTTTTCTTTTTTGTTTTTGTTTGTTTGTTTATTTGAGGTGGAGTCTCACTCTGTTGCCCAGGCTGGAGTGCAGTGGCACAATCTCGGCTCACTGTAACCTCTGCCTCCCTGGTTCAAGCGATTCTCCCCCCTCAGCCTCCTTAATAGTGGAATTACAGGCACCCACCATCATTCCTGGCTAATTTTTGTATTTTTAGTAGAGACGGGGTTTCACCATGTGGGCCTGGCTAGTCTCGAACTCCTGACCTCAGGTGATCCACCCGCCCCGGCCTCCCAAAGTGCTGGGAGCCACCTGGGAGCCACCGTGCCCGGCCTCAGGTTTTTAAAAGGTACTTGGAACTTTTGAATTGTACTTGCAACTTTTCTTTAAGTTTGAGACTCTTTCAAAATAAAACAAATGTTTAGAAAGTAGGAAAGGCTTTGTGTACACAAAGAAAAAGTGGCTTGGGATATTTTGCTACAACATGCCTTTTAATTTTAGCATTACTCTCATTAATGCTAAAATTAGCATTAGTATTACTTTAATTATATAAACACTGCTGGAAAAACTAAACAGTGTAGAAGTAGTACCCAGTTTGTTGTAAGTCCCTAAGTCATAGACAGTCTTCTTAAATGGGAGTTTTGCTGGAAACTATTAGTAGTAATTATATATGTTACAGTAACCTGTGTTAAATAAATGTAAAGGTTCAGTTTTGAAGCTGTAAATATTTTGTATGATGTTTATTAGTACATGTGGTCTTAAAACAAAGTTTGAATATTTGGAATTGCAAAATATAATTTAAGACTAGACACAGTAATTTTCCTATAAATTTATCAATAATTTTTGAAGGTTTTTCTGTTTGGCTAATTGATTTGTTTAATATAGGTCAGGTTAAAATAGAAGTTTTGGTTTCTTCTAAGACGGGATGAACTTTGCCTGCTGCTAAAATATGTATCTTCTTCCACTTTTCATATTTAAAAAGATAGCCTATAAACTAATGAATACAATAAAGATATTATATATAATGTAATGAAAACTAATGTATATAAAAAGTAATTTCATAACTAGTCCGAGTCTCAAATTCCAAATGAAATAAAAGAGGAAAAGGGTGTCTCAAAGAGATAGAATTTCAGTCTTAACTTTGATAATTAGAAAGCAATGTAGGTTAAAGAGTAATTTTTAAATCTATTCACTAGTAGAATTTAAAGCAAGTTACATGCTTTCTAAGCCATGGAAAGTATAAACGCAATCAAAACATAGTCTATAAGAGTAAGAGGAGATCCTTTTGTAGTTCATAAGTGTGATGATTGGGTTTGCACACTCATATGTGAGATGTGCCTTCCTCAAACCTTGTTAGGGCATTGGCACATTATCCATTTGAGGGAGAAAAAAGAGTAAGGGGAAAAAACAAAGGCAATATTTAAACCAGAAAATATTTAATAACATGGGAAAATGCAATATAACTATATGCAAGATGACCCCAGTTTTGTATTTGTGTTCATGTGTATGACAAATGTTGTTATATGTAAAGAGACTAAAAAAAATCAGATTGAGCGGTTTCCTCTATGAGATGAAATTATGGGTGATTTCCATTTTCTCCTTTAAACTTTTTTTTATATTTAAATAATATATATGTGCAAATATCTAACATATGTATACAACTCCTAAACAAATGTTCTTTAAAAATTACAATATACTGTGTTCTATTCTATGTTTTATATACTGTAAAAGATACTCTAAAATATTTTGTAGTTTTTTTTTTTTCAGTGGAAAAATCTGTTTATTTCTAGGCTCATTGGTGGGCAGTATTACTTATGGGAATTGCTCTGATCATGCTAATGGCTGGATTTATTAAGATATGCAGTGTTCATACTCCAAGTAGTAATCCAAAGTTGCCTCCTCCTAAACCACTTCCAGGTAAGAATATTTGAGCAAGATACATATTTATGTAACTCAGAATTGTTTAGCAGGTAGAATTGAATTATAAATGAGTCTGTAGTAACTAATGTTACAGTACTTTCTCCGTAAGAATGGGATTATTGGATGAATGATTTAGTTGATATTTGTGTGCTTTTTGTCAATCCAATCTGGCCAGTGACTGCTAAGTTAATGCTAATTTATCTGAGTGTCTGAAAATATTTAGAACTAGAAATTTTAAATTTTGCTTGGTATTTGTTTTCTTGTTTTTTTTTTTTTAAATATATTCTAACATATTCCCTTGCCATGATTATGGTGAACTACTTTAAAATTGTTGATCTTTCTATTCTAATAGTTGTGCTTCTCATATTGTTGTCCTTCATTCCTCCTTCCTTCCCTTCCATCTTCCCTCCCTCCCGCCCTCCCTTCCTTCTTTTTCTTTTTTCTTTCTCTCACTGTGTTGCCCAGGCTGGACTTACTCCTGAGCTCAAGCAATCCTCCCCACTTTAGCCTCCTAAGTAGCTGGGACTATAGGCGCGTGCACTGCACCCAGCTCTCTTATCGTTTTTAGTGTTTGTGCTCTTGAAATATTTTCTGGCACATAAGCTTATTTTCCCCCAGGGTGATGCTTGTGGGGACATACAGATCCCAGTCTGTGGGAAAGTCTTAGAGTAGAGGATTCATTCATCAAATAAGCACAGTCAAGTATTCTCCATTCCTGAAAACAACTCTTTAGTTCTGGTCTCCACCTTTTACCTCTCAGGGAGACATAGCATGAGGAAGAACCCTCTTTAGATGAGCTGTGGGCATTGGAAGGAGAAAAGGACAGGAAATAAACCCTTCGTATTGTTTAGTTCCCTCTGTTTATCCCTCCCCTTCTCCAAGGTATTCGTAGCTATTCTCTACAGGTGTGAGGACAGACATTGTCTCAGGGCAGCAGCAGGGGAGAGCCAGAACTAAATGACAGCAGTTCCCTCTCCTGCCGCTCTCAGACTTCTCATAAGATGTCTTGCCTCAGGCAAATCCACTACCTTATACAAAGTAGTTCAAAACTAGGTTTCTTACACTTTTTCTCTGTTTTCCCTCAGTTGTTCACCTGCATTTACCTGTCTGGGGCAAGATGGCCCAGTAGTCATGCTAGGACAGTATCTTAGTGAGAGTTAGAGGAAATTTGATTTTTATATCATTGCTTTTCTTAAGTTCACAATGTTAGTTAGCACTCTGGAACTTATGTTAGTATTTAAGGAAGTTCTAAGGGCCACATGACACTTTTTAGATGCTGTTACCAATTGTGGTCTTATTCAGTGAAACATTTTATGTGTATGTTGGTTTCATTTTAAGTGAATAGCACCTTTAAAAACTTAGAAAACTAGCTGTCATTTATTGAACCCTCACAAAAAGTGTTAAACATTTTTATATGAATTATATAATCTTTACAACAGGCTATATACGTTAATTATCATCCTTGTTTTACAGTGTAGGCATCTGAGTCTCAGGTTAAGGCATTTGCTCAAAGACACTTAGTAATTCCCTCATATGGATTCTGTCCAGAATCTGTGATATTAATCTGGATTAATCTAATACTTGTGGCTGCTGAGCACTGAATTGTTGCTAGTTTCCATTGAAATGTGCTGTTTTAATTAACATACATACCAGACTTTGAAGATTTAGTATAAAAAAAGAAATATTTTGTTAGTAATTTTTGTATTGATTATATATTGAAATGATAACACTTTGGCTATATTAATTTAAATAAAATAAAAAATATTATTAAAATTATTTCACCTTTTAAACCTTTTTTATTGTGGCTATCAGAAGATTTTAAATTACATTGATGGCCCATATTATTGGACAGCACTGAACTAAAACCTTTCTTATTGAAACAGCAGCTTTGCTTTTAAAGATTAAAAAGCTCATGATAAATAAATCTGCTTTGCTTTTATTTGTGGCTCACAGGCACTTTAAAGAGGAGGAGACCTCCACAGCCCATTCAGCAACCCCAGCGTCAGCGGCCCCGAGAGAGTTATCAAATGGGACACATGAGACGCTAACTGCAGCTTTTGCCTTGGTTCTTCCTAGTGCCTACAATGGGAAAACTTCACTCCAAAGAGAAACCTATTAAGTCATCATCTCCAAACTAAACCCTCACAAGTAACAGTTGAAGAAAAAATGGCAAGAGATCATATCCTCAGACCAGGTGGAATTACTTAAATTTTAAAGCCTGAAAATTCCAATTTGGGGGTGGGAGGTGGAAAAGGAACCCAATTTTCTTATGAACAGATATTTTTAACTTAATGGCACAAAGTCTTAGAATATTATTATGTGCCCCGTGTTCCCTGTTCTTCGTTGCTGCATTTTCTTCACTTGCAGGCAAACTTGGCTCTCAATAAACTTTTACCACAAATTGAAATAAATATATTTTTTTCAACTGCCAATCAAGGCTAGGAGGCTCGACCACCTCAACATTGGAGACATCACTTGCCAATGTACATACCTTGTTATATGCAGACATGTATTTCTTACGTACACTGTACTTCTGTGTGCAATTGTAAACAGAAATTGCAATATGGATGTTTCTTTGTATTATAAAATTTTTCCGCTCTTAATTAAAAATTACTGTTTAATTGACATACTCAGGATAACAGAGAATGGTGGTATTCAGTGGTCCAGGATTCTGTAATGCTTTACACAGGCAGTTTTGAAATGAAAATCAATTTACCTTTCTGTTACGATGGAGTTGGTTTTGATACTCATTTTTTCTTTATCACATGGCTGCTACGGGCACAAGTGACTATACTGAAGAACACAGTTAAGTGTTGTGCAAACTGGACATAGCAGCACATACTACTTCAGAGTTCATGATGTAGATGTCTGGTTTCTGCTTACGTCTTTTAAACTTTCTAATTCAATTCCATTTTTCAATTAATAGGTGAAATTTTATTCATGCTTTGATAGAAATTATGTCAATGAAATGATTCTTTTTATTTGTAGCCTACTTATTTGTGTTTTTCATATATCTGAAATATGCTAATTATGTTTTCTGTCTGATATGGAAAAGAAAAGCTGTGTCTTTATCAAAATATTTAAACGGTTTTTTCAGCATATCATCACTGATCATTGGTAACCACTAAAGATGAGTAATTTGCTTAAGTAGTAGTTAAAATTGTAGATAGGCCTTCTGACATTTTTTTTCCTAAAATTTTTAACAGCATTGAAGGTGAAACAGCACAATGTCCCATTCCAAATTTATTTTTGAAACAGATGTAAATAATTGGCATTTTAAAGAGAAAGCAAAAACATTTAATGTATTAACAGGCTTATTGCTATGCAGGAAATAGAAGGGGCATTACAAAAATTGAAGCTTGTGACATATTTATTGCTTCTGTTTTCCAACTACATCACTTCAACTAGAAGTAAAGCTATGATTTTCCTGACTTCACATAGGAGGCAAATTTAGAGAAAGTTGTAAAGATTTCTATGTTTTGGGTTTTTTTTTTTCCTTTTTTTTTTTAAGAGTATAAGGTTTACACAATCATTCTCATAATGTGACGCAAGCCAGCAAGGCCAAAAATGCTAGAGAAAATAACGGGATCTCTTCCTTGTAAACTTGTACAGTATGTGGTGACTTTTTCAAAATACAGCTTTTTGTACATGATTTAGAGACAAATTTTGTACATGAAACCCCAGATAGACTATAAATAATTCTAAACAAACAAGTAGGTAGATATGTATGTAATTGCTTTTAAATCATTTAAATGCCTTTGTTTTTGGACTGTGCAAAGGTTGGAAGTGGGTTTGCATTTCTAAAATGGTGACTTTTATTCTGCAAGAGTTCTTAGTAACTTCTTGAGTGTGGTAGACTTTGGAACATGTAAATTTTTTGCTTGTAATGTTATCCTGTGGTAGGATTTTGGCAGGTACACACACTGCCCTATTTTATTTTGAGTCTAAGTTAAATGTTTTCTGAAAAGAGATACATGCACTGAACTCTTTCCACTGCGAATCAAGATGTGGTAATATAAAAGGATCAAGACAAATGAGATCTAATACTACTGTCAGTTTTAATGTCCACTGTGTTTTATACAGTATCTTTTTTTGTTCACTTTGGAAATTTTTACTAAAAATTGCAAAAAATAAAGTATTGTGCAAAGATGTAAGGTTTTTTGAAACTTGAAATGCATTAATAAATAGACGATTAAATCAACTTGAAGGTTCTATACTCTTTGAACTCTGAGAACTATCACAAGAAGCTTCCCACAAGGCAGTGTTTTCTTACAGTTGTCTCTTCCTACAAAAGTATAGATTATCTTTATTCTTAATACTTTGGAATCCATGTAGAAAATTTCCAGTTAGATACTCTGCGTACACACAATAAACCTTTTTAAAACACCCAACTAATCTCAACTGCATTACATTGTTTCTAATCAATATTCAGTGCTTGTCTTGGTGGAAGAGGTGAGTCATTTTGAAAACTTATGGTCTTGTTTTTATGTGTTTTTCAAAGTTTTGAATGCTAAGTACCTCATTTATTTTAAAAAGCCTAGTTTAATGATAAGTTTGTTTAAAATTTTGAGCCATCATTTTTCTCTTCATAGCAAATAAGGAGAGAATTGACATTTCAGTGTTACCTAGAAAAGGAATTGTAAGCCCAGAATAATTCCCTGCATGAGGTAATCTGCTTCAAATTCTTTTTTTAGTCAAGGTTAGCTATAAGTAATACTTGTTAAATGAGTAAATATGTAATACTTTGTGAATTACTTTGTTAATTTAGGAGCATCAAATGTATATTATGTTTAGTTATTTATGAAACTCTCAATATTGATTGATTTGGGTAATTATAAATTAGTTATTTTTACTTGTAATTGAATGCTTAAATTCTGTTTACAGTCCGTCCTCTCTCCCTCCATCCCTCCCTCCCCAGTTTTATAAATTCAGGTACCAATTCACAAACAAAATCAGAAATAAAATAAATTTATTGACTGCTTCTGGATTTAGCATTCCCTGTAGTGTCAAGCAATGTCATGCAGTTTGGGGAAGCATTTATTTAAGGAAATGACAACTTTCTCTGATCAGTCTTGTTTTGTGAGGTGTCTTCAACACTTTATGCTTTGGGTACTTCGTGTTTGTCACAGTCTTAGGATAGTGAAATCTGATTTGTCCAAGCGGAGCAAACTACTCGACCCTCAGTCCTTGTATTTGTCCCTGTAGTAAGACCTAATTATTATTATTTCTTAAAGATGGGATTGGTGTCCTTGGCAACTATGAAATTTCGGGGCTTGTGCATGAGAAGGCATTTCTTATTAAGTATTTCTAATTGAAGGTATCAGAGTGTCAAGCATTACAAACCTGGACAGTTCACCTGGAGGAGTACAAGAAGAGATATTCATTATCCATATTTAAAGGGTCAAGGTTTCCCAAAACCAGGGTGCAAGCCAGATGTAGTTTTAAAGCAGCTGCCAGGGACAGTTCATCTTTAGAGAAGTCACTAAAGTTGTAAGAAATTTTAGTTTCCCCAAAACCACTTTCAACTTCTTAGAAACTAGAAAGACAATTGGTTTGCCCCACAGAGGACAACTTCAGTTTCAGCATCTCTCATGTTGTGTTCTTGATTAAAAACAACTTCCATTTGATATACTTTTCCGTTTATTACCAGTTTAGTTTTTTCACTATTGTTTCTGTATTCAACTCTTTATATGATTAGGATAGAAATTTAGCCCTTCTGTTTTATATTACTATATTGTTTGTGTGTCTTAGATATATACATGTATGTACTATTTTCAGTAGAAATTCATGTATTTTATAATTGGTAAGTTCTTCAGAGCATCTCTTCTATAAAAAGCAACAGGATGCTAGGTAAAACGGAGCATTGAGCAAAATACTGATTAGTTTTTGCTTTTTCCTGAAATCTACACTAAAGTGATAGGGTGTGGGGTAATCCAACAAGGACAAGGTGAATTGAACAAGAACGAAATCTGGAAGCAGATGAAGGAGTACTATTGATTGGGCAGACCCAGGGAAGTCAAATCCTAAACCAGCAGTGGGAACACAACAGAATGGTGTAGTTTGCACTGGTAAGATTTGGGTACCTGGCAGGGCTGGGTGCGGTGGCTCACACCTGTAATCCCAGCACTTTGGGAGGCCAAGGCGGGTGGATCACTTGAGGTCAGGAGTTCGAGACCACCCTGGCCAACATGGTGAAACCCCGTCTCTACTAAAAATACAGCTGGGCGTGGTGGCACATGCTTGTAATCCCAGCTACTCGGGAGGCAGAGGCAGGAGATTTGCTTGAACCCGGGAGGCAGAGGCAGGAGATTTGCTTGAACCCAGGAGGCAGAGGCTGCAGTGAGCCGCGATTGCGCCATTGCACTCCAGCCTGGGTGACAGAGCGAGACTCTGTCTCAAAAAAAAAAAAAAAAAAAAAAAAAAAAAAAAAAAAAAAAAAAAAAAATTTGAGTACCTGGCCTTTGTTACTTTTTTTCTATGTGTGTGACAAAAACATAATATGCACACTTTTGTAACCCACCTTTCTCATTTAATGGTACATTGATAATGTATATCACATTAACTACTCTAAATATTTCTGTGGATGTATGTTTTTTTTTTTCTTAACCAATTTCCCATTGTTTGGACATGTAGGTTCCACATTGTTTATTATTTTAAACAATTCTAAAGAATTTTAAACAATTCTTAGGAAAATCCTCAGCCTAATAATGAAATTAATTCCTAAAAGTGGAATTGTTGGGGTAAAGGTTTTTTGAGGGACATTGATAAAAATTATGGTACTGTCTCCCAGATAGATGTACCAAGTTATACTACCACGATTTAATATATATATATATATATATTAAATCAGAGTCCCATCCTTAGAAATCCACATATATGCAGCCACATGAATGTATTAGAAACAATAATAGAAGACTCATGCTTAATTCAGTTGATTAGCTTTAGACATAATTCAAATGCAAGTCAAATTGAGTGCCCTAATTGTGGTCTCTTAAGTACCATTTTTCTTCAAGGGAACCAGACTCCTTTGGATAAATCACTAATTCCACCTGTAAGAAAGAAATGTACAAGAAGAACCTAGGAAACATTGTTTTGTACCAGATCAGAAAGATTCAGGAGGCACCTTAGAAGTTACCACTGGCCAAGGCTGAGATAACTTTAGCATCAGCAAGGATAATATCTGCAAGAGATTGAAACTCATAGTATTGTATTTAACTCTGTGAGTTAATGATGGTAGTGGACAGAATTATAGTTACCTTTGGGATACGCTTTTAAAGAAATTCCAGGTAATAAGAGAAATGATAGAATTAGGATATCACCATTTTACCCCCCCAACAATTTATGGATCTAGACAATAATCGCCAGTGACTGCTAACCTCACAAAGTGAGAGCAATCAGATTTTGTGCCTCCTAATGGAAGTACATATACCACCTATGAAGCAGTTCTGCCAAAAGTCACATCTCATCATGATGAAGCCTCCTGATCTAACTACCCCTTCATTAGAAATACAGGGGACAGAGGGACAAATAATATACAAGGGACTCAATCAGCAAAATCCAGACTCTGGAAAACTACAAGACATATGGTCCTGCTTCAACAACAGAAATGCAAAGAGAAAAGACAACGATGGGTTAAAGGAGACTTAAGAGCTACATCTATCAAGACAATTTATGGACTTATTTGGATACTGATTTGAACAAACTGTTGAGACCATTGGAAAAATGTGAAAAGTGGATATTTGATATTAAGGTTTTTAATTATTTTTAGGTGTGATAATGGTATTGTTACATTTTTTAAAGGACCCCTTTTAGAGATGCAAATTGAAACACTTAAAAAATGAAATGATACGATGTATAAGTTTTTGCTTAAAAATAAGGATTGAAGTTGGCTGGTGTGTGTGGATATAGTTGAAACAAGATTGGCTGTGAGTTGATAATTATTGAAGCTGGGTGATGGGCACTTGGGGATTTATTATACTATTTTCTCTACCTGTGTTTATATTTGAAATTTTTCATAGAAGTTTTAAAATGTGGCCAGTTGTGATGGCTCATACCTGTAATCCCAACACTTTGGGAGGCCAAGGTGGGAGGATCACTTGAGCTCAGGAGTTAGAGACCAGCCTGGGCAAAATAGTGAGACTCCATCTCAAAGAAAAAAAAAAAGTGTTTTAAATGTGAATCAAATTCCTATAGAAGCTGATTCATTACTGTTTTTATTTTAGCAGTAATTCATGATAATGACCTGTATTCATAATGATTTTCATAATGATTGTTTTAGTGGAATTAAACTTGAACCAGTCAAGCTAACATAATTATATTCTGCTCCAGTTACAATGAATAATTAATTGATTTCAACTGCTAGGGTGAACTCTTGAAGCTATCAGTCATCCAGCAATCTTAGCAAGCAGGCCATTGGGTCCCTGTTTGCTCTGTCTCTCTCTCTCTCTCTCACTGTTGAAGGGCTTAGCTAACTACTTAAGTAAAATATTTGTTCTCTGTTAAACATGTCAAGGAGTATGGTCAGCTTATCCACATTAAGCCTGTGTGTCCCACGTTGGAGTAAATGTTAAGTAGCTCACTACAATAAACTAGATTCTTCTGCCCTCTCTTGTTTAAATGATCATGTTCCCTGGAGGTGGAAATAGATCTTTAAAAAGATATTCTGTAGTTGTTTGTTCTCAGTGTAAAAAAATGAGAATAATTTGATAAGAGTGTAGGTTGTCTTATATAAAAAGTGGTTCCATTTGCATGAATTTTAGAAAAATCATTTTGGAAAAATGAAGGCTATGTGGTTATACTGAACACATTAAGCAATTTTATTCTTTATTTTAAATGAATATTTTATTATCGTTTTCTTCCCTTGCCCTTTGGGTATGGGAGTTAGCCTTTGTGTTTCTAAATACAACAGGCCGGTTTTTATAAATTAAGGTGTCAATATATTCTTCATTATTTAGTTTTGTGATTGTGGTTAGTTTTCATTTTTCTTAAGTATCTGCTAGTAGCATCTGTAATTAAGTGAAGTGACCTGTTAACCATTTTCCTCTTTCTCCTCCTTTCCTCCTCCTTGAAACATATCAGAGCATGTTTGAAATTCTTTGGCTTTTATGGTATGCATTTGCTGATATGCATTGACCAGTTACCTTACTCACAGATACTTCTTAGGCACTTGATTGTGCCAGGGCCTTGGCTAGATGATAAGAATACAGTAGTGAACTTAACAGTTTCCCTGCCCTGGTGAAGCGTATGGTCTTGTAGGTGAGATAGATATCAGATAATCATGTGAATAAATGTACAATTCCAGCTGTGATACATGCTGAGGAGGAGGTTTTTGGTGATCCAAGAGCTGATCATGCAGAGATAGGACTGAGAAAGGAGGGTGGGACGTTGTCACAGCTGATAATGCAGAGATAGGACTGAGAAAGGAGGGTGGGACATCAGGAAGGTCAGAGAATTCCTTATGAAAGTGATGCTTGAGTCAAAATATGATGGATGAAGAGAGTTTAAATAGATTACATAGAATTTTTAATAATGTCGATTGGTTATATACTGGGCACTGATAGCTGATTTTTCTTTGGGGAAAGGTATGTCAGCCTAGTCATTCAGATTCCTTTATTTTTTTAAATGTTTTTTCATTTTTTGCTTTGCATTGCATTCATTTGCTGAAGAGCTGGCTTGTACTTTGGCAGGTGTCATACTTGGTTATTCTCCTTAGGATATTGGCCCAACAATCTGGGAGTTGTGAAAGGCGCTTCGCTTTTCAGACCTGGGCGTCTGTATCATGACTATCATAAATTTAGGATTAAGACACCTAGCCTCCTACCAGGATGAATGAGGTGTCCATGTGACCTGCTGTGCCCTGGAATTTTATACATCTTTCTCTCATAGCACACACCATATTACAATATAATCCTGCCTCATCTAAGCCAAACTTTCGAGAGAATCATTTACACTCAGTGGCTACTTCAGCTCCCATTCACTTATCAACCTGCTGCAATTTTTCACAGCCCCCAAAGGACTGCAGTCTGTGCCTTCAGGGAGCTGAGGGTCTAGCGGAAGGAAAGAAACCAGCAGTTACAGTACAGAGGGGTTTGTGTTGGAAACTCTACAAACACAGGATGCCCTGGTAGCTCAGAGGAAGTGCATATCGAGCATGGTAGGTAGGTAGTGGGAAGAGCCAAGATGACTTCCCAGAGGAGAAAAGCTGGACCTGAGTTTTGGAGTTTCGGTAAAAGTTTGCTCTAACTAGTCCAAGCTGCTGTCACAAGCTTTTAGAAATGATGTAACCATGGGGCAGTTGACTGTCGTCATGTTCTTTGCTATTTTCATGACTCTGGATGTGCTTTTCCTATTCCCTGGATTGCCCTTTCCCTCGATTCCTCTGCAGGACTGGGCTTTATTAATCTCCATTTCCTTGAGCTTGGCTATAGTAGGTGTTCAATAAACATTTGTTTTGTTGTGTGCTTTGTAAATAGGCAATGAAGCTGATTTCACAAGATAGGCACAAAAGTTAGTTTCATTACAACACATTACCAACAGCTGTATTTTTAACTTTTAACATATCTCATTCTAAATCCTGTGGCAGCACAACCTCCTTCCGTCATACCTGGAGATAAATTTTCTTTCAAAATCTAATATGCACTGTATTTATAGAATATGAAACATACCGACCATGTTTTGCAAAAATGGGAAAGGCATAACTTAGCTTTGGGGCATGTAAGTAACAACTCCTGATAGGAGAAGAAATGTATTCAGAAAGCTCAAATTAGAAATAAAATGGGAGACTCTAGATTTGTGTTTGTGGATGAATGTTTTCTTTAGCTAAATCATTGATGTAATGTTTATTTGGCTATTTCATAGTGAAAGGTGGAAGTTAAACGTTTTGAAGGTATTTTCCTGCAGTAAACTTCCAGATTAACATTTTCTGTTTTTTCACAGAAATCTAGTATTTTTTTTTTTTTTTTAATAACAGGTTTTTAGACAAATATTCAGGAAAAAACAGGAGGTATAAATTCCAGGGTCAAATGGAAATGCAGAGTTACACGGGTTTTTATTTTGTTCTGTTGATTGATTTTTTAAAAAATGAGGTATTTCTGAGAGCCTCTAGTATGCTAGCACTGATTGTGATCTGTAAAAGCATCTTATAATATGCAGTGCTCCCAAACTAGTAAACTCTTCTGCTGTTTTCTCCCCTAAAGAGTCTTGAGTTCTGCAGAACACGCTGGGTGTTACTTCTTGGATAGCTGGTACTGTAGTGTGCCCTGCTGGGGACAGGTTCTCCTTACCTAAGGAATTCTCACTGGGCTGGGACTTCCACATCTGTTATGACACTTGGCACTGACAATGGGGTTGCAGAGGTTCTCAGGACAGGCTGGTTAGCCTACTCCCTCACCCTTACAAGCAACTCTGCTCTCTGTGGCACTCATCAGAATTGCTTTGCACAGTGGTCTCCAACTTTTTTTTTTTTTTTTTGAAATAGGTTTTCTGTAGACCAGGCTGGAGTGCAGTGGCACCATCATAGCCCACTGGAGCCTACACCCTCTGGGCTCAAGCAAACCTCCCACAGTTGGGATTACAGGCACATGCCACCACGCCCAGCTAAAATTAAAAAAATTTGTAGAAACGGGTGTCTTGCTGTTTTGCCCAGGCTGATCTCAAACTCCTGGCCTCAAGTGATCCTCCCACCTTGGCCTCCCAAAGGGCATGAACCATCGCATCCAGCTTGTCTCCAAGTTTTTTGATCTTGTATCTTACACTTAAAAATCTTGAGTACACACTCCTAATATGGAAATATGTATAAATAATATGACTGTGTTACTGCACTATGATGATGTTTTAAAGTATGCCACAATTTTGAGGGATAAGAGAAAAATGAACGGAGATCATATTTCTTCCCACATTCCAGTAGGCATTTTGCACTCCCTACTGTGTACACAATCCACTTTGTAAGCCTCTGGCTTTTGAGATAGAGTCTACTTACAAGCCAACTAGCTGTCGCCCTCCCTTCGTTCCTGGGTTAAGTTTGCTTTCCAGTGAAACACTCTGCAACCATTGAAGAATGCAGGCTACCTGCAGGTATTTGCTTCTAAAGAAGTCCAAGAAGTACTAAGTGGAAGAAGCAAGTATTAATATATATGTATGGTCTGATTTCTTGTGTGAAAATTTTTTACATTTGTAAAAATGTATAATTTATTCAGAGAAAATCTCTAGATTGATACATTAAAAGCTGTTAAGTTATTTCTGAGCACTGGGATTAAGGGCCTTGGGAGAGTAAGAAGATTTTTATTTTTTACTTCACTCTTCTGCACTGCTTGAATTTTTAATGAACCGGATTCTTTTCGTAATAAATAATTTTTAAAATCACTAAATATATTAGGATGTCAACTATGTTACAATGCATTGCCAATGTTGATTGTTGAAGTTGGGTGATGGGCATGTTGGGTTTCATTGTATTCTTCTCTACTTTTATGTGTATTTGAATATTTCCATAATAAAAACTTTAAATAAAAAATGCGCTGCAAAAGAGTCTATAGAAATACACTACACAGTTAACGTGGTTATCTTAAGGGTGGGAGGACAGAAGAAGGGTTGAATAGAACTTCAGATACCTTCTGCCTCAAATGTTTTATAATGGGAAAACCACTGATACACACACACACACACACACACACACACACACACTCACTGCAGAGCCACCAATGCAAAGAGTTTCATATGTAGAAGGGAGTAGAAAATACTTACTTGATTTCCTAGATAAATGTTAGTTCCTAGGGAAATCTACAAAATAAATGTGTAAGTCGAGTGTTTCATATGTAAGGCTTGGCTGTTCCATATTAAGATTTTTTTTTTTTTTTTTTTTTTTGAGACAAAGTCTCACTCTTTTGTCCAAGCTGGAGTGCAGTGGTGTGATCTCAGCTCACTGCAACCTTCACCTCCTGGGTTCAACCGATTTTCCTGCCTCAGCCTCCCAAGTAGCTGGGACTACAGGCCTGCACCACCATGCCCGGCTAATTTTTGTATTTTTAGTAGAGACGGGGGTTTCACTATCTTGGCCAGGCTGGTCTTGAACTCCTGACCTTGTGATCCACCTGCCTGGGCCTTCCAAAGTGCTGGGATTACAGGCGTGAGACACTGTGCCCGGCCCCATATTAAGATCTTAAGGCTTGTTTTATAAAAAGGATTCCTGGGCATGTTGTATAATCAAAGGTGAAACTCCACAGCATAGCCACATGCCTCTGCACAGTCTCAGCGGCAGCAGGGAGGGCACAGCTAGTGGTCTGCCATGAATGATTTGCACTTATAGCTGGTTACCAAGCTCCATAACATGAAAAGACAGTGTCTTAAAGTACAATACCTAATTATAGCTCTCACATGGGGTCCAAGGGAGTTAATATGTAAAGGACATTTTCTGTTGCTGACTGCAATGGTAGGCTGCATTCATGGACACAGAATCTATAAAGAGGGAAATGATGGTCCATTAGCCGTGTGACCTTGTAAAAGCTAAGCTGTAGGTACCTCATCTGTGAAACAGGGATAATAGTTTTAGCCACCTCAGGGGACTATGATGTGGATTAAAGGAGAATGTATGTAAGGCACCTTGCATATGGTGAACACTCGAATGTCAACTGTTCTGGTTTTCATGTGAAAAACTGCTTACTGAACTGGAACATTTAGCTTGCGAGCAGGTGTCCCCTGATTTTAAGTATCTTCTCCTCTAACAGACATGTGGTTAGGGTCCTTGGTCTGTGGTTAATCTCATTACCCTTGCCAAGTTTAGGAATGGTCATGTCACCTAATTTTGGCCAGTGAGATAAGAGGGCTGTCTCCCGCATGATGTCTACTGTTCCTTCTCTGGATGTTACCATGCCTGAGTGAGCTGCCTGCAGTTGCAGTGGGCAACTTGGTAACAGCCTGAGGATGAAGCCAACATCAAGGATGGTGGAGCAGAGAGAAGGAAAAACACTGCATCTTCATAACATTACCAAGCAGCCCAGTCAGCTCTTCCTGAGGCCCCACTCTACCTTGGAACTTCCTTTTGTGTGAGATTTAAAAACAAAACAAAACCAACCAAACAAAAAACCCTCTTTATTTAAGCCAGTTTGAGTTAGCTTCCAAAGGCATCATGATTGATTGAACCTGCACCAGACAGGATTTGAGGTAGGGGTGGTAGCATGTATTCAGTGATGTTTATTAAGCACTTTAGAATGCAAAAATAAAGACATCAAGAAGTTCCGAGACATGAGGAACTGGGGGTTCTGGAATGATAGCAGCTTGAACTTTTTTCTACTTGCAGTTTAACCCATTTGCCTCTCCTGAGAAAAGCAGCTGCTGGGGCTTGCCGGGGGAAGATAAGGCCTGGGATGTGAATGAGGCTTCGGGCCACAGCAGAATCCTGTCAGAGAGCTGGGGCAAGATTGTCTTCCTGCCTGGGAACCATATCATAAGCCTAAGGAGGGGATCCGGGGCAAGGTCCTCGTGAATGTGTGGGTCTCCCTGCTTCTTGAAGAGCTGACCAGATGGGTTGAGTTGCCTTCACTGCTATGAAGGTGTCTGAGAGAGGTGAGGAGACTAGAAAGGGGGCAGAGAGGCTTCCTTCAAGTCCCTTGCCAGAGGACTGGCAACCCACATGCTGCTAAGCTTGAGCCTGGGAGGCTGATACTGCTGTTCCTTCTATCAGGCTGCGAATGCTGTCTCTTAAGGTACCTCAGTATCTGGAACAGAGCCCCAGTGATCAAACAAAGGAAAAGAAGATTCCTAATGGAGTCCAGTAGCCAGGGAGAATTACAAGCAGAACCCTCAGTACAGAAATAGCTGCTGACATAGATAACTTGAACCAAAGAATAAGAAAAGGAGACATAAGTGCAGCACAATAAAACTGATTCTCTGGAACCAAAAAAGGATGATTTTGAACCAGAGCTTTCAAGAGATAAATCGAAGGAGAAAGTGGTCACTGTTGATGTCTGAATTAGTGTCAGAGAAAGACATCTGAAAGCACAGAGCAAGATTACAAGGAGATAGTAAAAATCCAGAACGGAGGTGAAGGATGTAACAGAAGAGAGATGTGAGCGAAAATATTTAAAAGGTTTCTGAGATGAAGAGAGAGACTGGCCTCTCAGAGTTCTAGGAGCTGGGCGTGGTGGGTCATGCCTATAATCCCAGCATGTGGGGGAGGCAAAAATGGGAGGATAGCTTGAGGCCAGGAGTTTGAGACCAGCCTGGATAACAAAGTGAGATCCTGCCTCTGAAAAATAAAAACAACAACATAAAAGAGAGTTCCAGGAAGGAATGATGATCAGAAGACACGCTTCTAGGCATATTGTATCTCTGAGCTACAAGAGTAGAGAACAATCTTAAAAGTCTCTACAGGGAAGAACAAGTTACTCCTAAAGAAGAAAGAGTCATCCTGGCAATGGACTGCTTACTTACAACACTGGAAGTGACAATATGGAAAACTGCCAACCACGGAGGGAAAAGGACTATACGGAAATCAACCTAGGCAGACCTGCAGCTTGGCTCTCCAGTATCTTCAGTCCGCTCTTAAAAAAGTATCCAAGAATATGTTATCAGTTCCTTTTGCTTGGTGATAAAATAAACTGTCAAAGTCTCCAGTAGAGTTGGGAAGGATCAGAATATAAAATCTTAGAATAATAGTAAAGGGGATCATCACCCAAGTCAAAATGTATTACCAGCTCCTGGACACTAAAGCCCACAGAAGCTCATCCCTCGGATTGTGAATGTTACTGGGTCCTCCACTCTGTAAAAGTCTATTCTTTTCCTGAGTTGATCACATCACCATCTGCCTTGACGACTCTTCTAAAAACAGTCTGGTGCTAAAAATAATAAGTGAATCTCAGCAAATCTGGGCATCGGAGGTGGGTGGGAAGGAGGGAAATGTTCCAAAGTTCTCATCTGGGTAGTAGCTGTGCAACTGGTAGGGGAAGTGAAAGTATTCTAAAGTTTGGAATGGGGAGTGGAAGCAGTGGACAAACAGTATTTGGTGGGAGAAGTATGTGTCTGGTTTTATATAATGGTAAAGAAATATGTATCTGATTATGAGCAACAGGAAAGGGAAACTAGCTGGAAGTAGAATGAAAATCTACAAGAAAAGTTGTATCAACAAGATGGAAAGGGGAACTATCAATTTGATCAATCTGCAAAAATAAGAGTACATAAAAGGAGAAAATAATTAGTAAAGTAAGGCAATAAATAAGATAGTAAGAGTCCAATCATTTCACTAAATGTAAATGGAATAGATTTTCTTATTAGAAGTCAGAGACACTTAGATTGAGTTAAAAATATAAATAAGCCAGCTATACTTTATCTAGAAGAAAAATATCTAAAATTTTTAAAGAAACAAAGTATAAAGAAAAGTTGAAAATAAAGAAATGAACAAAGATATCAAGAAAATATTGTGAAAAAGAAAATAGGATTAGCAAAATTAATTGTCAGACAAGGAGGAATTAAAGATTGGGGGCACTAAAGGAGGAATGTTATCTAACAATGTAAGGCACATTTTGTGAGGCAGAATTAACATTAGTAAACTTATGTGTACCAAACAATGTAAATACAAATATAATTTGATCAAAATAGAGATTTTAAAACACTTTTAAGAATCACATCTAATATACAAAAAAAGGCTATAGAAGAATAATACAGTCAACACACTTAGTTTAATAGATATATGATCTTAAATTTCTCAAGTAAAACATAGAATTTTTTCACATATCCAACAGAATGTTATAAAAATTGACTATGTACTTGATCACAAAGAAAGGCTTAGCAAATACAGAAATGAGAGATTTTTGTAGCCACATTCAATAAAACTAGAAATAAATAATTTAAAAGTGATCAGAATAGCCTATTTATAAATTGAAGAATACTTCCTGGGTAATCTTTGGAGCAAAGAGCAATATAAAGCTAATACTAAAAAACTACAGTGAAAAGAAGGCTTTATATTAAAATCTGTATATTACAGCCTTACATACTATTATCATTAAAGAACAATGACTAAAAATAAAAGTACTAGTTGCTTTTCTATGGAACAAGTTCCATGGAAAGAATAAAATAAAGCAAAAGAAAATATGAAGAAGGAATTAATATAAACAGAACTGGAACTACAGAGAGGCAAGTGAGGTGCCTAGGGCACAAAATTTAAGAAAATAAGGTTGTGCAAGTGCCAGCCCTGGCACCCAGGCACCCCACTCCGTAGGAAGCACCCGATTTCACACATGGGTTAAGGGAGCAGCTGGCACTTGTACAGTATCGCTTCCTTGAATTGTGTGACCTATGTGCCTTGCTTCTCTCACCCTAGTTCTGGCTGACTATAAAAGTAAAAGCTTCCCTCCTGGGGAGAAAAAAAGAATTTTCTTCTTTTTTTTCTTCCTCTTCTCCCTCCTCTTCCTCCTCCTCCTCCTCCTTTCTTCCTCTTCCCCTTCTTTCTTCTTCCTTCCTTCCTTTTCCTCTTCCTTCTCTCCCTCCTCTTCTTTTTTTTTTAAATTAACAAAACTCATAGTAACCTAGATGTAATTTATACTTACTGTGGTCTTTGAATTTTACTACTTTTATCCCAGCCTAGAAGATAGTGGAGCCAAAAGAGGTCTTACAAAAACAACTTACTGTTACCCACTAAATGTTTGTTTTTAGCAACTCATTTTTTAAAAAGTGCATTAGATCTCTTACCTTGTTTTATATTCCTAAATCAATTAGCCTATTTTATGGGCCCACACATGTCATTGTATGTCATTAATGAAAAACATAAATAGTAATAAGACTATCTGTACATCTTATTTCATTTAGAATGTCAGGGTTGGCCGGGTGCAGTGGCTCATGCCTGTAATCCCAATACTTTGGGAGGCTGAAGTGGGAGGATCATTTGAGATCAGGAGTTTGAGACCAGCCTGGGCAACATGGCAAAACTCGGTCTCTACTGAAAATACAAAAATTAGGCCAGGTGCAGTGGCTCACGCCTGTAATCCTAGCACTTTGGGAGGCCGAGGTGGGTGGATCACCTGAGGTCGGGAGTTTGAGACCAGCCTGACCAACATGGAGAAACTCCATCTCTACTAAAAATACAAAATGAGCTGTGCGTGGTGGCACATGCCTGTAATCCCAGCTACTCTGGAGGCTGAGGCAGGAGAATCACTTGAACCCGGGAGGCGGAGGTTTCAGTGAGCCGAGATTGCGCCATCGCACTCCAGCCTGGGCAACAAGAGAGAAACTCTGTCTCAAAAAAAAAAAAAAAGAAAAGAAAAAAGAAAAAAAAAAGAAAATACAAAAATTAGCCAGGCATGGTGGTGCGCACTTGCAGTCCCAGCTACTGGGGAGGCTGAGGCAGGAGAACTGCTTGAACCTAGGAGGCAGAGGTTGCAGTGAGCCGAGATCACGCCATTGCAATCCAGCCTGGGCGACAGAGCTAGACTCCAAGAAAAAAGAAAATGAATGTCAGGGTATAAGGTAGAAAACAGACAAACGTGGGCTATTTTGTGATCATCAACCAGTCAGGGAATGAACCTACCAATTACCCAAGAATTGAACAAACTTAAAGTTATTCTAAATGTGCTTTCTAAACGGATACCATTTAAGTATGCTCTTAAGGAGAATATTACTAGAAATTAGGAGGAATATTATCATTGTCCAACATAGTTTCTCTTGACAGTTAACTATTTAGCTTTTCAGTTTTTTCCCTTTTGTGGATTATGTCTAGATTTAATGTTGGATAGAACACTATGTAGCATTTCTGTAGTTTATCTTGTTTTCTGTGATAAATGCGTCCATTGATTCAACTACCCTAGGAAGAATTATTAGAATTTCAGAGTTTACTTTTGGATTTTTTGTCTGTGCTTTAAGGTTATGTCTTCATTTACTCATTATTATGCTCTTATATAACTTTGTGCCTCTCTTGCTTGAAGATATTTCACAAAAATAATTTTAATAAATGTTATATGCAAAAGGCAAGTACAAGCTGAAAATCTAAGAATATTACATGCAAAAGCACAAGGACCAGATGGTTTCACAGCTGAGTTTTAAAAAGATTTTTTAAAAAAAGATCATCACAATATTATCTAAACTATTCAAGGCCATAGATAAAAGCTGTAGAATATCAAAAGCATGAAATGATAGACCCCCTAAAAAAGGCGTGGATCAATTTCATGTATGAGGCCGGGCGAGGTGGCTCACGCCTGTAATCAGCACTTTGTGGGGCGGATCACTTGAGGCCAGGAGTTTGATACCAGCATGGCCAACATGGCAAAACCCCATCCCTACTAAAAATACAAAAATTAGCTGGGCCTTGTGGCTGGTGCCTGTAATCCCAGCTACTCAAGAGGCTGAGGCACAAGAATCGCTTGAACCCAGGAGGTGGAGGTTGCAATGAGCTAAGATTGTGCCACCGCACTGCAGCCTGGGTGACAGAGCAGGACTCTCCAAAAACAAAAACAAAAACAAAAATTTCACTTATGAAAATAAAGGCAAAATTCTAAATAAAATCAAGGAAAGTCCAGCAAAGTTATGAAAAAAAAAAAAAAATACATGGTAAGCAAGGAAGGTTTACTCCACGAATGCAAACACGGGCCGGGCGCGGTGGCTCACACCTATAATCCGAGCACTTTGAGAGGCCAAGGTGGGAGGATCACGAGGTCGAGAGATCGAGACCATCCTGGCCAACATGGTGAAACCCTGTCTCTACTAAAAATACAAAAATTAGCCGGGCGTGGTGGTGGGTGCCTGTAGTCCCAGCTACTTGGGTGGCTGAGGTAGGAGAATCACTTGAACCTGGGAGGCAGAGGTTTCAGTGAACAGAGATCGTGCCACTGCACTCCAGCCTGGGCAACAGGCAAGACTCTGTCTCAAAAAAAAAAAAAAAAAATGCAATGTGGCTCAATATCAGGAAGTCTATCAACATATTGTAATCTATGAATAAAGAAGGAAGAGGCCCAGCATAGTGGCTCATGGCTGTAATCCCAGCACTTTGGGAGGCCGAGGCAGGTGGATCACTTGAGGTCAACTTGGGTTGCCAGAAAGGTGAAAAAAAATGAAATAAACAATATAAACTGTGGTTGTTGGTGACGAAGTGGTTGTACAACGTAAAATTCTAGTATAAAAAAGAACAAATAGAATTAATATCATTAATTGGATAAGGTGGACAAATATAGAATAAACAACCAAAAGCTGTTCTTTATACTAGTAATAAGCCCTATGAGATAGAAATGGAATGGAATGAAGGGTTCCATCACACTCGTGACAAAAAATTAAAATACTTAGGAAAAAAAAAAAAACATGAACTTTTATTGAAGGATATGAAACAAGACCCAAACAAATGAAAAACATACAATGTCCCTCTGGATGACATAATAAAAAAGTTGGTTCTTTTTTTACTAATTTCTTTTTTTTTTTTTTGAGACAGAGTCTCGCTCTGTCGCCCAGGCTGGAGTGCAGGGGTGCAATCTCCGCTCAGTGCAAGCTCCACCTTCCGGGTTTACATCATTCTCCTGCCTCAGCCTCCCGAGTAGCTGGAACTACAGGCGCCCGCCACCACACCTGGCTAATTTTTTGTATTTTTAGTAGAGATGGGGTTTCTCCATGTTGGCCAGGATGGTCTCGATCTCCTGACCTCGTGATCCACTCGCCTCGGCCTCCCAAAGTGCTGGGATTACAAGTGTGAGCCACTGCACCTGGCATTTGTACTAATTTCTATATTTCATGTGCCACCCAATTAGAATATTTGATTTTTGGGAAATAGAGATTTTTGGGAAATTACTGTAAAGTCTGTATGAAAGACTAGATGCTTGCAATCAATTAAGTGTGATTACAATAGAAATAATGAGAAATAGAAATAAAGAGATCAATGCGGCAAAACAGAGGATTAAGAAATAGTTCACATGTACTTTAAATTTATGATACAAGTGGGATCTCAATTCAGCATGAAAAAGTTTAATAAATAACGTTGGCTCCACTTGTATCCATATAGAAGAAAATTAAGTTGTCATTCTATCTCACACTATATACAAAAATAAATCTCAGATGGATTAAGGCTTTTAAGGAACAAAACCAAAAATCTCAGAAGAAAATATTTATTTTCAACAATTTGCATTTCAATGGTGACTTCAAGTCAGAAATTCCATATAATAGAAATGTTAGATTTTTTTTGACCTAAAGGAAATTAAACTACTGTACAGCAAAGAATACTATAACTAAAATCAAGGCTGGGTGGGGTGGCTCTTGCCTGTAATCCCAGCACTTTGGGTGGCCGAGGTGGGCGGCTCACTAAAGGCCAGGAATTTGAGACCAGCCTGGGCAACATGGTGAAACCCCGTCTCCACCAAAAATACAAAAATTAGCCAGAGGTGGTGGTGCATGCCTGTAATCCCAGCTACTCGGGAGGCTGAGGCAGGAGAATAACCTTGAACCCGCGAGGTAGGTTGCAGTGAGCTGAGATCATGCCACTGCACTCCAGCCTGGGAGATGGAGCAAGACTCTGTTTCAATAAAATAATAAAATAAAATAAAATAAAATAAAATAACCCGTAGCTAAAATCAATAGAGAAATTAACTTAGAAAGTTATTTGCAAAGAAGCTGAACAATAAAAGGTTACTATATGTCATAAAATATGTAGTTCTTACAAACTGGCAAGAAACAGAAGCGTTCTAAAAGAAAATGGGATTTGAACAATTAATTCACAGTAAAGCAAATTCAATAAACATATGCAAAGATTCTCAATCTCAGCAGTAGGCAGGGAAATGTAAAGTCACAATGAAGTCACAACTTGCACCCAGCAGACTAGCAAAAACTAAAATGAGCAATAAATATTTCTGCCTTGGAAAGAAGTAGGGAGTGGGAAATAGGTGTTCATACACTGCTGGTGGAAGTGCAAATTGTGATAATGTTTTAGGAAAGCAATGTGGCAACATCTATTCAATTTAAAAATATATATCATTTGACTTAAAAAATTCTACTACTATCCCAGCACTTTGGGAGGCCGAGGCGGGCGGATCACCTGAGGTCAGGAGTTCGAGACCAGCCTGACTAACATGGTGAAACTCCGTCTCTACTAAAAATATAAAAATACAAAAAAAAATTAGCCGGGTACGGTGGCGGTGCCTGTAGTCCCAGCTACTCGGGAGGCTAAGGCAGGAGAATCGCTTGAACCCGCGAGGTGGAGGTTGCAGTGAGCCGAGATCACGCCACTTCACTTCAGCCTGGGCAAAAGAGCGAGACTCCATCTCAAAAAAAAAAAAAAAAAAAAAAAAAAAAAAAAAAAAAAAAGGGCCGGGCACGGTGGCGGTGGCTTACGCCTGTAATCCCAGCACTTTGGGAGGCCGAGGTGGGTGGATCACGAGGTTAGGAGATGGAGACCATCCTGGCTAATATGGTGAAACCCCGTCTCTACTAAAAATAGAAAAAATTAGCCAAGCATGGTGGCATGCGTCTGTAGTCCCAGCTAATCGGGAGGCTGAGGCAGGAGAATCACTTCAACCTGGGAGGTGGAAGTTGCAGTGAGCCAAGATTGTACCACTGCACTCCAGCCTGGTGACAGAGCGAGACTCTGTCTCAAAAAAAAAAAAAAAAAATTATACTACTAGAAATATTTCCCACAAATAGGTATATGAGAATACATGTATAAGGATGTTAAATGCAGCACTTTTCAGAAAGGCAAAAAGCTGGAGAAAAGTGAAGGCACATCAGTATGAGACTGACAATAAATTAAGGTTCTGTCTACAATGGGGAATATTATGCAATCATCAAAAGTAGTGAGGCTGGGTACTGTGGCTCACACCTGTAATCCAAGCATTTTGTTTGAGGCCAGGAGTTTGAGGTTGCAGGGAGCTGTGATAGGGCCACTGATCTCCAGTCTGGACAACAGACTGGAGTTCTAAAAAATTAAGAAAAAAATTAAAAAATAATAAGATCTGTACCAATTGACCCAGAAATATTTCAGCTCATATTGTTGAGTAAGGAAATCAATTTGCTGAAAAGAATGTATAATTACATGTTTGTGAAACAGTAACAAGTCCCTTCTCTTTGGGGATGTCTGTATATGGTAGTATATATGACTATAGAAAAACTTCAGAATTACACTCCTGGTTATGAACATGGGTCAGGGGAGAGGGCATTGACCCAAGTAACAAGAGGAGGAAAAAGATTGCACTAACCCCTCCAGCATGTATACTTCTATTTATAAAAAAATATTGTATAATAGGCATACAGAAATTAGAAAAAAGGGCTGGGAGCAGTGGCTCACGCCTGTAATCCCAGCACTTTGGGAGGCTGAGGTGGGCGCATCACTTGCGGTCAGGAGTTTGAAACCAGCCTGGCCAACATGGTGAAACCCCATCTCTACTAAAAAATACAAAAATTAGCCTGGTGTGGTAGCAGGCGACTTAATCCCAGCTACTTGGGAGGCAGAGGCAGGAGAATCGTTTGAACCCAGGAGGCGGAGGTTGCAGTGAGCCGAGATCGAGCCATTGCACTCAAACCTGGGGGATAAGAGCGAGATTTCTCTCAAAAAAAAAAAAAAAAAAAAAAAAGGAAATTAGAAAAAAGATCCATATCTTTTAGCATGTAAGGATACGAATAAGTCACTAAGACAAAAAAAAAAAAAAAAAAAAAAAAAAAGAAGCAAAAACAGAAACAAAAAGCAAGCAAGTTGAGCAAGTTGTAGAGTAATATATATACGATGGTTCCACTTTGGTGAAAACAACAAGCAAACAAAAGCCTTGAGTGTGGATAAATGCTTGTCTATGTTCGAAGGAATAACGTTGCCAGGCTGTTACCAATCTTCACTTCGGGTCGCTGGGGTGGGGAAGAAGGTGGGTGCGGGGAGACGGATGACCAGCTTTCTCTTTACATATCTTTGCATTGTTGCACTGCTTTTATACTCTTATAAAATATCTTTAAAATGAGAAACCTAAAATAACCACATAACAAAACCTAAAAATACATTACAACTTCTGCCCTCAAGGGGCTCACAGTCTCCTGCAGACTGTCTTCAGATAGCTGATGTGTTTGATTTGCTCTCTATGGCTTCCAGGGAAGAAAGCGAGGGGAGAAGGTACGGCAAGGTAGGGGAAGCTCTTTCCCTGGCGGTGCTGGGCCACACCTGTGATATTCTCTTGAGAGGAAGGTGTTGGACTCCGTCAGTGTTGCCCCAGTTTTCTGAAGAGATGAATTAGCCCGGGTACTTGTTGAAAAGAAAAATCTTTAGGATCTGTCCTTGACCCGCTGAATTCGAATCTCCAGGGGAGGAGTCTGGGAAGCTTTATTTTTTAGTGCCCAGGTGATTCATATCATTGGGGAAAGTTGGGAAACACTGGTCTACATTCACGCTGCTCAGCGTGGCCTGGGAACCAGCCGCAATGGCATCGCCTGAGAGCTTGTTAGGAATGCCTGCTGTCAGGATGTGCCCCAGACCTACGGTGACAGAAATGCCAGTGAACAAGGTGCCTGTGCACAGAATGGGTTGAGAGGGATGTTGTAGATGACCCTTACAGTTATTCTCTAATTCTATCTTATTTGACAGGAAGATAGCTCCAAGACACTGGAAAATTCTTTTTGTGATAGACGTGTTTCAAAAGTAAAAATGTAGTCAAGGAACCCAAAGGGATTTTGATGAACTGATTGAGGCAGAAACTGAGCTAACGTAAGAGGAGGCCGGCAGGGCCAAGAGATGAGGGAGGGAGGAAGTCAACCGCCTCGCCAACCTGGCTTTGTTTCTAAGCTGAATGAGGAAGCAGTGAACTCTATCTTGGACAGGTGTGGTAGCTGAAGCTTCTGATTTAATCAAGAGGAAAAAAATACAGATAAGAAGAGATACCTGTCACTTATTAACTCAGCAAGCATTTACAGGATGCCAACTCTGTACCAGGTGATAGGCTGAGCACTGGGAATAATGCAGTGAACAATGAGAGCCTCTCCCTGACTTCACCAAGCTTCAAGGCCAGTGGGGGAGAAAGGCAGTAAAGAAACCATTTCAAAGATCAGGCCTACGGCTAGGGTAAAGCTAGTGAAGCACTTGCCTTGAGTGCAAAAATGTAAGGGGGCTCCAAAAACTCAGTTATCAAGAAAATTTTTAATGCAAAAATTTTTCTAATGGAAATGAATGCAAAAATCTATGATACATAAAATATAAACATTTTGCTGTCATGGTGGCTCACATCTAATCCCAGTGACTTGGAAGGCTGAGGCCGGAAGATTGCTTGTGTCCAGGAGGTTGAGGCTGCAGTGAGCTCTGATTTGGCCACTGCACTCCAGCCTAGGTGACAGCAAGATCAGGCTGGGTGCAGTGGCTCACTCCTGTAATCCCAGCACTTTGGGAAGGTAAGGAGGGTGGATTGCTTGAACCCAGGAGTTCAAGACTAGCCTGGGCAACCCTTGTCTTTATAGAAAATATAAAAATTATCTGGGCTTGGTGGCATGCACCTGTAGTCCTAGCTACTTGGGAGGCTAAGGTGGGAGGATCCCTCGAGCTCAGGAGGTTGAGGCTGCAATGGGCTGTGATCATGTTACTGTACTCCAGTCTGGGTAGCAGAGTGAGACCCATCTAAAAAATAAATATATAAATAAACACAGGTTCACTATTACTGATTTTTCCTTTTGCCTCAGGCTCCAATGTGGCTCTGCATGGCATGGCCACAAATCATTTCACCAGGAGAATAAAAAAACATTGACTATGGATGGCAGGGTGAGCTGCTTGAAGCTCGGGTAGGATGAGATAATTGTTAAATGATCTCCCAAGCAGTAACACCTAACTTGGAGCTGCAAGCATGCAATGGAGGAGAGGTGGGAGTGTAAGCAACAGAAGGGGCCAAGGAGAGAGCTTTGCGCTTTTGAAGGAACTGAGGTGGCTGGTGTTGTCTAGACCTCTGGGTTTCAAACTTAGTGCATATTAGGATCACCTGGGGAGCTTTCAACAGTCTTAATCTCCGGGCCCTGCCCTAGTCCAATTAAGTAAAAAATCTCTAGGTGTGGGGCTGAGGCAGGGCTAGTTTTTAAAGCTCCTCAGGCATTTCTAAAGTGCACGCTAAACCTGGGCAACATAGTGAGACCCCTGTCTCTACAAAACATTTAGGAATTAGATGGATGTGGCAGTGTGCACTTGTAGTCCCAGGTACTCGGAAGGATGAGCTGGGAGAATTGTTTGAGCCCCAGGAGGTCAAGGCTGCAATGACTGTGATTGCACCACTGCATTCCAGCCTGGGTGACAGAGTGAGACTTTGTCTCCAATAAATATATAAATAAATAAAAATTAAAAATAAAATGCAGGCTGGGCGGACACTCCGTGGGTGGAGCTGGACAATGGCCTAGTGAGTGACAGACAGAGAGTAATGGGAGGCAAGACTGGGGAGAAAAGTAGGGGCTTGACTGGGAGCCTTGAAGGCCAGGGTAATTATTTTGGACTTTTTCCAAAAAACGTGGGAGGTCATTGGGAGGGCTTTATGCAGGAAAATGATATAACCTTTTTTTTTTTTTTTTTTTTTTAAGATCACTCTGGTCGCTGTGAGGGGAAGGGATTGAGAGGGAGGAGGGTGTCTGAGGGATGAGTTGGAAAGTTGTTGCAAATGTCTGGGTAAGCGATAGTTCGGCTTGGGCTGGGTTGATGGCAGTAGAGGTGGGGAGACATAGACACGCTTAAGAAATAAGAGTAGAATTCATGGAATATGGTGATCATTGGATTGTGAGGGGCCAAAGGGGAGGACACATAATGGATGACTCCCCAGAGTCCACCACCAGCAACTGGGTGGGTGGTAATGACCTTCAAGGAGATAAACAACAGAGAGAATGGGGATGAGCAGGTTCCAGGGGCAAGAAACATCATGCATTCATTTTTGGATGCAGGGAGAGATGACACAGCGGGAACTGTGGAATGGACAATTGCATAATATATGGGAATACGGGTCTGGAGAGAAGGCCCAGGCTGGAGCTCTACACTGAGAATGGTTGGCCTATGTGGTTGATCATAAATAAAGCCATAGGAGTGGGTGAGATTGCCTATAAAGAGAGAAACGTGCGAGTAGGGAAGGAGGTCTGGGCTCCCCTGGAATGGTTGAATGGAGGGCAGGGAGCAGCAGGGAGGCTGGGAGGTTGGAGGGGAATCAGCGGGGCACAAATAACTAAAGGCCAAGTGGATGGCGGAGAGCGTCACTTATGTGATTGCCAGGCGCTCAGAAGAGAGAAAGATCTCTGTGGCCTGGCCAGGCTAGGAGGCAACTGGTGAAAATAACTGGGCCTGGGTAGATAAATAGGACTAAGTTAGGCAGAGCAATTCCAGGGGAGAAAAGAAAAGGAGGAAGGGATAAGAGAAGGGAAGGAATGAGATGTGTCGGGAGCCATTAATCATGTACGGATCATTGGGATTCAAATAGAAGTATGTATTATGGGACCATGTAAATGGTCCCTTTTGGGACTGACTTTCTTTAGTCTTCATCTTGCTTGTCTATTTCCCATCCCTCTGACTTTACTTTGGTCCAGCCTCTGTGGGAGGGCAAGCACAGCACTGGGCAGCTTTACCCCTTGCCTTGCTGCCCCACAGACGTGTATTGCAATCCAAGCTTTTGCAGTATTTGCGGCCGACATGACTCAAGGTGAACATTGAGGACAGGGAGCTTTGCGATGCAGCAGAGTGCGTTCATTTTAATGTTGAATGGAGTGCTTGTTTCCTTCTCTCTCTGACTTACTCACCTCAAAGAGCCCAGCTGCAGTGTAATCGACATTCCATTTCTTTCCCAGTGCTCTCTTACAAGAGAAGCACAAATAAGCTTTTGCCTAAAAGGCAAGATGCTAGTGTTATCTTTCCTGAGTGGGCTCATAAATGCAGATTCTTTGGAGAGAGGTGTGTATAATCAGTTCACGAGCCAGCATTTTGCATGTGCAACGAACAGATGTGACTGCATTATTCAGTTTCCCAATTTGACTTCCCTACTCGAATATACTTAAGAAAATGTGATGTCGATGAACACATCCCTCCAAGTGAAAATAATCCACCGACAACAGAATTGGCAACCAGATTTGGACATGCCAAGAGGAGTTTCAAATGTTCCAGTTAACCACTTGTCACGTTGGATGCTTGTTGAATTCTCTGCCCAAAATGTTACCATGTATTGTGGCACTTCAAGTTTTCTTACTAAAGATGAAATAATTTCTAATTATATTGCTTGTGAAACTATATTACTTTTGAAACATATCACACTATAGTAGAAACATGTTTGTTTAACTCTGCCCTTTATTTTCCCTTTTTAATTTTCACATTGTGAAAGGTGACATTCATACTAAAAAGTGCGTGAAATGTAGATGTATATAGAACGGTTAAATCAGTGAACGTGTGTGTACCCACCACCTGGAGTAAGAAGTAGACTATTGCTGGCACCTGGAACTCCAGGGTGCCCTTCCTCTTTCCTGGGATTATCACAGCCTCACTTTTGTGATAATGATTTTATTGTTTTGTTTCCTTTTGTGATAATGATTTTATTGTTTTGTTTCCTTTTGGTTTTTTTTTTTTTTTTTTTGAGACGGAGTCTCACCCTATTGCCCAGGCTGGAGTGCAGTGTCGCGATCTCAGATCACTGCAACCTCTGCCTCCCGGGTTCAAGGGATTCTTGTGCCTCAGCCTCCCAAGTAGCTGGGATTACAGGCATGCGCCACCATGCCCAGCTAATTTTTGTATTTTTAGTAGAGACCGGGTTTCACCATGTTGGCCAGGCTGGTCTCGAACTCCTGACCTCAATTGATCAGCCTGCCTCAGCCTCCCAAAGTGCTGGGATTACAGGTGTTTATCCATTGTTTGTATCATACTATACCTTTTTTTGTGTCTTTGTGCAAACGAAAAATGCATGAGTGCTTCCTTAAATGTTGCTCCCTAGATGCCTCGCTGCCTCACGCTGGCCCCAGCTCTGTTCTTTTGTGTGTGTAGCTTTGGCTTATCTTTCTTACGGTTGTACGACAGTCCATTAGCAAGACTATAACCCAGTTCATTTCTGCATCGTACTGGCAGACATTTGGGCTGTTTCTGGCTGCGATGATTTCAAGGCTCACATACATGTCTCCTGGAATACATATGCATGGACTCTGTTGCATATACAGCAAAGAGTGTTTCCCTGTTGTTTTTCAAAAGTGATATTCTAAATTCCTTCTGGATCGTTAATGATAAAACCTGGCAATCCAATGCAAACATTTTATTGTAAACCTTAGTATTCTAGACATAATGGGAAATGTTCATTTTATTATCTATCAATTTTAGACACACACTCACACACATTCCCTAAAAGTAGGGTCAAATACTTTTGCAGGTAAGATTAGCATTCAGGACAGAATGCTTCATTTGGAAACATTGACCAGCTGTTCTTCCTATCCCACCACCCCATAAGTTTTAGATTTCTAGGTCTTTCAAAGGGAAATAAAAGTGAATCATGCAAGATAATTTTAAATTGATTAGTCAGAGGCAGACATCTTTCCAGGATTTTTGTTTTCATGAGCCCCAGTTTACCCCGCTTTGGTGAAGAGAATATGAATTATGGTCTGTATATAGCTGAGCCTAAGTGCAAGTTAGGTTAGCTTGTTTAATGTGCATAACATGTTCCTCCTCTCTGAATTATGTAAAACACATATCTAACTGATTACCATATTTAGCGTCCATTGTCACCATGTGCTTTGTGATGGAATTTGCTGGTCAAAACATTATTATTTCACTTATTGGACAGTTTGAAATTTGACATCTAACTCTCTCAGTTAGTTCAGGCTTCTATAGCAAATTACCATAGTCTGGATGGCTTAAACAAGAAACATTTATTTCTCACAGTTCTGGAAGCTGAGAAGTCCAAGATAAAGGTGCCAGCAGATCTGGTAGTCTACTTCCAGGTGAGGGTCAACTTCCTGGTTTGCATATAGTTGCCTTCTCATATCCGCACATGGCAGAGAGTTCTGATCCTTTATCCCCTATAAGGGCACTAATCCCACTTATGAGGGCTCCACCCTCATGACCTGATCACCTCCCAAAGGCCCCACCTCCAAACACCATCACATTGGGGATTAGATTTCAGCATATGAATTTTGGGGTGACTCAAACATTCAGTCCATAGCAAATGCTTTGAGACATTCCAAGTTTTTAAAATTAGCTTTTGTTGCAAGCATTAGTAAGATATAATAATTATGTTTATTTAATTTGTAATTCCATTATTAAAATGACCACATGTCTAGCTTTCACTGTTATCACAAGTAGTTTTAGTAGAATTCTACTTGTAAGTGTTTGGTTCTGTGAAATCGTTATATGATTTGTATAAATATTAGAATAATTATAATTTTTCTTCTTTTAAGAACTGTATTGTCTTAAAGGATGTGTATTTGGTATACACAACTAGTGGTGATTAATTAGAATCTTGCTTTATTGAAGCACTAGTTACCTAATAAAAAAGTATCTTTCTAGCATGGTTCAAAAATGGGTCATAATAAACTAGCAAGGACATGTGGGAAACTTAATTATAAAAGACATTGTAAATTAGAACAACAGATCTAAAATGGCTCTTGCATTTGTACTTATTTGCATATATTAACATTTAACCAGAGATAAAATTGGGACATTTTTGGTTGTACTGATACTGGAAAATAGTTATATCATATCGTTTTTAAAAGCTCAGTTTATGAGAGTGAAACATACCCCCCTTAAATCTAAACTTTATTTAAGCTTTGTGTGAGATTCTTTATGTAATTTTGGCTTCTAAATAAGGCAGCCATTCCAGATAAGGAGTAAGATTCATTTATTCTTTACACTGGGTCTTCATTAAATCTCATCTGATCTTTCGCTTTGATGTTTTAGACTTTATTTCACATTTCACGAAGATTTTTTCCTGGGTTGGGCGAAGTAGTAGGTCATCTGTGTTTTCTGAACAAAATGTCATTCTGAATAGAAAACAGGAAGCAAACACAGCATTAAGTTTTAGGTGGAGCTTATTGAAGTGTTTCATTCTTTATCAAATTTCACTCAATTTGTGTAAGGCATGTGATGTCTTTTTTTAAGTTAGATTCTTATGTTCGCAAATATTTTTGTAACTTCAGAGAAAAACAAAACCCAAGTCAGTGAAAGCCATCAGTGTAAGACTTCCTGGAGTTCTACACTGGGGTGATTTCAGTTCTGTAAGAAGGAAAGTCCTGGGGCAGCCCTCCTTTGTTCTCCCCTATGACAGCTCATCGAAGATTTGAGGGTGACTATTGTTTCCTTGACCACATTTGCCTTGACTTCAGGGCAAACATTTCTAGTTCCTCAACCCTTCCTCCTAAGGCAAGCTTACCTCCTCAGCCTTCCCTCCTTGGACAAGCTCCAGTTTGTAAATGCTGTTCTTAAAGGTCCTTGGCATGAGGCCAGTGTCATCGGTTTCTGCCTGGCTCAGCCCTGTAAGCCCTGCCCCTTCCTCATATTGGAGCTGACATTGTCCACTAAAGAGGACACTACTATGTGTTTTGGAAACAACAACTAGACTGCTTTGGCTGTTGGCTTGGCCCGAGATACCATTTTGTGTTATTATTTCCAATTGCATCTGTTAAATATATATCTATAGATATATCTGTAGAAAAATTCTAGTTTATTACTTCTTTTTTCTTTGAATTGCGTCTAAGGTCAAGTCTTCACTAAACTGGACTTTTAAAATTTAAAAATGCTATGAGTAATTTGTGAATGCATTCTTGAAAATTCAAATGGTAAAGGAATAAATGAAGCCAAATAATAAAGAACCTCTTCACCATCGGCCTTCACTAACATCACTCCCCTCTCTACATTTATGATTTGGTTTATGCATTTCCAGACTTGTTCCTATGCATTTACATATATTGAGTGGCATCATGTTGTGTATGTTTTCCTGCAATTTTTCCTGTTACCAGAAAATGGTACTCAGAGACTTGCTCATATCAGTAGGTAGAAGTCTATTTCACTATTTTTCACCTGCTTCATGACATTCCATTTTAAGGATGAACCACAATGCATTTTCCTACTGTTAGACATTAAGATTTTCTCAAGAGTTTACTATTTACTTATTATGTATAGTATTTATTTAATAGTACTGCAACAAACATTCTGTACATATGTATTCATATATAGCCTTTGTGCATATTTTGATTATGTGCACAGATACTCCAGAAAGATGATAAGACACCTAGAAATAAAATTCTGGCTCAAAGTAGTATGCATATTTAAACATGTGATAATGTAAACTTCATGAGACCAAGGACTCTGTCTGTTCACTATATATATATATACATATACATATATATATATACATATACATATATATATATATACACATATACATATATATGTATATATATATGTATATATATATACACACACACACACACATATACATATATATATACACACACACACATATATACATATATATATATATATTTTTTATTTTTTTTGAGACGGAGTCTCGCTCTGTCGCCAGGCTGGAGTGCAGTGGTGTGATCTCAGCTCACCGCAACCTCTGCCTCCTGGGTTCAAGCGATTCCTTTGCCTCAGCCTCCCGAGTAGCTGGGATTATAGGCATGCGCCACCACGCCCGGCTAATTTTTTTGTATTTTAGCCCAGCCTGTCTGTTCACTATTATACATCTGGTGTCCACAACATTGTCTGGCATAAGGTAGGTACTCACTAAACGTTAGTTGTTGAATGAAATTCCCCTACAAAATGCCTGTAATTTACACTCTCACTAATAGTGTATGAGAATGCCCGTTTCTCCACATCTTTACTAACTCTGGGTGTTGTCCGTTTTTGAATTCCTGCCAAACTAATGAGTAACCAGTGATAATTTCTTTGATTTTATTTTGCATTTATATGAGTACTGTGGAAATTGAATGTCTTCTCATTAGGTTTAGCCAGTTATTATACTTGGTCTTGCTGTAGGGCCAATAATTTCTTCTCTTTCTCTTCACCATCTCCACAACCCTACTCATCCCTGATTTTGTGCCTTTGGGGGAAGAAAACCACCTTCCACTGAATTTCTTCCATGGAGGCACAGAGCAAGTTACTTAACCTACTTCTTTTCCCACTTGCACTTAGCAGCGATATTACGAGTGTAGAGTTTAATGTTCCCATCCCGATTCTGGGATTTTGGTCTGCAAAAGGCACTAAAAAATTAGTAGTTGTTATTAGTCTCATGAAATGTATATTATGATTCTCGTTTATCACTAAACAACTGAGTCTTGAAGAGTGAAGTTATTGTTTGAGGCTACACAGATTGTGAGCAGTGAAGTTAAAATGTGAGTTTAGGACTGGCTGACACTGGAGTCCATCCGATCCTGCCAGCCATATTGCTTTGCCGGCTGCCTGTCTCCCTGGGAACACCTCTTGGCCTCCTCAAAGCATGTTGCAGCACAGCCCCAAGTGTACGGGTCTGAACTTTCTTCTTACACTTCCCGGGTTGTGTAATGCTGGACTCTCACTATTCAAAGTGTGGTCTGTTGACCTGCAGCAACAGCATTGCCTGGTCGCTTGTTAGAAATGCAGAACATCAGGCTCACCCCAGACTCACTAAAGCAGAACCTGCATTTTAACATGATTCCCAGATGCTTTGTATGCTCGTGAAAGTTTGAGAAGCCCTGGGATGGACCACACCGTTAGTAAAATTAATTCATCTTATTTTCCTGGTTAGGTCCTGGAGTTTATTTCTACCAAGAGCCACAACTCAGATTTTTTTTTTTTTTTTTGTATTCTCCGATAGTACCTGGCACTGTGTAGACACAGAGGAGGCACTCGGTATTTACAACCTAAAAAAAATTATAGCTCCCATAACCCGCATACAGTACCTCCTACAGCCCTAAGGATGGGTTTGATGCATACATATGTTAATGTCCAGCACTGCAACTCTGCTAGATTAGACTGAGAAAATTCAGATTAATGGAACCAAAACTAATGGAAGAAGGAACTGTTGGAAACAGCACACCCCCAACAAATGGGTAATAAATCAGACAAATCCCAGTCAAATCTGGACTGGGACAATTTTGAGCAATGTCCTCAAGCTGTGTAACTTCTGTGAGCCTCAGGTTCCTAATCTGCACAGCCAATACTACCCATTTCAGGATCACAGCAAAGATCACGTGAGACCAATGCCATGGAGCACCTGCTTCAATGCTCACCCCGTGTGGGAGCCCTGGAAGGGCCAGGCCCCTCCCTCTCCTCATTTCTTCTTCCGTACCACATGGGTGTGCCCCAGTGGAGAAGGTAGTGTTGTGCTTTAGCCACCCTTTCAGGTCAAGCCACATGGGATTGTCAGGGTGAGCAGCCACCTAAACTGAGGAATTACTCTCCAGCTAAGAGCATCTGGGCAGGGTCAGAGCTCAGAAGCAGCGCTGCTCCAATGGGCCAAAGAGTCATGTGAGAAGAGCTCAGTGCAGAAGAGGAGCGAGCAGTTTAATCTTCCCAGATTGATCCTGTTGGGAGATCTGTTGGCAGACGGCAGAGTATGCTCTCAGTAATTGCCAGGATTTTGCATCCCAGGGAGATAAAATCTCAGAGTGCGGTTGTATAAAGGGACTCAGGGGCATACATCTGCCACAGGCCGGCATCTGGCAGTGAAACCCAGGGGGTGACGGAAGAGGGTAGTTCAGAGGTTAGAAACCTGCTGTTTTCCACCTCTATGAGGACAAGCCAAAGAGAAACATGGCCTTCGCGACAAGTGAAGGTGGGAGAGGAGAGACCGTTTCCTGAATAGAGAAGGGAAGAGAGAGGAGAGGGCCCGGGGATGCCTGGAATTCTGCCGTGGAGAACCACGGATGACCGAAAAGCACGGTTGCTATGGCAGGGTGTGCTGGGCAGCCCTTTCTTTTGCTGGGAGGACTTCAGGAGCGCTGGAGCATCCTTCCTTTTCTTTTCTATTATTATTATTATTTTTTGAGACGGAGTCTCTCTCTCTGTCATCCAGGCTGGAGTGCAATGCCGCGATCTCGGCTAACTGCAACCTCCACCTCCTGGGTTCAACTGATTCTTCTGCCTCAGCCCCCCGAGTAGCTGGGACTACCATTGTGCGCCACCACGCCCAGCTAATTTTTGTATTTTTGTAGAGACGGGATTTCACCATGTCGGCCAGGCTGGTCTTGAACTCCTGACCTCAGGTGATCCGCCCGCCAAGGCCTCCCAAAGTGCTGGGATTACAGGTGTGAGCCACCACGCCCAGCCCTGTCCTTCCTTTTCTTTGCTCCCCACCCCAGCTCCTTCGTATCCCTGGAGACTTTGGGGCCACGGGAGATGTTAAATCAAACACAGCAGCATTTCTTTCGGGTGACCCATTGTTCTACATTGGAGTTTCTTAGGGCTCTGATTCAACAACAGGCATCCTGGACCCCTTCCCAAGCCCACCATGAATCTGCGGGTAGGTCCAGGAATTCTGCAAATGTGTTTGGCTTCCCAGTGATTCTTTGGCAACTGACATTTGAAAGATACGACCACAGAGAGAGAGAGAGAGAGAGAGATACATCGAGATTTTTGATATTGTGATCTGTTAAAAGATTTTCTTTGGGCAAACAATAAAAAAAAGATGTTGCATCTACCACAGCACCTTGGACTGGCAGCACTGACATCACCTGGTGATTCACCTGCACCGAAGCTTGAGAAGCCTGGGGTTCGTGTGATGGTCCTCAGGCTCCAGAGGCAGGCAGCGTTAGCCACGGGCAGTGGGGAGACCCTGGTGTGTATTCAAAGACCTGGGTGTGAATCCTTGTCCTGGCACCTGTGGCTGTGTAAAGTTGGGATAGTCACTTCACCTTTCTGAGCTTCTGTACTCCATCACTAGGGCCTAATAATACTCACCTCACATGATGAATGTGAGTATTAAATTGTGAGACTGCCTGGCACAAGTGGGTGCTTAATGGACGTTAATAGGAGATTGAATCAGCAGTCACCTTTGCTGGGTTTCTCCTGCTTTGACTCTGATCGTCTTCAGAACGAGGCCTGAGTGGCGCGGCCCTGTGCTCCATGGGATGATGGTCTGGACCGTGTCCCAGACATTGGCCCACACTGCACTGTTTTCCCACTTGAACTTGATCATGATCAGCTCGCCGATATCCACATCCAGCGTGATAAGAAAGGAATACGTTTTATTACTAGCAATTCCTTTGCCCCTTGAATACACAAAGAAAATCAGACACAATCAGTTTAGTCGTAACAGCAAAGTGACGGTCACACACATTCAGGATGTGTTGTGTTTCCCTGAATGACTTGGGATTTTTGCTGCATTTCCCAAACTAGTGTTCAACAGACTATTGATAGAGTTAGCAGTAGGTGTGCCAGGATAAAAAAGGGATTTCCAGATAATAAAATTGCGAAAACTATACTATTTTCTGGTTAACACATCAAAAAGGCTCCGAGAAGTCCCACTATAACAAATCTAGTTAACTTTCTCTAGCTTAGCTTCTAGGAAGAAGCCGCTGTGGAGACAGTGGGGCTTTGGCAACGGCGTCTGGACAGTTCAGCTCTCTGTAGGTTTAACATAGTATGCCTGCAGCATGCACTCTCTCCCAAGTAATGCTCCTCCCCCCATATAAATAGAAACCTCTGTTAAAACAGTGAGGCATAACAGTAATAGAAAAACTACACATAAAAAGGATGCACCGATTTAGAGCAAGATTTAAATGCAGACTCTGAGGTATCATGATCAGCTTTACTCACTAATCTCCAAGACACTAAAATATCCCAACGTTGACAGAGCAGCGAGATGCCCTTTCCACTATTGAGAACCATCCCCTGGGAGAGATTTTTGGCAGTGCAGAGGCAGCAGTGGATTTAGGGCGAGGCAGATGGATGGTGGGGTTGGGGGGGGGTCCCTTGTGTGGCTTGGCATAGCTCTTCCCGAGTATGCTGTGAAGAATTGTTTAGGAATCCCCCCGCCCTGCCAGGTTGTGAGCATCCAGAGGCTAGGGTCCTCTGTATCCTTAGGTAGGTGTTGGACAGAGCATCAACAAATGCTTGCTGAATGACTGAATCAGTGTGATGATCAGAGATCCAAAGCTGGGGGCAATTTTCGGGAAGCTCAGGATCATCTCTGGAGTGGGTGAGGGGCTAGTGTCACTTTCCAGGGAGAGTCCATGCTGAGGGTTGAGAGGCCAGAGAGGCTGGGGAGCCTCAGAGTGAGCAGGTGGGTAACAGGGTGAAGGACAGATGGGGAGGCTGGCAGAGCAGGCTGATTGAAATTGGAAATCTGTGCCAAGTCAAAAGATACCACTTGAATTTCTGGGTTATGAACTCACTGGAAAGGCTCTTGGGACCTCTTGGGAACACCTGCTCCGCCCCTCACCACCTGCCTCTGCACTGCAGGCCCTAGTGGGGCCATCTCTGGCTTCCCTGTCTGCTCAGCCCACAGTGCATAACATTGAGCAGTTGGTGGGAGCTGGAGAGGCTGAGGAGGGACGTGAGGGTTCGGGCTTGGGTGGATGTCCTGTCTGACCAGGATGGCCATGTGGGATGGGCTGTGTTTACTAAAGGGGTTGTTTCTGAAGCACCAAATATTTATTTATGTTCACAAAAAGAACCAAACACTAAGAGTTGACTTGTGGACCAAGAGTTTTCTGCTGTAGGTAAGAGCTAGCTCAGGTAGTATCTGGCGCCTACCACAGTGCCCTGTATGTGATTGGTGCTTAAATGCTCAAGCCCATGTAAACTAAAAATAAAATTCTAAGCCCTCCAACCATCTGAATGGACCCCTCCTCTCAGCCAAGGGCATTCCAAAGTTCAAGCCATGGTGGGAAGGGGAGGTGGGACACGCCTCTTTATACTCTCCTCCCTTTGGAATTCAGGCACAACTGACCAGCATTAACATTAAAACCCAGATTTTAAGACTGATGAAGCAGACTTTTTGTAGCAATAAGACACCAAATTCCAGCCTGACTCTAGTATAGCATCACATGACAGACAGCAGGCCCTGAAAGAAATTAAACTATTTTACCCTAAAATATATTTCTTTGACATATTTTGAAAGGGCCCTGAACAGCTGTCTTGTGGTGGGAAAATCTACATTCTGTAGAGAATTCCCTTCCCTATCCAGATCTTTTCACTGATCTGGGAGAGAATGAACTAAGTCTGGCACCTTTTTAAGTCTGATAAGAAACATTTACAATCAATTGTCTCTGAAGCCTGCTACCTGGAGGCTTCTTCTGCATAATAAGAACCTTGGTCTCCACAACCCCTTATCTAATCCCGACACTCTCTTCTATTGATTCTAGATCTTTAGATAAACTCATTCAACCAATGCCAATCAGAAAATCTTTGAATGCACCCATGACTTGGAAGCTCCCCTGCACCTCCAACCCCAAACCACTTTGAGTTCTCCTGCCTTTCTGGACCAAACCAGTGTACATCTTACAAGTACTGATTGATGTCTTATATCTTCCTATAATGTATAAAACCAAGCTGTAGCCTGACCACCTTGGATACAGGTCACCAGGACCTCCTGAGGCTGTGTCACGGTAATGTCTTTAACCTTGGCAAAATAAACTAAATTGATTGACATGTGTCTCAGATAGTTTTTGGTTTGCGTCTGGAATAAAGTAGTTGTAGCTGGCCTGACTCTTGAAAATTACAGAGTCCATTTATGTTCTGCAAGAAAAATAAGTGTGTCATCACCCTAGGGGGCTACACCTCCTACTCACAGAGTGATGGGAATTTTCT
Source organism: Homo sapiens (assembly GCF_000001405.40). Lineage (NCBI taxonomy): Eukaryota > Metazoa > Chordata > Mammalia > Primates > Hominidae > Homo > Homo sapiens. The sequence goes on along the minus strand of NC_000015.10, from coordinate 58,560,962 downwards.
GCATTTTCTCTTTTGTTCCGAGTAGTGACATGGTAAAAGTTGTTTGTATTGGTGTCTCAGTTTGGTTGATGAACTGGATCTTGAACTGGTAATGATAAACTAGAGAGAGAGACAGAGAGAGAAAGAGAGAGATAATTTAAGCAGTGATTTTAAATTTAAAAATCTCTTATTTCTTAAAATTTAAACATGCAGAGGGAAGAGTTTGGATAGATATTAATATGTTAACAACATTTTTTTGCTCCTAAATGGTGGTTTATCTTCTTGTTTTTCCTTCTCTGTATTTCCTAAATGTCTATTCAGGACTTATATTGTGTTTGTAATGTAATAATGATAAATATTCACCAACAAAAGATGGCAGAATAGGAGTATAGGACATCTGGCATTCTCACTGAGTTCTAGATGCAAGTTCTGCTGTAATATTTCATGTGTTTGGTGAGGGTCTCCTTTCGTAAATCAAAGAATATATGCCTTTTAGGCATTTGACAAGGCAAGAGAGAACACATTGCCATTTTACATTATTGCTGCTCTCTGATGGGGTGTGTTTCAGGGTGGGGCAGAGCTCCAGCCAAGAAATATATGCCCTAGTGACCAAGCGTTTATATTCCGGGGCAGTTCCTGGAAACAAGCTCTGTGAGTTTCAATAAGTGTATTTCCTAATGGAAATAAGATAACTGTAGTTCTAGAACTTGGGCCTAAAATCTTTCTGTTTTATCACATGTCTGGAATGTCCTCCTACTGATGGGTTGGTTGGAAGAGGATAATTTATTTTATTCTTCTTTACCTAATACAGTCTACATTTAGTTACTGAAAGCAAATGGCTTACTATTAGACAGGCGTTGTTAAATACATGGCATCGTTAAATGATAATACATTTTTGCATTGTTGAATGCATTGCATCATCTCATTTACTCATCACAACGCTATGATGTAGGCATTGTTATTATCACCCCCATTTTATAAATAAGAAAACTGGAGCTCAGATAGATGAAAGTGACTTGCTTAAGGTCAAATAGCAGCATCTGTGCTCTTAGCTTCCCTCACCCTAGATGGTGTTTGCTTAGCTTGCATGGTGGCACAGCTATGGAGCTGTTTTGAAAATTATCCTACCTCATTCCAAAATGGCTGATTACTGCTTGGACTTCTTTCTCTTGTCTCCATATTCTCCCCAGTGGATTCCCCAGGGTTGGATGCAGGGTCCAGCTTCCAGACCAGGATTGGCTTTTGTTTTTGTTTTGGGTTTTTTTTTTTTTTTTTTTTTTTGAGACAGGGTCTCTCTCTGTCACTGAGGCTTGGGTGCAGTGCCACCTTGGCTTACTGCAGCCTTGACCTCCTGAGCTCTCTTGTCTCCATATTCTCTAAGCATCTACAGTGTTCTAGCTCCAAGATTGCAAACAGGTTTAATACGGCATGTTAATTCCATTTGATTGATAAGAACTGCCTGGATCCCTCTGTTGAGATGGATTCTGAGGCCATGTCCGGGCTTGGGGCAAGATGAGTGTCTGGTTTGGGAAAAGGATAAGGGATTTATGGAATACTTGCTGCGTATTTGCCTTTCCTGTTTAGACAATGGTTAATCCACGAATCCTAACAGTGCCTTGCACACAGTAGGTGCTTAATAAACTTTTGTGGGATGAATGAACTGATGGTTTGCTTGGGGGTGACGTATCACAATGCACATTAACATCTAACAACATGGAAATCACCTCTGAGGATTCAAGACCTGAGTTTCAAGCTTTGTCATAGGAGAATTTCAAAAAATTAGATCACGGTAACTAGCCACTTGACTATCCATCCCTTGTACCCAGCATGTGGAAATTCATCTCTTCATCAATCAATCTACTAACTCCTAAATGGTACTATTTCTACCGGAGGTTGGTAGCTATACAGCAAGCCCAGCAGAGGGTACTGCCAGCTCCAGTGTCCTGGTATGCCTGTATTGCCAAGTTTCTAGATTACACAATCCTATCCTTGGCATAAACTAATCTTCCCATTTGGATTTTGTATATAATTTGCTCATGTGAGTGGGGATATCTCTTGGGTTTACTAAAGGGGTTATCTCTGAAGCACCAAATGTTTATTTATGTTCACAACAAGAGCCAAATACTAAGAGTTGATTTATTGGCCAAGAGTTTTCTGCTTTAGATAAGAGCTAGCTCAGGTAGTATCTGGTGCCTACTACAGTACCCTATACACCAGCAGTCCCCAACATTTTGGGCATCAGGGATGGGTTTCATGGAAGACAGTTTTTCCATGGACCAGTGTGGGGGCAGGGGGGATAGCTTCAGGATGAAACTGTTCCACCTCAGATCATCAGGCATTAGATTCTCATAATAGTTCACAATAGGGTTTGCGCTGCTATGAGGATCTTATGTTGCCACTGCTCTGACAGGTGGAGCTCAGGCGGTTATGCTTGCTCGCCCACTGCTCACCTCTGGCTGTGAGGCCCGGATCCTAATTGCCCACTGTCTGTAGCTCGGGGGTTGGGGACCCCTGCTGTAATACAATAGATGCTCAAATCCCAAGCCTGGAATAAAGCAATGTGATGCCCTCAAGACAGCAAAAGAGGCTGTGGGTGAGAAGTAAGAAAACAGCTGGCTGGGCACGGTGGCTTGCACCTGTAATCCCAGCACTTTGGGAGCCGAGGCAGGTGGATCACAAGGTCAAGAGATTGAGACCATCCTGGCCAACATGGTGAAACCCCGTCTCTACTAAAAATACAAAAATTAGCTGGGTGTGGTGGTGGGCGCCTGTAGTCCCAGCTACTCGGGAGGCTGAGGTAGGAGAATTGCTTGAACCCAGGAGGCAGAGGTTGCAGTGAGCTGAGATTGCACCACTGCACTCCAGCCTGGTGACAGGGCAAGAGTCTGTCTCAAAAAAGAAAAAAAAAAAAAGAAAAGAGCTATAGGCGCAAGTCCTGGGAAGGGTCCCTAAACTCTTGGGTGGCACCACTGGAGAGAGGGACTTAGCCTGTCATCCCAGAAGCCTCTGGAGAGGTCTTACACTATTTGGGGGTTTGTCAAGGAAACTCTGTAACAAATGAACAGTCTTGTAAGTCAAACTGAGACAAAAAGAAAGTTCTTTCCAAAGTGGGGGAGGGGGTAAGATGTGGGAGGACTGGCCTTGGGTTAACCTCCTTATGAATAGTCAGGGTACCTTCCAGAGTTCTCAAGGAACACTCATAGTAACCGATCTTCAATTCAGTTTAATATGATATGTATTAATTGGAAGTCTACTGTGTGTTTAGCCCAGTGCTAAATGCAATTAAAAGCATATAATGAGGCCGGGCGCGGTGGCTCACGCCTGTAATCCCAGCACTTTGGGAGGCTGAGGGGGGCGGATCACGAGGTCAACAGATCGAGACCATCCTGGCTAACACGGTGAAACCCCGTTCTCTACTAAAAATACAAAAAATTAGCGGGGCGTGGTGGTGGGTGCCTGTAGTCTCAGCTGCTGGGGAGGCTGAGGCAGGAGAATGGTGTGAACCCAGGAGGTGGAGCTTACAGTGAGCTGAGATCGCGCCACTGCGCTCCAGCCTGGGTGACAGAGCAAGACTACATCTCAAAAAAAAAAAAAAAAAAAAAAAGAGCATATAATGGCAGTATGCATGATAATAACATTGGCTAATATCTATTTTGGTTTTTGCCAAGTGCTTTGCTTCTGTCATCTCACTTGACCCTCAAACAAATGATACGATTATTATCTCATTTTAGAGAAGAGGAAACTGAAGGACAGAGAAGTTAAGTGACTTTTCTCGGATCACACAGCTAGTAAGTCGTATATGGCTGGGGCGTCGGCTCACACAACCTGACTCCAGAACTTGAACTTTTACATGTTTATACCCAGGACCACTAGCTTTATATATTCTAAGGAAAAAGTTGAATTGTGGAAAGAGATTTCAGTTAAAAAATGTCCTAACATTTGTGTAAAAATACACTGAAAACACCTGAAATATTCAGTAATAGAGGGATGGCTATGAACTAATAACAGCAATTATGATAACTACTATTTAGCGCTTCACTATGTCCCAGACATTGAGCTAATAGTTTCATATAATTATCTCATTTCTCTTTACAACAACTTTATAAGATGCCTACTTTATCTTCCCTCCCACATCATTTTGCAAAGGAAGAAGCTGAGGCTCAGAAAAAGTTAAGTAACTTGTCGTTGTCACGTGGCTAATAACTGATGAAGCTGCAATTAGAAGTTAGTCTGCTGATTCTCAGTTCATTGTCCCAAACATGTGATTTACTCTTATGAAGCCATTAAAAGCTATTTTTGGAATGATTTCAATGCTTATGAAAGAAGTGAAAAAGAAAACAAAAACAAAAAAACACAGGCTACGAAACTGTCTAGTATGAGACCAACTCTGCAAAACAGAATGCATAGAAGTAGGGGAATTCACAAAAATATTAACAGTGCTTATCTCTGGAGAGGGCAGAGTGGTCATTTTTATTCTCTTCTTTATGTTCTTCTGCAAGTTTCACATTTTCTGCAGTAAACGTGTATTCTAATTGGAATCCTATTGGAAAAAGAAAGAGCTTTTACAAGTATTGAAAAGGAAAAAAAAGAGAACTAGAAGTTGTGGTCCTTTGTGGCCTCTGCCTTGTCTCACGGGCATCTGTGTCCATGTCTTATCTCCCCAAAGGCCATCTCGGAACCACACTACTGCTTGTATCTCCACAAGGGCACAGCACACACTAGGCCTCCAAGGAGTACTTCACAGGCTCTCTGAGTGAAGAACAACATGCATATATAACTGCATTAAAGACACCAAGGATGATAAAATAGCTCCCATTTGTTGAGATCCTACTATGTGTTAAGCTACATACTAAGTGTTTTACATACATCATCTTTCTCCTCATAACAGGCTAAATAATGATGCCCTGCTGGGTAGTGCCCATCTGCTCCCTCTACCCCTGCTGTCCTCATCCACTCTGCCCTCCACTGCTCAGCTCTGAGCCCCAGGATGGGATCCCTTAGGCTGCATCTGCCGGGCTCCCTTGTCGATTGGTTTCTGGTTGGGTGTGACCACTGGAGGGAGAGGCACTAGCAGGAGATCAGGGCGGAGAAGAGAGAGGCAGGGGCATTTTCCCTCTGCTCCCCCGTGCTCTGGAGCCTGACTGTGCAGCCACTGCCCTCCCACGATTATCAGCAGCCCCTCCTCCATGGCTCTGGTTTTCCCACAGCTAGTCCCTTCCCTGGCTCCATCTGTCCTGCTGTTAGAGGCAGGGAGTCGCCTCAGTCCTTGTTGGTTTCCTTAACACTGCCCACCCTGTTGTAAGGAGTCCCACTTGCTTTCTTCAGCTGATCCAGGCCAGTGGAGTCCTGTTTTCTGCTGAGACCTAGACCGACACAGTGTTAATTATCCTGGTGAATATAAATAAGGAAGTGGAGGTTTGGAGACCTATAGTTATCCAGATAGTTCAGTGGAGCAGGATTCAAAGCCAGGTGTGTCTAATTCCAAAAGACTCTTTCTATATCGCCTGCTGTTTTCGTTCTGCAAGCTGAGTCTGTCCCTTGAAAGCAAATGGCCAACAGCCCCTGAAGAAAAGCTGTGGTTCAACACCTGCTTCTAATGAAGCCACCAAGACAAACTGCCTGCCAGCTCTGACCCCTTGACATCCATCCTGGGCTATCGCTGCCACAAAGGACGCTCTCCTGTCCCCTAAACGTCTGGCCCCTGAGCCGGGGAAAATGTTTCATGCCCTTGTCTTGGCGATACACTTTTTCTTCCCTTTTTCTTAAATTGTGAGTAGGAGGAGATTGATTTCTGCATTTGAGATGCTATGGTTCCACGATTTTAGGAGAAAGTGCTTGTGTAAAACCCAGGAGTCAGCTTTAGAGGATGCAAAGGCCCCTTTAGCTTGCACATCCTATGAATGAGAATTGCCTATTTCTACAACATGTGTCCCTAGAGTAGCATCTCTGCAGGAGGATGGAACGTGCCAAGGTGTGTGGGCTGTGAAGAGCCAAGCCAGCATGCTTTCTGAGGCTCACCAGGGAACGGGCTGGGGACGGAACCTGCGCTGATGGCTGAGGCACCCTTGAGTTTGCAGGAGCACTCCTGAGAAACTCCATGTCTGCACGGAGAATCTTGCATGACTGCCCTTTTTTGGAGAAATCTTTAAATGAAATTAACTTTAAATATAAATGAGTCTTTCAGGCTGAGAACTGGTTCCTGCTGAGAACTAGTTCCTCCTCCTCCTCCTTCTTCTTCTTCCTCCTCCTCTTTTGTAGAGATGAGGTCTGTATGTTGCTCAGGCTGGTCTCAAAATCCTGGGCTCACACAATCCTCCTGCATTGGCCTCCCAAAGTGTTAGGATTACAGGTGTGAGCCGCCACACCCAGTCCTAATTATTTACTCTTATTTGGATTTTTGTAAGTGTTTTTCTTTAAAAAAAAAAAAAAGGAAGAAAAGAAAAGACAATTTGCCTATCATTCTACCCTGCCACCCCCAGCACAATGATGCTATTACAAAGATTAAGGAAAAAAGTGTGAGTGATTTTGCCCACTTTACCTTATGACATGTTTAATAAGGACGTTAAAAAATGATTTGGGGAAAACGCTTTTAATCCTGTGACTGCAAAGAGACCAGTACAACATACTCCCAAGTTCTGGCAGGAGAAATTATTTCAGGTCTTAAAGATGAAAGGCATGAAATAGTCCATTGACCTCGAATGTGATCAGGGAAACTCCATTTACAGCAGAAATCTGAGGCCTCCGGAGAGTCTCCTCACTAGGAAAAATCCTGGATTGTAACCCTGTGTGGACCCTGCTGGTGCCATTTAAAAAAGAAAAAACTTACATTTTCTTTTCACAAGATCAGGTTATTGAATTTATGAAAAGAGAATATATTTCTTTCTATTTTTTGCCTCCCAGAAACAATGATTCTGAATCATTAGATGTTGGCTCTGGGAGATATTATGACTCTCTTTGCAAACATCAAAGAGGGCTTTTTTTTTTTCCCCCTCCGTGTATGGATTTCTCTCATGGAGATGGTAGGAATGAGACCTCTTGTGTTTTCTCCAAGCCCAGAGGGCTTGTTCCTAGACCCGAAATGCCTCTAACTCAGAGGGAAGCTGAAGATCATAGGATTGAGGGGCCCAGGATGGTGTTGTCCAGGGTGTTGCTGCCCAAAGAAGGCAGCCAGTGCCGGCAAGGCTGAATGAAAGTGAATTAACTCAGAGCAGGCGCGAGTGAAGAAGAAAAAGGGAAAGTGATTTTGTTAGCCTTTGTATGTAACACCTGTATGTGTCGGTATTTTCGTGGCCACATTTTGGTTTAACAGTACAGTCCCATTTAAGTGATGCCCTGATGTCACGAGACTGGATGCTTGCCCCTTTCTTTTTAAAATTAAATTGAATTTTTTTGAAACAGGGTCTCACTCTGTCACCCAGGCTAGAGTGCAGTGGCACCATCATGTCTCACTGCAGCCTTGACCTTCTAGGCTCAAGCAACCCTCCTGCAGTCTCCCAAGTAGCTGGGACTACAGACATGCACCACTCTACCTGGCTAATTTTTAATTCTTTTGTAGAGATGGCGTCTTGCTTTGTTGCCCGAGCTGGTTTGGAACGCCTGGGCTCAAGAGATCCTCCCACCTTGGCCTCCCAGAGTGTTGGGACTTCAGGTGTGAGCCACCGTGCCTGGCCAATGCCTGCCCCTTCTGTGGGGGTCTGTTGCTGCCTGCGAGCGGTGGAGATGGGGGAGTGTGTGTGTGCGGCCAGGACTGTTGTGCTGACTGGCGTCCTGTTGCCAGCTCTTTGTGCTGTGGGTGGAATAAGGGCCCTCAACGGATAGACAGAGCCCAGGGTTTGAGTCCTCTCTGATGCCTGCTTCCTTGTGATCTGGAGACCACATAGCCTTTCTGGGGCTCGATTTCCTCATCTGTGAATGCAGGTTAGGAACTTTCTTGTAGTGTCGCTGTAAAAATGTGATAAGATGGCGATGAAAAAATGCCTGCCTTCCAGAAGGTGTTAATCGGGTGTCATCTACTTCCTTCCTCCACACTGAACTGACCGGGGCAGGTTTTGAGACCCACCTGCAGGTCCCGTGCTAGTGGTTCATCCCCATGTCTATTCACACCTCTTCCTTGGTGCCCACATAGGTTTTGTCATTAGGTCAAGGTCACATAAGTGGTTGGCAGCAAGGCCAAGATTCTTGACACTCCTTATCCCAACCCCAAGCCTGTGCTGTCTACGACACCCCCTGCTTCTTCTGGAACTCTCCCTGAAGTCAGTGGAAACCTTCCAAAGAAGTAGCTGAGAGAAGCCAAAAACAGACCGACTGCCCGAGTCACAGCTTGGCTCGTCATCTCGCCGACCAGCAAGGAAGGGTGCTCTCATGGCTGCGGCGAGCAGCAGAAGCAAGTGCCCCTCACCCCCGACCCAGGGAGCCTGGAGTGCAGGGCCGTGGGTGAGGGGGCGGGGGAGGGGGAAGGGCAGCACGGGGAAGACAGGAGAAGAGTGGAGGAGATATGGAAGAGGGAGTGTGGAAGGAGGGCAGAGAGGAGGAGGCGGGACATGCAGCTGGAATGCCGCAGGAGGGAGAGGCACTCAGTCGAGGGCCTTGGTCCTACGCCGAGGCCAAGTGCAGTAAAAGGAGCAAAGGCTGGGATTCAATGCGATGCTTCCTGCTCACAAATTGTGTGACTTTGCCCTGACCGTGTCTCTGTGTGTGCGTGTGTCTCTCCCTGTCTGGGGGTTGCTGTGAGGATCAAATGGGAAATGAGCTAACGTGTACAACACATCCAGCCCAGTGCCCGGGCAGAGTGCCCCCCGAGGGCCCCTTCCCTCCTCTCCACCCGGTTACCTCATCTGACTGCTCTGAGGATGAAATGAGAGGAGGCACTGGCGAAACAGGATTTACTCCGTACAGATCCGTTTCCCTCCCCCTCCCTTAAAAACAGGCTCCCAAACTGGTAAAGGTTCCTTGTGAGAGAGTGAGAATGGAAGTGGGCGATAAATTGCCTCGTTTCACTCGGCGACTGTTTCCCAATTCTCTCTTGCTACTGCTGTACTCTCGCAGTGTTTACCCGAGTTCTGGTGTACAGTTGTAGAAAATAGATCCTTTGATGGTTTTGTCGAAATATCTTGGGAGCCAGAGGAATTCAGGCCAAGTTAGTCATCCTTTGTGAAACTACAATCAGGAGGCGATGTTTATCTTGCCCAACCAGACCCTGCACTAAAATACATTGTACAATTAGATGTTTTTGAAAAATGGGGATTGTGGTTTCTCTGTAGGCCGGGGTTGGGCAAGTCTGCTCTTTTAAGAGTGTAATATGTATTCATCAAAATGCTGGAGGTGGCTGGTGGAATAGGCTTTGGGGGCCCAAGTCAGTTATGATCACGGTTGTGATGGGCAGGGAGTGGTGTAGCTGTGGTGGCCTAGATTAAAATCTTCATCCCAGCATCACCAGTAGAACTCTCCGCGGCGATGGAAATGTTTTATTTCTGTGTTCTCTGATGCAGCAGCCACGTATTTGAGCACTTGAAAGGTGGCTTGTGTAACTGACAAACTGAATTTTTGGTTCCATTTAATTTAAAGTAACTTAGATTTGGATTTAAATAGCCACATATGGTTTGTGGCTACCACATTGGATAACATAACATTATATAGATAGCAGTATCCCATGAGCAGCTGCTTCAAACAGGCGAGTCTCGCATGAGTGCACTTTCCAGCCATGCCCAGGGTGGCTTGATGTGACCACAGAGACGTTACTTTCCACTAGCAAGTGAAACTGGGTTGAGCGGGTGAGGACTTTGCTCACTGGAGGGGCTGCAGGAGAACTGGGGAGAATTTGTGGGGGAGCAGAAAAGGAGAGGGTATGGGCTGGGCACAGTAGCTCACACCTGTAATTCCAGCACTTTGGGAGGCAGAGGCGGGTGGATCACTTGAGGTCAGGAGTTCGAGACCAGCCTGGCCAACGTGGCGAAACCCCGTCTCTACTAAAAATACAAAAATTAGCTGGGCGTGGTGGTGCACGCTGGTAATCCCAGCTACTTAGGAGGCTGAGGCAGGAGAATCACTTGAACCCTGCAGGTGGAGGTTGCAGTGAGCCAAGATCACGCCACTGCACTCCAGCCTGGGCGACAGAGTGAGACTTGGTCTCAAAAAAAAAAAAAAAAAAAAAAAAAAAAAGTAAGAAAGAAAAGGAGAGGGTGTGGTACAAGCCACAGCTCGGCACTGGAACCTCCCTCCAGCCTGGGGCTTTCGGTTCCTGACCAGTTTCAGTCAGTCCTGCCCTTAACCTCCTCCTCACTAGATGTCCCAGGAGCAAGATAAGTAGTCGGTAATAAAGAGACACAAATGTGGTCTCCAAGGAACTCATCGTGGGTTAGTCTCCACCGAGCCCCCTGAGGGTAGGACTGTGTTTGAAGAATATACGGATGGATGAGTACGTTGGTTTTGGTAGCTGGTGGGTGAGATAATGATGCCCTAATGCAATTCTTTGGTCTTCCTTAATAACAAAGGGATCCTTGTGAGTTCACATCAGCAGTGTATGGTGGTCGGGCAGTGGGGCCGTTGGCAAATGGGAGAAGCTCAGCCTGGTTCATGCCTACTGCTCTTGTTTCCCCTTCTTCCTTCTCTTGATGCTTCCCTTCCCAATCTCCAAGTCCCCAGTAGATGTCCTAGGGCTGGGCCAAATCAGATGAAGTGCCCAGTTTAGCCCTGGAAGATGAAAAATGACCTCTTTTCTTCCCAGGTGATTTCAAGGAGAAAGCAATTCCCCCACCCTTCTCTTCCATACCCCTCTTATCCCCATAAACAGACCAGCGGCAGGTTTAGGAGTTTTTAAAAATCACTCTGCTCACTCTTTGGAGGCCCCAGGTCTAAATGCCAGGTCTGCCAAGAGCTTTTTGTCTCTGGACAAATAATTTTCCCTGCCTAGGCCTTGGTTTCCCCATCTGAAAAACGGCAGGGTTGAACTGCTCCTCATGATGCGAACATTCCATGATTAAAATAGATCCAGTGAAATGTGATTATCTAAGAGGCTTAATCACTCCAGGCGGCATTGCCATTTAAAAGAGGAGCTGGTTCACCCAAATGAGTCTTTAATTGGCAGCCTGCAGCGGAGGAGCTCCCCGAAGCAGGAGGACTTCCAAATTCCCTCACCTGCGTGCTGCCATCTCCTCCAGCCCTAAGGGACAGCCAGTGGAGGGACCCTTTGGCCCGAAAGATCCTGCCCTCACACCAACTACTCTTCAGATGCTGTGCGCACCCACAAGAAATTTCTGTCATTCCTAGACCTGCTTGACTCAAGGGAGGGAAACCTGACTGGAGAGCAAAAGTTCCGATACACAGAGAAATCCTGTGCCTCAAAAATAAGCTGCCTGGGAGTTTGAACTCACGACTGAGAGTCAGGTGGCCCTGTTCCAGGTCTCCTTACAGCTGCACAGCTGTGGGCACCCCACGCGAGTTTTGCTTTGCTCCTCTTTAGAATGGGATAATAACCAGCCCTGCCATCCTCGCCTGGCTGTTGGGAGAACCACAAGGAGCTGATGGCTGCATCGAATGTTTTGTGTAAAATGCTCCCTAAAAGCAAAGTGGTGGTGACGGCCTGTTTACATTCTCCAGATACAAATATCTGCCTGGTAATAGTCAAACAGCACATCAGATTTCTTCTCCCAGCACTGGAGAGGCTGTGCGATGAAACAGTGAGATGCTAAAGCACTCCCGAGCTGTTTTAGGGATTAGGCAGAAATGTTAATGGCAACAGATGTCGGCTTGTTCCCTCCAGGAGGATTTAGGTTTCAGTGGAGTATTTCTCTGCTGGCCTCAGCCTAAGACGTGGTCACAGCCCTTTCTACAATCTTCCATTCAATCCAGAGAGCTGCTGGGCCCACTTTCTGCCCTGTGGTTAAAAATCTGGCTGGGAAACACTGGAAGCTGAATCTTGTCTTGGGAGTGCCTCAGGGTGAATATCATGTCCTATCAGATCAGCTGATTCAAATCTTAGAAGAAATGAAATGCAGTCTAGAATCCAGTTTTTTCATGGGGGCCGTGAACAGAGATGAAAGAACTGGGTTCTAGGATGTGTTTGGAGATGCCTGACGTCCCTGTACAGTGAGATCCGGGTGGCCCAGGTAAACTGCGTGTGGCCTTGCAGATCTAACATTCTAGGGGAGCATGAAAATGGACAGAGAGGCCAACCCAAGGATCGTTTCAGAAATGGTCGAGGTTTCTCCTCCTAGCCCTTGGCGGCAAGGTGGCCACACTCTTGGGACAGGAGAAAGGCTGTGTCAACGTTGCTGTCTGGAGCCTGCACAGTTTCAGAAACACCGCAACAGCAGAGCTGAAGCACCTCCAGGAAAGAAGCCAAGGGGACTTCTGAGCCCTTTGGACAGGGGACTGCATCCTGCCCTTCTGAAGGCTCCCCAGCTCCACACTCACCTTTGAAGGGGGACTGGGCTCGCGTTACGAGGAAGAGCCTCTTGCTCTTGCTCCGCGGCTCCTGGCGGACGTGGTAGCCCAGCGTGTTGCAGCGGCCCTTCTTGCAGCTCAGGCACAGGCCCTGGCTGAAGCTGTTCATGTCACCACACGGGTAGGCCATGCTCTGCGTGCCGGCGTGCAGCAAGGAGTCGATGAAAAGGTGCACCGATCGCTCGTGGGAGCATTTTATGGTCTGGGTGATGGCTGGAACACAGGGCAAGAAGGACGTTATCACCCCTTAACCCAAAGCAGCCTCAACTCAGAGGATCACCTTGGTTCTCATCCCACAGGAGGTTAGCAGTAGCACACAGAACAGGCAAGGGTGGGCTTGTCAAGGCAGACCCCTTGACAAGAGCAGGATGTGACAACTGACTGAAACTAAGGGAAGTAGACCCTCTGAGTCATGTAGTGTCAGGCAAAATCCCGGGCACTGCCGGGATCCTGAGAGCACTCCTTTATGACAGCGTGTTACAGTAGGCATTTTAATAGGCACCCAAGTCACTAAGGAAAGATCAAATTCATTAAGAGAGCAGGTTAGTGTAATTTATTATAGAAATATTTCTATCTCAAATGAGATAATTTAAAATGCCCAGGTGCTGATGCCTGGAGGGTGGGTTTTCTGGAACAGGCTTGCGTGGGACTCCTCTTCTCTTAATATAACTAGATACACGAGACAATCCCGTGGCACTCTGATGGTCTGGAGAACGCTGAGGCCTCTCGACAATGTCTACCTTGTGTCCCAAAGCAGCCATTGCATCCCTTAGGTAACAGGCCTGTGAAACCAGCACAAGAATTGGATTTGGAAGGACATTGCCCAGTAACCAGATCTGGACAGGCCTCACCCCCAAAACAAGCTTATGAGGTTGATCTACTAAGGATTTGACCTTTTTTTTTTTTTTTTAACTCTCCAAATTTTAACCTAATCTGTGGTAAATAATTCTCAAGGGATGTTGAGGAACCACCACAAGATATGTGAAACACTTGCTGTAAAGGGACAGCACAGGTGACTTTGCCAAAAGCTATTTCCCCAGTTGTCTGGAGGCTAAATGCCAAGATTAGTCACTGCAGTCCTTGGACGCTAGCGGCTGCATTCCTTGGGCACCTACTAGGAGGCTGTGTATGCTGCGTGCCCTCCGCTCCTCCACTGCCTGCATCTTCACTGCAGCTCCTTGAGGCCGCTGTTTTCGACGAGAAAACTGAGCTTCCAAGACATCCACTAACTCACCCAAGCTCATCCACCCAGGAGGTAGTGAAGGTGAATCTGCAGTTATCCAGTGAGCCCCTGTGCAGCTGTGGCTGGGAGAACTACCCCAGGAACCCTTTCAAACACAGGGGTGAAGACGACTGAGAAAAACCAGCCCAAGCTTGGGCAAGCTGAATACCTACATTTGGTTCCGTCACTTTGAAGTTTAGCACAAAAGAGCAAATGGTAATGATTGGTCAGAAATGTGTTTACCAGGAAAATAAAGCCCATACACCATCCTGATGGTCTGTACTGAGCTTTGTTGGGTGGGGTGAAGTTTGGGATGAGGGCTGGATGGTCAGCTGGGAACTGCTGGTGGCTGGAGGGGAGGTGTTGGAGTGGGGGAGGTGGGAGGGATGTAAGCAATGATAAGGGCAAGTTCCCAGAAGGCTCTCTCAGGCCTGGGCGGTGGAAGGCTGGGAGTCCAGCCAAAATGAGATGATGCGGAGTGTGAAGGTCACTCTGATATTGGAGAGGCGAGGATGGTGTCATCACAAGAGAGTGTGTTCTCAGCTGAGTGTTGGATGATCAGGGTGAGGTGGCTTGTAGGGGTGGAGGGCTCTACTTGGCTTGGAGTGATTGGCATGTCTTAATCAGGGTGATATTTTATAATAGCAAGAAATTTGGAATGCCCGTGGAATGTGCTGCTTCTGCTGACATTTTTGTTCTTTAATCCTGTGCATATTATCAATGTGCATGTTAATATTTCGGTTTTAGGACTTGAGAGAGAAGTGGGATCACAACCCAGATAACAGCACATTCCGTGTCTGCCCTGAGGTAAAGGGCATAACAAGGACATATTTGAAGCTGAATTTCCCATTGGGACAGTCTGAGTAATTTCCTCAATTAAACTGATGGGGTGGGATGAAGAGTGAGACCTTCATCGAGAAGCCACAACCTATTAAGTGGATCCTCATGTGGTTCAGAATAGAGGCGGTCCCTGGAACGAGGAAACTTCCAGAGAAGGAAGAATAACCACAGGCATCCGGACTCAACTCTCAGAAGAGCTGGTACCCCGGGAGAGGGTTTGCCTGGGCACATGGGGCTGGAGTGAGAAGTGGAGGTTCCTGTTGGTGCCCTCTGTTCATCCTCAGGGCGTGGCGTTGGCCTGTTGCCAGGAGTGGCCTGCTGGGGGACAGGCACCCTTGCCCACTCCAGCATTCCTTCTCTCTGGGTGGGCTTGGTGACCATACACCCTGGGCCCCTATCCTTGCTGAACTCTTCCCTGAGTCCCGTATGTTGGTAGATTCCGCTGAATTCCAGAGGCCCCATTGAAATGTAGGCCGGTGCTCCCGGCCCATGACTTCATTCTCACCATTGAAGCCGTGCTGGGCAATATGTCTGTAGAGCTCTAGGAAGTGGCAGCCAGGCTGGAAGGAGCCCCCGTTGGGATAGAAGTCATAGTGTCCTATGGGCTGTTTGATGCCCACGCTCAGGCCCATGTGCTCCCGGGTAAAGGTATGAATGGCATCCACAAAATTGGCATCATCTGGAGAAAGACGATTGCTGGGGGCACTTCCCTCAAACAAAGGTCCCGCGGCATCCAGCCCTAATGGGAAAGCAGGGGTAAGGGTTACGCAGGAGCAAGGAGAGGGGAAGAGAGATGTGCTTTTTAGCTTTTGGATATTATTATACATCAGTGAACTAGCAGGAAGAAGAAACACGTAGGGCTGATCCTTCCCTAGAAAACCTCGCCGTAACCTTTTCTCAGTAAAACCACAGTAGTTCATGGTGCTAACAATGACACACAGGCTGGGCATTAGCTAGCGGGGAAAGAGGTTTGCGGAAACTCTCCAGTGGTAGACACAAGGTTATGATGCCTGAGGCCAGGAGGCCTGGGCAGCATAGTGAAACCCCATCTCTAAAATAAAAAAGAATACAAAAGTTATGTGGATGTGGTGGCCTGTGCCTGTAGTTTCAGCCACTCAGGAGGCTGTGGCAGGAGGGTTGCTTGAGCCCAGGAGTTTGAGGTAGCAGCGAATCATGACTGCACCACTGTGACCCAGTCTAGGCAACAGAGGGAGATCCTGTCTCAAAAAGAAAAAAAAAAAGGAATAAGGTTATGAGGGAATGCTTGATTTACTTGAGCAAATCAGTTTTGAGTACCTCTCAAGCTACTTTCAAGACCATCTGTTTGCATACAAAAAAAGCCAATATGCTCATTATAAGTAGTTCCAACCTACCTATCAAAGAATGAAATTTATTTGCCTGTATGTTGTCAATAATTTCCCTAAACAAGCTGATTTTTCTCCTAAGATGTCATTTCATTAGAACGTCCAGAACAGCCGCGGGACATTTCACTGTATGTGAAAATGTTGTGTGCAAGTAGGGGAGCTCAAAGCTCTGGGCCTCAAGTGACAGATGTCTGTGCATGAAGTAAGGTGGCACCTCCTGGCTGACTGTGGTTGGGGAGTATTTATGCGCTCCAAGTTTTTTTTCCCTGTCTTTCTTCCTCTGCCTTCTCTGGAGGACCCTCTGGTGTCCCACCCCAGCCCTGGTTTCCTTCCCTACTTGGGGGGCGAAGGAATTGAGAGTGAGCCGTGAGATCACCCGTTCTCCAGCCCTACCCACAGTGACAAATGAAAAATGTCCTTGGCCGGGTGCGGTGGCTCACGCCTGGTAATCCCAGCACTTTGGGAGGCTGAGTCTGGCAGATCACCTGAGGTCAGGAGTTCGAGACCAACCTGGGCAACATGACAAAACCCCGTTTCTACTAAAAATACAAAAATTAGCCGGGCGTGGTGGTGGACACCTGTAGTCCCAGCTACTTGGGAAGCTGAGGCAGGAGAATCACTTGAACCAGGGAGGTGGAGGCTGCAGTGAGCCAAGATCATGCCACTGCCCTGTAGCCTGGGCAACAGAATGAGACTCTGTCTCAAAAAAAAAAAAAAAAAAGAAAGAGAAAAAGAAAAATGTCCTGATATGATTTCTGTTCCTTTCTTTATCAGGCTGATGACAAGACGGCAAGAGGGTGTTGAGCTTTCCTGCTGTCTCTGAGGTGGGTGGGCCCAGCTGATACGCCTAATGTGACCCACAGCACCAGTTGGATGGAGAGGGTTCTGGGCCTTGGGCCTGAGGCTGCCTCGCTGGGTGTGGACTCTGACCTCTGGCCCTGCTTCTTCAGTGGGAGGGCTGCTCATCCCCAGGCTATTGTGGGTTAAATCCATGGGGGCCACACGCCGGTCTGTGACCAGGCTTCCCCAGTGACCAGCAAGATGAACAAAAAAGCATGAGGAAATGAGCTGTCATAATCACAAGTGTATTCTGTTGAAACGTCTGCCATTATCCCCATTCTTTCTCAAGTTAAAAGAAATTCTTTTATAAAGGAATGGTAATAGCAGATAGTAGTTGTTTGTAAAAATGTCCTCATGGCCGGCCGTGGTGGCTCACGTCTGTAATCCCAGCACTTTGGGAGGCCGAGATGGTGGATCACCTGAGGTTGGGAGTTCGAGACCAGCCTGACCAATATGGTGAAACCCCGTATCTACTAAAAATACAAAAAAATTAGCTGGGTGTGGCTTAGCTACTCGGGAGGCTAAGGCAGGAGAATCGCTTGAACCCGGGAGGCAGAGGTTGCGGTGAGTTAACATCATGCCATTGCACACCAGCCTGGGCAACAAGAGCGAAACTCCGTCTCAAAAGAAAAAAAAATGTCCTCACTTGATAAAATATAAATTCGCAACAACTTTGTTATTCATGTAAAATGCTCTTTGTTTTGGCCTGTGAAATATTGTTTGAGCCTGCTGGGTCTTGAAGGATGAGGAGGAGTTTGAGTGGCTGAGTGGTGGGCAAAGCAAACAGTGCATGCAAAGGCCCAGAGGCACAAGAGGCCATGGTGTGTTTGTGAAGTAGAGAAAAACCTTGTGTCGTTGAAGCCTAGAGCTATGGGAAGGGATCAGCAGGAGGAGAGGCTGGGGCACTCTGGGGCTTCCACACCGAGAAAGGCCTTGCCTGTGCCTCCCGGGTTTTATACCTGTGGTATCAGTGGGCCTCAGACTTGGACTGGGGAACAATCTCACCAGCTGTGTGTTTTTGGATCCAATGCCTGGCAGTGTGAAGGGTGGGGTTGGTGTCACGGAAGCCTGGGAGGAAGGCCTTCCTCGCACATGTGCAGACCTTCCTGGATATCTTGGGCCATTTCTGAGTGTGTATGGAGTTTGGGGTGAAGTTTTGGATGCAGAGCTCCCTCCCTCAACCCAAATGGGTCCCAGACTAAAACATACACGTTTCACAAATGTGGAAACGGAGGCACTAACGTGGCTGATGAATTACAGCAAATTAAGGCTGTGATTCTTCACTCCTTAACTCGCCCAAATTGGACTTTGTAAATTATAGATTAAAAAATAAGACTCTTTCTTGCTAGAAAAGTCCATCTTTTAGTCCCATTTGGCACACCAACATGAGGTATTCGTTTGAGGGCAGGCAATAGGAATTGAGGCTATAATTTGCTCTGAATTCTCTGGAACAGCAATCCATGACATTGGTCATGTTTGAAAGAATGTCACAAGTCCTCTCATGAGCGCTGATCCCTCACAATAAGTGTTGGGGTGTTTTAATGATGAGCCTGTTGGAAAAGCAGGTCCTTGTTGGATGCCCCTATGGAGTGGAGATCAGTGTGTGAGTTATTAGGCATGGTTACCTGTGATTCTCCCAATCTTGTGCGTTCCACCGATGGAACTGCCGGCAAATCCTGACACGTGTGCACCCAGGCTGTACCCAATTAGGTGAACATGGCTTCGAGAGAGTTGCACAGATTCCTGGAAGACAGCAGCGGGATGGGGGCAGGAGAAGAGCTGCCTGGATGAAAGCCTTTTGCGGTCCAGTGTGTTGTGGCGCCCACCCTGTTCTTCGTGCCTGCTCAGAAATGAGGTGCCTTATTCACACTCCAAACTGAAACTAATCTCTCAACTGGCTGACTCTCCTGGGACTCAGGTACCTGTGACCTCGCCTTGTAGCTGCAGCCTCCTGCCTGCCTGTCTTCCCCTGGACACTAATGCCCTACAGAAGTGATCCCACTCATTTGTGTGGGGGCTTGATAGCTTACAGGGTGTGTTTGTATCCCTTAGCATGTCTAAGGGGGTGAGCATAAGAGGAATAGTGGATGAGGAGAGGGGAGAAGGTGGTTCTGTGAAACAGGGGTTCAAGGGAGGCGTCTGAGAGAGCCCTGGGGTCTGGTGTCAGTCCTGTGCCTTCTCATTCCTGTGAGCTGAGCATTAGTGCTTCTCCTGCCTGGGCTGCTGTTGGAGACCAGCTTAATTCATTCACTCTCAGAGGAAGGGAAAGGAGGGAAGGGAGGTGAAGGAAGGATGGGGCAGGTCGGTACCTCCAGCCACCGGAGAAGAGCCGCGACCTCCTTGCCCACAAGGCGGGTGTTGCGGACGGCGATGGTGTAGTGGTCGTGGGCCAGGGTGATCCAGTCCACCAGCCCCACGTTCACTGGCTGGGCCGGCTGAGACTTCAGCGCGGCCACCATCTGCCAGATCCAGTTTTCTAGCACGCCGTCCACCTGAGGAGGGGACAGAGGGAGGGTCGCACTAGTTTCCTTTCTCCCCGCTCACCCTTCTTCCTTCTCCAGCTCCTGGATAATGCTGGAGGAAGGGCTTGCTATGACGTTTCTCAGCCATGCACAGTTGACATTTTGGGCCAGAGAATTCCTTGTTGTGGGGGCTGTCTTGGGCATTGTACGATGTTTAGCAGCATTCCTGGCCTTCACCAACTAGATGCCAGCAACACCCACCCACTGCCCCAGGTTTTGAAAACCAAAAATGTCTCCAGATTTTTCCAAACGTTCCCCCCCGCCCCCTCCCGAGAACAATTATCTTAATGTTTTTCCTCTTAGGGACTTTCTAAACCTTAAAACAGTGGAGAAATATGTGTAAATCAGGTCCTGGAAGCTGACCTGTCCCTTAGGGCCATTTGTACGCCTCCTTCTGCGTGCAGCTGCCCCACCTCACCCCTAAACCCATAGCACTGGCTCTGCCCTGCAGACTGCGTTATGCTGGACTTAGCGGGATGGGCACTGTGAGCCTGACATAGTAGGAGGTAAAAAATGTTTACAGAGAATTGTTCTGTGTGTGTGCCTTGTTTGAGAACCAATTTGCAGGGCACTCCTAATGGATTTACAGAGCAAAGACACTTGTGCTGGGCCTTAAAGGATCAATAGGAGTCCAGTAAGACGAATATGGGTGGGGGCTGGGCGCGGTGGCTCATGCTTGTACTCCTAGCACTTTGGGAGGCCAAGGCAGGGGGATTGCTTGAGCCTAGGAGTTTAAGACCAGCCTGGGGAACATGGTGAAACCCCATCTCCACAAAAAATACAAAAGTTAGCCAGGTGTGATGGTGCATGCCTCTAGCCCCAGCTACTCCAGAGTCTGAGGTGGGAGGATGGCTTGAGCCTAGGAGGTCGAGTCTGCAGTGAGCTGAGATCACACTGCCCTCCAGCCTGGGCGATAGAGTGAGACCCTATCGCAACAAAACAAAACAAAGAAACAAAAAGAATACAGGTGGGCAGGTGAATGTGGTAGTGGTGAGGTCTAGGGCATCCCAGGCAGAAGGAACAGTGCGTGCAGAGTCACAGAATCATGAAAGGGCAGTGTGGTATGTCAGGGGAGAGGAGGAAAGTTGGTGAGGTGAAGGCTAGACAATAGGAGGTGAAGGCTTGACAATAGCGGGTGAAGCTGGAGAGCTCCCCTGAGGGCCTGTCATGCCATTCCAGGGTAAGATGCATTCCTTTACTAGATATTTACCAAGTGCCTTCTATGTGCATGGAGCATCTTGGGTTCAAATCTAGGCTCTCCTAGTTTCTAGCTGAGTAACCTTGGGCAAGTTATTTTTCTCTGTGCTTCAGTTTTCTCACCTGGAAAATGGGGTTAATAATGCTCTCCTTCCAGGATTGTTATGAAGGAGAAATACGTTAATAGATCTAAAGCGCTTAGAGCAGTGTCTGGAACATAGTAAGGACTCAACAAATGTTCGTTACTGCAGTTGTTGTTGTTATTAATATTAGCAGTAATAGGAGGAGGAGACATATACTAGGTTGGACAGAATTTTGATAATGAAGAGTGCATTTTGGTAAAAGCATCCTGGTAAGAGGCTCCTGTGGTCCTCATGTTGCATTTATAAACAAGACTCATTCATTTGATCTTTAATTCAGTTAACAAACATTTTGGAGCACTGATTACATAATGGATAGTGGCCCACAGTAGTCTATTAGATGAGAATAGGACAGAATCCTTCCCAGGGAGAAGCTTACGGCCTAGCAGAGCAGAGAAACACAGACAATTAGAAAGCCGAGCTGCAGAGCAGTGGTGGAGAGTGCTCAGGGCCACACGGGAACTCCCGGTGACACTGAATGCCCTGTGGGAGTGCTGGGATGAAGGCAGCAATGGCTTGCAGGAGGACCTGTTTGGGACTGTGTCTTACAGGAAAAGTGGGAGTTAATCAGGAAAAGAGGAGGAGAAAGAACACTCTAGGCAGAGGGCACAGACTAAGCCAAGACCAAGAAGAGAGAAGGCAGGTGCATGGGGTGTGGAGGAAGCTATTAATACAAGCAGTTAGATGTTGCTGGAACGTCATGTGGGAGGCAGGGAGAGGTGAGGGGAGGCAGGTGATGGAAGGGTTCATTTTCCTCTCCAGGATAGGATAGATGGGGGTTTCAAGAGTACTTTTCAACTAGATGGCAGGGAAAGGTTTCTAAGTCATGAAGTAGACACCAAAATCTCTGGAGGGTTCAAATTGTGAACTATGCTTGAAATCATGGGTGGGCTAGACACTGGGGAGGCAGGATTTCCTCTTGGAGACAAGTTCTCACATGGTTTGACTTCATCTATTGCCAATAATATCCTTTCTCTCCTTCTTCCATAGTAATAGAATTTTTAGCATCACTAAAAGGCTACATTTTCTTTAACAGCCTATACTTCTCAGCCACCTTTCCACTTAGATATGGTCAATGGATGTAACTGGGAGAATTTCACAGAGGCTCTGGGACACCTAAAAAACACTCTTTTATACCAAAAGCCATTGAATTGTGTAAACTTGAAATGGATAAGTTGTACGCTTTGTAAATTATATCTCAATAAAGCTCTTGTAAAAACCTTGCTTTTGACTCCTTTGTGTACATCTTTTACTACATTGTGCTTCCTGGAATAAAGATGTGATGGCTAGTCCTCTAGCTGCCATCTTGGACTATGAGGATGAGGGTCACACCCCAAGATGGCAGAGCAGTGAACTGGAAGGAGCTGGGGCCTGGAGGACTTCACTGACCAAAGCTGTCTAGCCGGTTTTTGGGTTACATATATCTTTGGAATATTTTGCGAAATGAAAACAAATTTCTGTTTTCTTTGAACCACTGCTAATTTGAGTCTCTGTTATTTGCTGCTGAACTTAAACCTTGCTGATACAACATTTCATTGGGAGTCCATTCTTCTGGCTTCCTATGTCCCCCTGTGTGTAACATGCAGATTCAGGAAGGAGGCTTCTTCCTGCACGGACTGCAATCCCTTGTGGGCCCCAATGGGCTGTGTGGCCTCTTTGAGCCACATTCTATCTGAAACATGGAGATAATTATATTTTCTCACGCTGCTTACTCATGGAATCGAGATAATCAATGAGCTAATGCGTGGGGAAGCACTTGGAAAATTAGAACGTGCTTCATAAACATTATGCATGGAGTTGTTATCACCAGCTCCCTATCTTTTTATGAACATGAACACGCTAGAAAGAAAAAAAGAAAATGTGAAATCGGAGAGAAAAACGGCATGTCAGCATTTCCTACCGACCACCCGTGGATTATCATCACCAGAGGCAGGGAGGAGTTGAAGCCGCACTCCTGTAACGTGTCCGGATGATTGATTCGAATCTGACAGCCCTGATTGGTTTCTCCAAAGAGCAGGAATCTGGTCTTCATCTCATGCAGCGTTTTGTTTGTTTCAACAGCTTGAGCTCTTCTTCCAAATGGCTCTGCAATATAAGATTGGGGACGGTGCTTAGCCTGGCATCTGCTTCATCTGAAGCCCTCCGTCTTCTCAAAGGCTGCTTCTACAAGCACAAGCCAAAGAGGTTACTGGGAGATGCTGGAGATCAGAATGAGCCACAACTGTGGGGAGCCCCAAAGACTGTTTCCAGTGGAATGGCCAAGTGATGGAGGGTGGCCTAGGAGGTTGAGATCACCAGATCCTCTAGCCTGTTATCCCAGTGACCAGCCAATCAAGCACTAGAGTCACCCTCTAGGTCATAAGGAATATAGGCAAGGCAGTTTTGGAGGCTCGGTGGATAAGCACCTCACCCCAAATCACACTGCCAAAAACTGATAGAGACAGGATTTGAACCCAGGTGTCGCTGTCTCCAATTTCATCCCTACATCCCTACCTAGAGAGACAGTGAATAGAGCATCTTAGCTGGGTGACACTATGTATTAGCTCCTGAGGCTCAACTTGTCCTCACGTGCAGACAGATTATATCAGGTAAGCCTTGCAGGGACAAGGTACAGGGGTGAGTGTGGGGCAGGGTTGGGGGAATCACAGAGGGAGTAGTGGATGCCGCTTGAGGGAGGGTGTGGCATTCAGGGAGGGCTTTTCAGGGAATGTGATGTTGACCCTGGCCTTGCAGGATGATTGAGTGTGTGTGTGTGTTTTGTTGCGGGGGTCAGGGGTGGCTGAGGGAGCAACATGAGTCGAGGCTCACAGGCATGCAACCTTGCATACATAAAGAGGCAGGAGACAAGGCCAGGCAGGCCAGAGCATGGAGGGCCCTGGGATGCTGAAGAGTCTGGCTTCATGCTCCAGATGCCAGGCTGCTGCTAAAGAGTTTGCAACAGAAAAGAGTAGAGGAATGTCCATTCGGAGGCTTTCCAAGGCCGTGGGAGGTGGAAAAGGAGAGGAAGATTGTTTTTAACATATCACCTTCTGTTGTTTGACCGAAGGGCCTTCCAGCCTCTCTTCTGGGGGAGCCTCACTATGACCATGAGCCACTTTGGAGGGGTGGGTGAGTGGCCATCCAACTCTGCCAGGCAGCCCGACAGCTGTCCTGTCTGTGGTGCTGCACCAGAGACGGACACCTCTGCCAAGAGGCCTGGTAGAGCCTGGCAAGGTGGCGCGTTTCCATGGCGTGGCATGTCAAGATGGGCGCATCTTTTCTGCCAAGATTAGGGATCAGGCCAAGAGCTGGGAGAGGAAGCTCTCATCCCTTCCTTCTGGTAGAAGGTGGGCTCCCCTGCGGCTGAGGAGCAGACACAAGGCCGCTCTGACCTTTTTGGTCAGTGAACTCAATTCAGCCCATTTAATAAGGACCCTGATCATTCTTTCTGAGAATAAAATCATTCAGGCTTCTCAAATAATATGTCTTGGGCTTTTGGTTTCAGGGGACAGCAGGACCAAGAGATGATGAACCTACAAAGTGCAAGGGGAGGTGTTAATGAAACCAATTTTCCTACCCAAAGGGTATTAACTCAAAAGGTTATTAATTCTCAGCAAAGGGCAATGATTTTTCACTATGAAGACAGAATGAAATGCATCATATTTTATTAAAAGGAGGTGTGAGCAAGAATTTGAATAACTTTTCTGAGATAATGAAGAAAATTTCTGCCGCTCTCTTTGGCTTTTCTGAGCTTATAGAGAGTCTCAGCTTGCCCTCACTCCTGGAAGCCTGCTTCCAACCTAGCCTGCTGATTTCACTGGCTGCCCTCCTGTCTAAGTCAGAAGCCGGGGTGTCACCTTGCACTGCTATGCCAGCTTCTCGATCAGTCCAAAGCTTCAGGTTTCCTAAATATCCCTAGAATCCTGTGCCTTAGTTCCCGTGCACACTGTGTCTTGCTTGGTTTATTACAGCAGCCTCCTAACTGGTCTCTCTCTGCTTGGTCTCTCTGTCCTCCTGCACACAGCTGCTCAAAGAGTCTAAAACAGAAATGACTATACCTGTTAGTGACTTTCAGCTTCATGGTATTGCAGCCAAGGCCACCACCTGAGTGATGATCCCTCATCCCCCACCTCCTCCTCTCTTTTCGTTCTCCTGCTACCAACAGTTCCCAAATGCCCTTTTGGATGCCGGTACCTTTGCACCTCACCTCCTGCTCTGTCTCTGCTGCTCCATTCATTAAAATGGAACTGAGACTTCACAGCCTCCAGGAAGCCTTCTCATCTAGTCAGAGATAATTACTCCTTCTTGCTCTCAGCACCGTACTGCCTCCCTGATCCTAATACACTTGCCCTGCAGCGGGGTGATTTATTTATCCAGGTGTGTGCTTCCTCCACCTGTCAGCGAACTCATGGAGGGTAGCCCTGGGCACAATGGTGGGTGCTCAATAAATGTTAGTGAGCGGTGAGGTGTCCTGCCAGATCCAGATCTTGGATCAAAGGCTGGCACTCAATCTTCAGCCATTTATACATTGGACCTAATGTAGCTCATTTTCTTTTATTCAGAGACTGAAACACTACACCTTTCTTCATTTTAGGATAGCTGCCTCAAATGTTAAGAGGGTCATATGAAAATAAAATGGGGATAAAAATAGTGCCTATCTTATGAGGTTGTTAGGAGGATTAAATAAGATATTTGTAAAGAGCTCAGAACAATGCCTGACATGTAATTAGAACCTAGAGAAGAGAGCGTTGTTAGAATAAGTACCAATTGGAGCATCTAGCATCTTACATTTCTGATCAGTGAAATCCTTTCTTTCTGTGGAAATTCACCCCAGTTGTCCTCATAGGACCAATTCTGTCTTGTGTATATTTACTCTGGATTTAGCTGTGAGATACGCTCCAGCCCAGGTGGCTGAGGCTTCGAGGCTGTTCAGGAGAGACCATGGAAAACAGTTGTCAGATGGAAAGCCCCACAAACAACTGGACTGAACAGGGCCCTCTCTTTTCTCCCTTCCCGGAGGCTTTAGCTCTCTTTAACATGTGTATGAGCGAGGAAGCTGTATACTGTATACAGGTATGTGCTCATTCATTTATTCACTTCCTCAACAAACACTTATTAAGCATGTATTATGCCCCAGGCCCCCTGGCTAGGTACTAGTTGGAGGCAAAGACAGCATGTGGCTCCTTTCAGGAGTCCCCAGCCCCATGGTGGGGTGGGGGATGCAAGCTTGAAAAGCAACTATTAAAAGTGGTTGCTGTGTTGCAGCGGAGGAATGCCCTGCGTAGGGGCTTTAGGGAAGAGGTCGAGAGAAGATAAAGCATCAGTCAAGTCTAGATGGAGGAAAGACTCTTTAAGAGCTCATATCCACGAGCAATTGTTAAAGAAAGTGGGGCTCTGGTGCCTATAAAAATAAGATTGGGAGGATGACATGAGAGTTGAAGGGCTGTTGTGGAGAAGGTAGACTAGACTTATTTTGTGTAACTTCAAGAGGTAGAAACAAACAGAATCACTGGGTGGGCATGACATGGAAGAACATTTTTAACTTGAAGTAGTTGGCAAAAATTCATAGTTGAAGAACTTGGGACAAAGAGAAAATAAGGGCAGTAAAACAATAAAGATAGGAATGTCAATATTAACACCCAAAAATGTACACTATGTGATCTTATAAGGCTGCTGAAGATGGGCCACAGATTTTTTTCTGAGCTTCTTTTTGGCCACATCAAAGAGGGAAGCGGGATCAGTTATAGCATTCCTGGTGGCCAGGCACTCACACTTTTTTGGTCCTGAAACCCAAGATGGTTTCCCTATGTGTTATTGAAAAAGGAGGTTACAAATATATAGCAGCAAGTTTTATGTGGTTAACTCTGAGAGCCCTGTAATCTTCAGTGAAATAGCAGCCACAGCACCAAATAGCGTTTAAGTCACCGTGAGTCTATAAGAGATTCTTCACTGTAATTGAGCAGCAGCCTCTAGGACTGAGGGAGGCAGGGGCCACTTCAGGTCACATTTAGGGGTGGAAGGAATAGAGCCCTGAAGCCCAGGGGTCTGAGCCTCCATGAGATCAGAGTCTGTCGCTTATTCCTAGAACACTTAGGACACTTGGGCATCCTAAGGGAAGCCCGTGGCTTCAAGGACTCACTGCTGTGCCCACCCTCATACCTTTACTGCAGTTTCTTCCTACAAGTTTTAGCTTTGCACATCACCAGCTCTCGACTGGGCATCTTTGCCTGGGTACTCTTTGGGCACTACAGACTCAGCAAGGCCAAACTAAATGTATTTTCCTTCCTCCCAACCCATTCTTCTTCCTTTCTTCCTACGTTTCCTATTGTGGTTCATAACACCGTCATTCATCTCTATGCCCAAGGTGGAAAGCTTAGAGCTTATGCCCTCTCTTGCCTCTCTACTGGGTCACCAAATACTGAGGACTCAGGCTCAGAATGATCTCCTTTGTCTGCCCAGTGGCCTACTGTATGTCCTTAGCCTTTTTTTTCCCCTTCAAATTATAGTGTTGCAATAGACTTTTAACTGTTTCATATTTTATTTTGCTTTTTGTAGAATTAAGGGATGCTCATTGTATGTATGCTGAAAATATATTTCAGTATAATTTGAAAAGTGCTGAAAAAATAAAGAATATTATTATTTAGAAAAAAACACAAATAACATTTGGAGTATATCTTCATAATGTTTTCTTATGGAGATATTTGTTCCATAGATTCTTATTTACAGTGTGTATAATTGAGATCATGTTACATAAATGGTTTTAAATCCTTCTTCACTTATCATTATCATTTTCTCATAGCATCAAAAATTCTTCAAAACGTACTTGGAAAAAGTGCCGTAATTTATTTACTTATTCCACTATTGTTGAAAATGTATGCTGTTTCAAGGTTTTATTTGCCCTATTACAAACAATTCTCTGATGATATTCTTTATGTATAAATATTTATCGGAATCTATTAGTATTTTCTTAGTGTAGTTTCCTAAAAGTAGAATCAGTTCCTTACGTGTGATCCTATTTATATCTCTTTATATATACATATATATTCAAATTGATCTTCAGCATTTTTAAAAGCTGATATATATTGAATGCTTTCTCTGTGCCAGGCACTTTTCCAGCAGTCTTATTTGTATTGACTCATTTAAACCTGGCCACTCTATGATAAGCTGTGAGGAAAGGATATGCTTTAGCTATGAGTGAAGAAATTGGTTCCATATTGGATAAGCTAGAAGCAGCACATTCTCCAAGCATACCTTCTGAAACTGGAGCTTTTCTCATGTCTTCAGAAGAGGTAGTCACACCAGTGATAAGAATCTGGGGATGATACTGTGGTTTTAGGAGGAGGAATATTAAATTGAGGTAAGTGATCAAATCCATCAAGGGATTCAGCCCCTGTATCCAGGAAAAGGGGTTGATGGACTAGGGAGGCTTGGGGTTGTCCTCTGTATGACAGTAAGTTCCTAGAGCAGCAAAACAATCCTTAAAATTAGTTAGAAGGAGAAGCTGGGTCCAGCCATTACATTTCTAATATTATTTCTTACAGCAAGTGATTTTTCTATTCCTAGTTAACTCCTAGGTTTGAGGGTTCCTGATATTTCATACAAGAAGAAATTATTTCATTTTCTTTTGGGTAAGGACATCAGCAGATGGGTGACTGCAGGCAATTGAGGTGGGGCACCTTCCATGGGAGAGAACCAGGGATTCTACCATAGGAGGCCCGATTGGAGTCAGGATCTGCCTCCCGCCCATGATGCCTGGGCTAGAAGCTGTTGCTCAGTTCAGTGTTTGTTGAGCCCTTTCCATGTATTGGCTGGTACTGGGCACACAAGTGCATAAGAAAGAAGCCTCGGGTATTGCTATGCCCCTCACAAGGTTTTTCATACAACATGCATTATTTAATTTGCTAATGTGTGTGTAGGGGGGCTTTTGCTTTGTAAACATCCACTGCTGAAAATATTCCTAGACCTGGCAAGGGTCCTCTGGAAGACCGAAATTTCATAATTGCCCTGAAAACTCTCCAGGCCATGTACTCTGCTCAGGATGGAACAATCCTATGTAATAAATGTAACCGCAGCTCTGTCCCTGGCTTCTGTGGTCAGGCCAATGATCTGTAGCTGGGCAATGTTGGCTTCAGAATTTCTTGCACGATGGAAAGATGGAAACATTTGTGTGGGAATTTAGTCACTGCTGGACCTTACAGATTCAGCTCCTAGCTGTTGCTGAGCTTTGTCTGGAGATAAGCAGATTCTGCCCAAGGCCATGGTGAGGAATGTTTCTCCCACTCCCACCATCTTGAATTTTGCCCTGACCTGGACACCTGACCCTCCCATTTACTTTTTTCTTGAAAGTAATTCTGTGTCTCAATTTCTGAATGTGCACAATAGTTACTAAACTTTGTATTGTCCTTCACCTCTTGTGACACCCTAGCATCACTTCACTATAATGTCGAACCTCAATTACCCAAGGTATAATTCACTCCTAAGGAGTGAATGAGGTGCTTTGTAAAGCCGTGGTAATTTTTCAGGTCATTAAGATATTGTTTTGAACTCAGAAGAAATTCCTAAGTTTGTCTTGAGTGGGTTTCTTTTCTAGCTATTCTTTACAAATAGCTTTAGGTTTAAAGCTGCTGAAATTAATTTATTACATTTTGGAGGTTGCCATCTTCCCATCATTTTTTGCATTCTTGTTTCACCTCTTCTTTGTTGTTGTAGTTGCTCTTTACTATTTTTTTGTCAAATAAGAAAATGAGATACGGGATGGAAGGAAAGTTATTTTCATGTCTGATTTATTCTGGGGTTTTTTTTTTTTTTTTTTGAGTCCATTTTGGCTCCATACTACTGTAGCCTGAGGCCACAACTTCTTCTTTTGTGGATCCCAGGGAAAAAAGTAAGTAGAGTCTTTTTTCTTGCCAAAAATTTTTTCCTTCTAAACTTTTCTCTTAAATTCTCTTGAATTCTACTGCACTTCAGGCTAGAATCAGAATGATTTTTTTCTTTTAAGAAATCTGGTTATGAAAGAGTATGCCATTCAGAAGAGCTTTCCGTTTGTACTGGAATCCTCTCTGGGGAAAGTGGGGCTTGCTTCCCTAAAGTCCTTCCGAGGTCATAGGCACATTCCACCCTGTGTAGGTTCAAGGTAGGGTGAGAGAACTGAACAGATATCCTTAAAAGAAGATACACAAAGGGCACATGTGTACAAGAAAATGTGCTTAACATCATTAGTCATGGGAGAAATGCAAATTTAAAACACAACGGAATATCACTTCTCTCCCTTTAGAATGGCTAAAATTAAAAAGACTGACAAAACCGGGTAGAACTCCTCATAGATTGCTGGTGAGAACAAAAAATACTTTCTTTGGAAAACCGTTTGACAAGTTCTTTAAAGGCAAATGTACACTTACTATAGGACCCAGTAAACTTCAAGCGTTTACTCAAGAGAAATGGAAACATATGTCCACATAAATATTCAAATGTTCATGGCAGCTTTATTCATAATAACCCCAAATCTGAAACAACCCAAATATCTATCAACTGGTAAATGGATAAACAAATTGTCGCATATCCATCCAATGGAATACTACTCAGCAGGAAAAAGGAACAATTGCTGACACATGCCAGAACATGGATACATCTAAAATGCATAAAGCTAAGTGAAAGAAGCTAGATTTAAAAGGGTACAAACTGTGTGATTCCATTTACAGGACGTTCTGGAAAAGCAAAGCTATTGTGATTGAGAGCAGATCAGTGATTTCCTGGGTCCAGGGAATGGGGTGGGGATTAACTAGCAAAGGGCAAAAGGGAATCTCTAAAGAGAGATGGAAATATCCTACATCTTGATGGTGATCATGGTTACACAAGTGCACATTTAAAATGATTGTTGGAATACTGCACTATAGTCAAGCAATAATGTGGTTTCTCCACATTGCCCTTGATCCAGGTTGAGCGGCATAGGCTGCACAGCAGGCCTTCTGTGGTAGTTACTTGCATAAGTCAGGGCTGGGCCTGGCTGCTCCTGGTTTGCAGGCCTGAGAGGACAGGCTGTTTCTGAGTTTTCTGGAGGTTGGGGTCAATTGGCAGACATAACTCCAGGACTGACTTTGAACCAAAAGACCAGGTCGGGGAGGGAGCCAGCCCTCATGGAGCAGGGTCTCAGGGAGACTTGGCATGTCCGGAAGGTCTTCCCTGATTCCTTCAGGCCGGAGATGGCCAAGGGTTCCCTGGGGACTACCCTGTGGAGGCCAAGTTGTCCAGCAAGAGGGTTAGAAACACAAGGCGCCTGGAGACCATGCAGCGTCGCTGCACCCAGCCTGCATTTCAAACAACCTGTACTTATTGAGGAAAAATTCATTTTCCTTCTCTTATCAATCAAGGATATAGGTAACACCACCCATCTACACTTCCAGTTCTCTGGCGAGAATCCGTTTTACCACACCAAGTGGATAGAATTCCACAGGTAAGCAAACCAAGTCAACATTCAGTTGTCCTGTGCGATATCTTTTACGATGTGTTGGAAAATAGCTGGGCGATGCCCTTCTCCCACTCCAACCACTGCTCCCCAAGGACCAGGGACCTTTTATTGGTAGTGATGATCTAGTCTACCTTCCTTATGTCACAGTTGAAGAAACTGGGACCCAGAAAGGCCACCTGACATGCCCCAAACCATGCATCCAGGTAGAAACTCTGGGCTCTCCTGACATTCAAGCCAGCATCCTTCTACTGTGCTGGAGGACAGAGGTTCCGACCCTCTTCCCTGCCATGTTCTAGGACTCTTCCTATCTCTGTTAAAGCTCAGAGGGCTTACATTCCATGCCACATAAAGGCCGATGCCTCCAAATAAGGCCTCTGATCGGCACAAGAGGAAACAGGTCTTGAATCACAGAAGACAGTAGACTGGGTCTTGAATCACGGAAGACAGCTGACTGGGGCATCCTCTTGTCTATGGAAAATACCCCGAAACAATTGGGGTGACCAGGGTAGTAAAAACAGAGTCCCATGACCTTCACCCTTCAAACACCTGGCAGAGCTGCTGTCTGCTGGTGTCATTCTCAGACTAGATTTTTTTCTTTCTCTCCCAGAGGTAGCACTAGGAGAATCCTTACCCAGCTAAGGGGGCTGTGATGCTGGCATCTGACCACGGTTAGGCCAGGGAGGCTCCCCAGGAGCTGGACAATCACAGGCCCTTCAGCTGCTCTTGCCATGAGAGATCTTGGCTTACAGTCAAGTTGCCAAGCGCTGTTTTGATTGGCAAATTAATCCCATTGTGTTCTTGTTCCAAAACTTTATTTGATATATCATGACTATCTAGCTCCTGGCTTTGAGCTTCATTTGACCTTATCCTTCATTCCTGTACCAGACATAAACTACACAATTGCCAAGTGAAGCTTACAAGGAATAGAAGGAGGGGTGGGGGCAGAGGACCTTCGACATCACAGTCAAGGGATCTAGGAATATGCAAGTCCTGTCTCAGCCCAGAGCCACCTACCTCATGAAGTTACTGCTGGAGACAAGGATCCTGGGTGCCCTGGCAGGTAGGGACAGGCACTGCTTTAGTATTGGCAGTGATTGTACCTGTAAAAGGAAAATCAGGGCCACTCCGTCCTCCAGGTCAGCTGCCAGAAGATGAATTGGGTGCCTTATACTCAGTGAGAAAAGAAGAGAAGATTGCTGCTTCCTTTCCAGTCTGGACCCGTGGATGGAAGAAACTCAAGTTGGGCCCATGCCCTGAGCGTGGCTTGTTACTGCACAGCAGAAGCGGTTAGGAGCTTGGGCTCTAGCTGGGTATGGTGGTGCGTGCCTGTAGTCCCAGCTACTTGGGAGGTTGAGGTGGGAGGATCACCTGAGCGAGGTCGAGACTGCAGTGAGCAGTGATTGTGCCACTGCACTCCAGCTCAGGTGACAGAGCCAAACCCTGTCAAAGAAAAAAAAAGGCACCGAGCTCTGGAGCCAGATTGCCTGGCTTAAATCCCAGCTCTGCTACTTATTAACTGTGTGACCTTGGGCTAGTTATTTAACCTCTCTGTGTCTCAACTATATAATAAGACTAACAGTAGTACCTACCTTATAGGATTATTATGAGTGACAGATATGTGCCCCTGAGACGTGTTTTTAGGCCGGATTTAATCATGCAAAAAGAAAAGTGAGAGTGAGAGCAGAGGTGACCTGGGAACGCCTGGCTGTTCTGCAGGAATGTTCCCCTCCCTGGAGCTGGAATCTGGGCAAAGATAAACGCTTGCAGCATGAGGAAAGCATTAAGCATTAACTTGGCCAAACAGCCCAAGGTTATTCTTTTTTTTTTTTTTTTGAGACAGAGTTTTGCTCTTGTCACTCAGGCTGGAGTGCAATGGGGTGGTCTCGGCTCACTGCAACCTCTGCCTCTCGAGTTCAAGCGATTCTCCTGCCTCGGCCTCCCGAGTAGCTGGGATTACAGGCAGTAAACCGTGGGTGGGGAGTGTGGGCTGAAAGCATGTTGGATGTGCTCTTTGGGGCAGAGGTTTGGGGGCTGCCTGATGAGAAAATGGGCCTGATCTAGTCCTTGAACCTCCCTAGGGCTTCCCCATGTGCGGACCTGCGGCTGAGAGGGCTGGCTCTTGGGTATGCTTTTAGAGACTGAAGGCCCACCCTGATCCCATTCATTCATTCATTCATTCATTAATTCATTTATTCATTCAACCACACATTTATTAAGCACCTACTATGTGTCAGGGATTGTGAATACACTGTGATACCTAACAGTGAATAAGACAGACCATGCTTTCAAAAAGCTCATGGTCTTATGGTAGAGGCAAGTAAATAAACAACTGTCACACAGTTTGGAAAGTGTTGTGTTGGCCGAAGAATAGGAAAGTGCCCACCCAGCCATAAGGTGGCTGGTGTAAAGGCAGCCAGATGAACTCCATTGGTGGGTGGTACCGCCAGCTCCTCAGATAATCTTGGGAATTTTAATCAAAGGCTGGCCCTGATGGGAG
This sequence comes from Homo sapiens, assembly GCF_000001405.40. Taxonomy (NCBI): domain Eukaryota; kingdom Metazoa; phylum Chordata; class Mammalia; order Primates; family Hominidae; genus Homo; species Homo sapiens. Next base: position 58,527,476 of record NC_000015.10, on the reverse strand, counting down.
GGAAGGATTATGAAATGTAGGGGGAAGGTGAGCTTATGTGTGGCCAATATGGTCACCTCTAGACTCACAGAGGTTGAGGTCATGGCTGCAGCATGCACCCTGTGCCCTTCAGCTTTCCTGAGGCGCTTGGTGACTCTCATCTTCTTTGAGACTTGCCTGACCCTGGGGTCTGCAGCACAGCGGTTCCTATCCTAGGCATGTTAATTTCCTCATGAAGAAATAAGGAGGGGTTCAGTGACTGCCAAGGCCCACAACTGGCTAAAAAAGCAAACCAGGACCAGAATTCGATTTCTCCGCACATCTAAGTTCTGAGACTATAAAAGTTTTCTGGGCATGTGCACTATTTCCCCTAAGATATTCTTTTGGACCTGTATCCTCCCTTCACCACCCATATCTGGAGGCCCAGCTGACTGCTGCCTGCCCACTTCAGACCACGGGCAGGTACCCGACAGTTTCCAGGTTGCCATAGGGAGCAATGGCAGAGGCAGGGTAGTGGAGTGGCCAGTGGGGCGGGCACTGGCTTTGGAGCCAGTCAGTTCTGTGTTTGATTGTTTAACACTTATTAGCTGTATGGCCTTGGGAAGCTTGCTTAACCAGTAGGAGCCTCAACTTCCTTCTTCTAAGTTGGAAATAGGAAGACCGTCTTGTGTGGGTGGTAGTGAGGATGAACGAAGTTGATGAAATATCTAGTCCAGGGGTTGGCATTCAATGTGTTGTTTCCCTTTCCAAACTTGCCTAAGATCTCTTCCTTCTCATGTCTCAACCCAACATAGTTCCTTCCAGATATTTGTGGGTACTTATCCACCAAGGTCTTTGCCAGCCTATTTGGTACCTCTCTGTGAATTCTGTGCACCTGCTTTAGGTAGCACACTGCCTTAGCTGTGTAGCTTGGCGCGGTGCCTTTGTGCCAAGAAAAGGAGGCCCCTCCTTGGAGTGAGGATTTCAGCCTCCCATCTTCCATTTGGCCAGGTTGTTCTGGGCAAGAGAAATCTACTGGGCTTAGGTGGCAGCTCTGGAGCCTACTTGGCTGAGTCCCTACCTCCACCAGCTAGGGTGCTCCAGCTGTGGGATGCTCTGTCTGAATCAGGCACCTCGAGGAGCCAAACTAGGCTACCGGTTAACACTCTCTGCTAATGAGGAAATCAGTCTGACTGCAAAACACTCCAGCCAGGGTTCTGCCCTTACACCACTGCTAAGGAAACACTCATCCTCACAGCCTCCCTGATATATTACCTAACTTTTTACATTTGTGAGCAGTGGTTCTCATGTATTCATGTGCTGGAGATGCAGACTCCTGGGTGCCATTCCCAGAGCAGCTGATTCAGTAGGTCTGGGAGGCCTGGGAATTTGCATCATCCCAGGGTGGCAGATCATTCTGAGAAGAAGTTGCCCAGTGGTGAAGAGTATGAGTTTTGGAACCAGGCTGGGATCCAAAGCTTGGCTCTGCCGCTAATGAGCCACAATTCTGGGCACGTTTACAGATGGTTTCCTCATGGGGTTGTAAGTGAATGAGATAAACGTGTAAAGTACCTCCCACAATGCCTGGTATATAGCAGGTTCTCAATGAATAAAGGTGGCCCTGGTGGCATTGGTGGTAGTAGAAGTAGGCATTGATATTGCTATTGTAACATCTTCCTCCTTGAAGGGTTCTTCTGCACCTGATCAGTAACAGATCATGAGGAGACAGAATATCAGACAGGATAACTCTTTATGTTGAGGTTATCTGGGATCACCCTCATTTAAACAGATTGGATGGACCAGAAGATCAGTGCTGAGAATCTTCAGGGCAAAGTCCAAACCTCCAGGAAGACATAGGTCTCCTATTTGGCCTTTCCCCAGAACACCGGCCTCAAAGGGGTACATAGACATGGCCTACTGGGACTCTCCCAGAAGGCCTTGCACCCCTGCCTCTGCCTTGTTTGGGGAGTGGGCTGTGCTTGCCTCTTTCCCTGGTTGGATGCCTGCAGGCATATATTGGCCTCCTTGTAGGAGAGAAGAGAATAAAACATGACAGTGAGCAAGGAGAGCCCCAGTGACAGAGCTCAGCTTGCCAGTAAATGGCCAGGGGAGCTCTGAACTAAAAAGGACTATGGGGGAAGATTTGTCCTATTTCATACTAACACGTACCGTAAAGATTCAGTAATTCAAGCTGTGTATACAGGAGCTTGGATAAAGAAGCAGAATAGAAACCCAGAACACTCAAATGCATATGTTTGCATTCAGTATTTGATAGAAGTGACTTCTCAAATTGGCCAGGTTGTTCTGGGCAGTGGAAATCTAATTTCTCAAAGTGCTGGGGTAAAGATGGACTTTAAAAAATAGTATTGGGAGATCTGGAAAAAGATGAAAAGTTATAAGTTTGGTCCATACCTCTCATCATACATCAGGAAAAACTCCAAATGGATCCAATTTTTAAATGAAATAACAGGAATCATAAAATGACCAGAAAAAAAATATGGGCTAATTCCTTGATAACCTTTTGAATAAGAATCTCCCTCTGTGATTCAAAATTCAGAAGCTGTAAAAGATTGTTAAATTAGACTACATTAAAGCAAACAAAAAACTTCTGTATGACCAACTAAATTAAAAAAAGACCATAAGCAGAGGCAAAAAATGAACAATAAAGTGAGAAAAAATAATTGCAACTCATAACACAAAGGGCGAATATCCCCGATATCTATAGAATGCCTAGAAATCAAGGAGACCAAGGACAGCAACCCACAGAACAAAAAATGGGCCAACCAAGGACATGAGGAGCCGTTTCACAGAAAAAGGAATATGAATGGCCCTTTGACATATGAAAAGATCCTCAACCTCACTCCTAAGATGAAAAATACAAAGTAAATATATACTGAGACACAAGTCTCAACCATCAGATTGGTAAACATTAAAAAGTGTGACCACACACCTTGATGGAGACACTGGCAGGAATGCAAAATGGTGCAACTCCAATGGAGAGGGATTTGGCAACAGCTATGAAAGTTACAAATGCATTTTCTCTTTACTCAGCATTTCCTGCATGGGACTCTACCCTGTGGCTATATCTGCACACTTACGAAATGAAATTAATGCAAGGTCATTCATTGCAGGATTGTCTGTAATTGTAAAATACTGGAAACATCCCAAGTGTCCATCTAGTGTCTAGATAACTGAACGGGGACATATCCCTCAATGGAATACTTTGCAGCTTGACTAAAGAAACACTCTGTACTGATTTGAAAAGATTTCTAGAATGTACTGCTGAGTTGCCAAAGTAAGGTGCAGAACAGTATCTAAAGTGTGATACTTTTGTGGAAGGGTGGGGGCATAAGTAAATAACTCCATGTTGGCTTTCAGCTGCGTAAGGTTATGTTGGAACGATACAGATGAGATGAATATAAGTGGTTACCCATGGTGGGAAAGGGGGAGGAGGGAATGGATATGGACATCGTGGGATGGGGGTGAGATTTTGCAAATCTATTCTATTTTACATTCTTTTAATTTCTGAGCCATGTTAGTATTTACTTCCTTAAAAGAATTTCTTTTCTTTTATTTCTTTGTATTTTTAGAGACAAGTTCTGGCTCTGTTGCCTGGGCTGGAGTGTAGTGATCGTAGCTCACTGCAGCCTTGACCTCTTGGGCTCAAGCGATCCTCCCTCCTCAGCTTCTCAAGTAGCTGGGATCGCAGGCACATGCCACCAGCCCTGCTCCACTAGCTAATTTATTTATTTATTTATTTATCATAGACACAGGGCCTCACTGTGTTGCTCAGGCTGGTCTCAAACTCCTGGCCTCAAGTGATCCTCCTGCCTCGGGCTCCCAAAGTGTTGGGATTATAGGCGTGAGCCTCTGTGCCTGGCCTGAAAAATAATTTTAAATAAAAAAAAAATCCCAGCTTGTTTCCTGCTTGCACTTTCCATGATAACTATTTCTCTGGATGCTGTTCACCTACCCCTGCAGCCCCTTCATGCCCCAGAGAACTCTGGGAGTAGCTCTCTTGCTGTCTGACTGTGGAGTCAAAGGGTCCACTCACCTCGTCTGTCTTCTTGGCTTACGTGTCTGTCTAGCTAGATGCTGACCTTCTTGCCTTCAGTTGCACCTTCACCGACTTGGGTCCTAGTGGCCCTTGATTTCAGCTATTTAATAGGTCAGGGGGTCAGTTTCCTTCTGAGAGTAAAGGTGACCTGAGAGAGGAAAGGTGGCCCCCACAGAGAACTCCCCACATCAGCTGCTTCATCTCTGGCAGAACTGACTCGGCAGATGGCAAAGTGCTTGGAGCCACCGGAAGCCAAGGTGCAGAGAATTCTGTGGAAGGAAGCTGGCTTGCAGCTCAGAAGCTGGGCAGCGAGGGCTGCTGGAACATAGAGGTGCCCGCTCATTTGGCAGGGGTGCCCAGAGCGAGAGGAAGTGGGGCTCCTCAGTTAGGAAGCTTTGTCAGACATCCCCCTACTGCCCCAGGGCTTCACAGAGGCCCTGGAGAGACTGATGCTTCCCCAGCAGCCGGTCCATCTGGGCTGGTGCTCACGCAGCTCTGGGAGCTAGGATATTTTAGATGTGTCAAAAGTGACGAATGTTGGAAAGTGCCACGGGCATCTCTGGGAGCTCACAGTTCACACTGGCAGCTAAGATGTGCCGAGCTTTTTGGAAGAAACTGAACTCTGGAGGAAACTGAGAAGTCTTTTGCTGTCCCAGATGTGGGTGGCAATGGGATGGGCTCTGCAAGGGGACAGAGCCCCGACATCAATAAAGATGGGGCTGGGCCATAGCAATGCCTGAGGTCTTGGCAGAAAGAAGTGGCATTCTGAGAGGGCAGCAGGGGCAGGAAGGAGCAGGAACGTGTGGATTTAGAAGCAGGCACGCAGGGGCCTGAGGTTGGAGTCAGCAGAGCTTGCAGCTGGCAGCACCGGGGGCTGTGGAGTCGGGCCTGTTCAGTTCCGCTTGCCAGGATGGAACAGGGGCAGCAGCCAGAGCCAGCCTGAGGCTGGAGGTGAGCCCGGGGCCTTCGCCCACAGTGAGGCTGGAACAAGGCTCCAGTGTGTCTGGATTTGAAAACACCCCAGGGAATGTGTTACTAGAATTCAACATCTACCCCGAATATAATGCATCCTAAGACGAGGGTGCCTTGGTGTTCTGTTTGCAGCATGGCCTTGGTTTGCGTGTAGTGTCACTGGTTCTCTGCCTCTGCAGGGAGATGGCTTGTCCCATGCTACCCAGCCAGGGAGGTGGCTCGTCCCAAGCTGGGGGTGGAGGAAGCTGAGGCAGTGGCTGGGAGAGAAGGTGTAGGATCAGGCTTAGGCGAGTCACAGAGAAGGAGGAGAGTCAAAGAGAAGGGATCCTCACTATGGACCAGTGGGGTTCTGGGGTGGTGGGGGTACAGGACCAAGTTGGGCCAGCCCAGCCTGTCTTCTGCTGAATGATGAATGGGGCTGGGGTGTCAGGGATGGATGGAGAAGCTAGCACCAACTCTACCTGCCCCAGGTGCTTTCTGATGAAGACGCAAACTCTCTTCTGGTTATTGTTCTTCACAACCTCCCGTCTCCCTGCAAACTCACACAACCAGGAAGGAAAGAGAGAGAGAGAGAGAGAGAGAGATGACAGAGCGTTCCTAGTCATCTTTGTCATCCTCCCCATCATGATTATGATCATCGTCATCCATGCCTGGACTTCTTATATAACCTGCTTAACTTGTTGAGGGCTGAACTTGTCTTTCCACCTCCTACCTTCAACCAGCTTTTGCTAACTTCCTCATTCTGCTCACACATTCCTCTCTTCCAGGCACTGGCTCACCCCCCACTGAGTCATCTTCCACTCCCCCTTCCTCTTTCTTCCCCTCCTACTATCAGCAACTCACTGTAGCATGACCGCCTGCAACTGCTTCCTGGGAGGATCCGCTTCCAGTCCCCTCTGTTCACACGCTCTCCATCCTGCGACACGCGGCTCCAGCCATAGCTGCTCGCAGGTCCCGGATGCCTCTGTGCCTTTGCTTCTGCAATTCCTTCTGCTTGGAACCTCTCTCCTCTTCCTACACCTTAGCCCTCAACCTTGGAGGAATTAGAATGTATGGATAGTTCTCTTGACAGCTGGTCGGGGTGGGGCCCTTCTCTGTGCTCCCCAATCCCCTGTTCAGACCTTGAGGATGGGGCTGTTTATTTCCCATTTCATGACTAGGCTCTAAGCTGTACGTGTCTTATGCATCTGTGTGGTCCCAGCACAAGGCCTGCACAGAGGTGGGTTATCTGCTGAATTGATTTAACAGGATAATTCATTTTCTGCCCTTCCTAGGGAAAGATTTGTCACGGTGAGCCAATACCAGGGGGAAGGGGAGAACAGAGGCAGGGGCCTGCTCTGCTTTACTTCTCACACCCACAGTCCCCTTCCTATGGTCAGGAGCCACTGGCCAGCAACACAGCAACTCCTGCCTCTGTCCGCCCTCTAGGAATGAGCTGAAAGAAAGGCACCAACAGACAACAAGCAAGTTCCGGATATTCTTTGGAATCATGGGTGGTCCTTGTTTCGCCCTCATCTTAAAGCCCTCCAGACCCCAAACCAGTGTCCTTCTCCCTCCTCCCTTCCTTTTCTAGAATTCCTCATTTATTTTGAGCCTTATAACTCAGTCTTTAAAAATTGCCTTTGTGAAGGCTTTTCTGATCTCAAACTGTTTCCTGTGATATTAATAGGAGTTATGGGGAAAAAGGAGTTTTGTGGCCAAATAAATATGGGAAGTGTCGTATTAAGCGGCATTAATCAGGCTTCCTGCTGGCCCGAGAGAAGAAGCTACTGTGAATTTAATCTCTAGAAGGGGCAGATGGTATACAGCGGCTCTCAACCTCAATTACTTTGAAGCAAGCTGCCCCCGCCCTCCGTATTTCCTTTTTTGGCCAAGCGTTTCTGGGACTGATAGTCCATAGGATGCAACTGAGGAAATTCTGTCTGGGGCAGCTTTCCAGCGGGCTTGTATACTGTTGAGCTGTGCTCACACTCACCTCTGTGTGCTGGGGTTTCGAAGGCTAGTCCTCCCTGCTTTCATGGAGGCAAGGCTTTATGTGTAGGGGAGAGGGCTGAGCGCTTTAAGAGCAGGAAATGAGTTTCTAAATAGGCACATCGAATGGTTTAGACGTTGTGCTCTAGCATCCCAAGGCCAAGGATCTTGTGGAACTACTTTGGGGGCTGCTACAGGAGATGGCAGAGGACACAGAAGTTAAAAGGGTGGGTTCCTGACTGCCCGCCCACCTTGTTTCAACCCAAACAAAATTGCTTTTAGGTTTTAACATTTGCTGCTTGAGATTCTGTTTGTAGGAAGGTTTCCATGGCTGACACACATTCAAAGACCACAAATCTAGACCAATCACTTCAATTAACAGATTAAAAAAAAAACAAAAAAAAAACAGCCCAAAACCTGAGGTGCCGAAAAGCTAAAACAGATATCAATCAATCACATCACTAGATGCTGGATGTAGAGTCCAAGTTTCTGGACCTACCATCTAATGCTCTTTCTACGCACCCTTGCATTTGTTTATTTCCTTCTGACTCGGCCAGTTTCAAAAGAGAAGAATAAAAGATAGCAAGGAGCAAATAGCAGCGAAGATAACGGGATAAATCCACCAAGAAATAGCGGGGGAAAGGTAAAGAGAAATCCCACCTGCCCCCCATCTGATCTGTTTCACTGCAGTTCTTCTTATGCTCCACCTTAAAATGTAAAGAAACGGATGCTAAGAGCAAGGGCTGCTGATGCCAAGAATAACTCCGGAGGAGACACAATACACCACCCCAGTCTCCAGTGAAATGAACTGTTTAATCAAAACTGCGCTATTCTGTAAATATTCAGTCTATTGATGAAGAGCTCTGCAAACAGGGGCAGCTCCTAAGCAAGGCAGAGAGAACCTGGAAGGAACTGAAGAAGACAGAGAAAAATGGCAGATGTGCCTGTCTTGATGGTTGGGGTGGGAGGACTTACATATACACTCTGTGTTCAATGCATGGGAGGTGAGGCAGAGGGGGCAGCAGAGAAATTCAGAGTAACTCTCTTAATCCTTGGCTTTGCCTGACTGGCTAGAAGTGTAGTTCTTTTTTTTCTTTTTTTTTTTTTTGAGACAGAGTCTCTCTGTGTCACCCAGGCTGGAGTGCAGTGGCACAATCTCGGCTCACTGCAAGCTCCGCCTCCCGGGTTCACGCCATTCTCCTGCTTTGGCCTCCCGAGTAGCTGGGACTACAGGCACCTGCCACCACGCTCGGCTAATTTTTTTTTGTATTTTTAGTAGAGAAAGGGTTTCACCATATTAGCCAGGATGGTCTCGATCTCCTGACCTCGTGATCTGCCTGCCTCGGCCTCCTGAAGTTCTGGGATTACAGGCGTGAGCCACTGCGCTTGGCTGAAGTGTAGTTCTGTTAATTATAATGATGCAAATACTTATTGTGCACTTCCTGTATACCCTGTGTAGTTTATTAACTTTTCACAAAATGCTCTAAGGTAACCAGAGTCATCGTCAGGGATGAAACTTAGACAATTTGGTTCTAGAGTCAACATTCTTTTCTTTTCTTTTTCTTTCTTTTTTTTTTTAGGTGACGAATCGTAAGTGTATAGCTCTGTGAGTGTTGTGAGTGTCTATTATGTTTACAACCACCGTAACCACCACCACCATCAAGGCAGAGAACATTTCTATTCTCTGAAACGTGTCTCCAGGCAACACCACCAGCAGATGTAACTGTTCAGACTTCCATCACCGGAGATTAGTTTTGCCTGCTCTTGAACTTCGAGTTAGTAGATTCACACAATAGATGCTCTTTTGGGCCTGGCTCTTCTCACCCAACATTAAGTGAGATTCATCCACGTTGTGGTATGTGCAGAGCCTGCATCTTAACTGCTCTGTTCTGCCTCTCATCACATTAACTAATTCCGTGTTGCCTTCCAGAAATGTTTCCTTGGAAAGTGGATTGGGTTTTGCAGAGCTGACTGAGCCTGAAGGAGTGGAGCGAGAACACAGAAGGTTAAGTTCAGAGGGTGGCCCAGAAGAGAACTTTTTAGATAACTCCCTGGTGCTGCACAATTCTGTCTCTCACGGCCAAGTTTCGTGGTCCCAGACTCACTGGTATCAGCACAAGTTCCTCTTTTGATTTTGTTTCTCCTTTCACAGAACTAACTTAATCACCACTGCTTTCTCAAACACGTGGACAGCATTCTCAGGCATCATTTAGGGCAGTGGTTTTCAACTGAGGGGTAAGTTTGCTCTGCTGTTACCTTCCCCCACCTTGGGGCATTTGGAAACATGGCAACACCTGGAGATAGTTTTGGTTGTCAAAACAGGGGGCAAGGGGAGTTCTACTGGCATTAGTGGGTAGAGGCCAGGGATACTGCTCAACACCCTTCAATGCACAGGACAGCCTCTCACAACAAAGAATTATCCAGCCCCAAATGTTAAGTGTGCTGTGATCAAGAAGTCCTGGTCTAGGGTCAACACAGGAAGTTGGTGGCTGTTCCCTTTTCTGATATAGTAAGAGAGCAGACACAGCGGAATGAATAGAGCTCTTGACCAAGAGTCAGAAGATCTGGGTTCAGGGCCCCACTTTGCACCAACTAGCTGTCTGACCTTGTTGAGATCATTTAACCTCCGCAAGGCTGATTTCCTCGTCTGTCACTTAGGAGCTGTGACGCCTGCCTTTCTTACTTACACGCTTGTTGTCAGAATCACAAGTGAGAATGTCAGTGGAATCTCTTTGAAATGCTTACATGTTATTGTTTTATTTGACTGTGACAGCAAATCAAGCTTATATGGGTGTTTTTGTGTCTAATGTCAATGCAAGAATAGTTTCGGCAGGGTTTCTGTTGCCCTGTGTTCAATTTCCAGGGTCATAGCCTCCTTCTCACATTTGTGTGGGAAAGGAGCTCATATACAAAGGGTGTTTCCTGGAACTGTGGGCAGGGCTTCAAACATCCCTGCAATTCTCTAAGCCTGCAGCTCTCCACACTGAAACTTGTGGTCTAGAAATTCTCTTTTAAATGCTTGTGAGACCTCTGAAGGGGTTCGCTCCAGAAAAGCAGGGCCTTTTTAGCACTGAAAGTTGGATTTTATTTTGCCACATAAGAGACTTAGGGCTGTCGCCCCTCCTGGGTGAAGATATGCAGTGTTATGGCAACATCAGTCTGATAGAACGTTGTTGAGCTCAATGTGCTGTGCCACATAGTGGAGAGAGGGGGCACAATTCTCTCTGAGAGGCAAGAGCCCTGGTGCTGTGCAAGCTGGCACCAAAACAACATTGGGTATTGGTCAAAACCTTGGGGATCTTTGCCTTGTGAATACACAGGAGAGTGAGGTGAGGCAGTTAACAGTTCTACTCAAACACAATTGTTGAAGGGAGACTTAGTAAGGAATAGTGTGGGACATGGATATTTTGTCATCATTAACAACATAAACAGTGTTTGGATTCAAGGGGCAAATTTGCCCTAGACTAAAGGCTGTTCTGGTCCCATCTAACAAAGTTTTAAAGCAAGTCTCAAAAGGGTCAAACTATTTCCAAGTAATTTAACTGCACCCCAGGACAAAGCTGAAGAACATTTAAAATAATGTAGGAATACCCAGCACCAATTAGGTAAAATTCACAATGTCCGGTATCTAGTCAAAAATTACCAGGCATGCAAAGAAGCAGGAAAATACAACCCATAATGAAGAGAAAAATCAATCAATCAAAACCAACCTAGAATTGTTATAGATGGTAAAATTAGTCCACAAGAACATTAAAACAGTTCTTATAACTATATTTCATTTATTCAAGATGGTAGAAGAAAATGTAAGCATGCTAAGAAGAAATATGGGAGATATAAGAAGTCTAAACTGAACTTCTAGAGATTCAAAAATCAATGTCTGAGATATGAAATACATTAGGTGGGATGAATAACAGATTACACATTGCAGAAGAAAAGATTAGTGGACTTGAATTCACAGCAACAGAAACCATCCATTTGAAACACAGAGAATAAAGGCTGAAAATAAATTAACAGAACATCAGGGAGCTGTCGGGCAATTTTAAGAGGCCTCATATATATGTAATTGAAAATTCCAAAGGAGACAAGAAAGGGGACAGAAGAAATGCTTAAAGAAATAATAATGGTGGAAAAATATCTACGTTTGATGAAAGCACTAAATACATAGATCCAAGATGATCAATGATCTCAAAACACAAAAAATATGAGGGAAACTACACCAAGCCACAGAATAATCAAATTGCTGAAAACCAGTGACCAAAAAAAAAAAAAAAAAAAAAAAAAGAAGCTAGAGGTAAAAAGTCAAACTGCATACTCAGTGACAAAGATAAGAATTCAATAGACGTCTTCCCAGAAACGAGGCCTACCAGAAGACAATGGGGCAGCACCTTTAAGGTTCAAGCAAAGATGCGCAGAAAATCCCATTGCCTTGGGCTCCTTGTATGTTGGTAGATGTTGGGATGGAAACTCATCCTCAAAGCCTAGCCAGGTGTCAGCAAGAAACACAGTGCACTAACATGTGGTGGTCAGACGATGATTACAGCCCCGTGTTCGCGCTTATGAGAGAACAGGAAGTGAGATGAAGTAATGGAAAATTTCACAGTGACACTAAGAAGAGATCCGAGTTCTAGAACACACTGAATACATATTTTCCCTCAAAAGTGTCTTTCCTCTATCTGTCCCCAGCTCTGTGAGTGACATCCCCAAGCCATGAACTTTAGGCACCCTTGACCCCTACATTTCTCCTACCCTATTGCCGTTCAGCTCACTGATTTTTCTCAAAAATACCTCCATTTACTTTTTTTCCTCCAGATCTAATTCAGGCCCTCATTATGTCTCACAAACTCCCTATTTGACACTGGGATAGTTGTATTACTCCTCTGCCCCTTTATAGAATAAGGGGATTGGCTGATGATCTCCAAAGGCCCTTTTTGTTTTTTAAAGTATGGGTTTTGGTGATATTTTGAGATATATATATATATATATATGTGTGTGTATATGCAAAGACCTCTTTTATATCACACTAATGAAGCTCGATTCTGATGTGGTTATATCCAGAGAGGAGGAGGTTATGAGTTATGAATGTGCCCTGCACATAGTAGCTGCTCTATGGTATTTGCTGAGTAAAGAAATGAAAGAGTTTAAAGCAAAGCAAACAAAACTCCCATTCTTGCTCCAAATAGCTATGTTCTGCAGAACAGGATCCAGTTTATGGTAGGCTGAATAATGACCACCTCCAAATTTGTCCACATCTGAATCCCCAGAACCTAGAATATGTTACCTTATATGGAAAAGGGACTTTGCAGATGTGATTAAGGTAAGGATCTTGAGAGGGGGAGATTATCCTTGTTTCTTTGAATGGGCCCAATGTAATCACAAGGGTTCTTATAAGAAAGAGGCAAGAGGCTTAGAATCAGAGAGAGAAACTGGAAGATGCTATGCTGCTGGCTTTAAAGATATAGGAAGGAGCCACAAGCCAAGGAACGTAGGTGGCCTCTAGAAGCTGAAAAAGGTGAGGAAACGGATTCTGTCCTCAGAGTCTCCAGAAGAAACACAGTTCTGTTGACACCTTAATTTTAGGACTTTTGACTCCAGAACTGTAAGATAGTGTCAATTTAACTAATTAAATTTGTAGTAATTTGTTAACAGAAGCAATAGGAAACCGATATGCAGCCTTATTTCTGCATTAACTTTTTTTGAGATGGAGTGTCACTCTGTCGTCCAGGCTGGAGTGCTGTGGCACCATCTTGGCTCACCACAACCTCTGCCTCCTGGGTTCAGGCTGTTCTCCTGCCTCAGCCTCCGAAGTAGCTGGGATTACAGGTGTGCACCACCATGCCTGGCTAATTTTTGTATTTTTACTGGAGATGGGGTTTTGCCATGTTTGCCAGGCTGGTCTCAAACTCCTGACCTCAGGTGATCCTCCCGCCTTGGCCTCCCAAAGTGTTGGGATTCCAGACGTGAGCCACTGCACCTGGCCTGCATTAACTTTTTATACTTACTAGGAAAGAGGTTTAACCTTTCTGAGTCTCTGGTCTACTTTCAATCAAATAGCATTAAAAATGTCTTCTATATGAGATAAGGGTATAATGAAATAGTGCATAATCCTATTTGAAATAATATAAAATACTCCTTATAATACCAAATACTACTACTACTTCTACTACTACTGGTACTACTGGTACTGCTAATGCTTTGCAAATGCCTTATAGACATTGTTTGACTTTAATCACTAAACAATCTTATGAAGTAGCGATTGCTATCCACCTTCCACAGATGCTCAGCCAAGACTTAGAAAGGGCGAGAAGCGTGCTCAGCCACACAGCTAGAAAGTGGAGGAGCTGGAATCCCCATTACAAACAGGTGTTCTGGCTCCTTTAGTTATGCTGGCGATGATAAACTTGATGCCAGTGGGGGCTTTTACGATGATGCTTATTACTGTACCACTCTGTTGTCATTCTCTTCTCATGCCTCTTTCCTGTAACAACATCTGATTGCTTCACTCATCATATTCCAGCCTGTCACCAGCTCGTCACGGAAATGATTGAAATGCTACTAATTCTGCATTATGGCCTTCTGGCTGGGTGAACTTGGCAAAGGCTGGGGAGATGTTTGTGTATCTAAGAGCAAATGGCCCCGAGGTTTGGAAACGGAAATGCTCCTCCCACCACACCCAAGAGAAATGTGCATGGTGAGGAGTCCTGGGGTTCTCAGCCCCTTGTGAGTGGAGCCAGGACATAGATGCCAGCTGCCGTGGGGTTTCTCCAGAATTCTCAGCTGCACAACTGTGAACTGAGGGAGTTGCTTTGAGGCAGTGTGGCATACAACACCTTATCCTTTTATTTGAGGGACGTGCTAAAAGTTTAAGTAGTCAGCTTTCCAATCCTCATCCTCCTTCTTTCATTTACCTGTTTCCTCTTCCTTTTTCCTCCCATCACCTTTGATTCTGAATATTTCCCTCTGCTGTTCTGAGGTCTGTTTTTAGGGGGCTGGCTTGGCTAACAGGAGTTAGGACAGAAAGGGCCGGCTCTGCATGAGCTCTGCTTTCTGCAGCCCAGAGCAACGGTTTGCTTTGAAGATTGTTGAGAATATTTGGATTAATAAGATTTGTTCTAATATTTCCCTTCATTTCTGATCATCAAAGTGCTTGGAAGGTTTGAGCTGGTGCAGAGTTTCTTCTAGTTTGTCCTTGGGAGCAAGTGTCTGGAACAGGGTTGATTTAAAAATGTTTTCTGACTGAAGCCTTGTTAATGGGGCAGGCTGCAAATTCACATCAAGGGAGTGTCATCTTTCAAAGCAGCTTCTTGGCAGAAGGGGATGTGGAATATTAGAGAAATCTGAATCTGTTAAGCTTCCATTAAATGAACCCTTGATTCCAGACTGTGCTGAGCGGAACCTAGGGACTGTGGGCCGTGAGTAATTGACTTCTTCAGTGGCAGGATGCCTGAGAAAGGTCGAGCGTCCTTTGGGATGAAACATCCACCAGTTTGAAGGAGGTTTTTGCTTTTCTGTATTCCTCTGTGTCTCCTTTTCTATGTACTTTTACTTTTTTTTTTTTTTCGTTGATGCTTTGTGTTTTGCCCAATATAATGGAGATGAAAGGCGGAGGTCTTGTGCCGGGGTCTGGAGGATGTGTGTGGAACGACCCTCGTTGTCATAGGTCATCATTTTATGGCTGTCAGCCTTCCTCACATTGACTGTAAGTACCTTGAGGACAGGGGCAGGATTTTACCTTCCATCCCCTTTCCCCGCCTCCTACCTCGTTCCAGTGCCACTGTTGCTCAACCCATATTTGGCAACTTATCCCAGGGCGCCTCTGTCTGCTGAAGCTCTGACCCTGTGACCAGGCCACTTTAAGATGGGTGGGACAGGTCTGAGACTCCATCTGCCTTCCTAAAAGACTGCTGGATCTGGAGATGTCACCCTGTGGGCTGTGATTCCCGTGGCTTTTCCAGGTAGTCTCGCAGACCCAGCCGGCCCAGGCCATCCTTCTCACCTTCTCATATTGCTCCTGGTTCAAAGGCCCCATCCCCATTTTTCACATCTATTCCTGACTGATTTGCGTGGACTTTCTGTCTTAAAAAGCAAAATAAAACATTGTAGAAAACTTAGAGAAAAACAGCCAGGTGCAGTGGCTCATGCCTGTAATCCCAACAACACTTTGGTAGGCCGAGGCAGGTGGATGACCTGACGTCAGGAGTTCGAGACCAGCCTGGCAAACATGGTAAAACCCCATCTCTACTAAAAATACAAAAATTAGTCAGGCTTGGTGGCTCATGCCTGTAGTCTCAGCTACTGGGGAGGCTGAGGCAGGAGAATCGCTTGAACCTGGGAGAAGGAGGTTGCAGTGAGCTGAGATCATGCCATTGCACTCCAGCCTGGGGCAACAGATTGAGACTCCGTCTCAAAAAAAAAAAAGAAAAAGAAAAAAAAGAAAACATAGAGAAAATCACCAAAATTACCTGTATTCCCATAATCAGAGATAACTATTGTATTATGGTTGTGATTTCCTTCTAGGTTTTAAAATGCTGTGTGTGTCTCCATGTGTATGTTTGAGTTTAATTGTGTGTATGTGTGTGTATATATATAATTTAGAATCCTGATTTTATAACTCAATGTTTTGTCTTGAACACTCCCCCACGACATCAATAATTGGCAAGAGAGAATCCTAACGTGTGGTTGTACCAGAATTATAATATTTGAACAACCCTCTACTGTTGTAACTTAAGTTACAACCACAGTTTTTTCCAAATGTAAACCACACTGTGATGCAATCTTATTCATAGACCTTTCTCTATATCCCAGATTAATTCTCTTTGAATGAATTCCTGGAAATGGGATTACTAGATTAAGTGACATCAACTTTTAAAAAGACTCTCAATACCTATTGCCAGTTGTCAGCGCCAATTTAGCTTTGCTCATGCAAACCAGCAGGGTGCCCTTGTCTTCTGGACATAGTGGGTTTTACCAGTCATATGTATAGCTCTCCCCTGAGAACTTGCCTGGGCCCTAACCCTTGGGATGTGGTATTTATCATTCATGTTCCTGCAGCATCTGATGCCATCCCTGGAGAGCCCCACGTATGGGTAAATGCAATGCAATGGTAAATGCAATGCAATGGTAAATGCAATGGAATGATTTATTGCCTGCATCTCCTTGCGTTAGGGCCTTGGGGTTAGTGAGGATTCAGTTACTCTGCTTTCACCACACTCCCTCCCCAGGCAGATCCCCGAGACAGAGAAGAATGGGGAAGAGGACTGAAGGATGCCTTTGAGTTGAATGAACAGCTGAGAAGTCTTAGCTGGAAACATGCCAGAATTACACAAGACCATGGATAATCATTTAATTCGTATTTTGTACCATTTCATGTAGCCGAGAAGAAAAACATAGGATGTAGAGTCAGGAGCCCTGGATTCTAGTTTTGGGTCTTCCAGGCATTAGCTGAGTTATGTTAGGGAAGTCTCTTAAGCTATTTGAGATCCAGTCTCTTCATCCGTAAATATACAAAATAATAAGGCCTTCCAGGTGCGGTTGTTGAGATGCTGAAATGAGACGTCATCACGTGACAGCACTTTGTATACTAAAGTATTTCTGGAAGGAAGTGCTGTTATCCTCACCAACTCCATGTGGAACAATGTGCATTACTTGGCAATGTGTCACTCTTGCTGAGAGGTCCTTTCAGGACGTGTTATGATCTTATGTTTTGCTTACTTGTTTATTATAGTATTTCATTGAATCCAGTATACACAAATAGCATGATATACCATTGTTTAACATACCACTAACAAGGAAAAAAGCAAGTTACAAGTTAAAACCTGATGTCTTAGTGATAGTCTTATGTGAATTGGTCACAGTGCCTCTTGTTGTTTGGAGATTTCTTTCCCCTACTTTAGGGTTTGGCAGTTTCTCCTACTCTTAGTTGCTTTGCTTAGAGCCTGATGGGCAATCCTCTTGCATGTGCACCAGTAAAGCACAGCTTCATATATTGTGATTACATTTCATAAAACACTTTTTGTTACTTTGTAAGAAAACATAGGATGATGGTTACTCTAATGATGAATATCAAATTTATGCCTCACCTCTGTCTCTGTGCCTTTTTATGTGCAAATAATGAGTTAGTCTTTTCAAAAACCTTCTGAATGGAAATTAAGCTCAAGCCATGCACTGCCACTCAAAAAGGCAAGCAAGTCAACTGAAGCGATGGCAGTTAAGAGCCCTTTTTATCAATGTCACAACCATGCCCTAGCCCACAGCATTGTAAGATATATTCCACATTCAAAGATATTAAATAGGAACAACAGTGGACCTTACAACTGAAGACATAAAGTATCTGTTTCCCATACCAGGGAGCTGTGTCCTTGTCTATTGTGTCTTCCACCCTATGCCCAGTACCTAGCACCATGTTGGCATTCAGAAGGTACTCAGCAAATACATGTTTAGTAATGGAGAAAACAATACAATTCTGCGCATGTACATTTTATTAACAGTGGAACTGGATAAAGTCTTATGGAATGAAATAGTATATAAATAGCTTCTTCTTTTTCTAAACTCTTTTTTTTTTTAATGATTCAATAGATCCAATGGTACAAAAACCCCTTTCTTATAAAATTTTTTAATTGGTGATACCAGTTATAACAACTAAAATTTTGACTGGTAAATATAATAATAGATATCCATTGACAGCATTCCTATCATATTATGTAATTTTGTATAACACTTGTCTGTTTCTAAATGCAGACATGATATCACTAGTAATAGGGACAGAAGTGATTCTTGGTCACCAAGCAGGGTAAATTTGGGAGTATAGGAAACAATTTCATCCATGTAAATGATGTGGCAAAACACTGCGTATACAGAGAGTCCTGGCTTACTGGGGAGTTGGTAAGCCATAGTATGGCTATTATATGTTAAAAAAAAGAATAAAGATTGTGTTTGGGAAATGAATTTTGCAGGGAAAAATAGAAAATTATATTTATTTACTGAACACCTATTAGGTTAGCACGTGGTCTTTTAATCTTCACAGCAATCCTTGGAGTAGATAGCTTTGCTTCATTTTGCAAATGGGGAACCTGAGACTCAGAGAGAGTAACCTGCCTGTGGCTAGTAGGTAGTTGCTCCAGTATTCCAATTTCAGTCTTCTTGATTCTACAGCAATTGCTTTTCCAACCATTCTATGCTGACTCAGAAAACCTGAGAGTTTCGGAATACCTAATAGGAGTTAATGAACATTTAGGAAGACTGGGGCCAGCCCTGGAGGTGGAGTGGAGAAAGTGGCTCATCATCTGAGGAGGAATCAAGCTGGTGACATTGATGGATTCTATTCTATCTAAACCATTCACAGTGGATTGATGTATTTCCCAGACAACACTGAGGAGAATGTGTGGATTTGGGTACAATAACAAGAGAGGATTCTGGTGATATGTTCCCACAATTGCCTGCATACATATCCTCTTCATTTTGCTTTATTTGGCTCAGTTTTGTTCCTTCATTCCTTTAGCAGTTCTTAAAAGAGCTACTGTATAAGGTTTGCTTTGATACAGGACAAATACATTGGGATGTTGTGAATGAGGGAGCTCTGCCTACAAGTAGTACTCAACAGAGAGGCTGGGTGAGAAGCCTAGGAGAGAAGAAAGGATGCACAGAAGAATACTAAAAAATTAAAAAAAAAAAGTAGCAGGAATGAAGGGTTGAAAAACCCACAGCCCTTTCACCAAGGTCAGGTTGGTTGGTTCTTCCTGCACAGTGCTGGAGAGGGCAGAAGGATGTGAATGCGGAGGAAAAGGTGTCCAAAAAAAAACTGGGACTAATGAGAACCTTGTTGGGGACTATGTCAGTCGTAAGGACTCTCCCTCAGCCCCCAGCATAGAGTTTGGGGATGAATACATTTTTGTTTCAGAGCAAAGTTGATACATCCAAATGTTCCCATATTAACTAATTTGTTCAGTTCAATACTAATAAAGGGATGGAGGGGGGTCGGCCTATAGGAGAGGAAAAGAACCAGCTAGGAAAGGCGTTTCGTATTTTATCAAAGTATGTGGGTTAATGATCTCCCTACCTCCAAAATGACCACAGCGAGTAAGACTCGCTGAATCCTGTGTTCAGGTCATTTGTCATGAGAGGAACTGGACTGGACTAATATTGCTTTGGGGATGATCGGCTTAATTTGACTATGGGGTGGCAGTTGTTGGGGCTCAGCAACTGTTACCCCAAAATATGGTGCTTTGACATGCTGAAATAAGAAGAGCCTCAGGGTCTCTCTGATCTTCACTCCCTACCCCCCACCCTTGGCCCTACCCCATCTCTCAATTCTTCATCTCTCCCAAAGCTCTGGATGAAGTTGTTCTCTTCATCCCTTATCTGCCTAAAGTCTGGAAATACCAAGGAAGAAAGCAATTACCTCTAGTCTCCTCCCTGAGTTTTCATCAACTGAACCCATATCACAGGAAGAAAGACTGAAGTCTGTCAACACACCTGGACAGTATTTTGTCACAAACCATCGTCTTCTGTTTTGGTGCTCATTCAGTATTTCAAAGAGAATCATTTACCAGCCCTTGTCTGCTCTGAAGTCCCAACAGACTTCGTCCATGGCCATTGTAAGTTCCCCAAGTCCACTCGTCTCCCCCTAAAAATCATTTACCATCCCTCAAATTGCCACATTTCCCCCATCTCCCCTTCCCCTATGAAGAAGGGTTAATGGGTAATTGTTCTCTATGGATCCTCCAGTGCTAGACATGTTAAAATAAATTCGTATGCCTTTTCTTCTACTAATCTGTCTTCTGTGAGTTTTCAGTGAGCTTTCAGAGGGCAAAGGGGAAGCTTTCCCTTAGCCTCTACACAGTGCCTGGTGGAGTATGGAAAAAGGTCGCTAGCCAGCTACCCTTTCTGTATTCCAGAATTGTACAAGCTGAAATTTGTCCTAGAGGCCACTCTCACCTTATTATAAGAGGGACCACTTTAGTGAGCTCTTTTCGTTTTCCAAAGTAAGGCAAGTACTGATTTGTGTGTGGCCGGGGGAATCCTTGATTCAAAGAAATAATTCAATCGTAGATATGTCGCAAGACCTTATGCAGATGACTGATCACATTCCAAGAACAGGAATTTTCTTATTTGCATGTTTAATAATGAGCTAAATCAAGTCAGTTTGACCTTCCTTTCTTCTTTGCTTCCTTCCTTCCTTCCTTCCCTCCTCCTCTCCCTCCATTTTTTTCTTCCTTCCTTCTTTCCTTCTTTTTTTAGAGAAAGCAAAAAGAAAAGTATATTTCTCTTTTGCTTAGAAATACTCTCAAGAGGATAGGGAAAGTTTAGCTATTGTGAAAACCAATTTTATTTCCCTGTTCTCCTGGTTTCCCCACTCCTATGATTTGCCTGTGTCCCCACCTAAATCTCATATTGAATTGTAGTTCCCATAATCCCCACATGTCCTGGGAGGGACCAGGTGAAGATCATTGAATCATGGGAGTGGTTTCCCCCAGCTTGTTCTTGTGACAGTGAGTTCTCACGAGATCTGATGGTTTTATAAGGAGCTTCCCCTACCCCTTCGCTGGGCATTTCTCCTTGTTGCCACCATTTGCGGAAGGATGTGTTTGCTTCCTCCTCTGCAATGATTGTAAGTTTCCTGAGGCCTCCCAAGCCATGCTGAACTGTGAGTCAGTTAAGCTTGTTTCCTCTATAAATTTCCTAGTCTCGGGTATTTCTCAAATATGTCTTTATTAGCAGTGTGAGAATGGACTAACACACCCCCACACCTGTAGCATCTTCCCCCACGTCAGGGTGGGGGGCAGAGGGAGCCAGCAGGGCTTAGGAGTTGGGAACACAGCCAGCTTTGAATAGAGCATAATTTGAGCCTGTGTCTTCAGGGAGAATACTGGTGCTTTGTTAGGGGAGCCTCTCAGCAGTCTGTATCATGTAGAGAAAGAAAATCTTGTCGCCTACCTGGATATCTCAGAAGCTAGGGCTCTGGGTTTGGAATTGTGAGTGGAGTTAACAGGGGAGGGATAGGGAATAGGCAGAGTGGTTTGGGCCACCTTTGCTGTGCCTTCTCATCAGCACCTGCTTTGCCCTGGTCAAAGGCCTCTCTCCTGATCTGGACTGTCTTGGAACAGTGGTCATGTGCCTTCTGTGGGAGGGTGCCCTTTCAGTCGTGGCAGGAGAACTGAGCCCGTTCAATGTGCCCATGCCAAAGAAGACTGGGTGTGGCTGGCTTCTATTTCTGTTCTCCTGCATAGCTGTGGCTTCAGAGATCTATGGAAGGAGCAAAACAACACCCTTGCCCCAAGGGTGTCATAGAAGTCTCCTTTCTGCACAGCCTCTCCCCTCCTGGGCTAAGGAGAGCCCCGTTGTGAAGCACGGTACTGGGAAAGGAGCCCCACAGGTGTGTGTTTGAGACAAGAACAGGAAGAGGTACTACAGGCACCCAAACACAGCCTAGGTGGGGCACACACCACAGAGACAGAGTGGGGAGGGGCGGCTGCCATCCACTCTATGGAAGTTCCTCCAAGTTGGTGAGTAAGGATGAGACCCAAGCAGTGGAATTCCTCTATCCAAAGCCCAGGAGCTCTGGCACAAGGAGGCAACAGCCGCCTCTTGTGAGGAGGGAGCTCGCGGGTACTGGCTGTATGGTACTGGCTCCCTAGGGCTGACCAGCAACCTGCAGCCACGTCAGTGCAGTCCCCTAATGAAAGCAGGATACTCAACTCATGATAGAGGTGATGGTTTTTGGCCTTGGAATGTTGGCTCGGGTGGGAACTGGCTTTAGAGATAGTTGTTTAGCAACTTGAGCTTGTTCCAAGGAGGGTGACTAAGAGTGAGGGGACTGGAAACTGTGTCATTTGAGGATGTGTTGAAGGGAGACTTAGTCCAAAGAAGGGAAGGGCTGGTTGACGTTGGGTGAAACGTGAAGGAAACAGATCTTGGTACAATAAAGAGAGGAGCTGCCAATGGCATTAGATGAGTATCATCTGAACAGTCTATCTTCATACTCATGAAATGTTTGTCCCACTTCATAGACATCCCTACCAAGCTGGCAGACCATTCACCACCACCACCAATACCAACAGCAGCTGTTGAGCACACTTTGTGTTGAGCCCTGTTGTCAACATTTTTTTGTATATTAAATCATTTGATCCTCACAACAACCCTATAAAGTACATGAATCTTTTATTATCCCACTTTTTAAAGATGAGGAAACTGAGACACGGGGATTATCCCACTTGCCTGAGGCCGCATGGCTGGTGAGTAGGGGGGCTGGGACCATATGTAGCAGAGGCTGGAGTTGGCATGTGGCCTCCGTCTGCTCCTGCCAGCCCTGCTGTAGCCCAGCACCCTGATGGCCGGCTGTAGAGTGGTAGCCTTTCCCCTTAGGTCCTGGCCTATTCGTGGACTGTTGGCCTCTCCCAGTGCTGTCACATCAAGTTTCAGATGCCCCAGAAAACTGGGGACCTGTGCTGTCTAGCATAAGGGAATTTCCATTCTCTTTGCCTTGGTGGTTCCTCCAGCTTCTGCATGACTGTGGTTTTTGTAGCTTGGTTTGACTGAAAATAACTGGCCTCATGAGTTCTATTCTTTATCTGGCTGTTATTGGCATCCCCAGTGCTACATAACCAGGAGATTACTGCTTTGCTACCAGAAGCATGGCAGGCCATGTAAAACAGGGTACAGCATGCGCAGCTCTCCTCGAGATAGGATAATGGGGCCATTTGGAGTTACACACTGGGTCGTGCTTAGAGATCTGCTACTCTCCACGTGTGCTGCTGTCTGGTGAAGAGAACACTAGTATTTGAGGATGGCCTTTTACTTGTCTTGTTTCTGACAATAATGGTAGAAATTTCCTTTCTTCTGATACATTTGAGATTACTGGGAGGAGAAAAAGAAGAAATCCAAATTTGTTCTTAACCAAAAAGCTACAAAATGAGTTGTTGGAAGTGGGAGAAGGCCAGGTCGATGCTGGGCCTCAGGCTGAATGTAGCAGTGTAGTTCTCAAGCCACCCTCTGCTTTGTTTTGGCCTGTTGAGTGCTGTTCCTGGCCATCTGGAAGACCCCTTATTCATACAGAGAGGGGGGTGTTGACGTCCAGAAACAGAACTGGCCAAAATGGGAATTTCTTTGTGATTCGGCTTAAAGAGTCACTTGCTTGAGACTCAAAAAGCATCTTTTCTGAATGGTCCACAGGTGGCCATAATGTATAATAAAGATAAATTCAGAATGAGCAGGTGTCATCACTTCTGCCCTGGGCTGCCTGACAACAGCCTGTTTATTTTCCTCTGCTCTGAGAGGTTACAACCCCAGATGGGGTTGGAATGACCCCACCATCAAGAGGACTTTTATGCTGGTGGGCCTAGAATCTTGAGGGGGTTTGGAGGGAGCTTGTTCACTCCAGCCAGGGTGCCCTGTGGCCCTGCACTCTGGCTGGTCTGTTGGATGAGACTTGAAACTGGTGTATGGATTTCTGTGGTATACAGGGCTTTCTGAGAATTTTTGTTTTCTCCACTTGGAAAATGATGTCCTGTCATATCTTGAAATGGGTCATGGACTTGCTAGTGTCATTGGCTTTCTTCTGAAAAATGTCCATCTGAGGAAACGGGACTGGTGCAGTGTGTGTGTTTGGGTGGGGGTGTGGGTGTGTGGGTGTGTATGTACATATAAAAAGTCCACCCTGGTGTGGGCCCTGTGCCTGGAAACTCAGAGGCTGCTGGAGACCTGCCTGGCATGCCTACTCCTTGGTTTCTGCCACTGCTGTGTCCAGGTGACTTGCCCTCAGACACTTGCTCTGTGCCCTGTCTCTGGCAGGTGCAGGGCCTACTTAGGCTCACAGAGACAGCACTCACATCCCCTCTGCCTTTGGGGCCACCCCGGGCTGGGTGGTGCGGCCCAGTGGAACCCTGCCCTTCACATTCCCTGGAGTGAGTTGGTGAATTGGAAGGTTGATGTGCTGGTGCTGAGACACTCACAGGGTGCTGCCTGTTTGAATGTGTCCAGTAGGGTGCTGATATGCGCCAGTATCAGATGCGAGGTGCTGCCCCATGCAGACCAAGTCCTCATCTCCCAGAGTCCTGCCAATGATTCCTTGGTACCACCAGGGTCCCTGTTATCCAGAGGCTGGCGCTGCCCCTAAAGCCTTTCACAAATCACCTCTCCCTGACTCTTAGTGTCCTACCTTGGACTCTGCCCCCTCCACTCCTTCTCCAGCCTCTGAATGCACAACAGGCAAATCCAGTGACAGATCCTGAACAGGGTTTAAGGAACCCACCAAGTTCTCTTACACCAGGAAGACAAATAAAATCTTGGTTCTACCACTTAAGAGGCTGTGTGACTCTGGGAAAGTTAACTTTTCTGCACCTCAGTTTCCCCCTTTTTGACATGGGATTAGCAACACTGTCTGAATTGTGAGGGTTAAGAGATTGTCCATAATAATCATTTATTGTCCATAGCTCAGTTATTATGGAGATAAAATGAGTTAATATTTATAAAGCACCTATACATATTATAAATAATATGTGTATACTATTGTCAATGATGCATGGCACATCTGATAGAAGTGTTTGCACCTGGGCTTTTTTTTTTTTTTTTAAACAATGTTTCAGCACCTCAAATACCTGTTGAATGATTAGGAAAGCTCTACAGGCTGAGAGTTGCTTGGGGGTGCTGATAACCATGTCCTCTTCATCCTTGTGCCTCCCTAAAGCCTGTTGGGCTGTCTGGCACATGGGAGTGCCCTAAAAATTGCTCTTTGACTGTGTAAGTGAAGGACTGAGTATGCCTTTCTCATTTTGTACATTCTCTTCAGCATTGGAAGCCTTAGTTTTAGAGAACTTATTTCTAATTTGGGAACATATTCCCCCAGTTCTCACACATTAAGGAGATAATTAGAGCTCAAAAGGGTGGAGCCTTAACCCAATAGGAATAATGTTCTTGGAGGTGACTTGGAGTTAACCACTTTGACATTTGTGACCTCAAAGCAAGAGTTAAGGCAGGCTAAATGATACGTTTTCATAAAAACAAACAAAAAAAAAAAAAGAGAAAATTACATGGAATTCAATGCAAAATTTGCAAACCAACCCAACGGTAGGAGCTAAGTAGGGATGCGACACCACCTTTTCCTTGTTTTGAAGGAATACTACCTAGCACCTGCGTGTGCCAGGTAAAACTCGGGATGGCAGCTAAGTCACAATCCTGCTGTCCAGGTGCATCCAATCTGGTGGGGAGGGTGGGTTCTGTAGCAGCACAGGAATGGAAATGTTTCCAGAGCAGAGCCAAAGTGCTGAGCAGCTTGTGTGGAAGGAAAGAAAGGGCTGATGAATTGGTGAGGGGGCATCTGGGGAACGGCAGAGAAGGAAAGAAAATGAGAAGATGTCATGGTGTGCCTGCTTCTTCCTGCCCCACTCTGGGAACTGTAGTGTCACTAACTCCGTGCAAGGCTCTCTCTCCCTGGCATTGCCCTCTGGTCACTAAATCACCTTCAGGTCCAGCCTCAAGCATCTTTGGCTGCAGCCTCACCCTCGGCCCACGCATCTCAAGCATCCCATTAAATTCTAGCCTCCCCAGGAGAGTGGGTGAGCTGGAATTTCACTCCCACTCCCTAACATCAAGAGACATAACAGATGTCTGGTTTTTCTTTGCATCCTCAAGTTTTCCTACCTCCTTCAGGGTGCAGAACATTCCTGAAGGGTGGAGAGGCAGAGGCTCCAAGATAGCATCAGTGTCTGTCCTCAGGCCACAGTGTCAGAGCTGGATGAACTGGGTTAGGGTAAGAAAGAAATTTGGGTTTGCTTGTTCTAAAAAAAATCTTGGTAGGGTAATTTTCTTGTAAGAAAATTGGCTTCTGTAGAGATTTAAAAATGGTATTGTAAAAACTGGTAAATATATTCACGGCAAGTTAATGTACTCTTCCTTGTGATTAGGCCCAATCAGATGTCATATTCCAGTTCATTCAGCGCTGATGGAAGTTCTTATAAAAACTAAAGCTAATTAAGTTTCCCTTTTCTCCCTCCCCACCCCATCATCAACTATGATTTCTTTGTTCACTGACGCAGATGTTAAAAATACATGGAAAATGTTTCTAAATTCTTTGTCATTTTAGGAGAAGATCTGTCATCAACAAAAAAATACTGGTGGGTAGAGCTGGAAAACAAAAAGGAATAAACAAAAAAACTTCAGGCATTAAAAAAAAAAAAAAAAAGTATGAGAGGCCTCTAGGTAATGATCACATTGGGAGTAGGTGGAGACATGTGAATATACATAGGCTGAGCCACCTTAAATCCCTCCCAGAAAGAGTCTAGGTATATAGGCGAGGGGGCCTGTTAGGAAATCACTGCAATGTTCTGGGAGGAGATGACAAATCCCTGTGAGGCGTGCGGTTGTAGAGACGCAGAGGAAAGGGTGCACAGGAGGCATTTTAAGGTGGAGTCAGCAGGACCCAGAGGCTGATCAAATGAGGGAGTGAAAGGAGAACAGAAGGGTCTGGGAAGCAGATTTGCTAAGGTTTCTCAGTGATGCCCATGAGGAAAGATGGGAGAAATATGGATTGGCTGCGAGAATGGTAAGGTTGTGTCACTAATGGGAGCAATGCACCCCAAAAGTATCAATGAATGGCCTGGTGTGTCTTCCAAGGGGGTAGGGGTTCCTGTGTTTTGACGTGGCTTTGTCTTAGTCAAGAGTTTTGTCATTGATTTGGATAATATAGAGGATGAGTTCACCACATTTCAGATGTCAAGAAGCTAGAAGAGATATCAAATCTAAAAGTGTCAAAAAGGATGAGAAGGGGGGTGGTGGGGGGAGAGGGGGGTGGTGGGGGGAGAAGAGAGAGGGAGAGACTAAATCTGAAAAGACAAAATTTAACAGGGCTACACGTGGATCCCAAATCTATCTGCTCAAGGTCAGGGAGTGGTAGCTTAGTAGCAGCACATATGAAAACAGTCAGGGACTTATTGATTATAATTTTCAACAGGAGTAAATATTGTACAGCATCTTCTCCCAGCCCTCAAGTGACTGTAGACTGCGCTGTCTGAAGCATGTGTTTCAGAAAAGGAAGGTGACAGCCTCATTCAGTTTTGTGCTGGTTAAATGGCAATGGATTATTGCTTTTGCTTGTGGACACAAGAGCAACATGGAGACATGGAAGCACGTTCAGACGAGAGCAAGCGTGACAGTGAAGAGGCTAGAGTCACCTGATTCCAACATCGTCATCACCACCATCTGTTGGGCGCTTACATCTCACAAAATCATCTCACAGCCTATGCAGCAGTCATTTCCATTCCCACCTTACCTACGAGGAAACTGAGCCTCAGGGGATGACATCACTGTAACACTACTGCTTCTGGCTCCACGGTTTTCATGAGGGAAGACATACCCAAACCCATGCTCTTTCCACCCCTCCTTACTGTGTCCTAAACCTCACCATCTGAGGGACTGTTGAGGGATGTGGGGATCCTTACGTTTCAGTTGGAATCAGACTCTGCCCCGTGCCCTGTCTCTGAGGTCCAATTTACTTTGTCCTGTCTCTGCTATACCTTACTCTCCTTACTCCAGCTGGACACAAGTTCTGGATCTCTTGTACCAAATCAGACCTCCCCAACTCATGTCTTCTACCGAAACAGACCTCCCTGATTCGTGATCCTGACATCCACTGGCATTGTGAGGGGCTACTGCCTAGGACACCGTGACCACATCCTATTTATCACTTTACCTCCTCCCCAGGACACAGTTTTCCTAGACCACTTCTGTTATCCAACCTCACTTAGACCAGGGCTATACAGTTATGACAATCCAACTTGTTTAGCAAGAAGACAGATTTAGCATTTCGGGTGGCTCCTGGGCTGGACAGGCAGAGCTGGGGCCTGGATAAGAAATGGATCCCCCCAGGAGAGACACAGGGACCAGTTCCTAGGTGCTCAGAGAAACCGGAGCGGAAGAGTTGATCCACTGGGATCAACTTATAGGGTTCGGTGGCTGACTGGACATAGTTTCTAAGGAAGAAATGGGAATCTGGTTTAGAGATAGAGGAGACTATTGGTTCTTTTCAGGTTGATGGTAGAAGAATTATGAAAGCTGCTTCAGGGAAACACAGATCTTCCCTTTCCTGTTACATACTCATTCCTAAAGAATCCTAGTTTAGGGCCTGGGAGATTGGACACATAGTTAACAGAGACACAAGACTTGTAACCCAGGAGTCTGGTGGTTCCCACTATGTGTGAGTCTGTTTTTGAGCCAGCATAACATTAAAGTAGACTCAGCCTCTTTTGGCTCTACCCCCAAAGAATCTGCTGTCCCCAAAGGCATTGTTTAGAGGCAGGCGACAAAGTACAAAATTCTTAGGGGTGGTGAAGGAATTTATAGAGCTGCCTCTGAGAACACTTGCTCAAATCAGGATCGATGTGCATGTTCCCTGGTGTTCTCGCCCTGCCCCAGCCTGTCACTGGCAGGCACTGTCTCTCCATTCTTCCCACCCCAGCCTGGCCTCTCTTGTGCCGAGTAATCCTGCTCTGCCTGACACGTGCTTTTCCATGCTCAGCGAAGCAAGGCCGTTGACAGGCCCAGCCTCCTTGGGAGATGGTTTAATGTGTTGCTTTTGCTACTCAACAATGCCCTGTGGAGTATTGCTCACTCCTATTTGTATAAACAACCCCCTCATGTATCTCTTCCAAGCACGCACAGCATTCTTTCCCTGGCAGTTTTGGTTGTAACTTTGTCTCTTTCAGTACAGAAGCTGAAGTGGGTGTGGCTGGGAAGGCCTGAAGTTACTGCAGAGCTAGGATTTGAACCTGGGTTTTGTGACTCCCAGTCTAATGCTTCTTCCACAGTATCAGATGGTGTGGGCTGCAGGTCTCTGCAGGTGAGGGCTTCTGGCTCAGCTGCTGGGGAGTAAGCACCAAGTAGGCACTTGGGCCAGGTCAGTGTTTCTCAATGTTTTATCATGATTGCCCCCCTAAAGAGTCTTTCTAGACATTTTTACCCCCTAATTGTCTACCCGTGAAGTTTTAGCACCAGGGATATACTGCACCCTGTTTGTGTACTGTATATATATGTGTGTGTGTATATATATATATCTGCTTTATAATAAAAACTTTTTTCATCACCCACCTCAAGATACAATTTCACCCTCTTGGGGGCAATATGGCCCCTATTGATAACGCAGGGGCTCAAAGTGATTCTCAGAGTGAGGGCCTCGGACCAGCAGCGGCAACATCACCAGGAATTTGTTAGAAATGCAGATTGTAAGTCCCGCTCTAGACCTATTGAACCACATCCTTGCGAGGTGGGGTCCAGCTGGCTGTGACTTAACAAACCCTTCCGAGGATCCTGGATTTGAGATAGGGGAGACTATTGGCTTTTTTCAGTTTGATGGTAGAGGAAGAATTAGGAAAGCTCGCCTGAGAGAAACACCAATCTTCCCTTTCCTGTTAATCACTTTCTTAATTAATTGTAATCATGGTCAGGATCCATTCTCTTTGATCCTTCAGCTCTTATTAAACACCTAGTGTGTGCAAGGCATGTTGAGCTCTGTAAAGATCATATTTTGGCCGGAAAGAGCCAGGTTCTACAGAGCCTGAATCTTAGATATAATTTGGAGGTCCTCTTTAAGAAAAAAAATACATCATGAATACATAATTGTGTGTTGGGGGAGAGGAGGTTGAAAGGGGCTTGTGCAAGTGAAGGATCTTGACACCTAAGCTCCATTGGCTCCATGGCAAGTCAGCTCACTGCTGAGCCCAAGGGAGGACCCTGAAGGTGGTCGCACAACAAAGACAGGCAGATGGGCAGGGCTGAGCTCCTGCCAGCCAGGCATGTGAAGGTGTCTGCGATGGAGACAGGTATGCATTTGGGGAATAGAGTGGGGAGAGCATTGTGCTGACCTGGAGCCTGGGAAAGGCATATCATGGGAGGTATCCAGAGGGCTTTGGAGAGGTGTACCAGTAGAGACAGGAAGGGTTTGGAAGAGCGGCGGAGCACATTGCTTCCAGGAGGGAGGAAGATGAGAGGATGTTTCCATCTGACGGTTTCAAGGCATTTTCTAGATGCTCCCCATAGCTTGAAGAGAGCCCAGACAAGCTCTCCCTGACTGGTCATTGAGCATTATTTGCTGTGGAGGGCAGGAGCTGCATTTCCCAAGAAGGTCTTTGGGCTCAGAGACCCCTTCTCCTTGCCCAATAAACACAGCCTGACTTCCCCCACTTCCCCATCCATTCCTGAGAATTAGTGGCTGCTGACAGATTGTCCCACCACGGGTGGCAGGGGAGGGGAGGAGTGGTGCATCACCTGCCAGCTTGCTCTGACGGGGGAGCCATTTGTCATTCGGTCGGGGGTGAAGCATGAACTGCATTTAAAGATTTGGATTTACTGCACACTGACCACTCAGGCCAGCCTTCTTCGTGGCTCAGCTGCCTTGGAATGAGAGCTGCCTATTATGTCTTCCTCAGTGGCAGCTCTAACTACTGCCATCTTCCCAATGGACACCTCCAAGGAACCAGTTACTTTTGTAAAAGGCAGTGCATTTGTACCTCACGGACTTCATCATGTCCATCAATCAAGATTTACTTTAAAAGGGCCGGGCGCGGTGGCTTATGCCTGTAATCCCAGCACTTTGGGAGGCTGAGGCGGGTGGATAACCTGAGGTCAGGGGTTGGAGACCAGCCTGGCCAACATAGTGAAACCCTATCTCTACTAAAAATACAAAAATGAGCCGGGTGCAGTGGCGCAGACCTGTAATCCCTGGAGAGATTGAACCACTGCACTCCAGCCTGGGTGACAGAGGGAGACTCCATCTTAATTTTTTTTTTTTTTTTTGAGGGGGAAGACTTCTGTAGCAGGGCTTGGGTTCTCTGCTTAATTTTGTGAGTATTCGTCTAAATTGTGCTAACGCATAATTAAGGTATTCGGAGTTAGTCTTCTCTCTGGAATGATATACAAGAATTGATTTCAAACAGTCAGACATCTTCTGTTTTATGAACAGAGGTCTTGATTTATAGTGTTGGACTTTCTTTGCCTGCCAGGAAAGCCTGATATCTTTTTCTGTCATTCTTTCCCTTCCTTTTCTCCCTCTCTCCTTCCCTCCCTTGTTCAATGAGCTTTTATTACGTGCCAGGCACTTCTCTGAGCACTGGAGCCAAGGATGAATAAGACAAGGTGTCCAACTGTAGATGACTGCTTGTAAAGATACAGAAACAAAGAGCCTTAGAGGAAGTGGTAAATCCCACAGAATGGATCTCTCAACTTCAGAACTATTGACATTTTGGGCCACATGATTCTACTGTGAAGGCTGTCTGGTGCATTGTAGGATGTTTAACAGCACCCCTGGCTTCTCACTAGATACCAGTAACATCCTCTTCTCCAGCTGTGCCAAGCAAAGATGCCCCCAGATATTGCCAAATGTCCCATGGGGTGAGGGAGCGAAACCATCCCAGTTGAGAACCACTGAGAACCACTGCCCTAGATCCAACTCGTGATAGGGATGAGAAGGCTTGGGTTTCTGTCCTGGTTCTGCAGCAGGGAGCTATGTGGTCAGAAGTAACTTAATCTCCTCAAGCTTCCCTTTTCTTATCTGGAAAAGAAGAGTTGAGAAAAATCCCTTCTAAATCCCACGAGTCTTGGAAATTTTGCATTTGTCTGCTATAATATATCAGAGCATATGTTCTGGAAAGGTAGGGACAGAGTTTATGCTTGACCCTACGCTTAACATGCCTAGAATTACAGAAACCTGTAATCAGTTAACAAAGACTTGTAGATGCTGACTGTGTGTAAAATAAACAGGGCCTGTGATTAAGAAATTTACATTCTTCATGGGGAAAGAAAATCCAGTCCCAAGACAGCGTGCTTGGGTTCTGGACTGCTTGGGCATGAATCCTGGCTCTGCCTCATGTGGGCTGGGTGACTTTGAATAAGTTACTTACTCTCTCTGAGCCTCAATTTCCTCATCTATAAAATGAAGATGATAATAGCCACTTCAGCGTTGCTGTGAAGTTTTAATGAGGTAGAACAGTGCCTGGCACACAGAGCAAGTACTTGACAAGAGTTAGCTATGGTGGTTGGGAAGATGAGGCTAAATTTCCAGCACCAAGCCTTGCTGGTTTCACACCCAATGCCTAGAGCATATGGTTAAGTCCTGCCAGTGCTCAGAAGGAAAGAGCCCACAGGGAGAGAAACAGATTCTATGAAGAGTATCTACGAAGGTTGCATAGGCTTTGTTTTTGGCAGGGAGCTGCAGGGCAGGAAAGGGAGGAGGCCATAATAGAAGGCCCAGAGGTGCTCAGTGAATAATGGGTAGAATCACCCAGTCTTTCAAAACCAGAACTAAATCGCTCAGAGCAGTGAAGTGACCTGCCCAGCCCACACTGCAGTCAAGGATGAGAGTCGGGATCAGCACCCCAGGTCTTGATGCGTAGTCCAGTGCTCTTCTTGCTTGACCAGCTCTGTGGGGATTTTAGAAAGAGAGATTCCCTGGTGAGAAAGTCTTCTGTGTTCTAAATGCCCAGAGTTAAACAGGTCTGTCTTGAGAGCCCTTAGGGCAGGGTAAGGGGGCAGGGGAGGGAAGGACCGGTGGAACGGTTGATGTTGGATCAATGACATGAGGGCTGGGTGTTTTGGAACCTGTGATAGCCCAGTGAGGGACTGGACTAATATTTAATTTTGTATTGTCAATCAAAACAGAAAAACCAGGGTTGCTAAGGAAATCAGATGAAGGGAGGACATTCAGATGAAGAAACAGATCATTTCCAAGCAAGAACTAGCAAGAACTCCAGATTCCTTATGTGCATTCAGGTAAAAAGCTAACTATAAATCAGTTTTAACAGGTCATTAAAGAGATCCCACCCAAGCTGTATTTTGCAAAACTTCATTATCTGACGCTGGGTATTGGCAATGTGAAATATACATTGGCACTGATTGATACAGGTGGGTCAGGGCTGTTAGCTCAACAGAATAGGAGTCCTCACAACTATGTGCTACTGGTACTAGTAATTACAATCAAAACCATGTTGTCTTATATCTGCAGCATACTTCCCTTTGTTCAATGCACTTTCATAGGCATTGCCAAGCCCTGACGAGTCTATTATTCTCATTTTCTGTAAGTGCAAACAGCGTAAATGAGGTTGGATGACCTGCCCAAGGATCTATGGCTGCAATCTGGGCACCTCCTCATGTGGGCTCACCATACTCTGTACCTGCTGGAGTAACCACCCTTCAAATGGCCCAAGGGCCCCTGCCTCCCAGGATTTGTACCCTGTGTGGTCCTCTCCCACATTGCACCAGGGTTGGTCTGACCAATAACAGAGCAGAAGTGATGGGTATGTCACTGCTGGGATTAGATTGTGAAAGACTAGGCCTTCCATTGTGGAGCCTCTTGCTCTCTCTGGGGATTCTCTCTCTTGCTGTGGGAGAAGCCAACTGCCATGTTGTGAGCAGCTTTAGGGAGAGGCCCCCATGGCAAGGAACTGAAGCCTCTGTCCCAGTAGCTGCAGGGATCTGGGGCCTGCCAATCTCCTCATGAGCATTATTCTCCAGCCTCAGTGGAGTCTTACCTCTGTACTAGGAGGCAAGGTGACCTCCTCCAGAACCCCTACTCTCATTTCTTAAAACCTCTCCTCCTACCTGGGGTTGTTCTAGTAAATAAAGTTCCCCCACAAGCAATTCATTCCTTTCAGTACCCATTGCCATCTTCCTGTGCGTCTCATGAAGAAAACACCCGTGGGAGTTGTTCATGCTTAAGGAGGTTTCAATTTCTTTTATAGTGAGCCATATAAATATATATAAACTTATATATTCAAATATATAAATATTATAGATATATTAACATTTAAAAAATATTTCACATATACAAATATATACAAAATTTTGTATAAATTTTATTTATACGTAATAAATTTTGTATAAATTTTATTTATACGTAATAAATTTTGTATAAATTTTATTTATACGTAATAAATTTTGTATAAATTTTATTTATACGTAATAAATTTTGTATAAATTTTATTTATATGTAATAAATTTTGTATATATACAAAATACATACTTTTTTTCTAGGTGTGTATATATGTATATATACACAAAAAAATATATATATATTTTAAATTGTGAATGGCAGGATCTAATGTGTGCATAGTGAGCCAAACTCGGGTGTGGGCCAGGCACATATGGAGTCTTTATTTCTTGTCTGTTTTCCTAGGTTCCCTACGATGCCCCAGTTTTGTGACATAATTTCAGTGGAGTTAAAGATCCCACAGCACCAGCTGCTAGTCCAAACGGGCAGACAGTAGGCAGGCTGTGGTGGAGTGCTGGCGGGAGGAGGTGGCCGGCAGAGAGAACCTCCTCGCCTTGCTAGTTATGTGAGCTTCCTAATCATGTGAAGTTGATTTTGCTGAGTCATCACTGATGAGGGTATGGGTTCTTTTGGTCTGATGATGATGTGAGATACCATGGGGGGCCAGGGTGGATGGGAAGCTTCCTAAGTATGAGTTTACTTATTAAATCAGTTTTCTTCATGACAGCAAGAAAGTTCTGGATCACTGGGAGAATGGAAGAGCACCTGGCGCCAGGATTTAGCAGAGATATCATTTAGGAATCCATCAGGAATGGAAGAGCATGTAGAAAATTAGGGGCATACGGGGGAAAATAAGCTCTGATGTAATCCTGCAGATTTGCCCAGGGCCCCCTCTCCTGTTCTTGGCCAGCTGTCAGGAGGAAAAGGCTCTGTGAATGATGTCTTACTCAGGCACCTGTTTATGGATTTCCATCCTGTCCCAGGGATATTTGGGTTTAAGGAGGGGGGTGAGTGAAACTTTAAAACAAAACAGAACAAAAAACAAAAATAGAGGAATTCCAGGCACCAGGTGGAGATTGGTGGGACAGAGCCCTAGATTTGGTTTTAGAACTCTACCACTGGCTTGATTGGCTTTGGGTGGCTACATTTGCAGAGCTGGGTGGCACAGAGCTAAAAGAATGGGCCTGAGTGGGAACTTGGGCTCTTGTGGACTGTGTGGCCTTGGGCAGGTAACTTGGCCTCTTTGGATTGTCCTTGTTTGTAAAACGAAATTCAATGATAGTTCATAGCTAATACTTTTGTGGGGGTTTAGAGTAGGAGAATGCTTAGTACAGACTTGCCACATAGTAGAATAAAGATAAGCTATTACAGCTTTATAATGTGTTTATATTATGGCTATGTATATTATAGTAACATTACAATAATATCAATTAATGACAGTAATATTAATATACTACAGCTATGTAATAATACCTAGGAAGCTTCCATGGCCATAGAGAGCATGGTTTTAGGTTTCTTCCACTTGCCTGACCTTTCCTACCTGCCATTCACAAACATCAAAGCAGGCCAAGTTGAGGATCTGCTAGGAACTGAGGGCAGGGTGGGCCACAGGCCATCTGGGGAGGGTGCTTGTTCTTCTGGGTAGAATGCTTGGGGAGCCTCCCCTGCTGTCAGATTCTGGGTGGCACCTCT
Source organism: Homo sapiens (assembly GCF_000001405.40). Classification (NCBI taxonomy): domain Eukaryota; kingdom Metazoa; phylum Chordata; class Mammalia; order Primates; family Hominidae; genus Homo; species Homo sapiens. The sequence continues at coordinate 58,492,083 of NC_000015.10, read as the reverse complement.
GTTCTTGGCAGGGACAGTCCCTCTCTGGGGCTGGGGAAGGCTGTACAATGGGTGCTCTGTTGCTTGCTGGGACCATGTCAAGGTATCCAACTGGGTCAGAAATGCAGCTACAGAGCTGGGACCCCCTGCTCCAGGTCATGTGTGAAAGTGTGGGCAGAGAGACCTCCAGCCTCCAGGCCTGTTAGCATCTCTGGAAGGACCAATAGGAATCACGTGGCAGGCAGTGTTTCTGGCACCCTGAGCTCTCAGTGGGGTCAACAGTCCTGTGGTACCCCAGCCCTCTTAGGTCAGGCCAGGGATGAGGGAAGGGCCAGTGCTTTGTACCTCTGGTCAGGCAATGGCAGTTTCCCACTAAAGCCCTACGACTTTGACTCTTGTCCCAGAAGTTTTACCACACACTGAATAAAAGTACGACTGTGAAGTTGTTGCTGCCTGACAGCTGGTTGCAAAACTGTGCCTTGCCCAGCACCTGGCACCAGTATTTGGCAGAGATATCATTTAGGAATCCATCAGGAATTTGGTCTCTGGGGTATGAAACTGAGGTGGGGAAGGAGAGGGTGGAGAGGGTTGGTTTAAAGTAACTTTAGCACCTCTTATTGTTTTAAGTAGTCTGCCAGGCAGTGACATTCATTTGGTCTTTTAAACCTGACAACCAAGATAGTATTATAATTATTCCCACTCTACAGGCCAGGAAACTGAGCCTCAGAGAAGCTGAGTGACTTGCCTTGGTGACACATCTGGGGAGAGTAGAGTGAGGATTAAAGCCTGCTGCTGTCTGCTTGAAATTCCCATGCTCTGACCACTCTATGGCACTGCCTGGCTGGACTAACTATTTCCCTATTGTGTTTGGCAGGTGCTGTCATTTCATGAAAGGCCAGTCTAAGTGTCTAGCTCTAGAGCTTTCTTTGGCGATGGGGCGGGCGTGTGTGCACGGGATGTCTGTCCTCTTGCGGCCTGGCTGTCAGGAGCTAAGAATTCAGACCAGGCTCCCTTTACCTGTTCTTCAAGGGTGCTTTTGTTCCTTGACCTCCAGATTTTAGGAGATAAATTTGAGAATGACTCTGAGGCTATAATCTAGAAATCTAATCCCCTGTGAACTCCATTCCTTCCTGGCTATTTAATGGGCTCGCTCTTTCCTTAGGAGGTGAGCTGTGGCCAGGCTTCCACCTGGGTGTAATTAGTATCCTCCACACTTCTCAGGCTCTGGGCTCTCAGAGACCTGAAATTTTTGCAAGTGCTGCCCTCCTCCCTAATAACTGGCTGGCAGTGGTTCATCAGAGCCGGAAGCGACCAGGTAGCACGTCTCACTGCCTCCCTTTCCGTGTCGCCTGGGAGACAAATCAGGCGCTCCACCCACTCCCAGCCCCGGGTTCAGAGAGCTGGAGATGACGGGAGAAAACATTTCTCCATATTTCATTGTTGTGTTTTAATTTATATTCACTGGAGAGTGGCAGATTAGAGGTTGTGAAACTATGAGGGGAAAACAGCTTCTAAAAATAAGTGGTGCTGGCGTGACGGGCCAGATTTGGAAGGAGGGCGCCTTGCATTCTCTCCGGAGGTGAGAAGACTACAGGATAATTATCCCGCGAACGGCGCCGGCTCTCAGTGGAGCAGCAGGGCCAAATGTTGGTGATGCCGTTTCACCCACTCAGCTACAAAGGGGCATTCAAGAGCCCTGTAAGAAATATGTTCAGATTAGCCGGAGGAGATACGCTCTTTTGGAAAACGAATAGCATCAACGTTCTTTCTTTCCTGGCAGAAGCTCTGGCTGTCCTTATGGAGGTGACCGGCTCTTAGAAGAAGTTAAGTAGGCTGAGTGTCGCTGGCTCTAGGGCATCTCCCCTGGCCTGATACCCTGTGCCTGCCATCTTCCCGACCCCACGCATGTTTAAGTCCTAACCCTGTCACTCATGTGACCTTTTAGCAAGTTTCCTAAACATCTCGAGACTCATTTTCCCAGTTTCAAAAATGTGCTGAATAGTAAATCCTGTCTCAGACTGGTTTGAGATTAAAAACAAAATTAAGTATTGCAAAGAACCTAGAATATGCCTAAGGCCCAATGAGTACTGTTTTTTTCTTTTCCCCACAGTATTAGCAGGTCACAGTGAAACTGCCTTTGTGAAATGATGACAGAGAAATCTGACATAGTTGACTCCATCTTGCTTTTAACCTCCAAGCTGTCCTTGGTCATTCCTAGGTGTAGGCCAAGCTAACTTTGGGAGGAATTTAGTTTATAGTTGAACCTTACAGCAAGGATAATAGCCACTCCCCAAACTCAACCACTTTTGCAAAACCAGTGAAAGGCCAGAAGGTCAGGATTATGAAAGGGGCCTGAATTCTGCTAAGATATAGGCAAATTTTCTATCATCCCTTACTGCTCAGGGGTCATGTGGCCAGAGGTCACAAGATTTGTGACTTGCCTAATTGCTTCTGTAGATAACATCACTATTGTAGAGCCTAAGATGGATCTTTTGAGTTGTTTTTTAGACTGACTACATCCGGACTTGAGGCTCATGACTCAGCCAGTCTTGGGGCCCCCACCCAGAGGCCAACTGAGTGCACAAGGACCGTTTTCCATAACCCTATGATTTCATCCCCAACCAATCTGCAGCACCCATTCCCTAATCCCCTGTACATCAAACTATCCTTGAAAAACCCTAACCGCTGAGCATTCAGGGAGACTGATTGGAGTAATAACTGTCTTCTGCGTAGCTGGCTTTGTGTTAAACTCTACTACAATAGCGTGGTCTTGGTGAACTGGTTTTGTCTATGCAGCGAATAGGAAGAACCTGCTGGGTGATTACAACAGCTATTTAATAGAGTGCTCCTGAACCCTGGGAAGCTTGTAAGCCGCCCCCCCGCCCCCGCAACAAAATGAATCCCTAATGGTTGAATTTCAGGCCAGCAGAAAGATGCTTTGGAGAGGTGAAACTTTCTGGTGCTATTCAAATACTACCATGGAGGCAACCATCTGTTCAGCTTATCTGTAAGGTCAGCTCAGTATTGTTGTGAAGTAGAAGGCGGCCCAGAGAGAACCACAATTATTTTTGCAGTTTACAATGCACTTGCAGATGCACACTCTCATTTGGCTCACAGACAGCTTTATTAAGTAGCCATCAGGACCACTTGCCTTTTGCAGATGACAAAACCAGAAGTCAAGATTAAGTTCATTTAGTGATTAAACCAGAACTCCCAAATCCTGTTTTTCTCCCATCCTGAGATGTAATAGGGAATTCATCCCTAGATTGTCAGAAAACACTAGGGTATGGCCCTTTATGGGAGTGGTCTTTGGGTCATGCCAAAGGGAAATACCAAGGGGAAGAAAGGTGCTCATCTGTACAATTCTTTTTACCTTAAGACTGGATAGTGGGAGGCTGGGATTTCTTCACTCCTAAACTACTCCCTCTCAAGACTTGGGCCCTTTGTGCTGAATGCCCCATGCCTGGGCTGTACTTCGGACACTTTTCAGAAAATGGGGCAGTTCAGAGAGGCTGCCCCCAGTGATTCCAGGTTCATATAGGAAAGAAATGAATGTGGGACTAAATATTTTCCTTCCAAGGGGGCTAACTCTGGAGGTGAGGACATTCCTACAGGTTGCTGAGATAGGATAGGCCTGAGAATGACTCTTCCAAACACCTAGCACAGTGCCTAGTGCCTAACAGGGATTGATACATAGCTGTTAGATGAATGGCGTAGATAAGGAAACTGAGGCATGTGCCTCCATGTAGTTCAGTGGTCAGCCCCAGTGTGGACGTCAGATTGCTGGGTTGGAAGGAGTCTCAGGAATTGAGCAGTCTAACTTCTTAACTTTATTTATTGAGATGGAGTCTCCATTGCCCAGGCTTGGGAGTAGTGGCATGATCTTGGCTCATGCCACCTCCGCCTCTTGGATTCAAGCCATCCTCCTGCCTCAGCCTCCTGAGTAGCTGGGATTACAGGTGTTTGCTACCATGCCCGGCTAATTTTTGTAGTTTTAGTAGAAATGGGGGTTTTCCATGTTGGCCAGACTGGCCTTGACCTCCTGACCTCGAGGGATCCACTGGCCTTGGCCTCCCCAAGTTCTGGATTACAGGTGTGAGCTACCGTGCCTGGCCACTTCCTTACTGATGAAGAAACTGAAGCTCAGAGTTGAGTAGTGGCTTGCCCCAGGCCATATGGCTACTTAGTGGCTGAGGTGGCTTTCCTGACTTTAGCCTTCCTGCCACATTCCCACCATGCTCCTTGGCAACAGGATTTCATGATCTATCCAGGGCCAACACAAGATGACCTCGGGCCCTGCAAGTACCTCTGCTGAATTTCCTTAAAATAACTGCTGTGATGAGCTTTAATGTGTTAGAGGTGCCAGGGGTGGGGATGGGGAAAGGAAATCCTTTTAAACTTGCTAATTGCCTGTTAATTTCAGTCCCCACTCTACAGAAAGCTATTTCTGGATGATGGCATGTACTCTGGAATTGCAATAATTAGCTTGTTTGGGCCAGAGCAAGACCATCAGGTAGTAAATAATATGTCCAACAACTGAGAAGCAAAAATGCATTCAGTTTTAAATGACATGCTGTCTGGAAGCTATTTATTAAGGGGCCGTCTATTGCTTCAGCAACCTGGTGGAATGCCCAGATTAGCTACACAGCTTTAAATGCCAAAGAAAAGCAGTGCTATTACCACCACTAAAAATAATAGCTTTGGTTTATTGAGCGCTTACTTTGTACCAAGCAGTCTGCTAACTGTTGTGCATACCTTCCCTTCGTTTAATCCTCACTGTGAGCCCATGAGGGAGAGATGTTATCCTTCATTTGCCCATGAGAATGGAAGCTCTACAAGGTTAAGTCATTAGCTACTTAAGATCATTTAGTTATGAAGTGGCGCAGCTGGGACTCACCATCTGGGGACTCTTAAGTTAGTGTGTAAGAACCACCTTTGAAAATCTCATAAGTACTTGAAAGTATGGGGTTCAGCCAATGTTTTTCCCAGTTGATTACCAGATAAAGGCATTTTCTTAAGTTTAGGGACCAGGTTGCATGAAAAATAAGTGACTTTGTATGCCAGAACCATAATCATCCTAGCACAGTGTGAGGTACACACGCAGGAGGGAAGTGTGCCCCCGTTGTCCCGCCTCACACCCACTGTGGGCCCGTGCTCACCAGGTGGCACTTCTAGTGGAGCCAACTGCCATCTGCCATCTAAATTATTTCCTTCTCTCTTGGGCCTGTTCACTATTTGATTGTTTGCCAAGCACCTATAGTTGAATTATTTCAAGTTAAAACCTATCTGTGAAGGGATTCCACTAAATTATCCCCCACGCTTCTGACTGGCAAATGAAACAAACAAGCAAAACCAGTTCTTTGGCATCTGTGGGCCAGGGTTCAGTTATTCTCAGGCCCTGTGTCTTGCTCATGTGCTGCATTGGTAGATGTCCTCCGCCTGCGTTGCCTCCCCTCTCTAATTGCTGGGTGGTAGGAGCCATCTCCTAAATATGCTGAGTCTGGGCTCGTACGTTCATTGCACAAACATTGACCACACAACCTGGTCTGTACCAGGCCTAGATGTTGAGAATACAGTGATGAACAAGGCACAGGGCTTCATCTCAGAGGGTCATAACTACTTTTGGGGAAAGAGCAGAGGAGAGAACCAATGAGTGCAAGACAGCTTGGATACTTGCTGGGCTTGCCATAAGCAGGGGCAATCCACATGCCTAACTAGGGTGACCAACCATCCTGGTTTGCATGGGATTGAGCTGATATACTACCCAAAGTCCCACAAACCAGAACATCCGTTAGGCCCAGTCATACTAGGACAGCTGGTCACCCTACACCCAGCCTGAGGAGATGGGGGAGGGATGCTCTGGGTGAGACTCATCCAAGGAGTGGGACTCTCCAGGCAGATAAGAGAGGAGGAGGAACCAGGCAGAGGGACAGTGACATGAGAGAGTGGCACTGTTAGAATAGAGCCGTCCATGTCAAGGAGTGGCAGGTCAAGGAGCAGCATGGATTCACCAGCATGGTAGAGACACACAGCTTTTTCTTAGTTATGCTGTGGGCTTTCTGTTCACTGGAACCTACTTCTAGGAAGAACAGGGAGACCCTGGATACCTGAGGCTTGGGAAGTGCTTCACTAGATGAATTCTAGAGATGAAAGAGGGGCATTTTCTAGCCATCTTAGTCTGTTCCCTTGCCGACGTCCTCACACAGCCCACAGAATGTGCTCCAGAAGTTCTCATTGTTCTCAACCGTAATCTACATGGAAAGTAACCTCAATGCCTTTGAGAAGAAGGGGCCTCAAGGGCCAAGCCCACCTCTCCCTCAGTGTGGCTGGGAAGGCAGCGCTGGGATGTCAGTGGGCTCTCTCGCTTATGCCACAAATGACAGGGCAGCTTTGGAACTTCTCTGATTCTCAGTAGTCTGTAAAACAGGCATAGCAATATCTTCTTTGCAGAGATGTTGTGAGATCCAAATAAGTGCCTGGTCCAGTGTCAGCGTGTGATGTGTATGGAGGGAGAGACTTTCAAGCTGAATCTTACAGTATGAAAGGTCTTCAGTCGAAGGAAGGAAACAGCCCTTAGCCCGAGATCAGCACGTGCGAGGGTCTGGAGCCCTGAAGCAGCCTGAGAGCCAGGGGAGTGATGAACATTGCATGTGGCTGTTGCACGGGACTTTCTTCCCCTCCGGCACCCAACAAACCTGTGACAAACAAGTGCTTCCCGACCCTGTGAATACCTAGAATCTTCAGAGCCACCATTGACTCCTCCCTCTCCTCACCCATCATAAGCAAACATGCAGCATAACATGTTGATACTGTCTCCTAAAACTCACTTGAATCCATTTTTATCCACCTCCAGCCCATCCAAGGGAGTATCAACTCTCTCCTTGCTGCTGCCTCCCCCGGGGTCTCCCTGCTTAACCCCGCCGTCCTCTTCCAATGCATTCTACATGTCAGCCCAAGTGATCAGTGGATGATGCATAACTGATGCTATTACCCCTGCCAAAGCTGTTAGGTTCCTATCATTCTTGCGGAACCCAACTACGGAATGACCCTTGGCCTGTAGTGAGGGTGCTGAATGCTATGGTTGCTGCTCATGTTTTAGCCTCTTCTTGAGCTGTTTTCTTCCTTCTTTTCCACCCTCCTTTTCTGGTGGCCTTGGTGAGTTCCTGGAACACATTGCACTCCTTCCCCACCCAGAACCACGGCTTGCAACCCACTTCCTCCCCTGTTAGTCTAGTTAACTCCTGTTCATCATTCAGATTTTAGTGTAAATGTCACTTCCTCAATGTGTTCTGTAGCATTCTCAGTTGGCATACTCCATTTGTAAGTGGTTTTAGTTATGTGTCTCTGAATTTGGCGAGAAAGTGTGTTGTGAGGCAGTGTGGCCCGACGGTAGGAGTGTGGGCCCTGGAGTCAGAGTGTGTGGGCTCCAGGGCCCATGCCCCATGAGCCCCACCTGGAGCTGACTGGCTGTGTAACCTTGGGCAAGTTATTTCCCTGCTCTGTGCCTCAGTTTCCCCACAGTACCAAAGGATAAGAATAGTATTCATCTCAGTGGGTTGCTGTGAGGATTAAATGAATTAATATTGGTAAAGCCCTTATTAGCATGATGCCTGGCCCATAGTAGGTGCTGTAGAAGCATTTGTGACGTAAATAAAAAGAGTTGTCTCTGAGCATTTTGCTCATATCCTGGATACACCCTCCATGATGTTGTGTTTAGTCAGATGTGCTCGTGTCCACTTCTTCTTGATCCCAAGGCCCTTTTGAGGGCAGGGACGAATGCTAAGGCATTTTTCTATATGCTGGTGCCCAGAAGGGTGCCTAGCACACAGTGGATTATCACCAAATGGAGTAGGAATGGAATAATGAGGTGAAAATAAACAATGTATGATGCAGAAGAGGTGGAGGTGAAATGCCAAGGACAGCCTTGCTATAACCAGGTATCAGAGACAGGCCTGCATGCTTGACCCTGTCCACACCTGTGTTAGGATGTTAGGCCAAAAAGATAGAGCCAGAGGGTCAAACCTTTCAGCTTTTAATGAACTGTCTTTTTGGAAAGACTGAACACTGTTGGTAGATTCACCCCAAATTTCCATCATTTTCTGAAACAGCTCAGTCCCCAAGAAGAGAGCCCATGTTGGACATAAATTTAAAAGCAAACAATAAACCTCAAGAAGTAATTTGGAACGGCTGGGAAAGTCACTTTAAAATGCCCCCTTTAAGTATGGAGGGAATTAAGATATTTGATTAGCAGTCAAATCTCCCAGAGAATAAATTAGAAAATACTAAGTTTTCTTGCTTCAGAAGCACTTTTTGCAGAGCTATTAAATTATCAATACTAGGTAGGAAAAAAGAGGTCTCATTAAAAAAAATTGATGTAGGACAACTTGCCAAGAGATATTTTTACTCAACGGGCATGGTCTTGGAGACAGCTGTGATCTTTAACTTCCTAGATTTACTTAGAAAATAGATGAAGTATCTTTCTACTTTGTATCTGTGGTTTATTTTGGGCAATGGACTGTGAATGCTGGATGGTGATATGGCAAGATAAACATGGTGAAGGGACAGAGGTTACCCCCTTCTACCCTCACAGCAGCCTCCTCTCCAACCCCACCCACATCCTGCAAAACCTCTGCCAGGAGCAAAATCTTCTTCTACCCTCAGGATCGTAGGAATCACTTTGTAAACTGCAGGGTCAGTGTGCCAATTGCTTACTTGCCAAATATCCGATCTGAGCCCCTTGGAGTTAGAAGGAACCTTAGAATAGCTCTCCCCACCTGCCACATAACTGGTCTACATTGGTAACTTTTGTTACCAAGGGTCATTTCTTAATCCCTGTGACTTTAGTAACCTGGTGTTTGACAGAGGGAGGGTTATATGTCAACTCTATATGGCCACTGTGATTTACATTGAATTTCAGTAATGCTAAAAATGAACTAGAGATATTTTAAATAGCCACTCCCTTTTTGAAGAATTTAAATTTGTTACCTTGAAGAATTTAGTGTGTTCTATACCCATGTCATTTTATGTCCATGGTAGGGAGATAGTTTAGCCTGAACAACACACTCTCTGTCTAGAGACTCAGCCAGCTATGCTTTCGCTGAGTGAAGGGCTCCACTAACACATCCCTGACTGACGCTATAAGGCTGGCCAGGTTCTGGGCCTCAGGAATCACCACCCAGTCTGTGCAAGGCTTGGGATGAGAAGCGAATCACTCCAGGAGGCTCAGTTAATGGCAGAGTCAGGCCTCAAATACAGGTTTCCTGATGTCTAAACCTGGGCCCTTTCAAAAGCCCCCAAACCCAGGGAGGACTGGTCTTGATCATGAGCTCCTTAAGGTTTTTTGCTTGCTGTAGAAGTTTACCGTAAAATGTTACCTCAGAAATACAGGATGTACTTCTCAGGGGATTAGGGGGACATCCAGGGGTCTTGGGGTCTCTGGCTGTGCCCAGGAACACTGCTCAGTGAGGATTGGTCCCAGCCATGGAGGGTGCTGGTGCCCAGAAATTTAGAGTGGCTGTGGCTAAGTGACCCATATGCTTTTCATGGACTGTTTCTTACCCTTATAACAACCTAAGAGCCAGGTATGAATTGTCCATTTTATGGATGAAGCCATAAGACCTAGAGAGGTTAGGTCAACTATTGAAGACTCAGGTTTGTCTGACTCCAAAGCCCAAGGAACTCTTTTTCACCACTCCATACACGTAGACAACCCTGTGTGAAAGCTTGGCTCTGGAGAACAGAGCATGAGCTGGAGAGGGTGGTGAGGTCAATGGAAGCTTTCTCCCAGTTCACTTCATTGTGATTATTTTAAAAGAAAATCTCTGCAATGCATGGACTGTCTCTAAAAAGGGCAGAGGAAAGGGTTCCTATTAGGTGTCTCTAGGCTGGAAACTGGGTGGCTGGGGACAGGGCTGGGAGGAAGACGTTTTACCATGTACCATTTTGTACCTTTCATGATTTTGTGCATGTGACTTCATCATCTGATTAAAAATAAAGTTAAAATTTAAAAGAAAGATAATGCATGCACTTGCTAAAAAATTTAGTCCATATGAATGAGAATACCGAATATAGTGACAAGTCTCCTCCTGCTTCTGACCCCAGGCTCTTTCCCTGCTGCCCCAAGTCAGCCGTTGCTATTGTTCTGGAGACAGGATAGGCACATACAAGTGCACATGTGTACATCTCCCTTTTTACATAAGCTGGATGAAGCCATGCATACTGGTTGGCACCTTGTCTTTTCACTTATATCTTGGAGAATATTCTACACAAGTACATACATTTCTACTTTATTCTATCTATTTATTTAGAGATGGAGTCTCGCTCTGCTGGCCAGGCTGGAGTGCAGTGGCCCGATCTCGGCTCACCGTAACCTCTGCCTCCCAGGTTCAAGCAATTCTCCCTGCCTCAGCCTCTCGAGTAGCTGGGGTTACAGGTGCCAGGCCTGGCTAATTTTTATATTTTTTTAGAAGAGATGGGGTTTCGCCATGTTGGCCAAGCTGGTCTTGAACTCCTGACCTCAGGTGATCTGCCTGCCTCAGTCTCAAAGTGCTGGGAGTACAGGTGTGAGCTGTCGTGCCTGGCCAACTTCAGTCTTTTAAAAGGCTGCATAGTGTTCTTGTACATGGATATATCCTGATTTATTTATCCAGTTACCTGTTGATAGACATTTGTTTCCAGTCTTTTGCTACTACAGATAACCCAAAAGTGAATCTTCTCAATGACTTTTCTCATACATGTGTAGGTCAGTCTGTGAGATAAACATTTATAAGTGCAATTACTGTGTCAAAGGACATTTATGGTTTTTTTAATCTTTTAAAATTGTATGTGCATTTAAACTTTGAGAGTCATTGTCACTCTGTCCCCTGAAGAGGTTGTACAATTTCCCTCCCACCACAAGTCATGAGGATATCAGTTTCCTTACAAATGGGAAGATATTTAGCGAAATGGAGCAAACTTTCTACAGAAGACAAGTCTTCTGTACCAGTGTCTTTGGCCCAGTGTATCCCATGGAGGGCTGTAGGGCTTGTAATCACTGTGGCCTCTCCAGGGCATCTGACCATCTCCATGGGAATTGGACATTTCCCCCAGTCAATCTGTGGATGCTTATGGAACATCTGTTGTGTGCCATGCTCTTGACTAGGGGCTGTTTAAATCACCAGGAACCGAAGTCTCTGGACCTGCCTCCGAGAAGCTTGTGACATAACTGAACAGCTAAGAAATCCTTTGAGAGGGGAACCTACAGTACAAGGCCATGAGTCCCAAGTTCTAAATCAGGACAGTCCAATCTTTTGGCTTCCCTGGGCCACATTGGAAGAAGAATTGTCTTGGGCCACACATAAAATACACTAAAACTAACGGTAGCTGATAAGCTACAAAAAGAAAATCATGAAAAAATCTCATAACGTTTCAAGAAAGTTTATGAATTTGTGTTGGGCTGCATTCAAAGCTTCTGGACCAAGGCAGTCCTGGGCTGAAGGTTGGACAAGCTTGTTTTAAATGAAACTTATAGGCCGGGCACAGTGGCTCACACCTGTAATCCCAGCACTTTGGGAGGCCAAGGTGGGGGCGGATCACTTGAGGTCAGGGGTTTGGGATCAACCTGGCCAACATAGTGAAACCTCATCTCTACTAAAAATACAAAAATTAGTCAGGTGTGGTGGCAGGCACCTGTAATCCCATCTACTTGAGACGCCAAGGCAGGAGAATCGCTTGAACCCAGGAAACAGAGGTTGCAGTGAGCCGAGATTGCGCCGCTGCTCTCCAGCTTGGGTGACAAAGCGAGACTCCATTTCGAAAATAAATAAATACATAAAATGAATGAATGAATGAATGAAGCTTATGGACAACACATGTCTTAGGAGTTTAGGGAGATAGATCACTTCTAGTTGGTGTGGTCTTGGGAAGGTTTCTCAGACAAAGCAGAATGTGATGTTAGCTTTGAAGAATGCGTAAGATTTCACCAGGCCAAGAGGAAGAAGATGAATGTTACTGGTGGGGAACAGACTGTTAATTTTTAAGCAACCATTAATTATGCTGATCACATGCCAGATACCATACAAGAAACTGACTTATTTGCTCAAGCAACATGTACTGTGTGCCTTCTATGGGCCAGGCCTTGTCTTAGGAGCCTGGGGAACTTAGATTGGAGGCACTTTCATAGTTTTCTGCCTCATTTTACAGAGAAGCAAACTGAGGCCCACGGAGCCTAAATGACTAGCTAGTGAGTGGTCAAGCTGGGGGGTTAATGGTGATTTTATGACTCTAATTTTTGTCCTTTCCCTCACCAACAGCTAGAGAGTGAAGGTATTGGAGAAATGTACAAGGCACATTTGGGAAACAAAATATTGGTCTATGAAAGATGAATTGGGCACCACACCTGAGGTCTCTTCTAATCGTCCAAGCCACATACCCTTGTAACAAAACAATTCTGTAAGAAAAGATGGCATTTCTGTGGTCTTAAATTTCATGCCTGATGCAAGCAGTATTTTTTTCCTACAAATTACAATCTGCATTGACATTATTAAGGAAATCACATGGACCCAGCAGAAAACGAAGAATCCAGTTGATTATTTTTATTGCTATAGAAGTCCTCTGTAGGCGGACCAGGCAGAGACCCAATTTCATTTGCCTGTAATATTGCAAACACTGCTAATTGCCTGACTTTAGTAAAGGATAGAGACAAAGGAACAATCAAAGGTATTTATTAGAAATTCTGTTTGGACAAATGCGCTTCACATTTCAATGATCTTTATCTTAGGAACACTAGAACTCTGCATTAATAAATGACAGTCACAACATTACCTTTCCTACTGTTTGTACAGTTTTCGACAGTGTCACTACAGTGCTATTGCATTGATTATTTTCAGGCTGATTATTTTTTCCTGCAGAAGTTGAGCTACCAGTAGATTGCCATTCAATTCAATTTAGTAGTTATGACAGTTGGAAGAACTACATTGCATCTTAAGGTGTGTGTCTCATGCATAAATCACACTGTTTGCTGAGCAATAATGAACAAAGCAGCAGCTAGGAGACTGAAAAGCAGTCCTCGATAGAAGACTGTCTTCTAGGTTGGAAAGTGGGAATTCATTGAACATCTGAAAGTCCAGTGGACCCTGGCTTCAACTCCGAGGCCTAGAGCCCGTCAGAATGTGGACCACACGGTTGGTGCTTAATGTGTTTTTGTTGACATGGCATCCTTTTAATGTTTGTAAAAGTTGCCTTAACTCTCTAGTCTGTGGGTATTTTCTCATTCATTCATTTATTCATGCATTGATTGCTGGTGGCTCAGTATTGTGGGAGGTGTGAAGAATCATGCATGGCCTTTGCCCACTGAACTATAGTTCTGTAAATGTTACAAAACAAGCGTGCAGTAGTTCTAGTAGCTCAAGGTGCTCTTGGGAAAGGTGGTATGAGTTCAACTCTTGGCTCTGATACTTATCAACTATATGACCTTGGGTAACTTGCATAACCTCCCTAAGTCCTAATTACCTCCTCTATGAAATGGGGATAAATCATAGTAATACCTATATTATATGGTTGTTCCAGGATTAAGTTGAGAGTGAGCTGGCTGGGCGCAGTGGCTCATGCTTATAATCCTAGCACTTTCGGGAGGCCAAGATCGGTGGATCACTTGAGGTCAGGAGCTCGAGACCAGCCTGGCCAACATGTTGAAACCCTATCTCTACTAAAAATACAAAAATTATCCAGGTATGGTGGTGTGCGCCTGTAGTCCCAGGTACTTGGGAGGCTGAGGCCAGAGAAAAGCTTGAACCCAGGAGGTGGAGGTTACAGTGAGCCGAGATTATGCCACTGCATTCCAGCCTGGGTGATGGAGCGTGACTGTCTCCCAAACAAACAAACTAACAAAAAAAGAAATGTGAGAGTGAGTTTGTGAAGTGTCTGGCTCTTAGCTCAAGAAATGTGAGCTACTATTATTTATTCTGAGAGTTCACTCATCACTTCCAGCTTGGACCAAGACAGGTTGTGGTGGAGTTATCAGAGATGGCTTTAGGATGGGCCAAGCTTGGGTACACTGAGCTATGGGGGGAGGTGGGCATTTCTGGGGTAGGAGCTGAAAGCCAGAGCCTGGGACAGGTGTGCATGGGGTGGGTATAGGGTGCACGTCCCCCTGGCTGGAGAGGAGGGAGGTGAGATGAGACTGGGAAGACAGGTACTCAGATCATAGAGGGACTTGTGGGCACCTGCGGACTGCCATGTGGCTCAAATTTTCCCCAAGACTCAGGTCAGTTCCCACAGGTCTAGGGGGAAGTGACATGGTAAAAATCCATCTATTGAGGCCTGGCTTCCCTGGAGATCAAGTATTTTATCCTATAAATGAAATTCAGTCACTTTTCAGTCAAGCAGTTTCTTAAATTAAGGCAAGCAGGAAACACAGGCATTTTCTAACTTTTACATCATCCATCTCTAAGACACTGGGGGAGCTTCCAATGGAGGACAGAATGAGTGGAGCTGAAAACCGGAGAGCTGTCTTCTACAAGGGTAAAGGGAGAAGCGCTCCAATTATTTTCTAACCCTTTCATTTTCCTCTGTGTTGTTTTGTACCCTTTAAAATGACATGACAAATATTTTCCCTCCAAATGATTAGACTTCAAAATTGCTTTGGCTCATAGAATGTCCATAAGCTCCACCCACACTTCCCCTCTCTCAGTGCTTTTCATTTCTGTCCCTAACAGCCTCATCTGTTGGGGTCAAACTGCTATGCAGGCATTCTGCAAAGCTGGGCTCCAGCCCCGGAACTGTGGTGGTCTCAGCTCGGCTTCCTCTTTCAATTCTCTCTCCAGCTACAACGTGGCTCACGTAGCTTCCCTCAGAAGTGCTTTACCCCATCCAAAGACATATCTTGGCAGACAAAATCAAGGCAGATTTTGTTTAAAAAGGTAGGAGATAGCAAAGCTGCTTTCCTCCCTGGAAGAAAGTCTACATACAGACAACCTGCTAGCTTCATCCTCTGATGCCTGTGGACTATAGTCGAAGGGAAAATATCTTTAAAAGAAAAATGTGGCCGCCTATAGGAGTTTGTAGGGGAAAGATCCCACCCGGCTTAGCAAACATGGATGAAGTGGGAAGGCAGCTTAACACCATGGTGGTGCAAGACCAGTTCTGAGACCAGGTTGTTTGATTTGAGTTAGAATGACCCTGATTGTTGTCAGAGAGCAGGACGTGCCCTGGGTACAGGGCAATCCGACAGAAACGCACAGGCAAAACTAGCTTTCCTCTGAGCTCCCTACTAAGGGCAGCAACTGAGGAACATTTTACAGCTTCTCAAGTACAGAGGCACATTCTGACCACAGCCTTGTGAGGAATGAGCTCTCTGGCTTGTTTCATAGGTGGGGAAAAAGACTCGGGCCAAATGGCTTGCCCAAGATGTCCCAGAGCTAGCACCTGGCAGAGTCAGGGCTTCTGGGGGTCCAGCTGCACACCTCACGTTTTTTCTGTGGCACCATGCCACTGTCATTTGGAACGCAGCCGGCAGGGTGAGGTCCACACTGCTGGTGGGCTGACCCCATGCCTGAGTTTTGTATGATTGTCTTAGCTCCATGTGAGTAACTAAAATGGTGTTGGCTTCAGTTTCCCCAGCTGCATGCAGGAGGGGACTGACTCCAACTCACACCTTCCCAGAAGGAAGCATAACTATGTGGCACACAGGAGAAATCAGGAGGAACCAGACTGCATGGCTTCCTGTGACTTCTGTCCCTTAGAGGATGGTGTGTTAAATGTGATATTAGACTAAATGGGACAGAAAAAGAAGCCTGCTAGTCCCATGTGTTTCCCCTGGATATTTCATCAGGCTGTGCCTGAAAAACCTGGCCTGCTTTCTTCTCAACTGGACTTTGGCACCCTGCTGTACCAGAGACTCTGAGAACCTGGGTGCCAGAGCAGATGGACTGGGGATGGAAGACCAAATCCACTACTTCCGAGCTGAAGACTTTGAGCAGATCGCTTAGCCTAGCCAAGACTCAGTATCTTTTTCTGTAAAATGGGGACAAACAGGACTGCTCTCTTCCTAAGGTTGTCATGAAGAGTGAGACAATGTATGGACTGTGCTTGGCACGCTGCCTGGTGTAAGAACCATCCCGTAAATGATCTGTCACTTTTCTTGCTAACGTGTGTTCAGTGCTTATACTGTGTCAGGCACTGTGCTACCTGCTTTCCATTAATTAACTCAGTCCTTTCTAATGACAGAATCTAGAGCTTCACGTAGTTCCTGGCACATAGGAAATGCTCAGAGTGGTGCTTATTGTTAATGGAATGTCCTGCATAGTTAAGTCTGCCCAAGTCTGGACCCTGCCCTGAGCTGCTGCTTCCATGGGGACTAATTGCCATGACTTGGCTCATGTAATCTCTCAGTGGCTCCCTTTGTTGCAAATCCATTCATTGCACAAGGCCTGGCTCAGGAAGCCACTTATTCACGGTTTAGTGGTTTGCTGGTAGAGACAGATGTGTGAGCCAATGGTTGCAATGCAGTGCTCCAGGAGTGCCTGAGCACAGGGGTAAGTGGTGGGGTGGCTGTGGGGAACCAGAGGGGACAGTCACCTTTGTTTCTGGGGGGTGGTTCAGGGAAGATCTGATGGAGAGAAGGTAATAGTTGAGTTGGGTGTTGAAAGAACGGGAGTGTGTTGGGCAGAGGCAGGGAAAAGGTATATTCAGGACACTGCAGGACACTGGAGATGGTCAAGAGGCAGATGGTGAAGGGCCTGGGTGGCCGGGCTGTCTGCCTTTTCTATGGAGGCCACAGAATCTTTTGACAGATCTTGAGCAGGGAAGAAACATGATTACCTTTGCCTCTTAGAAGGATCACCTGGATTATGGTGTGGAAGATGGAGGGGAGAGGGCAGCCAGCTTCAAGCCTGTTGTTGTGGGAGCACAGGCCAGACACTGAAGAGGGCAGTGGCAATGGAGGGGAGCCAGGGGACACATTTGAGAGACAGACAGGAGAAAAAGCCAGCTGGACTTCCTGACCACATGAGGTGGGGGAAGGAGAGAGAAGCCCACAGTAACTTCCCCTGTGGGAAATTCTGACTTGGGGAAGGCCTCTCAGGGTGAGGGCTGAGAAGGGGCCACCACAGGTGGCATTTGAGAACTCATTGGTTTCCTTAGAAAATAGGTGGAGGGATGGTAGCTGGAGATGTGTCCTCTCCTTTGGTCACTGGACAGAGGCCCAGAATCCACGAGGACCTAGCAGCAGTTGCTCTCTGGGATGGGGCAGGTCAGGAGGCTCATTGGCTAGTTGTACTTGCCTCCATGCAGGAGTAGCTTTGAGAAGCCAGGGGCAGCTGGGAGGGCCATGAGTGGAGGAGAATTGCATGCTGAGAGGAGAGCTGAGGTCTCTGAGGATGCTCACCCTGGGCAGAGAGGCCAGGGAACGACCTCGAAGGTTGTCACCCTCAGGGATCCTGCGTACCTCCACGCAGGGATGCTCACTGTGTTCCCCAAGGTCAAACTGATTTGGGCTCAACGTAGGGGAGACCTTGTTTCCTCCTCTACAAAATGCTGATAAATTACCTACATCAAAGATGGTGGAGGGTGGAATGTGAAATTCGTGAAAAGCCTCTTTTTTTTTTTTTTTTTTTCCTGAGACAGGGTCTAGCTCTGTTGCCTAGGTTTGAGTGCAGTGGTGCAATCATGGCTCACTGCAGCCTTGACCTTCTGATCCTCTTGCCTCAGCCTCCCAAGTAAGTAAGTGGGACCACAGGTGGGACCATCAAGCCCAGCTAAATTTTGTATTTTTTTGTGGAGATGGGGTCTCTTTATATTGCCCGGCTGGTCTCAAACTTCTGGGCTCAAGTGAATCACCCTGCTTGGGCCCCCAAAGTGTTGGGATTACAGGCATGAGCCACAGTGGCCCACGTAAAGCCTTTTTACTGCCCCCAGCAGAGAGGATGCACTTCCCAGGGGTGAGATGCCCCTGAAGAAACCGTCCCCTCTTCCCCCACCAAAGGGCCTAGTCCCCTGGAGATTTCAGCAAAGGAGGGTTGGTTGCTTGATGATTGATGTAGAAGGGCTTTGGACCAAGTAACTTAGATGTTACTTTCTCACAGTACGTCTTTGCTGAGTGGGCACATGTACCTGATGTGGCTGCAATGTGTTTTGGCTGAAAATGAGTCATTAATAAAAAAGGTGGGGAGTTTCCTTACCTGGTTTGCTTCAACACAAGATAAGGAATGCAAAACAGCTATAGTCTGGCAGGAAAACTGGACTGAGTGGACTAGCTTGGGGATCGTCAAGACTCTTGATCTTATTGGAGGCAGCTTGGTACATTGCAATGAGGGGGAGATTTGGGATCAGGGAACCTGGGATGGAGCCATGTCTTTCTCCCTTCCCAGCTGTGTAACCTTGGACAAGTCACTTAACCTCCAAGACTCACTTTCCTCCTTCATCAAGTGCTGTGTGAAGAATGCAGGAGAGTGATTTAAGCAAAGCCCCCTAACTGCCTGGCGTCTAGTAAGTACACAGGTAATTTTAGCCAAATCTATAGCTGAACCAGCCGATGCCAGAAAGATATTAACTGGAGCAGTTTTTTCTCCTCCTACCTCCCTGCTGCGTCTTCCTATGCTGTCCCCAGACATTTCCCCTGGAGTTGTGTCTGTGGGTTGTCATTTTGTCTGCTTGCCTTTCATCCTCCAAACGTCTTGTTAATCGCACAGGAAGTGGGTGGGTAATGGGCTTCTCTGTTGTTCCACTGGCCTCCCATTGAGTCTTACAGTTTTGCTTTCCTCACCACGAGGGCTTCTCACACCCTCTAATGACTGTTTTCCTTTCGGAAATGGCATATTTTTAGACAAAAAGCATTTCCTGGGGCTCATCACTGATTCCCTGGCAGATCTCTGACTTCTCAGCAATTTTCCCTGCTTCTCTCTGGTCACATAAAACCCACCCTGGCAGCATAAACATAGGAAATGCAGGAAACACAGGCCCCCAGCAGCCTTCACTACTCTGAGCCAATACCCAGTGCTGATCCTTGGTTGAGGCATGAGGTCCCAGCTGCTGGGACTGCAGAGGCTGTTGCTTCTGGCTGCCGTCCTCCCCCTCCCCAGCTGTCCAGGCGTCCAGCTCCCCTCTGCCAGTGCTAGAGGGTAGGGTGGTAGTGTTTTCAAAGTTAACAAAACCATGCCCCTTTCTGAGTGAAACCCAAGTTCAGATGATTCCCTTCCCCTCTTAGTAACAGCCGTAGTCAGACACACCTGGGTTTGAGTCATGGCTTAGCCCTTGGCTAGCTTGAATGCTCTAAGCCTCAGTTTCTTGGTAAAATGGGGGCAATACTAGCAAACCTCATAAGGCCGTTGTGAAGACAACATGGAATACAGTGGGTGAGTACAATGCTTAGCCCCATGCCTGGCACTTACTTGCCTTTATTTTTTCTGATCTAAATTATTACAATGATTTAATTATAATTTTAAATTTATACAATTTGTTTTATAATTCTTTAAATATAATTATATCTATTTTCCCTCTCCCACAGGCTGTGAGCCCCTTGAGGGAAGGGGCAAGATTTTTTTTTTTTTTTTTTGAGACAAGAGTCTCACTCTCTTGCCCAGGCTGGAGTGCAGTGACAGGATCTTGGCTCACTGCAACCTCCATCTCCCAGGATCAAGTGATTCGCATGCCTCAGCTTCCTGAGTAGTTGGGATTACAGGCGCATGCTACCACACTTGGCTAACTTTTGTATGTTTTGGTAGAGACAGGGTTTCACCATGTTGGTCAGGCTGGTCTTGAACACCTGGCCTCATGTGATTCACCTCCCTCGGCCTCCCAAAGTGCCGGGGTTACAGATGTAATCCTGCTAAGATTTCTTTTTTTTTTTTTTTTTTTTTTTGAGACCAAATGTCACTCTGTTGCCCAGGGTGGAGTGCAATGGTGCAATCTTTGCTCATTGCAACCTCTGCCTCCCAGGTTCAAGTGATTGTCCTGCTTCAGCCTCCCGAGTAGCTGGGATTACAGGCACGTGCCACCATGCCTGGCTAATTTTTTGTATTTTTCGTAGAGATGGGGTTTCACGATGTTGATCAGGCTGGTCTTGAACTCCTGACCTCAGGTGATCCACCCACCTTGGCCTCCCAAAGTGCTGGGATTACAGGCATGAGCCACCACACTTGGCCTGATCTAAGTACCCAGTAAATGTGTAAGGGGCTGAGAAGGGTGAGCTAATGCCTTTATGGCCCCAAAGAGCTATGTCCCCTGCCCTCAGGGAGCTTCACTGGGGAGCCCAAGGGTCATTGAGAGGGGTGGGAAAGGGCACGTGGCTGGACTGGTAGGGCAGTAAGGGCAGTTGTGATTGGGTGAGGAGGGTGGAGGAACTCCAGGTGCCTGCCCTTTCTAAGCCTCTCTACATAATAAATATTGAATAGTCATGCATTTCTATTTGGCTCAATTCATTCATTTGGTTGATTCAGAGTTTTGGAGCACTGACTCCAGAAGTTTCTTTTAGGCAAATCTCCATTCACTATTCAGCTCACCCCTAGATTACTGCAGTGTATGGCACTCAGACTGCCTCTTGCTGCTGCCATGACCATGACAGATAAGGCTAATGGATTACAGCATTCTGTCACCCTTAGCCTGATGTAATCTTAGAGTTCTTCTGCATAAAGCAGCCATTCCTGATGGAATAGAATCCTCACTTGTGTTTAAAGCTACTTATCAGCTGGGTGTGATGGCTCACACCTGTAACCCCAGCACTTTGGGAGGCCAAGGCTGGTGGATCATTTGAGGTCAAGAGTTCGAGACCAGCTTGGCCAACATGGTGAGACCACCCCCCCCCATCTCTACTAAAAATACAAAAAAAATTAGCTAGGCATGGTGGCGAGTGCCTGTAATCCCAGCTACTCGGGAGGCTGAGGTAGGAGAATCGCTTGAATCTGGGAGGTAGAGGTTGCAGTGAACCGAGATGACACCACTGTATTCCAGCCTGGGTGACAGAGTGAGACCGCATCTCAAAAAAAAAAAAAAAAAAAAGAGAAAAGAAAAAAAAAATCCTACTTACCATCTCTGGCCTAGACCTTAGGTCATTGGGTATGTCCTGAGGCCTCCATAAATTTCAAACCTTATAATTTCTCCTGCAAAAATACTACCATGCTTCAATTCTCTCCACCTTTCTTTATGGAAGCTTTTCTTACCCATTTCTAGAAAGATTAGAGAGGTGTTAGGTATTAGGAAGATGAAAAGGAGGCAGACAAAAGGACGAGTCTTCCTCTATCTACTCATACTTTCAAGGTGTTTGGCAAAATCTGAAGTTTTGACTTGGGCGGATCACGAGGTCAGGAGATCAAGACCATCCTGGCTGCTAATAGAGTGAAATCCCATGTCTACTAAAAATATAAAAATTAGCTGTGTGTGGTGGCTGGCACCTGTAGTCCCAGCTACTGGGGAGGCTGAGGCAGCAGAATGGTGTGCACCCGGGAGGCGGAGGTTGCGGTGAGCCGAGATCTCGCCACAGAACTCCAGCCTGGGTGACAGAGCGAGATTTCGTCTCTACCAAAAAAAAAAAAAAAAGGAGTTAAATGCAATTCTTTCTGTATTTTTGTCTTTTCCAATTCTGTATTAAGCATGTACTACTTTTCAAAGTAGGAAAAATGTGTTTTATAAAATGAGTAATTTTATGAAAAAGTAATTTTAAGTTACATTTAACAATTGAGTAATTTTATTAAAATTTTTATTTAAAATTTTATAAAAATGCTTTTTACTTCAAAAACTTCATAAAAATTTCTTAGACTTATTACTATATACCCTTTCATACCTTTGTGACTATAATACCTAATAAAAAATAAAAGCTGGTCTTTGGTTTTGTACATAGGAAACACCCTCTTCTCTGAACAAATCTCTCATTTACAGTCTTTTAAAATTCAAAGAATGCATTCCAGCTGGGTGCGGTGACTCATGCCTGTAATCTCAGCACTTTGGGAGGCTGAACCCGAAGCACTGTTTGAGGCCATGAATTTGAGACCAGCTTGGGCAATGTGGTGAAACCTTATCTCTAAAAAATTACAAAAATTATCCGGGTGTGGTGGTATGTACCCGTAGTCCCAGCTACTCAGGAGTCTGAGGTGGGAAGATCCCTTGAGCCTGGGAGGTCAAGACTGCAGTGAGGCATGATTGCACCACTGCACTCCAGTTTGGGTGATAAAGGGAGACCTTGTCTCAAAAAAAAAAAAAAAAATTCCATGAAGATGAGGAAGGTGATGGAATGTCATCCAGCATTGAGAAAAATGTGACGTGCCCATCAGCTCCTCTATTCTCTTGGGGGAAGTGCTGCCGCGGGGAGGTCCTAGCCATTGTTCCATTCCTTTCTTGCATCTTCTCAACGAGCTTTGTTAGTAACTGGAATCCACTGGGCCACGTTTTTAGTAGAGGGTAGGGTCACTTCACTCAAGGAGTTTTGCAACGGCCACAGTGTTTCTCTGCTCTGGGCTGTAAAGCCTGGTGGCCAGTCCTCCCGAGGGCAGGCCTGAAGGTCCCAGTTCTCTTACCTGTCTATCTGCCTGGTGACTGGGTGAATGGGCAGCCCCAAGCTTCTCAGCTTCCCTGCCTGAGCCAGGTTGGAAAATGAGGGTGGCCTGTTTTTGGGAAGCTGGTGATCTTTAATTGAAAGGGGGTGGAGCAGAAAGCATCACTATGGCTTTGAGCCCAAGCCAAATCCCCTCTCCCACACTGAGGAAGAGGAGAAAAGCTGATTTTCTTCCTTTGTGCTCTTCCTTTGGTAATCAGTACTCTAAATGGTTGAGACCCAAGTGGGCCAAGAGCTGAGCTGAGAGTTCTGAGTACTCCAACATGCTCAAAAAACTATATTCCTTAGGGTGGGTATGGTGGTTCATGCCTGTGATCCCAGTGCTTTGGGAGGCTGAGGCAGGAGGATTACTTGGGCCAGGAGTTCAATGTTAGAGTAAACTACGATCATGCCACTGCACTCCAGCCTGGGCAACAGAGTGAGATCCAGTCTCTTAAGGCGTACACACACACACACACACACACACACACACACACACACACAAAATGTTCCCTGAAGCCGTTTAAGTTATTAGAAAAAAATAGAACTATGGTGAACTAATGTTTAATGCTTACCATACCTCATCATGACGTTTTCAGATCAAGTGGGATAGCTCTGGGCAGTGGAGCTTAGGTACATTAAGCAAATACTTCATAAACGTTAGTAGCTGTGCAAACAAGTGGGCATGAGGTGGAGGCTTGACCAGCCAGAGTGTCCAAGGTTCATAGGGAGGAAAGGAGCCAATTTACTGGACCTGGGTTGTTAAACACATAAACCCTTAATGAATTAAAAATATTACCAGCCTAGCAGAGTTCCATGGAGTCTGGGTGGCAGCTCTGTAGTTCTGTGGTTGTCAGTCCAGGCTGTCTTTAGATCTGAACTGGTCTGGGGTGGGCCTTTCTGTTATAAGTTCCCTAGATGATTCTAATGAGCTTCCAAGGGTAAGAACCTCTGCCACAGTTAAATGGTGTCACTATGTATTAATCACAAATCCCCTGATAACGTCACAGGGTTGGACAGCTTAACTCATGTTAGGAATCACATTGAGATTTGTGGACCATCCATCTCGAGTGGGCGGCAGGGCTAGATCCAAAGGCAAATTAGTATTCCATGGAGCTTTGGTTCTCAAACGGGTGTGCATCAGAATCTTCTGGAGATCTTGCTAAAACCCAGATTGTGGGCCCTCATTCTCAGAGTTTCTGATTCATTAGGTCTGGGGTGAGACCCTAACATGTCTAACAAGTTCCCAGGTGATGCTGATGCTGCTGGTTTGGGGACAACACTTTGGGAATCACTGTCATGGACATAGGTGTTCACTCTGAGAGGCGCTGCTGGGGAAGCAGAGAGAGCAAGGGTCTGGGAGGTGGCCGTGACCTGGGTTCAGGTCCATGATTCATGCAGGTGCAGTATAGACAAGGGTAAGCCAAGTGATCTCTTTTGAACCCAGTATTCTTATCTATAATCTGGGGTAATATTAGCTGCTTTGCCTTTCCCCAAGCATTGAGTGGGATAATGAGTAATCACTGGGCTTTTATCATGTACCGAGCATTTTACATGCATCATTCCCATTAATCTTCTCAACATTTATAGGAAGTGGGTCCTATTATTTTACAGACCCAGAAACTGAAGTTTAGGAAGCCTCAGTTCTTTGTTAAGAGCGGTCCTTGTGTTAGAAGCAGTTCCAGCTGACCCCGGAGTCCAAGCTCTCAACCGCTGTGCAGTCCCTGACCCTCAGTGGGAAAACCCTGTGAACACCAAGAGTTGCCAAACAACTTTTAGCTGTGGTTTTTCTAAGCGGCGGACAGGATTTGATGTAAGGGATACCTGGTAGGCAAACCACTGCGCAACAGTGAGCAAATACCAATTCAGATATGAGCAGAGTGGGAAGTTTCCAAAATAAAACATAGAACATCAAGGACTCATTTACTGCATTTGAGAATGGGCCACTCTGATAAGATAGAGGCATTAATTAGGAGGAAAAAGTAGCCGAGCAAATGTCGGCAGGAAGGCCAGGAGGGTCTTTAACAGCCTGACGTAAGCCCAGGAAAGCTGCTTCCCAGAAGGCCTAGTACCGGATCATAAACTCTGCAGCTGACTCATTAAACCCGGTAAAAGTGGCTGCAAAGCTCTCTGGGAAAGGACGGGTTTGAAGAAAGGATAACATTGCTTCTATGAGGGGACCAGAATAAGCAACGGAGCGGAAACCAATACGTGCAAATCAGGCACTGTGAGCTCAAGAGCGGTTCTGAGGAGCTCACAGACACAAGGAGCCCGCAAGCAAAGGTTCTGCTCCACAAGCAGGAAGCCCCTGAGAGACATGCACGTTTTGGCCGCTGTGAACAAGAGCCTACGGTCAGGGATGAGTGGGTCAGGTGATCACGGAAGTCCATTTCAGCTTTTAGTTCTAACCACCCTCTGTGAGTTGGATTCATGCTTCATTGGTCTACTGGATTTATTTCCCAGGGTCAGTAAACATTTGGATGGGAATGCAATGAATGAAAAACAAAAGAAACTATCAGAATCTGATGAAACGTCATGCCAAAGTTTATTAGGAATAAAAAGTTATAACTATTATATATAAGTAGGAATGCTGTATAATCTATAAAAAAATGAGGTTGTCATGAGGATTCAGACAAGACAATGGGTGTCTGAAAAGTGTCTTGAAAACTGGAATTATTCAATTAGAATAAAGTTATATATAACAGTTGGGATAATTTTCTGGATGAAGATATGTGAAAATCAACTTTACGAAGTGATTACAGTAAGTACTGTGTGAGCATTTCATATGACCTGCAAAGAGAAGAAGGAAACCATGTGCTTTGCAGGAGGTAAAATGCTCAGCTGACTGAGATGCTGGAAGGTCTTATGGGGTCATATGAATGGGCAGGAAAATAGAAGATGACCTTTGATGCAGACAAAGCCATTATGTGTTTAGGGAAAAGTAGCCCAAACAACATAGAAAGTGGTTGCCTCTGACCCAGAGTGTATAAACCAGAGAAGAATTTTGGTCTTCGCAGCTTGTTTCTTACCTGTGATGCTAGTTTGGTCAAGATGGCTAACCAAGTGTTTAAAATTACCATACATCCTTAGAATAAAGAAGCCATAGAGATCATGTGATCTATTGATGGATTTAATTTTATAAGATGAGAAAACTCAGGCCCAGAGAGCTAAGTGGCTTGTTCAAGGTTCTATAACTACTTAGAAAATGTTTTGTATACCAGATGGAAAACATCAGTCTACCTTTCACGAAACTAAGACACCTGACAAAGGCTGCCTTAAAGAGTGTGGGGGAATTTCCAGAACCTTTTTACTTCTAATCACTCTCTATGAGTCACCCGCTAGGAGTTCTAATCACACCACCATTAGGTGGAAAGTTGACCAAATGGTCCCTCAGCACGTCCCATCGCATTGCTGTAAAAGTCAAATCATTGAGATGGATAGATATCTCACGACTAGTAACATTTTCTACATAATCTTACATAAATGATTCCTAATAAATTACACAGACAGGACTTCACAGTGAAATCACAAGTGAGTTTAGTACAGGCATAATGATGACAGCCCAAACATCTGTTGGTTTTGGAAGTAAGTTTTCCTATTTTAGAACTAGCACTGAATCATCAGGAGATGGGGCTTGATAGAACTTCAGAGGAATTTTAGATCTCTACCAAAAGATCTAATTCCTCTGCCCTGTATTAATTAGAAACGGTAGACATCGAGGGCTATGATTGTCTCCCTAGTTTCCCACGTACCTATTCCTTCCTTGACAACACACCAGAGAGAGTAGAGAAGACAGAAGATTAGAGAGCTTTGATGCTTTTAGTGTGGGACCGGTGATGACTGCCCTCTTGGACTCTATCTTCCCAGGACGGGTCCAAGCTTCCTGGTCCCCTTGCCTTGTCTGAGCCTTCCTGCCCCAGCTGACTTCCTAGGCCTGTGAATGCCTAACCCAAGTACTTACCTGCTTCCTCCAACTTCCTGGATTCACTTGGGACTCCATCCGTTATGTTACGGTTCTGACCCGTAATCTACACCTCACCTCTGCCCTTGGTTGAGCATTTGGTCTTTGTCTCTTCCTCCCAGCCCAGCCCTACATGTCAGTCATGTCCTACAATCTATAATTGATCACTGTAATGTCCCATTTAAATTTTTTTCTGTTGTTCATGTGGAATTTAATGGAACTCTTTTCTAAAAATGTGAATTTGAAAAACCTTCAGTCTACACTAAGACTATTGAAGAGCACAGTCTGTGTTAAAAGCCAGATGTAAAAACTGTTGGCTTTCATAAGAGGTACCAATTATAAGTAAATATCCATCAATCAATAAACACATCCTGCTCCAAGGTGCAAAGATTAGGGGAGCAGTCAAGTGGGGGAAATGAGTTGTTCTGATTGGAAGAAGGGGGGTGACATGGACAGATGTAGGGTGCACTTGACACAGAATCTTCTTTTTCCCCTGGTTCCTGAGGGGATAAGACATAGGAACCCAAAACATCAGAAAAGTAAGGTAGCAGTGATAGGGCTTTTCTTTCCTCCAGTGCAAACCAGCCATAGTATTATTCTTTTATTCGGACTTTAGATGAGAAGCCCTATATGTTTTGTTGTGTGGTGGGCTCCCCCCTCGCTCCCCATTTTTGAGACAGAGTCTCACTCTGTTGCCCAGGCTGGAGTACAGTGGCACAGTCTTGGCTCACTGCAACCTCCACCTCCCAGGTTCAAGCGATTTTTCTGCCTCAGTCTCCTGAGTAGCTGGGACTACAGGTGCACACCACCACACCCAGCTAACTTTTGTATTTTTAGTACAGACCGAGTTTCACCATGTTGCCCAAGCTAGTTTTGAACCCCTGACCTCAGATGATCTGCCCGCCTTGGCTTCCCAAAGTGCTGGGATTACAGGTGTGAGCCACCATGCCTGGCCACCCTGTGTGTTTTGATGTGTGGTCAAGCCACTGAAATTTCTAGAAAAACAAGGAGCCCGGGAAGGACTCATCCCAAGAAGTTGAAGGTGAGTTAGAAAATTGGCTACTACCCAAGTTAGACAGAATTCAAGGACTGGCATAAGCTGTGATGAATAGCAACTAAAGAATGGAGCTCTGATGCTTAATGTTTATATGTCTTTAAACCTTGCTTTAAATAAAATGCTTTATTTGTACTAGTTAAGTATTTGCTATGATGTGTTGCTTTAATGAAAAGCTCTGTTGAACTCTGTTGTGTGGGAAAGCAGGTTGGGCTTTGATTGGATTAACCATGCAGATAGGGAGTTAGGCTCTTTGGAGCCGAGTTGGTTCACACAGGCGGCACTACCCACCTACAGGTGTCCATCGCACCTGCGTTATGAGTACTGCTCCTAGGAAACCAGGCTCTGAGAGTACCAGCCTAGGAAACTTGAGCCAATAAAGTCACCACAAAGACCACAGCACTTAAAGATAGAAAGGGGCAAGTATAGAGGGGGTTGGGAGGGTGACAGGTGCATGCTCCTTTTATCATGATTTTAAAAAATAATACAGTGCTTTTGACAATTTTTTTTTCAAAAAAAATGAAAGCTTTGGATTTTTCAGGTGGGGTTATTTGCCTTTCATCTGTGTTTTCTCTACTGTTCTATTTACTGATCCATTACTTTCATCTTTGAAACCTGTCATTGTGGACTCTTGTATCAATGTAACTATCTGTTAAAAGGCTTTTTGCTTTTCGGGTCAGAAGTGTTTAATATCAGACATTTTAAATGATTTTATTTGTATTGACCTCAAACTTGAAAGTTATGCAAGAGGTACTGTAAAATTAAGTATTCAAAGAGATGAATGCCTTTATTGGACTTTTTTGATGAGCAGAGAGGTTGAGGGGTCCTAAGGGAGTGATGGAAAAGTGGAAAACTGACCAGGACCCAATGCCTAGGTCGCCGAGAAACAGGGCAAGAAAGAGGTCAAGGAGATGGGAGTGGAGCGGGTGAATACCTGCGCAATCTCAGGACACAGAAAAGACCTGATGGATTCTTTCCTTTCTTTCCTGGTTAGAGGAGGGGCATGGGTGACCCAGTCTGGCTGCAGGAGCTCAGGTAGGATAGACGAGTTTGGGGCAAAATGGTGGGTGCTGTAGCTTAAAGGGGAGCAGTGGGCGGGAAGTTGAGTCAGCCTGGGCTGGTGCATTGTGGATATAGCACAGCTTGAGAGGGTGGAGAGGAGTGGGAGAGTAAAAGAGCAGAGCAGTTTCTGAAAGCTTGGTGTGGTCTGGGTCACAGACTCCTGCAGATGTTCTGAGGGATCAAGCCCTTTTCCCGAGGCCCCAGAGCTCACTGAAGCTAGAACCTAGACTGCAGGCCCTACCAACATTCTTTGCTCTACGCAAGTGGCCATCAGGACCCTGGAGTGAATGACACATAAGTTCCCCTCCCACCTCCATGTCCATGGAAGATGAGAACAGAGCAGTCAGGCCGGAAGGCAAACACCATCCCAACGTGCAGGTGTGCGGTAGAAGCACAATATCACCTTTCACTGGGGAGCTGGCCCTTGGCTGCCACTCTAACAGCCACACACCCCCAGTGCTGCTCCAGGGGCAGTCCACGCTGGGAGAGAAGAGATTGGAATCGACTTCTTGGAGTCTTTTACAAGGACTTCAAAAGGAGGGATGAGTCTGCAGTGTTCTGGGGGCCACTTAGCAATAAAGGAATAATCCACAGCCTGTGCAGTGCTAATGAGCACCAAGAATAACTCCGCCAATAACTCTGCAGGCAGGGCCCAGCGGACCAGCAGAGCTCAGCTGGTCTTGGAAAGGGTTCTTCAGGCCTGCCCCCTCTGCCGAGAGGCCAGAGCTCAGCCAGTGGGTTCCTTATAGGATTGCCTGGGAGGAGAGGATTGCCTGGAGTGGCCTCTGAGTCAGGGCTGTGCTCCTCCCACACAGGAGGAGGAAGTCAAGGGCTGTGTGCAGGTGAGCAAACCGAGCTGACAGGAGCCTGACTTCTAAGGTGCTGGCTTTGGTTCCTCTCATGCTGAGGATTAATTTATCTAAGTGGAAACAGAGCAGGAGAGGGGACATTTATTTCTTTGGCTTTGGTCTGGGGTCCAGTAAGGGAAGGAGAGAGAAAGAAAGAATGTATGTGTGAGTATCTAAACCAATTGGATGGATTAAGGGCAGGGCAGAAAGTGGACCAGTGGTACCAACTCTTCAAAAAGGTGCTGAAAGCCTTTATCATAAACACTAAATGTAATACTGTTTAGGGGGACAGAATAGGGTTGGTGCCAGAAGGACCCCTTTCCTGGATCCCGATGTTCATTTATTCTTGTGTTCATTCATTTGATCCAATCAATCAATCATGTCAATTCAGTCATCAACATTTCTCCAGCATCCACTATATGCCATGTGCTGCAAACAGACTGTACTAAGGCCCAGCCTCTCTCTGCCTTCAAAGCACTCACGATCCTATAGGGAAGGTGGAAATATGAACAAGCAGTCAACAATAGACATAATGAACACAGTGCAATGCATGCAAGAAACAGGAAAATAGATGACAGAAGCAAAGAGGAAGGTGGGCCTCACTTGGACACAGAGGGGTACAGACATTTGGCATGTAACTTGGATGATCCAGTGCAGGCTGTGTGATGGGTGGGACTGAGGATGAGGGAGAAAACACATTCCAGGACTTCCATGAGCAGGTTTGAACTGTGGGGGTGGAGTGGGATGTGGGGGCGGGGGGACAGCACGAGGCAGGTGTGGAGGGGTGGACAGAGTAAGGTGTGAAAGTTTAAAGGAGCTGGAATTTGAAGGGAATCGGAACCGGGGGGAGACAAGGGCATCCAAGGCCAATGGGTGTGAAAGGCAGAGGTCTGGAGGGGAGTGTTGTTCCTTTCTTCGGCACATAGATAGGAGGCAGAGTTGCACGGGGATTAAGAACATAGGTGGCGGGGCCCAGTGGCTCACCCCTGTAATCCCAGCATTCTGGGAGGCCAAGGCAGGCAGATCACTTGAGGTCAGGAGTTCGAGACCAGCCTGGCCAATGTGGTGAAACTCCATATCTACTAAAAAAAAAAAAAAATCAAAAATTAGCCTGGCATGGTGGTGCACACCAGTAATCCCAGCTAATCGGGAGGCTGAGGCAGGAGAATCGCTTGAACCAGGGAGCCAAGCAATTGTTGCAGTGAGCCAAGATCGAGCCACTGCACTCCAGCCTTGGTGACAGAGTGAGACTTTGTCTCAAAAACAAAGAAACCATAGGCTCTGTACTGAGACTGTGTTCAAATCCTGGCTCTGGGAGTTGCCAGCTTTGTGACTTTGGGCAAGTTTCTCTGCCTCTATAAACTTCAGTTTCCTTATCTATAAAGTGGGAGCAATGATAATTCCTGCAGCTGGCTGCTGTGAGGATTGGTAGTTGAGCACTTGGTGGGATAACTGGTATAGCCTTCAGTAAATGTTAGCTTTTTTTATTGTTACTATTGCAGCCAATCTTTAAATGCTGTTAGTTTTTCCTTTGAAGTGTTTCCTGGGTCTTGTTATGACGTCTCCCTCCCAGCAGTGACCACTTCAAGCTCTGCACTTGAGAACTGCCGTCCTCACCTCACTTCTGGGTTTCTGCACATCTTCAAATTGGCCTTGGTGGCTTTCTTCCTTCCTCTGTAACCATCCTGTGGACCAACCCCAAACAAACCCCTCTTACATGCCATGTTCGGGTCAGTCCCTTGGTCAAAACCACTGGTACTTTCTCTCAGAGAAGCACCAATCTGGCCCATTGTCCTCTTGCAGATGAGAAAACTGAGAGCTAAAGAGGCCATGGGACTACGCCACCTGCCAAGGAAGTCTGTTCCTGAGCTCTGGGTCTCCTGACTTCCCATTCTCGCTGGCTGTTCTCTAACAGCTGCCCTCTTTTCCCAGCTCCAGAGCTTCTCTAAACTCTCCCTGGAAAACATCATGGCGAGTAGGAAATGGACCTGTGTGAGCTCTGCAGTGGGCCATTGAGTTTGCAGCCCAGCCTGGCCCTTACTGGCTGAGTGACCTTGAACAAGTGATGTCACCCATCAGAGCCTGGGTTTCCCAGCCGTGGAGAGCAGCGTTATTCTAAGAGCTCCCTTACAGGGTGAGAGTGAGGGTGGAAGACGTGATTATTACCTAAGTGGAGGGCTTGGTAGAGTGTCTGGCACGCAGTACGAGGCTGAGATGTTGAAGGCTACTCTCTGGTTGGGAGGCCATCCTGGCCCAGGGCCCACCTTAACTGTGCCCACCCTGCCTCCCATCCAGCCTTCACCTTTCCTTTTGCACATCCACATCCCAAGTCGGCCCCAGCCTTTCCTCTCACCATGAGCTGTTCTCCACTTCCTGAATTCCTCAAAGTCCTACCTCACTGCTTCTCCTGCAGAGTTAGAACTCCAGGAAAAAGCCAAAACTTTATTTCAGAACTCTGTTATAAACATCCTTAAAGACAGATGCCAGGTGGTGGGTGGGGCCGAGGCCCTGAGAGTGGAAGGGTTTTGGGGATGTTCATCGGCTTGAACAATGCTCATTGGGAGCTGAAAAGACTTTCAGAGCAGAGCCCTACAGGGTGCTCAGACGTAACCACCGTGGGCTTGGAAGCTGCAGTACGGGACCCATACAGCCTTCCCTTTGGGCCTCCAGGGTGAGCCTTGAGAGTTGTTTTCCCTTCTTAGGAAAAAGGGAGAGGTAGGTTCTTGCTAGGTGTGAGCCTGCTGCACCCACCAACTGGCTACCGTTCTGATCTCATAGCAACGCAGTGGCCCCACTCAGGGCCTCCCAGGGCCCCGCCTGTGAAGGAGGAAGCTGAGAGGAGTGCCCAGGGCTGAATCCCTCAGATACCTCTGTCCTTCCCCCAAGGGGTAAGGGAGCGGGCATCTGTTCCCGTGCAGGCGTCCTTGGGGACGGGTGTGGATTCCTTCCTGTGACAGCTGCAGAAGCCACCAGAACACGGTGCAGAGCACGAGGCTGATTTTCAATCCCAGTGTGGGCCACACCCTATGTGGGGGGAGTGTTTGCTTTTCCATAAATGTAAAAATTGCTTAATATGACTCCAGAGAAGACTAAACACCTGTTTGCTGGTGGACTCTCTCTCGTTTATTTTTTCTGTTTTCAGGAGCGGGTGGGACTTCCTCCAGAAACTGCTGGTTTCCTGAAAATCTGGACCATGCCTGAGACTTTTTTATGAACTTTTAGCTTTGTTTTGATTTATTTATTTATTGTGAGCTCTCTAAGGGACATCAAAAAAAAAAAAGAAAGAAAAAAGTCGATTCTCCAAAAGATTTTCACTCAAGCTTAGCAAAGGACAGAACTACAATGTCACCAGCAAATGTTTGCCCCTCACTGAGCATTCTCCAAAGTGAGGTCTCTAAAAAGACACTGTCTATGTCACTTCCTGCTTGCTGGGAAAAGCCAAAGTTTCACTAGGCTTTGACCCAGAGGTCGTCTTGCAGTGAGGGAGGCCATCTCCTCCTGATGTCCACTGGGCCTTTGGTTTTCAATGACTGAAAGCTGTTTTTGTCCCAGCAGAACTACAAAATACATACCTCACCTAAAAAAATAGGAGGCATGACTACCATCTCTCCCTCTTGGAATGTATTGCACCTATAGCCAAGGGGAGATGTATAGCCTTCTCAATGTTCTATGACCTAGCACCTTTTTCTCTTAAATATTCACTAGAAAACTAATAAAGCCATGGACATACTCTGATGTTATCGATGGCAGATTTTGGGGTTGACCTAATGTACTTTTTCCCCACTTAACGCACAACTTAATCATCTCCTGAGGAACAAAGAGATGGTGGCAAAAAACCCTCTGTAAAACCTTTTTCCTGTTCCACTGGGAAACCAGGATCAAGGACAAGGGACAGGAATGGTGCAGGGACAGGAGCTAGTTGTATAAGATGTGTAATTTTGAGGGGCAGAGGGGTGACCAGATTCTGCTGGCAAGGGCTGAGAAACAGGGAGTTCTTTGGTTTCTGAT
Organism: Homo sapiens; assembly: GCF_000001405.40. Classification (NCBI taxonomy): domain Eukaryota; kingdom Metazoa; phylum Chordata; class Mammalia; order Primates; family Hominidae; genus Homo; species Homo sapiens. The sequence continues at coordinate 58,458,673 of NC_000015.10, read as the reverse complement.
GGGGAAAGAAACCATAGAGTGTTATTTAGCCCTGTTGGAAAGCTGGTCTCTGAAAACTGAAAGCACCCAAGATAACGGGGATAAAGATGGGAAAAGGTTAGAGGTGGGAAGGGTTAGAGGTTGCAAAGCCTCAAGTAAGACTTATTCTTTGGGTGGTGTCATTCTAAATGTTTTGACTTGGAGGAAAGAGCTGGGAATGAGGACAATGTCCCTGCTATTATAACAGCAGCATATGCACCAACATAAAGAAAAATCCTGTTTAAGAAAAACCTGCCTGGGCTGTGCTTTAATTGCAAGAGGTAGAAGGACGTGGTGGGGGAGGCTCAGCTGCTGGTCTAACAATAGCATAAGCCGACCTTGCTCAGGGGAAGTCCATTGCTAAACTTCAAAGTTCAGTCTGTGAACTTCACATTTAGGAAGCACTTCCTGATGACCTCATTTAAAATTTTATTCTTCCAAGGGACACAGTACAGAATATATGGACTTACATTTTTTTTTTTTCTCCAGCAATTTCCCTGCTTCTGTAGGAGTAAAAAAACGGAAACAGGTGCTTATGTATTTATTTTTAAAGCTCCCTAGCTACTAAGGACAGCAAGGACTTTTGCCATTTAATTTTTGTTATTGTCTAGCTCATGAAAATGTATTTCTTAATCCTCCAGCTACACATATTCCTGATGAGAAAAAGTATAAACTGGTATGTCCTATGCACTCTAGGAGCCCTTGATTTAAGACTAACCACACGGCATGTACACAGACAGCCATGTAGAAAATGCCTGCAGAGCCAGCATCAGGGGCAGGATGGAGACATGGGCCCGGGATAGAGTGGAAAAGGAATTGTGTGAATCACGGAGGTGGACAAGTGTTTATGTACAAGATGGAAATCCTTACCATATATCCAGTTCAGTCAGGTTTATGTGAAGGAAATGACCAAGCCAGTGCTACTTGCTCTTTCGATTACCAAATGGGATTGCTTGGCTGGTTTAGGGAGAATAAACACAATAATAGTGAAAGTAGTTGACCACAAAATGATGCGGCCTGAGTCATAGAAAGCTTTATGGAGAAGATAGCATCTGAAGGTCCCATTCAGCAATGGGTGGGGCAGAAGTGGTCTTACATGCTGAGGGGATGTGGGGCACAGAGAAACAAGGACTGCTGCTGCAGCTCTGCCCTGAAGGAGCCAAGTGGCATATCGTAAACGGGGTGCCTTGTAGGCCTTCTTGCTGTCCACAGGTAAATTTGAGGAGTGCTTAGAATACGTCATGTCTGCCGGGCGCGGTGGCTCACGCCTGTAATCCCAGCACTTTGGGAGGCTGAAGCGGGCAGATCACCTGAGGTCGGGAGTTTGAGACCAGCATGACCAAAGTGGAGAAACCCTGTCTCTGCTAAAAATACAAAAATTAGCCAGGCGTGGTGGTGCCTGCCTGTAATCCCAGCTACTCAGGAGGCTGAGACAGGAGAAATGCTTGAACCCGGGAGGTGGAGGTTGTGGTGAGCCAAGATCGCACCTTTGCACTCCATTCTGGGCAACAAGAGTGAAACTCCGTCTCAAAAAATAATAAAAAAATCATGTTTTCGAAGCCAAGGGCTGCTCAGCCCACATCGCCCAGTGCTGTTTTGGCCTTGTCTGATGATACCTGCATGCTGACAAAGGAGGTGCCCGGCCCTGGGCATCATCTCTGCTGGAGCCTAGTTCTCACTTAGCTCTGTTTCCCTGGGTATGCCACTTGACCTCCATAGTTTCTATTTTCTTATTAGTAAAATAAACGAGTTGAGCGAGATGTTCTCTAGAATAACTTCTGTTTTTCCCATTCTACGCATGGTAAAGTATACTTAAACATATGTACATATTTCTTTAGTTGGGAAAACAGCAGTGGTGAAGCCCTAAAAAGACAGAGGACCTCTCGTTTTCCCCAATTTGTTGCCTTTATGAATGTGATGGGTTGCGGGGGACATTTGCAAAGAGAGACCAGACATCTACCTGAGGCTATGAGGTAGCGGGCAGATCCCCAGTGTGGACAGGGCTACTTAGGCCCATGGGGGCAGGAGGCCTTAGCATTGGCTACCCATGTGCTCCTGCAGTCCTCCTAGGAGGGAGTGACACCCCTAGTCTCTATTCACCCCCCAGCACCTCCCTCCAGGGGCCTCTGGGCTGCATCAGGGGAGATGTGCCCTGTCCTTAGCTATGGCTTCAGGTTTGGCTCAGTGCTTTTTGCCCTTCATACTGGAAAAGCTTATTTTTCCCCATGAATATCAAAGTAATACAACTTCAGAACAACAGGAAGGTACAGAAAGCATTGAGGATAAATACATAATCAGCTATCATACTATCACACAGAGCAATTTATTTAAGTGCATTTTCTTCTAACGTGTTTTTTCCTTAATGCAAATGTAAAATTTTGCATTCTACTTTTTCTTTTCTTTTGGCTTGATCTCATAGCATGTTTCCATGCCATTACATATATTTGACCCCACTTCATTCCCTTCTGCTTCCCTATGCTCACCCTCTTGTCTCGGTGTCCCTGACTTCAGCCTCGCCTCCTGCGCTCATGCTGTGTGCCTGTCTGAAGTACAGCCATTCTTCATTTGTCATTGAGTCCTACCATGCTTTACGGCTCTCTGTCCCCCATGAAGCCTTCTCAGACCACCTTGGAGAACTTTCCAGATTGTCTATCCATCCCTGACCCCCTTCCCTTCCTTGGGGTCTGGACCATGCCTTGGGTCCTTAACAAGTGCTGCTCTGGGCTGTTAGGTCTCTTTTTATGTAGACACCCCTCAGGCAGTGGTGCATTGGTGGATACTCAGCAACTGGCTCTCTGGAAGAAAATATATTCATATATATATACACGCATACATGCATATATTGTGCATTTCATTGCTATCAAGGTATTATACAATTTATAAATAATAATGAAATATACAGTATTCTTTATTGTAAACTCCAAATAGCAATTGATTTTCACAGAATACTTTTGCTGATGTTTGTTGGACCCTTGTCTCACTAGTCAACCTATGGTGGCAAATGACAAGTGTAGGTTGGCTGACAGGTTTATTTACATTAATGAAGAAGACAAAAATGAAATAAGGACACATTGAAACTCAATCATTCAACAATGACATGAATTCTTTGCTCAATCAAATCATTGTTTTTGAGCACTGGAAGAATATTTCCTTAATGTTTTGTGCTAGTTACAATTGGGACAGTTCTAAATTTAATCTTCATTACTAACATTTTTTTTCTATGGCTCTCTTAAGTCTAGATGAGGGGCTAGCAATCCATGGCCTGACAAATCTGGTGCACCATGTGTTTTTGTGAATTAGGTTTATTGGAACACAGCCAGGTCCATTTGTGTGTCTATTGTCTGTGGCTGCTTTTGTGCTGCAATAGCAGAGTTGAGTAGTTTTAACAGACACCTATGGCCTACAAAAGGAAAAATATTTACTGTCTGGCCCTTTACAGAGAAAAGTTTGCTGAACCTTGCTTTACACAGTCAACAAAACAATACATCAAACCCTAATCTATAATGTTTGCCAATGTCCATGTATAAATACAGCCATCATGGCTGCTGTTAAGCTCCCACTGTGATGTTACTGATAACGGAGTTGGGAAGAGATTCACTTTGGTGTATCATTGAATAGTATTTCCACCACACAGTACGACAGACGGAAATAACCTTACAGACAGAGACAATAGTAAAATGAGAACAGAGGAGTTTTGAGTATTTATTACTGTCATTTTAAACATTTGTTTCATTGTAAGTTCTATAATGTAATTTTAAAATAATGGCTATGTTTAAAAATCAGCTTGCAAAATTCTTGAAAATTTAGCAATTGGCTTTGTGAGAGGGTGAGGGCTTTCATCTTCCCTGGGGAAAATATGATCCCAGCCCATGTGGGCGACACATCTCACCAAACCCCAGGCCCTGGGGGTGAGCGCTGCACGTGGTAAGGGCATGGGAGGGTCTTGTGAGCATCAGAAGTCTTAAACTTGAAGAAAGAAGCCTCTTGTGTGTAGCAGAGGCCCCAACCCCACCTGTTGACTAGAAAATTGCCATGCACTGTGGTCACCATGTGGGAGTAAAACCATGAACTTCCACCCACCATAGGCAGAAGTGAATCATTCAGACAGAGCCATCCAGAAGGCACAGATGGCTTCCTGACCCCATTTGACCTGGGCTGGGTACTCCATGGAGCTCAAGCTCAAGGTCAGCTCTGTCAGCCCCAAACCCCAGCTTTCTGCTTTGGAAGTACCAGCTTATATCCCCACCCTTTCCCCCAGCCCAGGAAGGGAGTAAAGCCAAAGGGGTTCCAGGGGAACCTAAGACCTTGGCCTGGGAAGGTGATGGTTGGGACCCATGTGACTGGGCATGACCAGAACGAATTGGTGTTTTCCCTAAGGAAATCCCTTGCCCCAAACTCTCCCCTGCCAGCTGCTCTGTGGCCTTGGAGACAAGCTATTTCTCTGGTTATTTGCTCCAAGTTCACCCAGAGCTGGAAGACAAGTGTGGCTGAGGCACCTGCATGAAACAGCAGGGAGAGAACAGGTGCTCAGGAGTCACTGGGCTGGGTTCCCATCTTGCCATCACCTCTGCATGTGTGACCTTGGGCTTGTCACTTAATCTCTCTGAGCCTGTTTCCTTATAGGTTAAACACCTCACAGAATCACTGTGGGGTCAACTGAGATAATGTATGTGAAGACGCATTGCAAATAGCAAATGTGGCACCAGGACATCTGCTGAAACAACAGGTGCTAAGGAACCCACATTCTATCCATTTTTTTTCTTTTTCTTTTCTTTTCTTTTTTTTTTTTGAGACAGGGTCTTGCTGTGCATGATCATGGCTCACTGCAGCCTCGCTCTCTGTGGCTCAAGCAATTCTCCCACCTCAGCCTCCCTAGTAGCTAGGACTATACCAGGCCTGGCTGATTTTTTTTTACTTTTAGTAGTTGGGATTTCACCATATTGCCCAGGCTGGTCTTGACCTCATGGGGTCAAGCAATCCACCTGCCTCGGCCTCCCAAAGTGCTGGGATTACAGGCATAAGCCACCGCGCCAATGTACGGAACCCACACTCTGTAATGAGAGTTGCCAGCAACTGGGGCCAAATTCTTCAAACTCCAGGGCTCTCAAAGAAGCAGTCTCTATTCCCATCACCACCTTCCCCCAGCCCATGTTAGACAGACAAGTGGGAGAGGGAGAGTAGGAATTGCTGGGAGAATAATTTAGTTCTCTTCTTCCCATTGTTAGTCTCTAGAGTTCAAGTTGGGGGACCGATTAGAATCACTTACCGAGAATGCGGAATGAGGGTGCCTGCAGGAGGCAGAAATGGTCATATTGTTCCAGGCTGTATGCTGGCTGAGACGTTGCTATTCTAGGTCCCATGTGGTGCTGGGGATATGAGGATGGAGTTTTGGAGAGAGACTGACCTGTATCCATAGGAGTTTATGGGACTGTGTGGCAACGTGGGGGTTGTGCCTGTTTTAGCCATCTGAAGAGAGGAGGCTCAGCCAAGCGGGGAGAAGAAATACTATGAGGCAGTGTACCTGAGGGGATGGGTCCCCACACCTCAGCTCCCATCAATCCTCAGAGGCGGGGAAGAAGACCGAAGTCATTTCTGAGACTTTGTACAGGAGGACAGAGTAGGAGGGGCATGGACCTTTGGAGAAGCCAAAAGGGGCCACAGCTGTCCTTAGTGACAAATGGGCTGGGCTCACACCGATAGGGCCCTCAGAAAACCACATCCACATCTTCACAGGCCAAGGCCACCAGCAGCAGATGGGACCACAGTGAACCAGAGCAAGAGCAGACCACTCACAAGAGATGAGGACCTCTGTGTCCCCCAGCTGTACCCTCACTACCAGCTCCCAGTCCCATGGGGGTTGGGCTCTGAAAAATGAGGGGCAGCAATCCCAGGACCAGGCCTCACCCTGCCCTCCCACCCCATCCCACTCCACCCTACCCCACGGTGCTCCAGAGAAAAGAGGAGTGAAAGAGCAGAACTATCCTATCCCCTCCCCACTGCAGATTCCATCTTCTTTGAGTCTAGCTCATGAGAGAAGGGAAGAATGTCAAATCAGATGTGAGATTGAGGCTTTAGAATAAAGTAAAATAACTTAATAATCGAACTGACCAAAAGTTAAAGGAATCTGCCCAGGATGCTATAAAGGGATGGAAGCATATAACTTGATAGTGCGTGGCTGAAGGCTGGAATGGGAGAAATAGAAAACTGTTTCACGTTCACACTCTTCTAAATTCAGACTGCTCAATAAACCCTGAACATAAGCCTTAGTTTTTATAGTAGGTGGTCCCTTTGAACTTGATGGATTGGATCAAATACATTTATAGGCAGACGTTCTCAAACTTTGGTGCCTGTTTCAGAATCACCCAGAGGGTGCGTTAAAACCCAGACTGCCGGGCCCCATACCCAGAGTTTCTGATTCAGGAGGTCTTGAGTGGGATGGAGAATTTGTCTTTCAAACAAGTTCCCGGGGCATGGTGATACTGTTGGCCTGGGGGCCACAATTTGAGAATCACTGTGGAATAGACTAAAGCATCACTGAAATGTGTATTCAACATACACAGCCTTGAAAATAGGGCCCCGAGCATCCTAGGATGCCAATGAAAGTGTGGTTTTATTTATCTCACCCATCTGCTTCCTCTGGGAGGAACGATGCTTGAGCATTGTGTTGGTTCTCCAGTGTGTTACAGAACTAACTGAAAATCCCTTTGCCCTACAAATGAGTCTGTTATGCTGCCCAGGATTTTCCCCACACTCACGAGGTCTGCTCTGCCCAGGTAGCTTAGCTACGATAGCCCACCTTCTAGCGGGGAGCAAGGTGCAGAGCCACAGCTGTGTGAGCAGGGCAGGAGCATCCTCCTGCTCGCCTCTGTGGAAGCAGGAGCCGCCCTTGCCTCCCGCTCATCCTCGTGCCTCACAGCCAGTCCTCCACGGTCTGCTGGCATCTCCTCCTCCAAAGGAGCGAACCTCCCATGTGGATCCTGATCAGTCCTGTTTGGGTAAAGTTGATCCTATCCAAGTGGTGGATAGGATGTTTCCCAAATCAGACCAATCAGACATCCCATTCTCCTGCCTGTGGCCATCTATTCAGGGGTGGACACCTGGCCAGAATCATTTCTGGAACATGTGCCATAGGTATGTGATGAAGTGTGGTCTCTCTGGAAGTTTGAGTTCCAAGGACTGAGGAATCTGGCACTCTGAAGTGTTATGAAGGGAGAAGGGGGTGGGGAGCGAATGAAGAAACATGGTGACTTTATTAAGGTCATAGATCCAGCTGTCCCTGAAGCTTATAATTTGGACATCTATGTTACATGAGTAAATAAATTCCCCACAAGTTAATTTGGTTTGGATTATTATTCTTGTGACCCAAAGTCTCAACGAATACAATTACTTACCTGCCTTTTTCGTATCTCCAAATATGTTGACTTTCCTCCACCCCACTGCTCTACCTGTCACTCGAGGCCTGGGTCTCAGCAACAGCCTCCCAATCCTGTGCCGGTCAGGGCCTTTGATTGCTCTGGGGATACATGCCTCCAAGTAATGAATCCCAACCGATTGCTTGCCCAGTCCACTAGGCTTTGATGGGGAGGGTAGCCTGCCTTCAGTAAACCATGATTCTTCCTAGTACGTTGCCTGGGGAAGGAAGGCAGCACTGATAAATCGCAATTGCAGCCTCATCATGGCTTATAATGTGAAGTCCCGCTGCAAAGAAAAAGTTGTCTGCCTCCAAAGACCTCTAGTATTCATCAGGAAACTCCCAGAGTCCTTAGACTGTACCCCTTTATTGCCCTGGGCCCAGTTTTACCTGTAAACCCTGACTGCTGCAGGGAAAATCGCTTAGGGACCATTGGTAAAAACTAGCACGGTGGGCTCTTATCAATACCAGGCATTTCTTACTACTTTCACTCAATAAAGTTAGCAAAGCATCCCGGTGGCAAGACTGTGACCTACTCAGTACCTTGACCTTCCTAGTACCTAGGTATAGCAGACCACCAGTGGGTAGCTTGTGTGGTCCCAGACCCATGTAACATTTCAATGCATTTCCAAAATACATAGATCCACATACTTATGGAAATTGACCTTTAACTGACGATTTCCTACAAAAAGATTTAAATTGCACATTGTTCACTGAAACTTAATAAAATTCTCCTTTAGACGGTGCTGTTCTTTTTCCCAAGTGCCAAACACTGCCAGCAGCCTCATCTCTCCCATGATTGGTCTCTAATGCTTCCCACTCTTGTTCTGAGGCAGTTCTTCAGGTGGGATGCAGGACCAGCAACAGAATCAGCATCACCTGGGACATCGTTAGAAATGCACATTCCTGGGCCGCACCCTAGGCCTATTGAATCAGGAGCTCTAGAGTGGGGGCCACAATCTGTGTTTTAAAAAGCTCTTCAGTGGGTTGTGATGCACACTCAAGTTTGAGAACCAGTGACCTAACTGATTTAGCTCCTGACTCAGTTTCCACACCACGCTCAGAAACGCGAAAGACCAGAAGAGGCAAAGGGGACAACCTATTGCTCCTTAAGTAAGCTCCTTGGGGGTCTTGACTCTTGCCCCAGATCATATATGAGTGGTGTCACCCCATAAGACAGGGGCAATTTTTCTACTAAGGTGCTAAGGGTCTCTCCATACTGTCATACTGATGACTCTGGACAGAGGACAGGCTGGTCCCTCTGGTCTTTGTTCCAGAGCCTCGGAGGACATTAGAATATCTGATGGTGGGTACAGGGTGGGACCAACATCACCAGACAAAGCAGAATGGAGTGGAATAGAAAGGTCTCCAAGGGAAGAAACAAATGCATTTAAAACCCAAGGCCGGGCATGGTGGCTCACACCTGTCTGTAATCCCAACACTTTGGGAGTCCGAGGAGGGGGGATCTCTTGAAGTCAGGAGTTCAAGACCAGCCTGGCCAACATGGCGAAACCCTGTCTCTATTAAAAATATAGAAATTAGCAGGGTGCGGTGGCGCAAGCTTGTAATCCCATCTACTTGGGAGGCTGAGGCAGGAGAAGCTGGAGGCGGAGTTTGCAGTAAGCCAGGATCGTGCTACTGCACAGCGTGGTTGACAGAGTGAGACTCTGTCTTAAAAAAAAAAAAAAGAACAAATGCATTTAAAACCCATTCCTCCCAGCAACCTGCATGGATTACAAAGCCACATTTATCTTTCAAAGTAAATAGCAATCAGTCCCAAGCAGCAAGGAGACTCAAATAATGGCCAGCATGTGTTGATATTGACAGTGACCCATAAATCTTCATGTCTTTGGCAGAGAATGTTGGGTGGCATTTTAATTCCAAGCCATCAAATGAGAAGGAGAGAGATGCACCTCTGCTGTGGATCTTAGCAGAGCATCCTTGCAAATACAACCCAATGAGCATAGAGTTTAGTCCTAATCGATGGCTGCCAACATGCTTCATAACAGTCCATTATCCAGATGGGTTGCATGGTGGCTGAAGCATGGAGCAGCTGAGCGTGGGGTGCTCGCAGACTGGCGTCTGAGTAGCCATCTAGGAAGGACAAAGGGCCCTTGGAGCCTCCCCAGCATGACTAATCGCTCCCTCCTCCCCTGGGCTCCCACCTGTGTTTGAGCCCCCACTGCCCGTCGTGTGCACCTAGCGCTTTCCGGCCTGCCAAGCCCTCTTCCAAAGTCTCTCCTGCTTCTTTTCTCACAGTTTTCTCGTCATGTGTGGCCAGTCCCAAGCCTGGTTTTTGTCCTTCAGGGTAGACAAGCCTTTCTCCCACTTGTCAGTTTTGTCTGAGAGTGCAGATTACTGGCCCCCACTCTCTGTTCTGTCATTTGAAAAAGGTATTTTAGTTACCGTTTAGTTACTACTTGCCACTCTGCTGAGTATTTTTGCATATATTTCACTGAATCCATATTAGCTGTGTGATGTTGGGCCAGACATCTGACTTTTTAAGCCTGTTTTCCCATTTTTAAAATGGGGACAATACTAGCATTTTCCTTTGAGGGTTGCTGGGCGTTACCTGGAATCTTCCAGGGAAGCTCCTAGCCAGGCCTGGCATATGGTGAAGGCCCACTTAGGCCTGCCGGCCTCTGCCAGTGCTGAGTGAGGTGCTCTCCTTCACACTCTGAGAGCCTGAGCCAGCCACGCAGCAGGGCACCTGCGGTCTGTTTTAGGTCTCCTCCCCAGGGAGGGAGTGCATCTTATTGACCTTTGCCTCCCTGTCCTTGAGCACAGGTTTGATGCAGAGTATGTGCTTGATAAATGCGTGTGAAGTTAGGAAGGAAAGGAGGAAGACTGTAGGTGAGCCCCAGAAAGCCCCAGTCCTGAGCTAAGAAGAGGGGGCTGGGGGACCCTGATGGGGACATAACACTTGCCTTCACCTGGCTTGATGGGAAAACTGCAAGAAACGGCTTGGAAACTGCTTAGAAACCTTTTGGCAGACAGGAAGGGACTTGAAGAGCTCCCAACCCTAGTCCACGTGAGAGGAGAGTGATTTATCCAAAGTCACACAGCCATTTGGTGACAACATTTGGGCCCTAATTTATGGCTGAAGTTTGCTAGTGTGCCCAGTATTTGATACCATGTTAGGAACTTGTTGCAAAGGGCTTGAGCATCAGCAGGAATACACATTACCAGAAACAGCCAGAAGACCCTAGGGGAGGCAGCTTGGAGTAACTTTTTAGGTCCCACTTAAGCAAAATGCTAGACGTAGTATAAAGGGATATCCAGTTGGATTTGAGTCAAAGGCCTGTGTCTTATTCTTCTTTGTATTTCTTCCCATTTCCTTGTTCCTCCAGTGCTAGAACACTGCCTTATATTTAGCTGTAGGTGCTAATTACCAGTTCACTGAAGAAATGAGAAGTTGTTTTGTGACCTTTAGAACTTCGCTTCTCAAAGTGTAGTTCAGGGACCAGTGGCACTGGCGTCACCCAGACCAACTGTTAGGAATTCAGGATCCTGGAGCCCATCCCAAATCTACTTTTAAAAAAACATTCATTGTATCAAGCTCTCCAGATGATTCAAAGGCACATTAAATTTTGAGAAGCTCTGGCCTGGAAAGCACAATTTGAAGCTGGGAGAACTTAAAACTCTCATTGAGGTCCTGAGCATTGTGGTGAAGTGACACATGCAAGAAAACAATGCAAACATGATATGCATGCGCCTCTTCTCACTCCTGCTGGTCCGGAAGTGGTTTTCTGGTTCCACAGAAACTCACAAGACTTGGAATCACTTCTGTAAGACCTATAATGGGAACACAGCCAACTTCTCATATACGTGTGTGTTTTCCAGAGAAGACTTGTGGTCTGGAGGGCAGCTCTCCCTCTCAGTCGATGGTCCTGTCACAGATGTCGAGCACAGACTAGTCGAGAGTCCAAGCGATTTCAGAGCCCCAGTGGCCACTTGTAGATGGGGAAGTAGGGCAGGGCCTGAGCTAGGTCACCTGGGTCTCTGGGATGCTTTCCATGAGCTCCGGCAGGGGTACAGAATTTGTCAGATGAAATTACTTAAAACTCATTTCCTTTTTTTTTTTTTTTTTTTTTTTTGAGATGGAGTCTAGCTCTGTTGTCCAGGCTGGGTGCAGTGGCGCAATCTCGGCTCACTGCAACCTCCACCCTCCTAGGTTTGAGTGATTCTCCTGCCTCAGCCTCCCAAGTAGCTGGGACTACAGGCACGTACCACCACACCTGGCTAACTTTTGTATCTTTAGTAGAGAAGGGGTTTCACCATATTGGCCAGGCTGGTCTCCAACTCCTAACCTCAAGTGATCTGCCTGCCTCTGGCCTCCCAAAGTGCTGTGGTTACAGGCATAAGCCACCTCGCCTGGCCAAAACTCACTCACTTTTTAAAGGTGTGTGTTGCTTAGCCCTCTGATGAAGATTCAAACATGCAACAGTCATTTGCCACGTGCCTGCTCCATGCCAGGCCTGTGTGGGTCCTGGGGAAACAACAGTAGCTAAGACTGGCCACTGCCCTTGGGGTGCTTATCCTCCAGCAGGGAGAGAGGTGTGCAAGCAGATAGCTGGGTGCAAGGAGCCAGCGCCATGGGAGAGAGGTCCGCAAGAGGCCATGGGACGGTGGGCAGCACAGATGAGTGTGAGAATTGGCAGCAAGTAACCAAGATGCTCACAACCTCAGACACTGGGGAGACATGGCAGAAGCTCAGCAAACAGGGCAACAGGAGGATCTTGAGTGGATCCCAGTCTGAAAAACGCTATCAACAACTATCTTGGGACAACTGGGAAAATTGGAGTAAGGTCTGGATATTGGATAGTATAAAATTATTTTTAATTTTCTGAGGTGTGGTGATGGTACTGGGGCTATGTAGGAGAATGTCCTTAGTAAGAGGCATTCATTCCAGCTACTCAGGAGGCTGAGGCATGAGAATCGCTTGAACCCAGGAGGTGGAGGTTTCAGTGAGCCAAGATCATACCACTGCACTCCAGCGTGGGTGACAGAGTGAGACTCTGTCTCAAAAAAAGAAAGAAATACTAGCGTATAAATATTTAGAATTGAAGTATCATGATGTCCACAACTTTCATATGGGATATGTATGTGTGTGTCTTTTTCTCTCTTCCTTTCCCCCTCTTATCTCAACTGGTTTTACAAGTCACACACATATAAATATGCACATACAGCAAATATACGAAAATGCAAACAGTTATTGAGTCTATCTGGAGGGAATATGGAAATTCATTGTATCCTTTAAACTTCTTTCTGTAGTTGAACACTTTTGTAATAAAAAGTAGAGAAAAACACTGGGAGTAGCATATGAATCGGGTGAGTATTATATGACTATTTAGTAAATAGATGCGTACACACGTTAGTTTTGTGACCAGCAATGGATAGTTTCAAAGTGCGTTCACTTACGTGGTCTCATTTCACCCTCAAAACAGCCCAGTGGGGTCTCTATAATAGTAATCTTCTCTTTACTAATGACTGACCGAGGTCTGCAGGCCTTGAGTGATTTGTTCAAGGCCACGTGCTGGGAAGTGATGGAGCTGGGACTCAGGCCCAGGTCTTTCAACTCCAAATCTGGGTCTCTTTTCTCACCCAGAGTCTCCCTCAGGGACCCATGGTTTATTTCCGCTGTGCCAGGAGCCCCTGTTTATGCCAGGATCTTGTAGCCCAGACATGAAGAGGAGCCCAGGAGTTTGTCCTCCTAGCCCCAGCTCTGTCCTCAGGCACCAGCCATCATCCCACCCTTCTAATTTGGGCTTGACCCTTCTATGTGGGAAGGGAGGCAGGCACATGATGAGAAAGTGGCAGCCGGCCTTGGCCCTTTCCCCTCGTCTGAGGCCTGGGCGAGTCTAGGCAACCCCCTGGCTGAAGCCAGCCTGTATGGGAGAAATACCTCTCAAAGCCAGAGGGAGCAGGTTTGGGGTCCACACTGAGCACACCCATGCAGAGTTGATAGTTCCATAAGGCGCCAAGCCAGAGGGTGAGTTTCATCACTCACTCACACATGAGCCAGCTAAACGGCGCCTTCTTGGTCTCCTGCCGGTTATTGCTTATGCTGCCAGAAAGTCCCAATCATTCTGTTGAAGAGGGAGGATGCCTCTCCCCAGCCCAGGCTCCCTGAGCCCCCACTCCCCATCCCACCCTGCTAGCGGCCGGCCAGCCGGCTCCTGTGTGTCTCAGCAGGGCTGCTGCTTCCTGCACCTTTCAGCACAGGCCCCCTGTCTGGGCCTGGTGTGGACTTACTACTCACTTTCAAATTTCCTGTGTATTTGTAAGCCTTTTTTCTAACGCGGAAGCCTTCCGGAGAGTTGCTGAAGCTCAAATAGAACAAAGAGAGATTTGCAGTTTCCACTGTATGCCCAGTGCCAAGCCCAGGACCCGGGTCACAGCAGGGCCTAGCAAAGTGTTTGCTGGGTGTAATGGGCTGAACTTTGTGTTCCCTCAAATTCATACATTGAAGTTCTAACCCTCAGTACCTCAGAATGTGACTGCTTTTGGAGCCAGAGTCTTTAAAGAGGTGATTTGGGTGAAATAAGGTCACTGGGGTGGGCCTTAATCCAATATGACTGGGGTCTTTATAAAAAGAGGAGATCGGACACAGAAACATAGAAGACTGTGTGCAGACAGAAGAGACGCAGCCATCAGAAGACAAGGAGAGAGGCCTCAGAAGAAACCCACCCTGCTGACCCCTTGACCTCAGACTTCTCACTTCCAGAACTGTGAGAAAATACATTTCTGTTGTTGAGGCCACCCAGTCTGTGGTCCTCTGTCCTGGCAGTCCTGGCAGACTGCTAGACTGTGTGAATATCGAGTGACCATGTTGGGGTCCTAGCACAAGGCCTGGCACAGAGCTGGTGTGTGGCGAAATCTCTGACATCCAGAAACCACCCTCTGAGTATGGAGAGCCACACTGGTCGTTTGTTTATCTTCCAGGAATGAGTGGATAGGCTCACTCACGAGTGCCTTCTTGCAGTTCTTCCTGCTTTAACACCTTCCCAATCATTAACCTCAGGAAGGGGAGTCCCTCTATGCGGCACAAAGGTGGGGGCCAGGGCATGAACAATAATACACCAAGAGTGCCCAACTGTGGAATAATTCCTAGACCTGTGTCGCAGGCAGGAAGGAGACTGTCAGGCCTCTGAGCCCAAGCTGAGCCATCGTAGCCCCTGTGACTGGCACGTATACACCCAGATGGCCTGAAGCAACTGAAGATCCACAAAAGAAGTGAAAATAGCCTTAACTGATGACACTCCACCATTGTGATTTGTTTCTGCCCCACCCTAACTGATCAATGTACTTTGTAATCTCCCCCACCCTGAAGAAGGTTCTTTGCAATTCTCTCCCCACCCTTGAGAATGTACTTTGTGAGATCCACCCCCTGCCCGCAAAACATTGCTCCAAACTCCACCGCCTATCCCAAAACCTGTAAGAACTAACGATAATCCACCACCCTTTGCTGACTCCTTTTTCAGACTCAGCCCGCCTGCACCCAGGTGAAATAAACAGCCTTGTTGCTCACACAAAGCCTGCTTGGTGGTCTCTTCACATGCGTGAGACAGAGATTTGCATGAAAGGAGCTTTCTCAGGTGTTGTCTTGATACTACTAAGTCACCGAGGAGCCGTGGAGGGTCCTCTTCAGCTCATAAAAACAACCTGGAAGATAGAGGATTCTTGGATGGAGGAAAAAGCTTCAGCTCTTTCGAAATATCCCTGGTGACCTTAAAAGTAGCCCAGAATTTTTAAGCTTGACATCACAGGGCTGTGCCTTCTATGGGCTGCCTGGGTTTGTGCTCACATCTGTGTTTCTGGGCTTGACTTTGGGTAGCCAGGGGCAGTGATGGAGGCTGAGATGTGAGGGGTCCAGGGCTTCATCCAGAGGTTTTTCCCCTTGGGCCACTGAGGCTGCTCCTGGCCATCACTCACAGTTGTGTAAGGTGAGCAGAAACTTCTGATAAGTAGTGGCCAGACCCACGGAAGTTGAGAATATGTCCCAGGCTCCCCTATCCAAAATGGGATATCTCGGCCAGGCACAGTGGTTCAGGCCTGTAATCCCAGCACTTTGGGAGGCTGAGGTGGGCAGATCACTTGAGGCAGGAGTTCAAGACCAGCCTGGCCAACATGGAGAAACCCCGACTAAACTAAAAACAGAAAAATTAGCTGGACATGGTGGTGCATGCCTGTAATCCCAGCTACTTGGGAAGCTGAGGCATGAGAATCGCTTGAACCCTGCAAGCGGGGATTGCAGTGAGCTGAGATCACGCCACTGCACTCCAGCCTGGGCAACAGAGCGAGACTCAGAAAAACCAAAAACAACCCCCCAAACCAAATGAGATATCTCTGAAGGCTCAGATACCCATGTGGGCTCTGAGAGGGACACCAGAACCACTAGAAGTAGGCATCAATGAGAATCACAGGACCTTGGGAGGTTTGGAGGCTTCTTCTGCCTCTGCCCTTCAGGCAAGCCCATGTTTCAGCTATACCAGAGAGGAAATTATTAGCTGAGTGGTCTAAGGAGAGTTTGCAACACTCTGAGCCACAATTTCCCCATCTGTGAAGTGGGGATAATACCTATCTCACAGGGTGTTTTTCTGGATTCATTGACATAAATAGGCAAAGAACTTGGCACATTTAAATATTCTTAAAAATAATGGTTTCTGTTGTTCTGTACATCTTAGTTCAATTCAAGAAATGTAAGAGTTTTCTTCCAAACAGCATCAAATACCTATTTTCATTGTCAGCACTTAATCAAACACTGCTGCATGTCAGGCCCTGAATAAAACAGTTCCGGGCAAGAAATGGCATAAGGGTCATTGACTGCGTGGGCTGTTCTTACAGAATCCCATCTTTGTCCTCCGGGTGTCTGGGAATCTTTGAATTGCTAGAGGCAAATGAGTCAATTAAGGTTCAGTTAGGGTAAAAGGTCACATGCTTAAAATGGATAGAACTTTGCTTCCACATTTCTCTTTCCTGATAATATTTAAATAGCTGATACCAGGGAAGGTCACCACTGCAGATCTCCTGGCACCACGATGACCATTCTAATCAGTCCCATTCACACCCAGAATGTCAGTGTGGAAGGGACACTATTACTCCTGAGAGATCAGAGGTAAGGAGGTAAAGGGCATCACCCAAAGCTGTGCAGCTAGGGCATAGGTATTAAGAGACCTCAAACGCATTCCCCAAGTCCCTTTGGGAGAGACTACACGAAAACACAGCACAGCAACAAAAACCAGCTCTGCCGTCAGCCAGACCATAATATTCACAAGTGAACAGAGACAATGCCCACCGAACAGAAACATGTGCAGCACAGACCCTCCACATCTGTGTTTGCATCAAGACAGGGAGGAGGCCACTCCAAAATCAAAAAACATGACTAAACATTTCCCTCTTCTGACTAACAGGAATGACTTGTGTTGCTGTATCAAAGCCAGCTCAGCCCTGTTTTCATCTTCCCATCTGCTAGATCATTTATTGATTATATTAAATAATAATTAGTGATAACTATTAAATTATTATGATGCCGAATCATTGAATTGGACTCCTTTTTGACAGAATCCAATCCAGAATTCCCCTTGCTTTCCACCCCTTCCTTAGACTCAACCAGCACAAGCCCAAGTCTGGAGTGAGCTCTCCCTTGCTGCAGTAAACCACAGAAACTGACTTGCAATTGATGTCAGCTGTGTTCCCCATGGTCCGCGGATGGTGAATGTTTACGTCTCTAAAATGGGAATAAGAATTCCTACCCAATATTCTTTACAGGGCTACTGTAAGAATCAAGTCATATAATGCAGGTGGGAATGAATTTTTAAAGTTGAAATTGCTGTTAAGTCTATAAGTGAGTATGACGTGGAATTTCCAAATGGTTCTCTTTTCAGATGTAGAATAAGATATTTTTAAGATGGAAGATTCATATTAAGCTCCTGTTATGTGCTCCTGCTTCAGTTTCATGGGTGTTAATCTTTCCCATGATTTAGTGTTAAGCATAGCAATTCATAAGAAAACTTCAAAGAGACTTGCTCCAAGCCTTGAGGCTTGTCTTGGAGGAAAAGCTGAGTGTTTGCGGGTGTAGGGCCAGGTGAGCTTGCAAAACTGGTCCCTGCTGGGCCCCACCCCTGCCCTTGCCTGCTGGGAACCTTGTTCTCTATCAGGGAGTGGCCAGGGTTTTAGCCAGGCTGAGATAAGTCTATCAATCCATCTGGGAAA
Source organism: Homo sapiens (assembly GCF_000001405.40). Classification (NCBI taxonomy): domain Eukaryota; kingdom Metazoa; phylum Chordata; class Mammalia; order Primates; family Hominidae; genus Homo; species Homo sapiens. The sequence continues at coordinate 58,441,029 of NC_000015.10, read as the reverse complement.
GGCAGCCTTTTAAAAACAACCCCCCTCATCAGTGGTCTGCCCTGCCTCCAGGATGAGGACAAAACTTCTGAGGATGGCCCTTCCTGTCCTTCCCTCTGGCCACTTCTTTTTATGTACCCCATCCAGGGCCACCCCAAAATCTCAAGAATTCCCAACTTCACTCTCCCTTTTCCAGCCTCTGAGTCAAGCAAGGCTGGTTCATGTTTTTTTTCCCTCTGCTTACAATGTCCTTCCACTTCTTGAAGGAAACTTCAAGATTCAACTCAGATATCACCTCCTCTGTAAAGGCTTCTCAGCTAACCTGCGCTGCCTCAGGGCTCTTGTAACATTTTGCATGTAGTGTTATTTACAAACTAATTGCATTGTGTTGAAATTATGCGCCTCTCCCAATCTCCAACCTCCCTGCCCCCACACACACCCCATAAGGGGCTAGAGACCCTGGCACAGTGGGAAGTCCTTGGTGAGTGGATGTACGCTTTTTCATTTTTGTACCCTCAGGGATATACTTTCCTACTGACCATGGGGCCTGGTACACAGCGGACAGTTTAATAAATGCTGTCACAGCTGCTGTTGATCTTGTTATGTTTCAGTATAAAGCAGTTTGTTTTCTTACCACTTTAGTTTCTCTTGGGACAAGGAAGCTGGAACATTTGTCACTGGAAAGTTTTTGGCAGTCACGGAAAGGTCAGTCCTAGTCAACGGATAACCCATAGGCTCTGCCCTGCTTTGATAATGCCTCACTCATAGGAAAAGAATTTTCCTGATCATATTTTCAGGCCTGCCAAGGAGCCGCTCAGGGTGGATGGTTAATTAGCTTTTGCAATGATTATTTTTCTACCAATTACAAGTAATGCTCAGCTTGGGAATTTTTGTTCATTTCAAGGACTGCTTTCTTTTTAGCATGTAGATATTTTATTTTGGACAAATACATTTTCACAAATATCTTGGGGTTTTAAATACTTTTGGGGTTGTAGCTACTGGGGAAGAAGTCAGTATCCAGGAGCAGTGGATGTTGATTCTCACCCCTTCAACCCTAGAAAGTTAGAAGTGAAGTGAGGTTTGCCCTGTAGCCTCGTGTTGTTTCTGTAGGAAGCACCCTAGCCTGGAAGTCAGTAACCTAGTTTCAAGTCTTGGTTCTTTTGTTTTTTCTCTAGTGGTTCTCTGTGGTCCCCACACCAGCAGCATCATTTGGGAACTGCTGAGAAACGTAAATATCCAAGTCTACCCCAGGCTCACTGAATCAGCAACTCTGTAGTTAGGGCCCCAGAATCTTATTTTAATAAGCCCTGGCCGGGGGCGGTGGCTCACGCCTGTAATCCCAGCACTTTGGGAGGCTGAGGCGGGCAGATCACGAAGTCAAGAGTTCGAGACCAGCCTGGCCAACATGGTGAAACCCCATCTCTACTAAAAGTACAAAAAATAGCTGGGCGTGGTGTTGTGTGTCTGTAATCGCGGCTACTCAGGAGGCTGAGGCAGGAGAACTGCTTGAACCCGGGAGGCAGAGGTTGCTGCGAGCCAAGACTGTGCCACTGCACTCCAGCCTGGGCGACAGAGCAAGACTCCGTCTCAGGAAAAACAAACAAACAAAAAAAGCAGCCTTTTAGGTGCTTCATTACCCACTACAGTTCCAGGATCACTGATCTAGTCAAACTCCTTTATTTTATCATTTCGTAGTAAATTTATTTTCTGATTATTTAAATCATGAAAGTCAATATACCATATACATACTATAACATTACATAAAGAGGGGAAGAGACAAAAGTTCAGATACAAACTCAACGGACGTATAAACATTTTCATGCATCTTCTTCCAGCATTTTTTCTCAAACACATGTATTTTCACACAGTTGTAATCACAGGACACACACAATGAGGCCTGCTCTTCATGTTGGGACATAAACACTACTCAGCGTCGCCACCTACACATCTTCCTGAGAACTATTTTTAAGGGCCACTGCCAGTCCACTGGAGAGCCGTGCCAGAACTGACTTCACCAGGCCCTGAATATGAACCTGCACAAGTGGAGGTGAAAACGCTGTAGACAAAGAGGCCTCCGCTTGCATTCCATGCATTTCCTTCTCTTCTCTTCACTTTTTCCCCATGCCTCCCCACCCCTAGCCAAGCCCCACTGGGGAAAAAATGAAATGAGGAATGCTTCTGGAAATAGACCCCTAAGTGGGAAGGAAAGGGAAGTTAGCCAACAGCCTCATCTTCCAGTCACCCAGAAACTCCATTCTCCTGAGCCAGAAACCCTCTCCTGGAACTCCGAAGCAGCTGAGATGTCACTGCGCTACTTTGTGACCATGTTTAGGAATTGCACCTTCTGTGGGGCAGCCGGGTGGGCGCCCTGACTCCTCCAGGGCTGGAGTGACTGGATTTGGTCTTCTCGCCCCAAGTAGGTACCTGAATGTAAGACCCGACTGCCTTTCTTACCGCGGCTCCTCCACCCGCTGCTGGACAGACTAGGCTCGGCCCCCTTGTTCTAGTTATCACCTTGGGACTGAAGTCCAGCCTGCTGGGCAGGGATCTGGAGGGTCCTATTGGCCCCTAGTCAGCCCTTTTCCCTGGTGGGTTGGACCCCATTTCCCAGCTGAGAGCGCCCCACTCGAAACTGGTCACTGTCCTGGGGGCCAGCGCACAGTACCTTCCTGGCTGTGAGAATCGCTGTGACCTCTGTTCTACGTGGAGCCCGTGGCTGTCAGGGACACCCAGGCTGAGGCCTGGGTGGTTGCATTCCCCTCATGATGAAATGGGGACTGTTCTGCCCTGTCTCGGGGCCCAGCCTCTTTCTGCCTCTCTCCCTGCTGTGCCAACTGTGATGACCCAGCATGCCCGCAGCACTGTGGCAGCTGATGTGGAGAGGAGGGCAGGGAGAGGGCCATCGTGGGTAGCCAGGTACCAGATTCTCTTGGCTTTTGGCTGCGCACTCATTTGGCGATTCATGTTTTCGGGTCAGCTTACAGACCCCATGCCTTCAACCGTCAGCCCTGCAGTTTCTCTCTCCAGCTCAGAATGAAAGAATATGGGTTCCAGTCCTGGGTCTCTGTGAGAGGCAAGCAGAGTGGAGGACAGGCTGCTGTCCCCCGTCTCTCCAGGGTGGACCTTTCAGCAGGACCACAGACCTGCTCAGCTGTAGGGCTAGGAAGGATGGCCATGGATGGGAGGGTCTCTTGCATGGGAAAGATAGAATTTCCCTGGAATGCTGGGGGCTGGCCCTCTGCTGATTCCAGAATAGTACGCACTCTTGGAAGAATGAGTTTCATCTCCGGACTCTATCTCAAATATTAGTCATGGGTGACATTCCATGTAACTGTGGAGGCCTCTCAGAAATCTGACAGACCCTGCTGGGGTAGTGATTTTGAGTGTGGCTGAACCTGCAAAGTTGGGTGCTGGTGGCAGGTCGGAAGGACAGTGGAAAATCCCTTTCCCGGGGGTCGTCTTGGGATGACCAATCTAACTGTAGCTGATCAGGGCCTTTTTATTTTATTTTTCTTGTACATTTAAGTACTTAAATCCTCCAAACCTTAAAACCCTTTATATATCTTTAAATATACTTAGAATCTCTAGCAATATACAGCATGTGTCTACAGTGTTTTCATAATTATGATTCAACATGTAGATTATTTAGTCCTGTTTTTTTTTCCCTACATTATTGCATATACAATTTTCTTATACTTGTTTTACAAAGCTGCAAGACCAGTTGTTACTGAGCTTTTTCAGAGGTCACAGGTCCCTTTGATAATTTGCTGAAAGTTATGACACCTGCTCCCCACTCAAAATGCACACACACACAGCCTTGGGCACCATCTCAGGAGGCTCAACGACTCTTGGAAACCCATCCTCTGTGCTAAGATCCCTGGTGTTAAACTGTGAGTGCTTAGGGGCCAGCAATAGGCTTTTGTTTCTGAACTTCATCATTATTGCCCCCAAAAGTTTCTGTGACTTCTAGTAGTAGGTATTCAAAACCATGCCTGTTCGAAGTTGGACTTAGCAGTAGCTGGAGTCCCCAACTTCAGTGGTTTGCACTTGGGCATTCACATTGTTTCCAGTTTGTTGCAGTTTAACAAGTGTTGCTATCAACACCGTTCTATGGGATATTTTTTCTTTTTCTTCCTAGATGGTCTTTTTTGAAAGGTATTTGGGCTTGAAAAGCACATGTACTTTATCAGCTGTGTACCTCTGCTATTGTACAAGGAAAGCCTCATTCTCTTCTGTCCGGATACCATCCTTCAACACCCTACTCAAATGCCGCCTCCTCCAAGAAGCCTTCTTCCCTCCACTTGGAAGTAAAATCTGCTTCTCTACTCATTCCTCTCTCATGGTCCTCATCTCATGCCATGTTCTGTTCTAGCTGATAACATTTACATATGTGACTCAGTGGTATACCTCATGTATTTGACACACAGAACGGATCATTTTAATGACCCTCTGCTCTATAAGACAAAAGTATTTTCAGTCATATTTATGTAAAAATCAGCAATCATCACTACTTTCTCGATTTCTTCTTTAGTTATAAAGCAGTGAACAATTTTTAAAAAGACAAATACATTTTAACTTTAAGATATTCAAATGCAGTAAAAATATTTTTCGTATGAGTCCAAATTTTTACCTATCAAACAAGATGTTACAACTCATTGTTCACAATCTGTTTTGTTGCTTTAAATTTTAAACACATATGAGAAGCTTACAGGGGTCACCTAGGATGAGAGAATTGAAATAATTCAAGTTCTGGTTTTTTGTTTGTACAACCACTACGCTATCATTTTTTGTTTCAAATCTACTGTTTACATGCAGAAGCAGGTAATAAGTGCCACTGAGGTTGGAGACATAAGGACGTCAAAGGATCTGAACCATCGCACACTTACTCTTGCAACAAGAACACGCCCCTGAGTCTGTGCATGTTGGGGCCAAGTGCATAACCGGGAGTTCTCCAGATTAATGTCAATGTAGAACACAATATTTATGAAAGGATAAATAATAAAGATGTGATGAATTTGAAGCTTACATATACTTACTACATAAAATCCAACAGTAACCACGGAGATTGTTTAGAACTTAGGCCATAAAACCATTTTTTTCTGGAAAGAGCTTTGCCTTTATCGCTGATACTCTTTCTTTTGGGATGGAGTTTCACTTTGTTGCCCAGGATGGAGTGCGACGGCGCCATCTCGGCTCATTGCAACCTCTGCCTCCCGGGTTCAAGCAATTCTCCTGCCTCAGCGTACCAAGTAGCTGGGATTACAGGTGCCCATGACCAAGCCTGGCTAATGTTTTGTATTTTTAGTAGAGATGGCATTTTACCATGTTGGCCAGGCTGGTTTTGAACTCCTAACCTCAGGTGATCCACCCACCTCGGCCTCCCAAAGTGCTGGGATTACAGGCGTGAGCCACGGCGCCCGGCTGACATTCTTTATAATTGTGATAATGACAGGCAGATCAGCTTTTGGTTATATTTGTATTTAAATTCTCCACAGACGGTTGCTCTTTTATTGATGGCACATCCCCCCTCCACCCAGTCCCATGGCCCCCTATTCCCTCCCCACCCCACTCCCACCCCATTTGACTGTAAATTCCTGCAAGGTGGGGACGGCTGTGCAGCCCCCTGTTGTACAGTGCCCACTGCACAAGCGCAGTGGTTTGCAGGCCAAGGCCCCAGGGAGATCGCCTTAGGATGTCCTCCCTTTTCCTCTATGGGAGGCCAGATTTTCTTCCTACATTTCAAACAAAGCAATACATCACAACAGACTGAGTACAGAAACAGGTAAGATAATCCAGCTGTCTTGGGAAGCCAGATATTAGAGAGATTTGCAACATTTCTTTGTAAAACAATGTCACTCTTCTCCATTTAAAACTTATTTGGAAAATACAAGTTATTTTTCATAAAATTACATTATATGTGTTAATATGCAAGGGTTTATTATCATTTTAAAAAGTGTTAGCAGATTTTAAAGATTTCTCAGTTTTAATTTCTAATGAAGGAAATATTGATATCTCACATAATAAACACTGTTTGGGGTCCTCAGTGATTTTTAAGAGAGGAAACGTGTGAACAGAGTGTGTGAGTTGTACTCAGGCACTGCGTTACGTATGGCAGGTGCTCATGTATGCTTGTGACACTCATGAGGGACTGACTGAATAGGTAGCTTTCAGCTGCTCCTAGGATTTGCAAGCTGAGGCTGGGGTGGAGGGGAGGGAGAAGGTGCCTGTTGATAGTGGGCCCAGTACCGGGAAGGTGGGACTTGCCAGGGTCTAGGAGCAGCGTTGGCTCTCATGGCAACACCGACTGGGGAACCTGGGTCTCAGGCATTGGGGCTGGGCATAAGTGTGATGTGCCATGTGGGCTTCAAGCAGCTCACGCTATCCAGTCCCCCTTAGTGCTGAAGGGCAGGAACAACTGTCTAAATCTCCCTCTCTGTGAGAGGAACTGAGCAGAATGTTTTTCTAGAAACCTCTGGCTGTCAAATCACTGGGTGTGGGCTCGACACAGAGCACTGCGGCCTCAGTAGACAGATTGAGGCTGCAGGTACCTCTCCCTGCTCTGCCCTGACCAGCTATGCGACCGCCGGCAAGGCACTTAACTGCCAGCTTACTCAACCATATGGTGAGGATGAGATAAAATGTCCGTGGAGTGCCTGGCACATGCTGGGTGTGCAGCACATTAGTGACTCCATTAGTAAGATGTCATTAATAATAAATACTCAAAAGAAGTAGGCTGGGAGGAGGGGCTAAAGAGGAAGGGTCCTTGAGGGAGTACTTCCTGGTGCTCGATGAGTGACAGTTGAAGCTTGGCATAGATCATGGTTTCTCAGCCTCTGCACTAATAATGTTTTGGGCCAGACAATTCATTGTTGTGAGGGCTGTCCTGTGCATTGTAGGATGTGAAGCAGCTTCCCTGGCCTCTACCCACTAGATGCTGGAAGGGAAGCACTCTCTCCCTGGTCTTAACAACCAAAAACCAAAAATGTCTCCAGACATTGCCAAGTGTCCCCTGGAGGGCAAAATTGCCCCTGTTGAGAACCATTGGTGTAGAAACTTTCCTGACAAGGGCTCCACCACAGGACACCGGCTTCCCTGCGGTTTCCCCAGAAAGACATCATACCAGCCACATGCACACAGATTGGGCTCACTCATTGCAGAAAGAATTCTGCCAAGAGATTCTGCTTCCAAGAGAACAAGAGGCCTCCTGACTTGGATCCTCTTTTCTGAGGAACCCTCTTGCTAATAGTGGCCACTTCTCTCAGCATTTGCACAAACTAGGCCCCGGGGAAAGAAGCAGGCTGATCAGGACAATGAGATTGCTCAAGGAAAATCTGGACAATACCCAGAAGCCTGGGGGAGGCCATCCCTCCCTTCAACCTCTATCTCAGCACTGACAGCTTCCAATTCCCATGGCTCCATTGCAAAAACAGTCCTGGCCAATCCACAGTAGAATGGATAAAGGAAGTGTGGCATGGTCCCGCAGTGGAATGCTACAGCAGTGAGAATGAATGAGCCTCAACTCCACGAAACTGCATGGTTGACTTTCACAAACATAATGTCGAACGAAAGAAGCCAGACGCAAAAGAGCAACTGATGTGTTTCTATTAATGAAAAATCTCCCCAAAGGAAAAAATCATATATGTTAAGGCTCAAGGGGCACACAAGGAAGGCTTTGGGGTACTGGTTCAGTTTGTGAGAACTCATTGAGGATTTATGATAGAGGCCCTTTTCTAGAAGTGTGTTATAAACTTCATTAAAAAGTAAACAAACAAATACAACATTCCGGGGCAAAGGGCAGGAAAGGCCCTTTAGCAAAATCACTATGAACCAAGGGAATAAAGATTACCAGCAATTTTACCTGTATGGCTCTAAATTATTATGTAAGGGTCATTTTTGGATGTGGCTTTATAAATGAGATGATGTGTCAAAAATAATTAGTATAGTGCTTGGCACAGAAAATACTTAGTGAATGGCAATAATTAATACTGCTACTCAGTTATTAACTGGCCTATGAAGTAAAATAGTCAAATACAAAGGAACAGCCTTTTTCTTAAAGGGGAAAAAAGCTTCTGAAATTTTTAGGTACATCCCGTTAGGGAATTTCTAATTCTCAAAGTTGTCGGAGCTCTCTCCAAGGCTAGTCTTAGAGAAAAGAAAAATCTCAGACTCTACCTTAGCGTTACTAGCTCCTGACCAGTAACCAGTACCAAAACAAATTCCCAAACACCTGTCTAGTCTGGCCAAATTGTTCAATTAACTGATCCGTCATTTATTGGTCCACTGCTTAGCCTGGAAGCTGGGCTCCACTCTACTACCTTCCTGATAAGGCATTTGATCTGTCTTTCGCCATCAATCTAGTTTGTGAATTTACAAACAAAACAGGCAGGACGGCTGTTGGATTCTTCAGCCTCAGACTAAAATTTTGGCAGCAAAACAAAGTCTAGAAATTGTGCAATGATATCTCTACTTTAGACCTGACTGGAAATAGAACTCTCATAAATTCCCCTCTCTTCTGAGAGAGGCAGGCAATTAGACAACCCCAACCCGACAGAGCATTTCATTGCAAGCCTGGCTCCCCGGTTGCAAATTAGATGCCACATTAACTCTCAGGAAGATCTGAATCGCTTTCATATCATTTGCCGCTGAATAACTTTTAGCATGACTGTTTCCATATCAGATACGCAAGAGACTTCACTGCTAGCTGCAGGCACTCTTAGAAGACTTTTAATCCGAGGATGATTTTCTAAAATTTCATTTCTGTTTACAAACGGCTACGTGTCCCTGTGAACCTGTGAGGTCGTGTATAGAACCACCTGGCACGCTCTGAAGCAAGCTCTGTCCCATACAGTCAGAAACCCCTGGATTCTTTGTGACACACGTTTTAAAAAGAAAAGTTCATGCCCATCTCTGGAGAAAAGTCAGGCTCTTACCTGGTTTCAGGCTTTGTCCAAGGGCACTTGATTGGATAAAGATGCATAAAACCAACAGAATGGAGAAACACAGGGGACTTGTGTCCATTTCTCCGTTTCACCCGGGGTCCAGGCTTTCTTGGTAATTTCTGAAGCCAAAGAGACCACAATGCCTATTAGATACTTTGTTAGGGAAGACTGCCCATTAATAATTAACCTCTCAACATGTTATCCACTGTTCAGACCCTTTCTTTACTGCCCCCAACTGCAAATCTAATTATATCTATTTTAAAAAGGTCGATTTACAGAAGTGCTTCTTATCCTGACACATTTTGAGAATAAAATACCTTGTTATGTATTCTTACCTTTTGGGGCCAAGGTCAGAGTTCCAAATTAATCAACTTAAAGCTACTGTGTTGTGTTTGGAAATTCTGCCAAAGGTCGGGGTAGGTGGCTTCCACGTGGCTGCCTAAGCCTCCCTGTGACAGCGCTGCAAGGGGGATGCTGGCTCAGGAAAGTGGTGTTTCAAATTGCAGCCTAAGCCCAAAGAAAAAGAAAAGGGCCCTGCCACGCAGAGAGCCCCCAGAGGGTCCAAATTTCTGTTGGGTTCAGTGAAATTGGTGATGCTTGTGGTCAAAGTGTGGTGCAGAAAACCCTTCACCCCCGTGTCAAAAGGAGCTGACGAAGAAGCAAAGATGCCCTTGCCAAGTGACCCATTGAGAGGTGATCCTAGAGTAAACACACTTCTTCCCCCTCTGTGTTCATTAATGTTCCAGCTGTGTAGAGGACTGAAAAGTAAGGCCACTCAGCAAAATCAGGTAGGGAAAAGGCGACCATAGATGGCTTTTGTGATATTTTTGGACCTCTAGTTTTACTTTAACTTTCTTCATTTGTTCAACATTTATATATTTTGGTATGCCTACTAGGTGCCAAGCACTGTTGCAGGCACGTGGGGTATACAAGTCCTTATGTATCAGTGGAGGTTCTTACCTTCTGGAGTTGGATAACGGACAGTAGACATAATAAAGAAGAGATTTCTGGCCAGGAGCGGTGGCTCACTCCTGTAATCACAGCACTTTGGGAGGCGAGGAGGGCGGATCACGAGGTCAGGAGTTCGAGACCAGCCTGACCAACATGGTGAAACCCCATCTGTACTAAAAATACAAAAGTTAGCTGGGCGTGGAGGTGAGTGCCTGTAATCCCAGCTACTCAGGAAGCTGAGGCAGGAGAATCGCTTGAACCTGGGAGGCGGAGGTTGCAGTGAACTGAGATCGCGCCATTGTACTCCAGCCTGGGCGACACAGAGAGACTCCGTCTCAAAAAAAAAAAAAAAAAAATTAGGTAGACTGGTAGAATGTAATGGGAACCACTACAAGAAAAGCAGGGGGTTGGGGAGAAGGTAGGGATTTTAAGCAGAGTGGTTAGAGTGAATTGCATTGGGAAGTTAAACTTTCAGCAAAGGTTTGAAGGAAGTGAAGGAGTTGCCCCTGTGGACGTCTTGGGGAGGAGAGCTTCGGGCAGTCTGTGCAAAGGCCCTGAGGTAGGAGTATGCCTGGTGTGCTCCAGGAATAGCAAGGAGGCCAATGAATGGGGAGACATTGTAAGGACTTTGACTTTTATGCATTGACACATGGGGGGCGACTCTGAGCAGAAGGGTGATATGATTTGTATTATAGTTTTAAAATATCACTCTGGTTTGCAAGTGAGCCAGGGTGCAGTGGGGAGATCTGTTAGAAGGCTATTACAGTGGCCCAGTGAGAGGTGATGGTGGCGTGGCCCAGCATGGTAAAGGGCAACTGCGGAGTGGTGGATGGGTGGTGGATATATTTTGAAGGTAGAGCCCACAGGATTTTCTGACTGCTGAGTTGTGAGATGTGGGAGAAAGAGAGGAGTTAAGGATGACTTCCAGGTTTTTTGGCTTGAACAAGCAGATTAATGGGGTTGCTGTCAGCTGAGAAGGGGAAGCTGTGAGTGAAGCAGGTCTGTTGGGGGAAGATTAGAGATTCAGCCTTGGCCACGTGGGGCTTTGAGATGGCTCTTAGACATCCAAGTGGAAACGTTAAGCGGGCAAAATTAGATAACATGGTAATTATTGCCTGGACGAGCCTCATTCAAAGGGCCTTCTGAAGCCACCACCAGACTTGGACGATCTTGACCCAGTCTAAAGCTGTGTTCTGTCCTATGACTGTACCTTCCTCCCAAGCCCCGAAGCTTGCGGACCATCCCGTCAGATATACAATTTCTTTTTCTTTTTCTTTTTTTTTTTTGAGATGGAATCTTGCTCTGTCGCCCAGGCTGGAGTGCAGTGGCGCGATCTCGGTTCACTGCAACTTCCACCTCCCAGGTTCAAGCGATTCTAGTGCTTCAGCCTTCAGAGTAGGTGGGACTACAGGTGCCCACCACCATGCCTGGCTAATTTTTGTATTTTTAGTAGAGACGGGGTTTTACCATGTTGGTCAGGCTGGTCTCTAACTCCTGACCTTGTGATCCACCCACCTCGGCCTCCCAAAGTGCTGGGATTACAGGCGTGAGTCACCGTGCCCATCAGATATACAATTTCTGAGCAAGGACTTCTGCCTTGGATACTTGGCTGGCTCCTGCACAGTTAAGCAGAATCTGAAAGTTCCACTTTTTTTCCTATAAAGCTGGCACGTAAGACCAGCTGGCTACCCATCTCGGGCTCCTCTCCCCTGTGCCCACCCTCATCTCCTCTCCTCTGGGTACTGCCAGTAACCACCGCCACTCCCCATTTTATTCGGGACACAAACTCATCAAAAGACACCAGTGAATCCAAGTGCCTCTGAAATACCAACCGTGTGCCCCCACCCGCCCCCCAAATTTCTGCAGAGTACACTTTCTTACCACTTTCTACGTGGTAAGAACACTTTCAACATGGGAAGAAGCCTTCAAGATTGTTTCTAGCTCTTGTAGTTCCTTTACTTGCACCACCCCAAATTCCTCTAACATCATCTCATGCCAACTCAAATTCTATAAGGCTCTCCTGGAAAATGACAAGGAGGAGTGGGTACCTGTCCCCTTTCAGGGTGTTGTCTGCTTTCACCTCTACCTAAGCTCTTCCAGCCTGCCCCATCACCGGGTCTGACCTTCCAGTGGTGGTTTTAATGCACAAGCTCTGTTGTGTTTTCTTGAAGCTGACCAGGGAGGCTACTGGCAGGGAAGAGGGGAGGACTTCACAGAGTATGAGATTTCCTGAACTGGGGGGGTCCTAGGCCTATCTACTTGCTGTATATAATATTATATAACCTTAATGAGTTCAATCTCCTCACCTATAAAATGGGGACAACATGTATCTGAGATAATATTTTGAGATATCAACTTATTTTTCTCCCAAACTGTCTCCCTTCCACTTAAGAGGGGCAAAGTAGAGAGAAGGCTACAAATCTTTTGTCTTCCAAAAATATAGGACCTTAGGGCAAGTGAATTTTATTTTATTTTATATTATTTTATTTTATTTATTTTAGAGACAGGGTCTTCCTATGTTGCCCAGGCTGGCCATAAACTCCTGGGCTCAAGTGATCCTCCTGCCTTGGCCTCCCAAAGTGTGGGCAGGTGAATTCTAGCCAACAAAGAAAAGCAAAAGACTAACATTTCTTGAGGGGATGTGAAGGGAGAAGGAACCCCTCACCTTGCCATCACTAGAAAGACATTCTCTTGGGCTTTGCAGGTGGTGTGGAAGGGGGAGGTTTGTCTATGGGTCTGAGAGCAGAGGGGACAGTACCTTGCTTCCCAGAAATCCTGCTGGAAGAGAAGAACCCAGGGAGGAAATGGCTGTGTTGGCACATGGGCAAAAGATATACCTGGCTTGATGTAGGGTGGGAGAGCAGTGAGTCTCTGGGGCCAGCAGGTCATGTTGATGGGAGGATGGGCCCCTCAGTGGCCACCAATGTGGACTGATGACAGAGGACTAGGTCACACTCCCCTGACCCCATGCCTGGCTATTGTATTTGTCCAGAACTATGGCATAACTACTGGGGTTGGGGGTGGGGTGGGGAGAAGAAATCCAGAAGGCCTGAAAATAGGGGTTAAGAGTCAGGAATTTAGATGGGTTACAGAGAATAGAGAAATTTATTGCACATCAGAATCTCTGGACTGAAATTAATACCTCTAGGAAAAGAGGTATGCCATGAATATTAGAGATTTGTGTGTAAGGTGTCAAGCCAAGTGCCTGGTTCATAGTAGAGGGTCAATAAATTATAATGACCTATTTTGTGGGCAATATACTTAGTGGTCAAGGGTCCATGCTTTGAGGCTGGGTGCAGTGGGCAGTGGCTCACACTTGTAATCCCAGTGCTTTGGGAGGCTGAGGCAGGAGGATCACTTGAGGCCAGGAGTTTGCGACTAGCTTGGGTAACATAGCAAGACCCCATCTATATAAACATAAAAACCAAAAAATTAGCCTGGTATGGTGGCACACACCTGTAGTCCTAGGTACTTGGGAGGCTGAGGCAGGGATATTACTTGAACCCAGGAGGTGGAGGCTGCAGTGAGCTATGATCACACCACTGCACTCCAGCCTGGGTGACAGAGTGAGACCCTATCTCTAAAAGAAAAAAAAAAAAAGAGTCCAGCCTTGGGAATCCGACAGATACAGGCTTGAATTCCTAGTCTGTCACTTGTGCTTACTAGCTGAGTGAACTTGGATAAGACATTGTGACTGAGCTTTAGTTTTCTTCACCTGTATAATGGGACTAATAATACCTCCCTAGTCTGATTAAGTGAGGCAATGCATGTGAAGCCCTCAGCAATCCTAGGCCACAGGAAATAATTAATGGTAGCTAATTTTTTTTAATGTTTAAATTCACTGAGGGGATCACGAAGGTGTCCAGGAGGTAGATAACAATAAGACCACAGTGATATAATTGTAGCAAAAAATGTAAGGGGCAGGAAAACACAAGGGTCTGGATCAGTGGCTGCAAAATCCAATTGAGCATGAGAATAAGAGTCAGCTGGGGAGCTCAGACAATGACAACTTATGGGCCCATCCCAGGAATACTGAGTAATGGAATCAACACTAGGGTCAAGGCCCAGTGAACCTTCATTTTAAGCAAGATCTCCAAGTAATTCTTGGTTACACAAAGTTTGAGAACCATTGCCTCAGAATGGTGCTTGAGAGATCTTCTGGGGCAAAAGAAGAAAATAATATAGACCTTTCAGATTTTTCTTTGTATTTCCTTAGACAGTTCATGTTTGTGCACGTATAATGTTTATAGCATATAAGTACTATATAATTTGCAGGTGGTACTACGGAATATACTAGTGCTATATTATTTATAAACAAATAAATAGATATTGGGGATAAGATGTGTTGTCAAAAAATGGGTAAAGCCTCTGCCTTAGAGAGACAGAATGGCTCCCAGGGCTGCCAGACCTGACTGTCATGTGCTTGACTCCAGCCATGCATCTGAGCAGTCAATAGATCCATTCATAGCATCTTTGGTCATTTCCATGCCCAAGGAAGCCCAGCAGTTTCTTGAGGCCTCTTCATTTCCTATTAGCTAAAGAGGAGGCAAGCCTGAGCCTCTTAGAGTTTGGAGCCTCCAATGGAGTGATCAGCATGGTGCATGTTAGCAGAGCTCTGTGGCTTCATCCTTTGCAATTCTTTTATTTATTTATTTATTTTTTGGGGGGATGGAGTCTTGCTGTGTTGCCCAGGCTGGAGTGCAATGGCATGATCCCGGCTCACTGCAACATCTGCCTCCTGGGTTCAAGTGATTCTCATGCCTCAGCCTCCCTAGTAGCTGGGATTATAGGGTGTGCCACCACACTTGGCTTTTTTTTGCTTTTTTTTTTGTATTTTTAGTAGAGATGGGGTTTCACCATGTTGGCCAGGCTGGTCTAGAACTCCTGAGCTCAAGTGATCTGCCTGCCTCAGCCTCCCAAAATGCTGGGATCACAGGCATGAGCCACCATGCCTGGCCTCTTCCTTTGCAATTCTTTAAAGACGTTTCTATTTTGGGTGACATTGCACTCTGGTCTGCAGTCCTCTATCTAAAGTAATAATGGTTTTATAATTAGGTTTTTAAACATTGCCCAGTTCTTGCTCTGTCTTAATTTACAGAGCTTCTTGAATAAATAAAGATTTCAAGAGAGTGGCATTTGATGACCTGAGAATGACCTTTTTCTTTAGTGTCATGGTGATAAGAAAGTTAATTAGGAGAGAAGAAACAGATATTTTACAAGGATAAAGCAAGCAAATCCCAAGAGGAAGAGGCCAGGGGACCAAGTTGAAGTTCACTGATGACAGAAACAGAATTTTATACCCAGAATCAGGTTTTCTTCTTTTCATCTTCAGGAACTGGGATATCTTACCTGAGAAAGGCAAGCTTTTGTTGGTGTTATAATAAAATAATACTTTAAACAATAAAATTTGACACTGTTATTTCCTAATTTTGCAGTTGAGATTTAAGAGGTTGGGAACTGGTACCAAACTGTATCTCACCAGTAAAAGACAGAGAGAGGAGAAGTCAGGGGATCTGAGGCCAAGTTCTGTTCTCTTAACAACCACAAATCCTTAATCCCTATGTATCTGGCTTTCCCTGGGACTGAATCAGGTTTCTCTGCACATCAGCCTAGTCCACTTCCAAGATGAAATGAATTTCCTTGGATCATGTTATAGGAAAATGACTCTATCCTCTTATACTCCTGCTTGGGGCCAGGGTGCCATGAGGAGAATGACCAAGTTTTTATTGGGTCACTCACTGATCTGTGTGGACATTCTTGCGCCATGAGGGAATATGGCAAAACAAGTAGGTAAACCTCGTTAATTTGAGTTAGCCTGGAACGTCCTCATTTGGAAAGTGGTTGGACTGGAGTTTAACCTTTTCCTTATCTGTGTTAGAAAAAAAAAAAGACCTGATAAACAAAGGAAGGGTGAAAACAAGATTGCAGAGGACATTTTAGACTATTTGGAAGAATTAGGTGTTTCAAGCATTTCAAATAGGTATTTATTCATCCAAGATTATCACTCCTGGTGACCAGGGGTGTCTTTGCATCAGCTCTGTCTCCAACTTGTTGTGTGACCTTGGGCAAATTCTGTAACCTATCTCTGCCTGTTTATTCCCCCGTCAAATGGGGTTATGAAGGTTAAATTATTATCACATGAAAATGCTTATAACAACTCTCTGCATAGTCAAGCCTCTTTTGATTTTCTTAACAAATAAGGTAGGAATTATTTTCCCCATTTTACAGATGAGAAAACTGAGGTTCGGATATTCCTTACGCAAGGTCACATATCTAATTGATATAGATTGGATATAAGGACGCTAGGTCCCTGGAAGATCTAATATTCTGATTCCCAGAGTCTCAAGTTATGCAGCCAGGGAGCAAAGAGTTGAGATCCCCTTTCTTCTTATTTTTATGTTTCCTGGTCTGTGTTGGCCCACGGACTCTCCTTATCAGGATTTCAGCTGCCAGATTGTAGAACAATTGGGAAAATCATCATCACAACAACAACACCCTAGAACCAGAGCAGTCTTTTTTATGACTAGATACTGTGGAACCAGCAATGCATTTTATGATCTTAGAAATTCCAGTAGGATGGAAAACCTATTTTCACTCTTTGTATTATGCTTTGAAGCAAAAGGAAATAAAGATTCAAGTTGGCTTTGAACACCAGGTAGATAGTGAGTATTGTTGGCTCCGTAAAGTTTGCCCAGGGTTTTCCCCTTTGTGGGGAAGAGGGGGAGTGTAGACTAGAATTCGTGAAGTGTCTACTCTGTGTCTGCTTCCTCCAGCTGCTGGGGTGCTGGCCAGGCTTTGTGACTGGTGACCATGCTGGCTCCTGAGGGAGACTCCCCGCAAGCCATGAACTGAACTAGCTGCTTGCAACAAGCAAGGACAGTTTGGGGAGGGGGGCACCAGCACACTGGCTGTGTCTCTTGGTCCTAGTGCTGCCAACCATGGGGTGTTCAGGGGCACAGTCCTCACCCTGGGTATCAGGGACGGCTGGGCACTGGTCAGATTGCAACGGCCCAAGCCTCCCTGCAGCAGGATGCCACGTCGTCATCTCACAAAGGCTTGCTGAGTTCAGCACACAGGATCCATGGCTGCCGGAAACCTGGAATTAATTCCCCTTTATTCTCTTCATTCCCAATGATGTGTTTCAAGTTCTGAAGAGCTGCCAATGAGTCATCATTTTTCTGAAGACAGGGTATCTTGCTGACATGGTTCATCATTTTTCCTAGGCAGGCCTAAAAGTCAGGAGTTAACAATTCAGGAGCCAGCGTCCAAAGTGCCTGCACAGTGCCAGAATCTCCATGTGATCTCATTCACACTTTAGGAAGAATCCTATGATGTAGCATGATTTCCCCCAGGGGAAACTGAGGCTCAGGGAGGTTACTGAATTGCCCAAATACATACTGTAGTAAGTGGTGGAATGAGACTTGAATGATGTTTGACTTCAGAGTCCATACAACAAAAAGTAGTTTTGCCAAGTATAGTAGGGATTGGCTGTGAGATCTTTGTGTATCAGTTGCTTAAAAAGATGGAATTGTGTCATGCTCTTGCTCTGCGTATAAAGACATATATCGTGCATTTCATTTATATATGAAAGGGAATTTATTAAGGAGTATTGACTCACACGATCACAAGGTAAAGTCCCATGATTGGTCGTCTGCAAGTTGAGGAGCAAGGAAGCCAGTGGTGGGTCAGCTCGAGTTCCCAAACCTCAAAAGTAGGGAAGCCGACATTGCAGCCTTCAATCTGTGGACAAAGGCCAAGAGCTCCTGGCAAGCGACTGGTGTAAGTCCAAGAGTCCAAAAGCTGAAGAACTTGGAGTTTGATGTTTGAGGGCAGGAAGCATCCAGCATGGGAGAATGGTGAAGTCTGGAAGACTCAGCAAGTCAAGTCCTTCCCATCTTCTTCCTGCTTTATTCTAGCCAAACTGGCAGCTGATTAGATGGTGCCCACCCAGATTGAGGGTGGGTCTGCCTCTCCCAGTCCATTGACTCAAATTTTACTAATATTTCCTTTGGCAATACCCTCACAGACACACCCAGGAAAAGTATTTTGCATCCTTCGATCCAATCAATTTGACATTCAATATTAACCATCACATCACATGTTTATTATTATTTTTAAAACAAATGTTCTCAAGCCTTTTCTCAGCTATTTAATGGCGATAGCTCTGAGATAAACTACGAGACATAGCAGAAGTTAGAAATAATGGAAACATTATAATGGGACATAATCATATAATTTATATGCCAATTACTTTTCCTCAATCAACAGTAAAGAAGACCAGCCAGGAAGAGGGGACCGGGGCCTTTGGCCATGATGCTTTGTCCCGGATAGAGCAGAGTGTTTGAAAGGAAGTTGTCAGGACAAGGCTGTGCTTCTCAGGACCCAACTGAGAACATCATCAGTTATCCAATTACGCCTGAAGTCATTCATTTGAGTTAGATCATGCCTGGGGTCCTTCAGAAAGTAACAAGCAAGATACTTTTGACATGCTTTCATAATTCCATTAAGAGATAATTTTTTAAAAAACGAAGGTAAAATCATGACTCTCAAATATAAAAACGAGTACATGGTAAATATTTTACTTAACTAATTAATGAGGCAAGTGGTAAGGGTGTTATAACCAGTTCAAAGGAGAAGCCAAAAAACCACACAAGTTTATATGAGTAAAGAAATGTTGGCCAGGTGTGGTGGCTCATGCCTGTAATACCAGCACTCTGGGAGGCCGAGGCGGGCGGATCACGAGGTCAGGAGATCGAGACCATCCTGGCTAACACGGCGAAACCCCATCTCTACTAAAAATACAAAAAATTAGCCGGGCGTGGTGGTGGGCGCCTGTAGTCCCAGCTACTTGGGAGGCTGAAGCAGGGAATGGCGGGAAGCCGGGAGGCGGAGCTTGCAGTGAGCCTAGATCGCGCCACTGCACCCCAGCCTGGGCGACAGAGCGAGACTCCGTCTCAAAAAAAAAAAAAGAAAAAAAAAGTTGCAATGAAGGTACAAATGGCAAATGGATACAGAAGTAGCTTTTTCTGCAGTGTGGCAGTGAAGTCAGTGTAACTTCTACAGTATAGGACAGAATTTGCATTTTGCATTGCTATTAGTTATCTGCAATTTACAGAGTTGCAAAATGCTTCAAGGGCAATGAAAGCTAGAATCAAATAACCCAGGGAGGCTGTGCCGTATGTAGACAATACATCCTTTTCCATGGAAATACAAAATGTTCCCTATATTTAGTATTGTTACAAAATGGTAAAGGAAGTATTTAGCTACAGAATTCTGATGATAACAGGATAAGGTTCTTTCTGGAGGAAAAAGCTGTCTCTTGCTGCATTTTTGCCTCCTGAGTGAAGACTCTGATCGCTGAGAACCGGATTTCGAAGCTTGGTTTCTCGGTTTTTAGTCCCATTAAGCAGGCAGATTATTTAATAGCTGGCACCTCAGTTTCCTCATTTTAAAATAGGAGTAGTAAAATTATTTGCCTCACAGGGCTTGGGGGGAGATAAAATGAGAAAAACCATGAACTGTGCATACCATAGTGCCCAATAAATACGTATCAGCCATTAGTGTTTTTATGTATTACTGCAGTTTTTCGGCATGGTTTTTATTTCTCCCATCCCTCACCTGATCCTTCCCTTTCTTGTTTCCTGCCCATTTAACTGAAGTAGTAAAGAATAGGAGACTTATTTACAATGTTTTAAAGAAAGTATAGAGTCTATGCTTCCTGTTCTTGATTTTAAAATCAAGTTGTTATGTGTTCCTTTCTATTTAAAAAAGAAAGCAAGCTGGGTGTGGTGGCTCATGGCTGAGCCCAGGAGTTTGAGACCTGCCTGGGCAGCATAGTGAGACCCTGTTTCTATAAAAAATTTTTTAAAAAATTAGCCAGTGTGGCAGTGCACAGCTGTAGTCCCAGTTACTTGGGAGGCTGAGGTGGGAGGATGGCTTGAGCCCAGAAGGTCAAGACTGCGGTAAGCTGTGATCATGCCACTGCACTCCAGCTTGGGCAATAGAACAAGATCCTGTCTCTATCTTAAACAAACAAACAAAAAACAAAAAAATAACTAAAGAAAAGAAAAATAGAAAGCATCTTTACCCCCAATATTGCTTTCTTGTTTTTGAGTAATTCTTGTCACCTGTCTTAGCCCAGCTAACTCTGAATTTAAACAAGTGATTCATTTTCTCAGGTTATATATTAATCACCAGAGAAAACAGGTTGGGAGAGTGGGAAAGACCCTCTTTGGGGTCTTCTCAGCCCAGCTGGGGTTAGGAGGCCAAGGCCAGGAGGTGACACACTGGAGCCAGGTCATCCAGAGCTCCTCGGTGAGCCTCTCCCCCATCTGCATTCTCAGACCCCAGGGGCCATGTCCACGGGCCAGAGAGTCTGTGAGCAGCATGTGCCCGGTACCAGAGAAAACTCTACTCAGCCCCGTCCAGAAGAGTTGGTATAAACGTGCCTTTGCAAAGTTTGTTTTTCACTTTTGGGTCTGATGGAGGGGGAATTCTTCAACCTCAGAGGGGAATTCCTGTATGTCTAGGGTCAGGGTGCCTGATGGATTGACCCTATCAGCTCCTATTTCAAATCTGGCACCCCAAGAAACTTCCAGATGATTTGGGTGAAGCTCCCAGGATCTCCCTCTTTGCTCAACAGCCTGGATTCTTCGAGGAAAAAGAAGGCATTTGAGCAAGGATTGGGGAAGAAGCTTCGCCTCTGGGCAAAGTTCAGGGATAGGAGGACAAAGCTATCACAGTGTCTAGGCTTTCTTTACATGTATGGCAACTGGAGTGACACCTGGAGAGAGCCATCTTCACTCCACAGTTCTATTCCTATCACCGAATCTGTCAGGCTCTGGGGAGGACTCCTAGAGAGCAAAACATACTTTCCACACATTAGCAAACAGCATGATTCGATCTCAGGGGTCAGCCAGGAGCAGAACACAGGCAGATGCATACAGGGCTCCCTGCTTCCAGGACTATTTCTTTCTGTTACATATCATCTCTAAAGCAAAATTGCTTGTTTCAGCTCTTGATAGAAATGTAACTTCCCTTGTCCATTTTCCACAGGCAGTGTGTACACAAGGAAGGAAATGGCAGGCTGTTCATATGCAGCAAGATCCACACTTGGCCAAACCTGGGGTCACAGAGATGGACATGGAATCGAGGGCAGAAGATCTGGGTTTGAGTCCAGCAGTGCTTTAGGTAAGTCGTAATCTTTACACAACGGGGATAATGAAACCTGGGATGCCTGCCTCACAAGGTCATAAGCAGAAGAGATGAGGCCGGGCGCAGTGGCTCATGCCTGTAATCCCAGCACTCTGGGAGGCCGATGAGGGCGGATTACTTGAGGTCAGGAGTTCAAGACCAGCCTGGCCAACATGGTGAAACCCTATCTCTACTAAAAAAACAAAAATAAGCTGGGTGTGGTGGTGTGGGCCTGTAATCCCAGCTACTTGGGAGGCTGAGGCAGGAGAATCTCTTGAACCAGGGAGGTGGAGGTTGCAGTGAGCTGAGATTGGGCCACTGCACTCCAGCCCCGGCAACAGAGAGAGACTCTGTCTCAAAAAAAAAATAAAAAAGAAGAAGAAGAAGAGATGGTAGATGCCCAAACATCCTTAAGCAATGAAAAGACCCATGTAAAGCAGAGGCCCCAGGCTGGGATGAGTGGATGAGTACATTGGTGGAGCAAAAAGATCCTGAGATTTGGGAGCCCAAGAGGTTCTGCTTTCTGGCATCAGACCAGAGTGCACCTTCTTGTCCCAGATTCCCAGGGTGACCACCAACAGATGGACAGCTCTGGCTTCTGGCAGGGCAGGGCAGGGCTCTTGGAGGTACCCACCTTCAGTGGGCTGTCTCACAATAATTCCTTCAGGCTTTGGAGATGGTGGTCAGGGCCAGCTGAGATCTGGTGGCCTGCAAGTGAGCTGAGGGCTACTGCAATTAGGCAATTCCTGGGGACCTCACTGATAAGCTCTGGTAGATCAAGCCTGGATGTTTTGTTATTGCATAGGGGTTAATATGATGACCAAGTTCACCTTGGGCTTCTCTCTGGATGTCTTTGCTGGTCTCTCTTTCCTTCATTGCCCTCTCTGACTGAGGTCAGAGTCCTTGAATGGCCCTCAAGCTACCCCTACCCCACTCCCAGGAAAACCTCTGCTCTGGCCTCTTCTCTCCCTGGAGCCCATGCTGAGAGAGCCTGTGGCTCCTCTCACCTGCATAAATAGGTGAGATCACCCAGACACTGCCTCTGGGTGGAAAAGAGAAGGTGTCAAGGGACTGAGCCCTGGGTGTTCCAACATTTAGAAGTAAAGGAGATGAAGAGGGACCTTTCTCCTTTAGCCAAATTACTTCTTAAGAATCGATTCTTGGCTGGGTGAGGTGGCTCATGCCTGTAATCCCAGCACTTTGGGAGGCCGAGGCGGGCGGATCACCTGAGGTTGGGAGTTCAACACTAGCCTGACCAACATGGGGAAACCCTGTCTCTACTAAAAATACAAAAAAATTAGCTAGGTGTGGTATCGCATGCCTGTAACCCCAGCTACTTGGGAGGCTGAGGCAGGAGAATCACTTGAACCCAGGAGGTGGAGGTTGTGGTGAGGCAGAGATCACGCCATTGCACTCCAGCTTGGGCAACAAGAACGTGAAACTCTGTCTCAAAAAAAAAAAAGAAAAGAAAAAAAAGAATCAATTCTTAGTGGTAACATTTCTGGTAAAAGGACATGAACAATATGGTTATAAATGAAGGTATGGATAAATTTCTGGGTAGCTCCACCATCAATGGATATTAGCATTTGACATTTTTTCTTGTTGTTCCATTAGAATATGTAAACTGGCATCTCCAGACTGCTTCCATTTACATGTCTTTGATTTCTGGCAAGAATTAACATTTCCCCACTATGTTTATCTACTAATTGTATGCCCCTTATGGGAATTGTCCAGTCTTTGACCCATTTATCTTTTGGAATCTTGACATTTATTTTACAAATTTGAATTAGTTATTTATGATGGATCTTAATTCTTTGTAATGTTTGATAGAAATATTTTCCCTCTTAAAAAATCTTCAGTAATGCTAATTTTTATAGTGCAATCATTTCAATTGCTTCAAAGCTGAGAAAGTTAAAATTACCCCAGAGAGCTGATAAACTCTCTTTCCAGTTGTCTGCAAGTTCTATCATAATTTGATTTTATATTTAAATCTTTAATCAACCAAAGCTTATTTTGTTGCACGTTTTATTTTTAATAACTTTTCTATTATAAAATCAATAAATGTTTATTATTGTAAAATAGGAAAATAAAGAAGAACAAAAAGAAAAACATACATAGGTCTGTGATTTCACATTTAGAGATAAGCACTGTTGACATTTTGATGTGGATATCCCCAAGTCATTTTTTCTATGTATACAATTATTTAAAAAAAATAACTGTAAACACACTGTACAAAGTGTTTAAATACCTGTGTATTAACAACACATTAATGGCATATTTCAGGGGCATTAAATATTCTTTTAAAACATTATTTGAAATAGCTACAGAGTACAGTTACACTCTATAGATGTACCATAATTGGCTTAATTCCCTATTGTTTTTTCATTAACTGTATTTAAGATAACACTATTATGAACAATGCTATTATAAACATATGCATAAATCTTGGTCCACATGTATGATTTTCTTTGTATAAATTATTTTTTTAGTAGCTTAAAAAAATTTTAGATTCTGAGGGAACATGTGCAGGTTTGTCACATGGGTATATTGTGTGATGCCGAGGTTTGAGCTTCTAATGGTTCCATTGCCCAAGTAGTGAATATTGTACCCGATAGGTTTTTTTAACCTTTGTCCCCCTCTCCTTCTCACCCCTTTTAGAATGCCACTGTCTATTATTTCCATCTTTATGTCCACTTGTACTCAATGTTTAGCTCCCACTTATAAGTGAGAACGTGCAGTGTTTATCTGCTTTTGTGTTAATTTGCTTAGGATAATGACCTTCAGCTGTAGCCATGTTGCTGCAAAGGATGTGATTTTGTTCTTTTTTATGGCTGCGTAGTATTCCTTAAAAATAATACTACAGATCATATATGTACCACGTTTTCCTTTGTATAAATTTCTTAAAGTAGAATTGCTAAGGCAAAGGTTTTATATCTAGGTATCTATATCTACCTATATATTTTGCCTTTACATATACACTGCTACGTTAAGTAAATTTCTGTCATTTTAAGTACTCATTAGCAGTGAGTGTACTCCTCCTCTGTCCTATCCTCCACCCTTGTTAACATTAGCTATTAACATTTTTGTAATTTTATGCTAAATTGATAAGCCAAAATGGTATGTGCATTTTTAAATTTTTCTTTAAAACCAATGGGTTGAAGTTGAATTTACCACCACTTCCATTTTTATTGCCTTTTTTCTTTCTTTATGAATTATCTGTTCATGATATTTATATATTTTACATACTTTATATGTTTTTATATGTAAAAACTGAGGTGCTCACTTAAGAAATTATAATGATTTCAAACACACGCATGCGTATAATGCATAGTTTTGAATACCACCTACTTCCCAGCTCCATCAAATCCTAATATTTTGCTGTACTTGCTTCCTATTTTTGCTAAAAAATAGAGTGCTGTACCTGTATAACTGTGTATCTCTTCTCAAGCCTGATCTTATTTTTCCTGTCTCAGAGGCAACGCCACCCTGAGTTTGGTGTCTTTCATTCTCATCTCTGTGTGTATATGTTTGCAGCATATGTATGTAGCTACGAAAAATATACAGTAGTTCCTCAGTATCTGTGTGGGATTGGTTCCAGGACCACCCACTGATGCTCAAGTCCCTGATACAAAATGGTGTAGTGTTTGCATATAACCTATGCACATTCTGTCATATGCTGTAAATCACCTCTAGATTACTTATAATACTTAATACAATGCCTATACATCCCTTCATTTGCCTGGTTTTAACATGGTACTCAGGATGTGGCAAATTCAAGTTTTGCCTTTTGGAATTTTGTATAATTTTCCCCCCAAATATTTTGCATCCTCGGTTGATTGAATCTATGGATGTGGAATCCCATGGATATAGAGGGATGATTGTACCATTATTTTGTATGTTTTCAAACTTTTATACTCTACACATCTATCTGCAACTTGTTTTGTCACTCAGCAGTGTATTTTCGAGATTTATCTCTGTTGATAAAACACCTACAAATGGTCCCATTTTAAGAAAGTATCAGAATTTGTTCATTGGGTTGATGGATACTTGTGTTATTTAGTTTTTTCATTTTCCTATTACAATATTGCAGTAGACATTGCATCATCCACAAGTGAAAGCTTCTAGAGTTTATTCCTAGAAGTGAAATTGCTGGATTGTAA
Organism: Homo sapiens; assembly: GCF_000001405.40. Taxonomy (NCBI): domain Eukaryota; kingdom Metazoa; phylum Chordata; class Mammalia; order Primates; family Hominidae; genus Homo; species Homo sapiens. The sequence goes on along the minus strand of NC_000015.10, from coordinate 58,415,807 downwards.
GATATATGTCCCATCAGAGTTAGTAAGATGTTGACAATTTATTCTTCAAATAAATTACTTCCGTGAAAGTATCGTTGGCAAAATGTGAGTGTTCCTTCAGTTTTTCCACCTCATCACCAACACTTGAGGAGTGTCAGATTATTTAATTTTCACCAGTTTGATGGATGTAAAATGGTATCTCATTGTTTTAATTTTAAATTTTCTGATTACTGGTGAGGTTGAACATTTTCTTACGTGTGTGATTGTTCATTCAAATTTCTGTTGCTGAGAATAGCTTATTCATATCTTTTGTCCTTATTTCTATTAGTTCATTGCAGATATCCTCCCAGTTTGCATTTTATCTTTCATATCGCCTGTAATGTCTTGTTTCACAGAGTTTACATTTTTGTTTAATGAGATTTACACAGTCTTTCCCTTCAGGAATATCCTTAATGTCTTCATTTCTTCAATTTTCCTTTTTTTTTTTTTTTTTTTTTTGAGATGGAGTCTTGCTCTGTTGCCCATGCTGGAGTGCAATGGCGTGATCTCTGCTCACTGCAACCTCCACCTCCCGGGTTCATGTGATTCTCCTGCCTCAGCCTCGTGAGCAGCTGGGATTACAGGCATGCACCACCACACCCAGCCATTTTTTTTTTTTTTTTTTTTTTTTGTATTTTTTAGTAGAGACGGGGTTTCACCATGTTGGTCAGGCTGGTCTTGAACTCCTGACCTTGTGATCCACCAGCCTTGGCCTCCCAAAGTGCTGGGATTACAGGCATGAGCCACTGGGTCCAGCCCAAATAGTAATTCCTTTACAAAAGATATTCTGTGATTTGTTATAATCTTCTGGCATCAGTAGAATTTACCTTAATTAGTGGCTACATGCTATTGTTTTAATTTATAGCTGTATTTTATAAGCTCAGTTAAAAATGATTTTTCTGCCTATGCTCCTTGAGTAACCCATGGATAGATAAAATTTATTGATCAATAAAATTTAGCAAATAGACAGTATGCACAAGCCATTCCTGCCTTTTAGGTCTTTAGTAGATGTTGCTAATTGCCTGCATTATTTTCTTCATCTGTGTATTCATATATTCACTTATTCAGCAGCTGTTTTGGGAAAATCTGCTAATATCTTTGAGCCTGGTTCTAATCATTTCGAGCCAGTTTTATAGGAATTGGCACTTGTGCACATTTGCCATCCTAAGACCGTGTGTTTATGTGTGTGTGCGCCTGTGTGGTATTTCTCACAGGTTTGTGGATGGGGATAATACTCATCTCTTAGAATGAATTGGGTATCAGATCTTGTTTTTCTGTGATTTGGAACTGATTACATAATACAGAAAAATCTGTTTCTTGAGTATGTAGTAATATTGTTCAGTAAATTTGTTGAGGTCATAATATTTCTTGTGGTAGATGAGATTTTTTTAAATAACAGCTTTTCAGTTTCCTTTGCCTTCATCATTATTTTCATGTTATCTACATTTTCTCTTGCCAGTTAATATTTTGTGTTGTCCATTTGGCTAAGCATTTCAAGTTGATTATCATAAATTTTGCATTGCAATCATTTATATTTTAAAATCTTTTGTATCGGTTGTTAAATCACTAGCCTTGTTTTTAATTTTGTTGATTTATACCTTTTCTTTTATTTATTGTATTTCCAAGGGATTGATCTATCTTATAATCTTCTCACAGAATGAGCATCTAAATTTATGTATTATTTCCACTGATTTCCTCTTTTCTAGTTTATTTCTGTCCTTACTCTTTATTATTATCTATTTTCCTTTATATTGACTGTCTTCATAAGATTTTAAGTCAAATGTTTATTTCATATTTCTAAAATAAAAGCACATAGATTTACGCCTTAACTTCTGGGCTCTGATTTATACAAAGCCCCCTCCCTTTTGATATGGGGTGTTTTCAATTTTATAAACATCTCAAAAGTTGTTATCATGTTCTTAATTATCTACTTCACTGGTCCCTAACATTTTTGGCACCAGGGACCAGTTTTGTGGGAGACAGTTTTTCCATGAATGGGGGTGGATGCGTGATGGTTTCAGAATGATTTGAGCATATTGCATTTATTGTGTACTTTATTTCCATTATTATTACATTGTTAATATATAATGAAATAATGATATAACTATAATCTACTCACCGTAATGTAGAATAAGTGGGAGGCCTGAGATTGTTTGCCTGAAACTAGATGGTCCTGTTTGGGGGTGATGGGAGACAGTGACAGATCATCAGGCATTAGATTCTCATAAGGACCATGCAATCTAGATTCCTCACAGGCACAGTTCACAATAGGGTTTGTGGTCCTATGAGAATCTAATGCCACTGCTGATCTGACAGGAGGCGGAGTTTAGTGTGAATGTGACTGATGCGTAGCGACTGTAAATACAGATAAAGCTCTGCTGCTCACCTCCTGCTGTGTGGCCAGGTTCCTAACAGGCCACACACTGGTACTGGGGGTTGGAGACCCCTGTTCTACTTGAACTTGTAGTTTAGGAAAGTTTTTGTGGTTGTTAGACATTGATACCCATTAATTTGTTGCTGCTGTAATTTTTTATTAATATTTTAATATAATTTTAAACTTACAGAAATGTTAAAAGACTAGTATGAACTCCTATACACCCTTTACCTAGGTGCACTGTTGGTTTGTATTTTTCCCTAGTTATCATTCACTCTGTCTTTATGGATATGTGAATGTTTTTCTGAACAATTTGAGAGTAAGCTGCATACATACATATATATCTAAATACTTCAATATATATTTCTGGACACAAATATTTTCTTTTATAAAATTCAAGAAATTTAACAGTAAAATCAGGAAATTTCATGATACCATATGATTAATCCCACCATCCACATTCAAATTGTCAGTTATCCCAATATTGTGTTTTTTAATATATATAAAACATATATTAAAAACATATATATAAAACATATATAAATATAAAATATATGTGTGTTTTATATATGTGTGTGCGTATACGTGTATATATGTAGAAAGACAGAAATTGAGGGTATTTTAGAATTTACAATGACAGACAAGAAACTGAGATGGCTGTATGCCTACCGCAACCACCATCTGTAGGCCACCCAAGAGTAAATATTTATTTTCTTCTTGTACTCTGTTTTTCAGAAGTTCATGTTTATTTTCAAATTTACTATTTTTTATTATTCACATACTATATATTCATAGTAGAAAAGATAAAGCAATATAACAAAAATTGGCAGAAATATCAGTGCACAGAGATAACCACTGTTAGTATTTAGATGAATATTTTATAGACTTTTGCTTTCAATCGACAAAAACTCTAGATACTTTTTCTAGTTAAATATGAGTACATTAAAAATGGAGTTATATTGTACGGCTTACGGTTTTAACTCTCTTTTAAGTCTTAGTTTATTTGACATACTTATAGGTAATCTTCATAACAACTTTGCAAGGTAGAGCCTCATTTTTAGATGAGGAATCCAAGGTTCAGAGAGGTTCAGTAAACTGCCCAGGTCACACTGCAGTAAGGAATGTAGTTTATAATCTAAACCCCGAACTGTTTGCTGCAAAGGCTCTTGGTTAGATTATTCTTTTGCCCAAGGCTCCTTTCATTGCTTTTACTTATTCACATTTAGCTTTATTGCATGTGGTGAGAAAATATGTATATTTTTTCCTCTTGATTCAATTTTTAGGGCCTTATTTGAGAGTTAGTATATATGTACCAATGCCCCCATATGGAAAAAAATGTGTAATCTATGTTGGTATTGAGTTCAGTGTATGTCTATTGGTTCTAACTTATCAATTGTATAACATAACCTCTATTGTCTATTTTTGTCACGTCTTCAATGTCTTCTAAATTTTTGTCTATTTAAATTTGTCTTTATTTTTTACTCTTGTCTATTTTTTTCTTAGCCTTGAAATGAATTAAACTCTCCCTTTACAATTGCTTGTTTTTTATTCTATTTCTCTTTGCATTTCTGACTTTAGTAACCTCTGTCTTCACAGTTGATTTTCTATTTTTTATCATAATCAGGAGCTTCTTTGTATCCTCTCCCTGTGTTTTTGGCTTCAAAATCTCTTTTATATGCTATCAACTTTACCAACTATTTTCTTTTTGTCGTATGAGTTTCCTCATTAAACCTTTTTATTTTAGCATTTCTGCATTTTTTGGGTAACAGATTCCTATTTTTAAGCAACATACGTATTGTTGGGTCTTATGTTTTAATCCAATATGAGAATTTGTCTTTTTAGAAATCAATGGCCTAAGGCCGGGCGCGGTGGCTCACGCCTGTAATCCCAGCACTTTGGGAGGCCGAGGTGGGCGGATCACAATGTCAGGAGATCAAGACCATCCTGGCTAACACGATAAAACCCCGTCTCTACTAAAAATACAAAAAATTAGCCGGGCCTGGTGGCGGGTGCCTGTAGTCCCAGCTACTCGGGAGGCTGAGGCAGGAGAATGGCGTGAACCCGGGAGGTGGAGCTGTGGCAGTGAGCCGAGATGTTGCCACTGCACTCCAGCCTGGGTGACAGAGTGAGACTCCGTCTCAAAAAAAAAAAAAAAGAAATCAATGGCCTAAATATATAAAGTTCTTTGGGGAGAAGCTAGTGTATTGATATGAGATGGGCTCCCAGCTACTAGCTGTGGACTTTCTACAAGTTCCTTAAATACCCTGTGAGGAAGCTACTTACAGGCGTCTTTATCTGTAAAATAATGTTAATAAGCACACCAACGTGATAGAGTTGCTTCGAAGATTAAATGAGATCAAGAGCAATCAGAAATAGAAGCATATTAAAGCATATTAAACTGATTATTTGTAAAATGCAATTGTCAATATTTGCTATGATAGACATTATGTCTGGAAATACCATCCAAAGCAAGTTTCTTGGCAGTTAGAAAGCAAGTTGGTTAAACGATGATCTATGCTCAAAATGGGGATAATCAGTTCTATACTTTTCTCCAACCATATTTTAAATTTTTCTTTGAGATAATGGGAATAACTTACAAGAAAAACTGCTGAGAAGCAGTGGTCCAAAGCCTTTTTAGAAGCTCTCAGGGTTCAGTTCAAGTTGTCCATCTCCATTTCTGGCTGCACCTGGAGCTTCACAGCTTGACTTAAATTCGGCCATGTCAGGAATCACTCACTGCCTTGCTTTCCATTTAGTTAATTAAGTGCTTAGGTTTACAAATAAGTTATTTGCTCTCATGACGGGTATGGAAGCTGCAGGCTTTGCTGTGCCTTGGCAATTCTCATCAGGCGTGGAAAAACTGAAACTAAGAAAAACCAACCAAGCGATGATAGATTTTCCACTTCCTGGATTGTGTGACTTGCTCATCCAATGAAAGGCAATGAGGGTGGGGTGGGGGGCAACCAGAGATGAGGACTGATTCTCAGCTTGTTGTTCTCCTCAGCAGTCCTCCAGCCCCTGTACAGCTGGAACCTCTGCATCAGTGAAAGCTGCTAGGAATTCAAAGTGCGTTCACATTCACTTCTGCTCCTCAGGATCAGAGGCAGTGAGGAAAGCTAAAAAAAAGTCTGAGGTTTAAATTGGAACCCATTTTTAACTTTTCAAATGTTCTTGGTATTTTAAGATCCAGAAAACCTTAAATCAGACAATTCTATATTACCAAACTGAAGAATAGTCTATAATATCATAATCTGATATGCTCCAGACTGACCTGATTTATTTTTACTTGTATGAACTTCAAATCTGATGGCTTTTATTTGATCCCTCAGAGGATGCTGTAGGTCCATTTCCCATCTGATGCAATAGAGGTGTCTTTTTTTTTTTTTTTTTTTTAAACTTCTCTGATAATAATCATCATCTGGTGTCTTGTTACACAAATGTTTCTAAGTTCCTCCCTAGAGATTCTGCTTCAGTGGGTCTGGGATGGGGCCTCAGATTTGTGGTCTCTTTTTCTGTTTGTTTGTTTGTTTTTTTGAGACAGAGTCTCACTCTGTCATCCAGGCTGGAGTGCAGTGGCGCGATCTTGGCTTACTGCAACCTCCACCTCCTAGGTTCAAGTGATTTTCCTGCCTCAGCCTCCTGCTTAGCTGGGACTACAGACACACACCACCACACCCGGCTAATTTTTGTATTTTTAGTAGAGACGGTGTTCTACCATGTTGGCCAGGCTGGCCTCAAACTCCTCATCTCAAGTGATCCACCCACCTCGGCCTCCCAAAGTGCTGAGATTACAGGCATGAGCCATCGTGCCCAGCCGGATTTGTGTTCTTAACATTAGCTTGGGCAACAGTGGAGTAGACTGAGGGGATAGATTCTACTTTTACAATTAGAAAGCCTTGGGCTCAAGTCCTGGGTCTTTCACTTGCTCGTTATGTGGTCTTGCACAAATTACTTAATCTTCCTCAATCTCATCTGAAAAACAACTGGAGATAAAAATATCTAAAAGTGTTGTCAAGAGGATTAAAATAACTAACACCCTTGATAGCATCCACTTTTCTCAGTATTGCTAAATCATTTCTACCCAGGTTAATTTGAAGATTATCTGTGAATTTATTTAGCATGCAGGCATAATGTTTTTTACTTATTTTCCTTGTTTATTTGGTGTATATTTGTGAAGCTTTTGCTGTGTGCCAGACACTGCGATTTTTAGAACACACTGAGCACTCCCTGATGGTATCACCTGCTCACATGGTCCATCTCAGGTTGTGTTTTCGTTTTTGTTTTTTGAGACAGAGTCTTGCTCTGTCTCCCAGGCTAGTGTGCAGTGGTGCGATCTTGGCTCACTGCAACCTCCACCTCCCAGGTTCAAGCAGTTCTCCTGCCTCAGGCTCCCAGGTAGCTGGGACTACAGGCATGCACCATGATGCCTGGCTAATTTCTGTATTTTTGGTAGAGATGGGGTTTCACCATGTTTGCCAGGCTGGTCTCGAACTCCTGATCTCAAGTGATATGCCCGCCTCAGCCTCCCAAAGTACTGAGATTACAGGCATGAGCCACTGTGCCCCATCCATCTCAGGTTTTTGAAAGTACTACCCAGCTTTCTTGTGTGAAAGAAAGCAGGCCCCTAGTTATTCATGGAGCTTCTTGGATTAGGAAGGCCATGTCCTTATTCCTCCTTTGTACCAGAAATTCAATTTTTCTTGAATCTAATCGTGTATTTTTTTCAAAAGAAAATATATATAAAATTATTCGATTTGATTTTACACAGAATATGTTCCAGGTACTTTGCATTAAGTGAATTGTCTCTTTTTGGACAGAAAAACCTTTGTACTTTTCCCCCTCCCCTCATAATAGCAAGAATCCAATGGATTTTTGATGATTATGCCTATGTTTTCCTTATATTTAGTTTTGCTTCAAAAGAATTTAAAGCACTTTTAAAAGATAAAAACAATGCAAGACATTAAGAGGAAAATTAAGTAGGAAAAAAGGATGGGAAAAATATAGTGAATTGATAAATGAAATTACACTTCAAATATATGTTGTACAGTCTTTTATACTTCCCAGTGATGGGCCAGATATTTGGCTCTGAACTCTCTAGCTCTCATTGCAAACCCTCTGCAGACAAAAGATGGAGGTGATGATTCTCAAGCCATGTAGATGATTATTGGGATCATCATCTATATGAGTCTTGAACTTTGTTTTAACTTTTCCACTGGCCCAAGACTTTGGGTCCTAATCAACATTAGGGTCATTAAGAGTTTACAGAAGGGTCATGAGTACCATGGAAAACTATGTGCTCGCCAATCTTCCAGCCAAACACAAAATAGATCAGGGAATAAGGAGGCCTCCTGCTGCAGAGGAGATGATAGCCAGGTGGGAGAGCTGGGCCAAGGATCAGCCAATTTTCTGGTACAGAAAGTGTAACCATGGCAACAGTAGTGAAGGTAGCTCTAGTTCCATCAGCAATGACACCCTTAAGAGGTACCGGCAGAGAGAGAAGCCTGTTGTACATCTGGGCAAGGGTCTCGGTGAGGGAAGTTCATGTAATTTTTAAGCATAATCGTTGGGAGAAAATAAACAGCCTCTTTCATGTTAACCTTGCAAACTCAAATAGACAAAGTGAAGGCCAATGACTGGCGGTACTGCCTGGCTGAGGCTGGATGTGACTGCCTTGCCTGGGAACCTGTAGCCTGCCTCAGGTTTGCCTTTTATTCTCTTTACTTTCTAGTAACAGTGCTCACAGGACTTTCAATAAGCAAAGCCCAGAGGGGGAGAGTTGCTTTTGAAGCCACACTCTTGTCTGCCTCATTCATTTCAAACAGAGACACTTCTGAAAGAGACGAAGGCCTGTGTACAAACAACAATGCCCACTGCATTCTGTTGCCTTCAGCTGTGATGTGGTGGCTTTTGATTCTACACAGAAGGTCCTTGTTTCAGACACTGATTGATGGGTCTTCTGAATGGAGGAGGCAGCAAGAACAAATGAGCAAGGCCCCTGGTAAGGCCAGGTGCTTCAAGAGGATGGGCTGGAAAGTGCTTAAAATAAAAGGTAAACACAAGCCTCCACAACAGCAAAAAATACCAAGGCACTGAGTTCTGAGTGGTTGATAATTGGTAGTTCCTAAGGATTTCCACATGTTTGTGCAAACACATATAAGCTCCTTGGAGAACTCTGACCTGGAATTTCAGACTTTTTGGTGGAGGAACCAAAAGTTAAACCCAAATAGATGTCATAAAACAGGTAAAAGTAATTGAAATAAAGAGCACTGGAGGTCTGAGTCTGGTTTGAGGCAGTGAAACAGAAAATAATGCAGTGAAAGAACAGGTGATGGGGCATCTCCGTCTCAGAGAGGGTTGTGATTTTTCACCAGAAACCCATGGAAAGCCACATAAAGGCTCATTCTAAACACAATGGACAGTGTTAGGACCTGCTGTGAGGAAGCTGTATGAGATGTGCCTCCCTTCTCCATCAACCCTTGTCCTTCCGTTTTGCCTAACAGAAACAAACCAGTGAAAAATCCACATGAGAAATCTGGCTATACTCAGTACTTTTGCAAGAAAACACTATGAAACTCCCTGTGAGTCTGCATTCTTCATAGTCCGTGGGGGAGCGTGGTGCAGGCTGAGGAGATGGGGTGGGGATAGTGAGGGTGGAGGGAGAGGACGGGAAAGTTAAATGAAGCAGGGATCCTTGTCCTGATCAGTGGTTTTTATACATTATGTTCTTATAAAAAAATAATTTTCACCAGCTAGATGATGTTCTACTGTTTAACTAAATTAGGGGTGTTAAAATAGAGATCATAAGAATGACGGAATGGACTCTTTGTGGCAAAAAGATACTAAATTATAAACAAGACCCAAGGCCATGCCAGGGTAGGGTTAAGTCACACATCCCAACACTTAAAGAATAAACTAGGTTCTAATAGCTGCAAGGTTTTTCTTTTTCTCTAGCCGCTAAATAAGCACTGGCCTCTGGAGAAGCAATATTGAAATAATTGCAGCTCACCAACCACCAGACACTAACTCATCCATCTCCCTACCCCTTTTCTGCAAGCCATAACTACTACTTTGATTGGATAAGAGACTGATTTCAGTAACTTTCTCCTGGTTAAGAGTCCACTGACCATAGACTGGTTCTGGCCAGTTTACAGAGGCTTGCACAGAGTGCCTTCCTGTCCCCTGCTTCACCATTTGACCTATAGGACCTAATTGCAAGGAATTTAAATGTTAAGTCTGTACCCCAAAGTGAACATGGGACGCATGTAACATGCATGTTTGTTTACTAGGCATGTGTGTACCTGCCTTCGGGAATATTCATAGCTCTTCCTATAACCTGTTGAATATGTGTACTTAGCTAACCCGTTCATCACAAATTCCTGTTCTACTCTTTCCTCCCTCAAAGTGCCTGCTTTTGGTTTCTGCTGGAGGCTGTGCTTCCAAGCCTGTGGGATTTCCAGCCTGCAGGCTGCAACCCTTTATAAAAAACAAACCTCTCCTCTCCAATATTATAGCTCTGTGAATTTATGTTGACAGGTTAATAACTCAATTTCACAGAAAAAAATTAAATCAGACACTCTTTTTTGCCCACCCAACAGCCCTTCTCTCCTTTAACTTTTCACTTGCAGAGTCCTACTTTTGATTGGCAGTCCACCTGTCCCTGTCATGATTCAGGGAAACTTGACCCTATCCTGAACTCCAGGAATAAGTCCTAATTACATATTTTTTAGTGGTAACTGTGGTAGGTAAAATTTTAAGATGGTCTTATGATCTTTACCCTCTGGTGTCACATCCATGAGTATGGCAAAAGGCTTATTATCTATATTATTATCTAATCACATGAGCCCTCTTTGGCTAGTGGCAGAAGTGGGGAAGTCAGAGAGATTCAAAGTATGAAAAGGATTCAGTACATCATTGCTGACTTTGAAGATGGAGGGTGCCAGGTACCAGGACTGAGAGTGGCCTTTGGCATTGAGACTAGTCCCTGGTTGACAGCCAGCAAGGCCATGGAGACCTCAGTCCTACAATTGCAAGGAGCTGAATTTTGCTCACAACCTGATTGGGTGTGGAAGTGAATTCTTCCCAAGTCTCTAGATGAGAGGTTAGCCCTGCTAACACTTTGATTCTAGCCTTGTAAGTACATGAGCAGAGAACCCACTCAAGCCTTCCTGGACTTCTGACCTATATAGAACTGTGAGAATCTAAGTGGGCATTGTCTTAAGCTGCTAAGTCTGTGGTTATTTATTTTGCAGCAATAGCAAACGAGTAGAGCAACAGATATATAGTGTCAAGAAATCCAATCCATATTTCTGTTCAAGAGGAATTCGTTTTCAGCTCTGACCCTGACCAGGAATCAGAAAGTTACCTATGGTAGAAGGGGTGGATTAGTTATCCAATAACCCTCTTGACTTTTTTCCTTATGCACAGCACCACACACCCACTATGAAGGTCACAAATACTGGATTCTTGCTTTCCTAGCTACCCTTGCTGCTGGAGTGGTCATGTGACTGGGATATGCCTTTGGCCACAGACCTCTGAGAACACTAGACTAGAGCTGTAGCAGCCATTTTATAGCCACGAGGCAACAAGTCTAAGGATGGTAGAGTGGAAAGAAAGGAAGGTCTTGTTTGTTTCATGACAATTTTGAGCTAAGGTGCCATCTCTGGAATTGCCTGCATTCACATCTTTTGTTATATAAGATAATTAAATGTCTTTATTGCTTAAGTCTTTGTTAGTTGGGTTTTCTCTTGCTTGCAACTGAACATGTCCTTACTAATACATTACCCTTCCCAACAAAAAGTATAGAAGGCAAAATGCAGAGACATCTGAGGTAGAGCGAGTACAGAGTTGAGGATCAGGCTTTTGGCACAAGTAAGAAAAATTACGTAGGTATTCAGGGGCATGAAGACAAGTCGCCTTTGGGTGACATCTAGAACTATTAAAAACTAGTGAAATTCACACATTGGGAGACTTCCATCTCAAGATGTTCTCTGACTCTCCGTTTTCTATTTTTTGAGATTCTTGCCCATTGCGGAAAAGTACAGATGGTCATGGACTGATGATATACTAAGCCTTAGTCTTATGACTGGGATCATTCCTCTGACCCCAGTGAGCATCAGTTTACTCATCTGCAGAGTGCAGATAGGATAATAACCCCTTACGTCACTTGGTTTTGTGAGAATCAGATTTGAGTGTGTACGTGAACTTGCTTTGGAAGCTTTAAAGAACAGCTTTGGTGTGATGTCAGAACCTAGCTTGGTGTCTGGCACATAGTAGGTGTGCTCATTACATATTTGTTGGATTACTGTGCCGTGCCTATTTGTCTATACCAGCTTTGTTTGCACTGCACCATGAGCTTGCTGTCTGACTAATTGCTCCATATTGCATCTACTCTAGATAAAACTTAAAGGATTTTATTAAATGCTTTCTTCTTGGCAGTGGTATATTAGGTACTGCAGCCTGGATGGAGAATTTAGCATTTGTTTCCTATGTATTTTCCACTAAATATGCTGTGACAAGATGTCTGTTTTGATCAGGGACACTGTCAATTATTCCTCTCTCAGCCCGACTTTCTCTATGATGTAGGGTGTGAAGACATCTGTTGGCTTTAACCTATCACTCTTGTGTGAGATGCCTTGGCTTCACTCAACAGGGCTGTGTCCAAGGCAGGCTGGCCCCCCGTGAACTCTCAGGCTGCCGAGTCAGTCATCCGCCAGGTGACAGGTGGTGCCTTTGAGACACTGGGGAGCAAAAGGAGACAGTCTTACCTGGACCCTTTAAAGGCTTCCTTGTGCCAAATAAACCAGGAAATGGCTTGCTTCTTTCAGGCTTGCCCCTTGTAATATCATCTACTTTCCCATCTCTTCATCTGTGACTCACATTTTATGGCATCCCCCATGGGTCTTGTCAACTTTTGGCCTCTCCCAGTTAGACTCATGGGACTGCCACTTGATGCTAGGTGTCTGACATGAAGCTCTCCCTGGTTTTTGTCTTGCTTTGCTCCATGCCACCCTGGATGTGTGACACGACACCACTAGAAGCGGGCACCTTGGCATCTGAGAAAGACTCATTGTAGGTTCCTCACCAAAGGGGATTATTTTGGAGCAAGACCAGTTGCCCAGGAGCTAGAAAACATCAGACTATGAGACTGAGATGTTACTGCTCTCTGTGATTTAATGAGTGATGAACACAACATTTAAGAACTGAGACACATATGGTATAATGCTGATGAAAATAAAATGAGAGTATGGGGTCAACGAAGAGGGCACAGCCAAGATGAGGAGCGGCAAAGAACATTTTGATAGAAGGCAATACATGGGCGCAAGCAGTGGGGTTTGCTGTAGAGAGAACAGGCACCCCAGTCAGAAGCAGGAATTCGAGACCTGCTCTGTCTCCCACTCTTTCTGTGATCCAGGAGCCTTTGTACCCCAGTCTCCTCATATGCCAAGGGCCACCCCAGGTTCTGGGCTCCCAGGGTTATTGTGCATTGTAGATGAGCTACAAATGTACAGGGCAATAGAAAAGTGTGATAAAAATGTAATGTATGTGGAATTCTCCATGGTGTTTTTGGTTTATTTCTTTATATTTGTTCTAAAACACAGGTGAAGAGTCTTCTTCATTTTCACTCCTAAGCTACTGCCTCTCCTTCCATGTGACAGTCATGGCAGTAATGGGCACGGCCTTGAGGAGGACATAAGACAGTTCTTGGCTGAGGACATTCCTTAGAGAGCAGCAGGAATGGTGACAGCTCCTTACATTGGGTCACAGGAGCGTCCCCCACCCCAACTGATGTTTCAGAAGTTAAGTCATGCAAAGTACTCAGGGTCTGAAGAGCAGGGTTAAAGACGCAGAATGAAGCTGGTCTTAATCTAGTAAATACTTGATGCCTGCATGAATTTACTACCACGGACATAAAACAGACTGCTTGATCTTGGCAGCATGGGGATGTGGAGAGTTGGGTGGGGGAGGCAGGAAGCAGGGCGTGTGTCCACATGTACTACTGGCCTCAGAACTGAGATCGTTTTGGCTGCTGAAACCCAGCTGCTTCCATCTCCCTCTTCATGTCCCAGCATGGGCAGCTGGGCACTGTGGGGAATGAGAGGCAACATAAAGGGATCTGAATGATGACAAGAAGCTTCCTGTCCCCATGTAGCTTACCATGCCTCACACGGGGCACAGTCCGGTTTACTTGCTTTTCTTTCTGGGCATCACTCTCTGTGGTGCCAAAGTCCTGTGTCTATCAGCCCCACAACTGACAGCCCTGCTGGGACCTGTTGGAGCTTTTCTGTCACAAGCTGGTTCGAGAGGAGAGGCAAAGTGCATGAACCCTCCCTGCCCTGCCCTCACCCCACCAGACACACAAGCCATTTCCTAAGAGAAAGCCATTTTTGTCACTATCAGAGTTGGACTAGTACTATCAAAGTATTCAAAACGACCTTTAGTCATATGTTTGTTTTTCCTGAATTGGTGGAAAAATATTACTTTTTCATCAAAATTGAAAATAATGAAGAAAAACTCAGAATAAGATGAGGTTGGGCAGGAGTCAGTGATGTCTCAGAGACGGAAGCAACTGGCTTTCCCGTGGCCAAAACCATTTCCGTTCTGAGGCCATTGGCACAGGTGGGCACATGCCCTGTTTCCCGCCTCCCCCACCCAACTCTCCACACATCCCCCATTGCCAACGCCTTGCCCTCATCCCTGCCCCCACAAAACTCAGTTGGGTTGTTCCCATGGCCACTGTGAGCAGGGCTGTCCAACGTGATCCCAGATGGCTGCCTTTATGACGGCTCTATGCCGCCTCATTCCCCATGTTGTGTACTATGATGTCCACCACATGTTAAATTAACAGTGTCTGCTGTGCGAGGGTAATGGATTGGGCAGTTCTTCTCTTTCTGAGCAGTTACTCAGGCTTGCCATCTGGCAAATCTAGTAGCCAGGTGGTAACCCTAAATAACCTCACTTTGATGGGGTGGGGGTAGAGGGGACCCCAGTTGGTTCTGTTCTTGCCATCTGCGGCCTCCTTCTCTTGGAGGGAGATGTCCAGAGCATCTGAGCCATGCGATTTCTTCATCAAGCAGCTATTTGCCATGAGAAACACTGCCACTTCAGGTATTCAGAATTCTGCTCTCCAGCAACTCCACCAATTTAGAATAGACTCAGGAACCGGAAGACAAACCCAAAAAGGCTGTGTGCAGCTGAGACCGGAGGGAAGCTCATGTACCAAAGCTCACATGCCTTCCTCTTGGGAAAGTTACTTGAGCTTCGACTTGGAAGATACTTACTCTTACTTTACATTCAGTGATAATCATAGAGGTCCTCTAATTTCTAAGGATTCAGTATCTTGGAAGCCACAGATTAGAAGAGAGGAGAGAGCATGTAACAGCAGACGCTTTGACAGATAATGTGGACTGCCTGAAGATGCTGAAACTAAGCAGATGTAAGATCCAAGAGCTAAGAGCACAGCAAACTGGGGTCATTGAGTGAGAGGCAAAGTGCGCTATAGCCCTTCAGTATTACCTGAGGACACCACGGTACAATAATGAAGTCTGGAGTTACAAACCTGTGACACCAGCACTGTTCATTATGATCAGTACAGACCATTTCAGGGGCAGGGACTCTGTTAAACATTACAGAGATGTCCTCTCCAAATGGTTAAAATAGAAAGACACACAGGAATGAAACGGTTCTTTGAGAAAAATCATATAACCAGGAGTAGAGTGAATTAAAATATTACATAAGATTTTTGCAAAGACTTTTTTCATTATCATAAAATAAGGTAGGTTTATTGAAGAATATTTAGAAAATGTAAGCCAAAAGAAGAAAATAAAACATGGCTATAACCCTTACTTCCAAAATATAACAAGTGTTAGCATCTTATTGGCTCTCCTGTTCTCTCTTTGTATGTATTTGTATATTTATACCATTTATCAATCTGTCGTCTGCCTGCATACCCATCTATAACTAGTTGTAAGAAATATGTAAGAAGTAACTTGAGTTTACCCCCACTTAATACACAGACAAGAAACTTTTCATGTTAATAAGTAAACCACCTCAGCATCATTTTAGAGGTTACGTTGTTCGTATTTCATAATATGGATAGTCTTCCAAGGGGCTGTGGTAATTGATTATTTATAAAAGTGTATATTGCACAGAAATATTTGGAAAATAAATCTGTGATCATTATGAGCCAATAGGGCATGATGACTTCTATCCTAATCACCACTAGACAATTTCACTGCTGTGGTAGTAGTACTGAAAGCTGCAAAGCTGGGCCTTTTTGCCGTTGTGAGCCATACTGGTTGTTTGCTTCTTGTTCATGAAGGAGTCTAGAATGTGCCACCCCAAAATATGCCACTTTGGCGTAAAGATTATTTTGAGCAATTGTGAATCAACAGATAAAGGAAAACTTCTCTACTTTCTTGTTATCTGCCTAAAAGCAGAGCATAAATTTCCTCCCCTCTTCTGTACCACGATAACGTGTGCAACCCTTATCATTGGAATTGAAGAGCTGGCACCAGGATGAGTCTGCATAAACAGACCTTATTAAAATAACCCTGATCTTTCATCAGTTTCCCCCATATATTTCCTCATCACTTTCCCACAATTTGTTACTCCTATTTCCCAAACTTTATCAGCCCTCTTTTCTTTGTCTAGTCACTTCTCCACAATTTATCAACTTTTGTTAGAATCATATATAAGACCCTGGGCCTGACTGATTCTTTGGGTTTCTCACTTCTTTTCTGTGAAGCCCCCATGCATGTAGAATGAAAAAATACTAACACAATTTGTATGCCTTTTCTCCTGTCAATCTGTGTTTTGTCAATTTAATTCACAGTGGATCTCTCCACTCTCCCCTCCGCTTCTGGACTTTAAACAGGATTAAAATTATACTGCATTAAATGCCAGCTGTTTGCTCCTCACAGTGCAGAGCAGTACTTTTTAATTCTTTTTTTGAGACAGAGTCTCACACTGTCATCCGGGCTAGAGTGCAGTGGTGCAATCTTGGCTCACTGCAACCTCCACCTTCTGGGTTCAAGTGATTCTCCTGCCTCAGCCTCCCAAGTAGCTGGGATTACAGGCACCTGCCACCACACCCGGCTAATTTTTTGTATTTTTAGTAGAGATGAGGTTTCACTATGTTGGCCAGGCTGGTCTCAAACTCCTGACCTTGTGATCTGCCCACCTCGGCCTCCCAAAGTGCTGGGATTACAGGCGTGAGCCACCGTGCCCGGCCTAATTCTTAAACTTTAATGTGCATACAAATCACCTGGAGATGGTAGAATGCAAATTCCAGTTCGTGAGGTCTGGGGTGGAGCCTGAGAGTCTGCATTTCTAATAAGCTCCCTGGCAATGCCGATGCCACCGGACGGAGTCCCGCATTGAGTAATGAGGGGGCAGAGTGTGCCTCAGGGTCCCCCAGAGGGCCTGTTAAAACCCAGACTGCTGGGCTCTGAGAACAGAGTGTCTGATTCAGTTAGGTCTAGGTTGCGGCCCAAGAATTTGCATTTAACAAGTGCCTTCTCAGTAACGCTGATGCTGCTGGTCTAGGGAGCACACATGGAGAACCACTGGCTTAGAGGCAGTCACTGGAGCCAGGCCGACTAGCTTTGCAGCTAGAGTCCCGCTTTGTCCCTCTGTAGCCTCAGCGAGTTGCTTAACCTCTGTGCCTCACTTTCTTTAAGTCAGGGATAATAATACCACCGATGTTAGAGGGCTTTTGTGAAGCACTGTGTATGCTCTATATGTAGGCACTGTGTAATGTTATTATTTGCCATTCCTTTCAACTCAGGGATTAAAATGTGCACATTTTCTGCTCTTCAGACAATCTTTTGGGGGTGAGGTCTTCCTCTTACCCAGGCATATCCGGAGAACCTCTCTCCGTTCACTTGTGCCCTAGAAGGTAAAAAGTCCCCACATCTACTTTTGCACTATGGTGTTGATTCCTCAGTAAGCACATGGCTGCTGAGCACTGCCTGCCTTTAACCTGGGTGCACAAGAAATCCTTATAAACAAAGAACGCAGCCAAACCTAATGAGTACAACATCATCTCAGGCTGCAGCAAGGAGGTTTGTCTCCCTCAGCTTCCCTGGGAGGACCTGCTCTCTGTAAGCTCAAAGCCTGTTCTGGCTAGCATGGATTAGAAAGAGTGGTTCCCAGCATCCCAGGCAGCTCTCTGTCTAGAGTGTTTTAATCACATGCAAGGCTGAAAGTCAAGGGAGGTAAGCAGCCCCTGCAGCCAGGAATTTTTTACCTGCCTGGGGAGGCTGGAGAGGGAGATTAGTGGGCTGCTGAACATTTCAGGCAAAGCAGCTAGCAGAGCCCAGAGACACAAGGTAAGGAGGCCTGTGGCACAGCCACATGGGGTCCAGCGTGGCTGAAATGTGGAGTGGGAGGCCAGGAAGGGCATTAGGGTCACACAGGGCCTCCAGTGGCATGTGGGACGGAGGGTCCCTCAGTTAACTGAGGGAGGGAGGGAAGCTATATCAGAACGCTTTTGATGGCAAGTAACATAAACCAACTTGCCTTAGCTTAAGCTCAAAAAAATACTTCATTATAGGGATTCAGTCTGTTTCACAGAACCCAAGGACAGGCTGCCGCAGTCCCGCAGGAAGAGGCTGGAACAGGGTGCAAAAAGCCATCCAGACACTTTCTCTCCTCACTGGCATGCTGCCCCTCATGAGAACTTTCTCTGCTTTTACAGTCCACATGGCAATAGCCTATCCCATAGCACCCAAGCTGATGTGCTGACACGTTTTTGATTTTACCTTCTCGAGAGAGGTTCTTTCTTAGTCCCAATTTCAGATGTCCAGGAAAGAGGCTCTGACTGGCCATCTGGGGTCAGGGGCTTGGCACTGGTTCAATCCAATGCTGCCACAGTGGGGAGCAGAGACACACTGCAGAGGCCCTCGGGGTGGATCAAAGTGGGCAGAGCTGGGCTTCTTCATGAACCAGGTAGATAGTACATGGGCTACCCCAGAGGAAGGATGGCACAAACTCTGGGGTCCCTTCCCACCTGAGGTGCTCCAGTTTGACCTTTCTGTTCAGTATTTGTCCTCTCCCCATCAGCAGTGTAGGGAAAAGCAAGGGTAGAGCCCGTGGCTGTGGTTGCGGGTTTGGGCTGAGAGGATGGGGGCTGCCTTGCTGTGACAACTTTGGAAACAATATTGAGCTCTGGAAGGTAACACAGTCCATAAATAGCAACGAGATCAACCTGGCTAACACTATTTTGGAAGCTGAGAAAATAAATGACAGCAAACTGCCAGGCAAACAGTTCTTCCATAAAACATGAAGAAATGCTTCCCTAAAAGTATCGCTTTTAAACATAAAACAAAAAGCAAATAGTGGCATCAAAATATAAGGAAAGGTGACCCACCTGTGATCTCACTCTGTTTTCTTTGCCCGCTCTTTCCTTTCAGCTTTTGTTCAAATGCATGCAGCATCTTACGTAGTTTTGGAGATCATAAACAACATTTTGTGTTCTGTATTATGTAACGACTAATTTCCATGCTGCCTTGTCATCTTCTTAACTATCTTTATCAGTATGCCATCCTTCAAATTAAGTATGCTATATTTACTTAGTACATAATTAAGATCTGATTTTAAATTTGAGACTGCGAAGTGAGAAGGAATCTTAGGAAATCACTGAGTCCAAGGAAAATGAACTTAGAGAGGAGAGTGTCTTCCCCCAGGGCCACAAAACTGGTTAATTCTGGACCCGGGACTCCATGTCATTCATTTTTTTTTCAAGTGTATGTTTATAATTACCCACCCGATGCCACATATCAGTGCACAGGTTTCATCTCACTTCATGACTCTTTCCACCACATCGTGTGCCCTAATTAACATTTGTTAGATAGAAGTCATTTCTTGTTTTTCTTAACAGAGGTAAGAGTGCTATTTCAACTCACTGTCATGAAAATAAAGGTTGTGGAGCTGAAATGAATAACAGCAATTTTAAACCAGACTGGTTTCGTGACTGGTAGATAAGTCAGCATGCAAAGACATTTATGTCTCCCAGGTTTGGCTGGCTTTCGCAATGCCCTTTGCAAACTCCACAGGGATTTTAAGCTTTAAGTCTGGTTATAAGCTTATGCAAGCTGTTAGTCACCTTTTTAGATGAAAAGCATCACAGGCTTATGCTCGAAAATGTTGTGTGCTTTGCTAGAATTCCTTTTGAGTAATTCAGCTATAGTATGATTTTGAGGGAGAAATGATGGAACAGATACATTTCAAAACACATTTGCATTTAAAAACAGGAGTTTATCAGCTGAAAGAACTTATCTTGAAAGGTACACATGCAGGGCAAATTTAGAACAAGCAGAACAATTTAGACATGATAGCTATGAATTATCCAAAAGCTTAAAATACTGAGGGCACTTGATCGTGCAGAATCCCAGACATGGGTTGAATCATGAATGTCTGGTGTTTTACTTTGGAAAACATATTGGAAAAGGAAATCTTGTCACTGCCATATTTTCACAGATCTTTCCAAAACATTCTAGGTGTGCATCCACACAATTGTCAACACATGTTTGACCAGAAACAAACAAGTGGAGTGACCTAAGCCTTTGGTACAGCGAAGAAGGCTCTGGAGTCAGGATGCTTGGGTTGGTATCTAGGTTCTGTCACTTACTAGATATGTGAACTTGGCTGGATCTCAGCTTCCTCATCTGCAAAATGAGAAAATCATTTTGAATGGATAGAATTGTTGAATTAAACTAATGACATTAAATCATGTAATGTAGCACCTCTCAAACTCTAACAAGCACACAAGTCACCTGGGATCACATTAAAACGCAGGTTCTTAGTCAGTAGGTCTAGGGAGTAAGCTGACATTCTGTATTTCTAACAAGCTCTGGGTGATGCCTGCTGGTCTCCAGGCCACACTTGGAGTTATGAGGATGCAAAGTGCCTGCTATGTGAGAAACATTCGATAGTGTTAGTTATTGCTATCCTTCAGGTGGATTTCTCCCTCTTTTTCTTTCCTACCACACCCCCAATGCTCTCGCCCACCTAATCGTCTTCCTTCTTTCCTTCTGCTTTCAAGAAGGCTTCCAGATCTTTCTGCTCTAGCTACACCTTGACAGGCGCTCATGATTGACTGCACATGAACTTACAGCATGTGTGTGTGAGGGAGACGGTGGAGATGCTGCCGTGGCCATACTCAGATTTGGAAAGGTCAGTTCCACTTCCATCATGCCACACACTATGACTTATACTTGTGAATTAAAAACAACTCAGTCTTTTCTGGGTTAAAATGGCCTTTGTAGCAATTAGTCAATTTGAAGTTCAGACTCCCTGTGGGTGATTTCAGAGGGTCTCCCCTCCCTCTGACATTCCTCAGTGCCTTCAAACAAGAGAAGCTTCTGCATCCTCTCTGCTTCAGGGAGAGGTTCCTGGTGAGAGTGCTGTGTGTCCCAGCTTCCTCTGACCTCCAGCGGGACTCTTTCTGGCCATGGCCTCTGTCCTTGTGCACCTGCTACTGACACATTCATGGTGGGGTCCCCTGGGTGTGCTCTTTTAGCACCTTCCGGGCTTGGTGGCTTCCTTGTTGATGTGATGTCCATCTCTGACCTCAATGGCCTTATAGAACCTCTGGCAATCAACTGTGTCACTTGGCGACTCACAATGGCCACTCAAGCCCAGCCCCTTGCTCTCAACTCTGTATCCCTCACTAGCACATTTGAGAACTCCAGACACTTCCACACCACCTGTGAACAGAGATGTTCTGGACCCCTGCTGTGGCCCTCTTCTCTCACACACACCACCCTGTCATTCTGACCTGCTGTGGCTGCCTTGTGTGGTTGGCGTAGGGCAGCATGAGATGGCCAAACAAGAAGCACTGTGGATCCTCCTTGGTGTTCGTCTTTCCCTTCATCCTACCCCAGATTTCCATCTGTCCTTACTCCCTGCCCTGAGTGAGGCTCGGAGGCAGGGCAGGGAGGTCTCTGGAAGCTCCTTCTTCCCATTTCACCCTCTCCGGTCCTCTTCACTTTCTCTGAAGAAGGGCTGCTACTTACCCTTCTGTCTGCTGGAAATTGCCCTACATTATATCTTTCTTCCTTACCCCATAGTCTCCTTTTTCTAGGGAGATCCAGCTGCCCCTTCCCTGAGGCAATAAGTCTCATGCCCTAACCGTAATGGTGGAAAGGAAAGAATTTTGCTTATCGAGAAGGGAAATTAGATTTAAAATGTTTTAAAAATCTTATCCTAAACTATATATAGCTGCTGCATATACAATACACATGAAAAGTGGGCCTCCTTTGCTCTTTCCTTTTGTCCTTAGCATCACTAATCGATCACATTTCATAGCCTCGGAAACCTCCACATAGTGGTCCAGTCATCCAGTAACAATCGACAGGAGCTCACCTTGGAGATGGAAACTCTTTCTATCACTGGTATGGAGTCAAGCCTGCAGAAGGCAAAGCAAATAAGCTGAATCTACCCCTTATGTCCAAATAGGCAATGGAAGTTTTAAATTTGGGAACTATATAATTGGAAATGGCTTTAATGTTTGAAATAATTACTACATCCCTGCAAAATGGTCATGCAGCCTCTGCTTGCATAACTCTAATGATGGGAAACTCACTACTCCTTGACAGGGGATTATATTTTTAGACTATTCTAAGTAGCAGAAAAACATTTGGTATGTTGCACTGAAACCTGCTCTCTGCAACTTGCTCCTACACATAGCATATTTAATTCCTGTCCACACTGTCAGCCCTGCAGATATTTGAAGGCAGCCACTCTGGGCCCTATTAGCTTCTCCTTTCTAGGTTCAGTCTACCCAGTCCTTTTCAGTGGCCGAGCCTCCAGCCCCATTCACCATTAAGGATCCTCTCAATCCTTTCCCGTTTAATGAGCCGTTAAAAGTCAGGGAGGTAACTTTGACGGAGGAACCACCCACCTCATTTTTTTTAAAACTGGAAATAAATTGCACATAAAGGTGCTGATTGCTCAGAAGTGTAAAAGTGCCTGCCTTCTGCAGACTGACACTGTGTTCTCAGAATCTGTGGGTCATCCTGCTGTGTACATTGCATTTTTTCTCTCCCTACAACGCACACACACACACACACACACACACTCACACACACCCACACCCACCCTAGTGGGAATCATTTCTCAGCTGGCTACTCAAAGCAGCAGCCTGCACATGCTTGCTTTATTGCTTCCTTGTCCAAACTACAGATTTAACAAGGAGGTTGCAGGGGAAAATGTTTTCAGCTTGAATAGTGACATTGAAATCCTTGAGTTTTGAGAGATCTGTGAAAACAGGCTATTGAAAAGAGTTGGGAAAGTCCTGAAAGGGGCTTGCTAATGTTGGTGATACCCCACAATGAAGAGCTCAGAAGCAAAAGTTTTTTTTTGATCTTCTGCTCTCCTGTCTCTTAGTCTCCTTCTCCACCAAGGCTAGATATAGAAACTAGCTTCTTCCCCAAGGCAGGTCCTAGAAACCAGAACCCCCTTTCCCCAAAGGCAGCCCTGTGACCTAAAAATACTACTCTAACTCCCCGCTTCCCCTCTCCCCACCTTTCTGCATAAAAACTGGCCACAAAGAAATTATCTGATCTACCTTGTTTGACTGTAGGTCATAAGACCGCAATTCCAGAGAAGGCCCTGCCCCAAACCCAGAAGGAAGGAATGCGTGCTCAGAGAGGCTAAGAATCCAGACAGGCCTTGCTAGGTTTCCCCAAGCAGTCTTTAGCATTAGATCATAGCTTTTTTATCCCATCGTATTTCTACACACTGTCCGTCCTTTGTTGAACCTAAGCATAAAAACAGACAATTTCCCCTGTATCTTTGGGTCTTCACTGGGAAGGCTCCCATGTCATTGTAAAACTGTAATCAAATAAATTTTATATGCCTTTCAATAAATCTGCCTTTTGTGAGTGGATTTTTCAGGAAATCCTTTAGAGGGCAAAGGGAAAGTTTTCCCCTGGGCCGTATGCTAATTCCCCTTTCATTTTGCCACCCCCAGATGAGTTGATGCTGCTTATTCAGGTGGTGAATTCAGCAGAAACCTGTAGGCTAGGGCTAAGGAACCTTCATTAAAAAGGATGACGATAATAAAAACAGCCAACATGACTGAGCATATTCTGTGTGCCTCGTCCTGTCCTGTCTGCTTTACCCTTACAAGCCAATTTAATATTCACAAGTCCAGCCCCTTGCCCAAGGTCATGAACTAATAAGTGGTGGAGTCAGTGTGAGCCTATAGTAGACTGTGAGATGCTTAGTGACAGAAACACCATCAGAAGCTTTCCCTGAGTTCTCCCACACACCCAGAACAGTGTTTCTCAACCAGAGCCCATGCTGTAAACACCATGGGCTACCATGCACTGGCGGTATTGTCTATAATAACACCCAGCCCATGTCAAAAGGTATAATAAGTAAGCAGATTTACCAAAGTATTAAGCAAAAATATCCCCAAGTTTATGGTTAACGTCTCCATGTCTCATTTCCTTTATCTGTAAAATGGTGCTAATATAAATCAGTGGTGCTATTTATATAAATATAAATGGTGCTAAATACAATTTTTTCCTACTCCCCTTCCCCAAAACATATAGTCAGTTGTTTTTGAAACCAAACTACATTATTCAGTCAAATTTGATACTGAGTTCTGTTCTACTAAGATCTCCTTGGTCTGAAGCATTTCTTTAGGTTTTGCCAGTGAGATCAGTCTTCTCGGACCTCTCGTGAGTGCCATACTTCTGTAGCTTTTCCCTTTCTGAAATGTCTCCTGTTCTCCTCCTCCCTGCCCATCCGAGTTCTACCCATACTTACAAGTGTCTACTAAGCCCATCTCCTCCATGAACCCCCTAACTACCCCACACCCCTTTGAGCTGTCATTTGTCTTCCTGTGAACACGAGCCAGTTGTATTCCATCAACAAACATTTTGAGCATTTTTTATGGGCCCAGAATGATTCCAGATCAGAATTTCTCCACCTCAGCACTATTGACAATTTGGGTAGGATAATCCTATGTTGTGGGGGCTGTCCCAAGCATTGTAAGACATTTAACAGCATCCTGACCTCTTCCCACTTGATTCCAGTAACATCTACCATGACCCAGTCGTGACCATCAAAATGTGTCTGGACATTGCCAAATGTCCCCCCGAGGGCAAAGTTGCCCTGATTGAGAAACACTGTTCTGGATATGTGGGAGAACACAGGGAAAACTCCGGATGGTGTTTCTACTGCTAAGGGTCTCGTAGTGTACTTAGGAGTCAATATTAACCGTCATGAATCAATACGTGGTCAGTTAAGTACTAACTTGTGAAATATACTGCAATCTAATTTTTAGCTAATCTTGTAATTTTCTTTTTTGAGGGAGGGGTAGACAGAAATGGAAGCAAACTCTATTAGAAAAAGAAGATTGCTTTCATTGGGGAAGGAGAAGCATGTGGAATATTGAAGGAAGAAGAATTGTAGTTACTCTATCCGGTTTGTCCTGGATAAGTGCAATTCTTCAGAAGTTATTACTTTTTGAGTATTGAGAGATACGTTAATGGGAGAAAAATCACCCATATATCTCAGCTCTACTGACTTACTCTAGTGAGCAACAAATCTTCTGTTTAATTCCGTTTATAAATTCAACTTGAGTCCTGATCGTTTTGAGGAATTAAACGGTTCTTCAAGTGAATCCATAACCCAGTGTTGCCCTGGACATATTTAATAGCAGATTCTGGGTGTGTAAGATTAAGAGACACAATCCTTCAGTCTTTTCCCAAACAGTTTTATTACTAAAATGATTCATGCACTGGAAGTCATTGAAATTGATCAGTGGTGATTTATATTCCTGGCAGACAGTGCTTTTGAGGTTCTTTTCCTTAGTTGTGAAGTGTCAGTTGTCCAATGAAAGTTGCCAGTTGTTCAATGAAAATTTTGTCCCATTCTATAAGAAATTCACAATCCCAAAAACATTCTAAAGCCTGCAGAGAGCTGAGAGGTGACTCTGGATGCTGGTTTCAGCGAGCTGTACGTGGCTGAATATATAATGCAATAAAGCTAATCTGAGACACAATGTGACAATCAGTAGCAATTCAATGTGTGCTGAATGAAAGATTTAATATTAGCTTAGTGTTGCGACAAGATGCAAGACACAAGTCAATTTAGGGATGGAAGCCTTTCAACTGGATTTAGCAATCATCCAAAACTGGTTGCTGGATCTGGCAGAACTCAAACTTGGGCTCCAGCACCTCCACTCTCCTAGTGTCCATTGTCATTTGTGAAGTGGGGCTGATGTAAGTTAAAAGAGTTTATTTCTGCCTTAGCAAGTTACAGAGCTGTTGGACTGGAAGGGAGTTGGGAGTTACCTGGTTGAACTCCTCATTTTGTGAGCAAGGAATTGCAGGTCAAGAGTGATGATACAATGATTATAATTAAAAAATTAACATACACAGAGTGTTATTGTTTGCTAGATACTCCACTGAGTGCTGTACAGACATCGTCTCACTTTATCCCTAGGAAGTGGAACTATTATGAGCCCATTGTTACAGATGAGGAAACTGATGATCAGAAATTTTAGTCACTTGCCCAAAGTCACACTAAAAGTTAAGAGCTGACAGTATTCAATCCCAGGATTCTTCTTCATGCTCTCTTGACTTTGCCACTGGGGTTTCTCATTGTAAAGCCTCTTTCACTCTTTCTCTGCCTTCTTTCCTCCTTCCCTCAACACAAGGGCACTGAACACTTCAGCTGGATCAGGGTCTGGGAAAGCAGCTTCCTGCATTCCAGAGCTAATAGTGCAGTGTGGGAGGCAAATCCAGGACAGAGGAATGCAGCAGTTCATGTTTGTCAGCTCCAGTCTTTCTCAGAAGAAGCATGTCCAGCACTTTGGGAGGCCGAGGCGGGCGGGTCACAAGGTCAGGAGATCGAGACCATCCTGGCTAACATGGTGAAACCCCGTCTCTACTGAAAATACAAAAAATTAGCAGGGCGTGGTGGCGGGTGCCTGCAGTCCCAGCTACTTGGGAGGCTGAGGCAGGAGAATCACTTGAACCTAGGAGGCGGAGATTGTCGTGAGCCGAGATAGCGCCACTGCACTCCAGCCTGGGTGACAGAGTGAGAATCCGTCTCAAAAAAAAACCCAAACGCACAAACAAAAAAACCCAAAACAGCAGCATATAAGGAAGGGAGCCCTGAACCTAGGGCCTAGGACAAGCTCTGGTGCCTCTGAGGCCTGTCTGAGCAGGCCAAAGGGCCAGGCTGACCAAGGACGCTGCCACTGGGGTGAACCTTGTCCCTGTGATTTCTCTTTGGGTGGACTGAAAGTCATGGATGTGGGCAGCTGAGGTGATCCTGTAGAGAAATGAGTTTAGTTACTCTGAACAGTACAGAGAGCCTTTGTTGAGTTTAGGAAGGGATGAAATGGCACAGAAGGAAGGCCCCTATCATGTGGCCTCCGAGGTGGGGTGGTAGAAACTTGTGTGGGTACCAGGGACTGGGCTTTACTGGGACACGGGTATTCCTGTTCTGTGACTGTCCTTCCACTTGCCCTCTGCCCCCCACCATCAAGCTGTGCACCTTCAGTGAGCAGTAGTGGCGTCTTCTTCCTTTAATCCAAAATGCCGAGATGGTGCCTGGGCTTTCTGAGGTACTCAGTGGAGATTTGTTGAGTAATTGGGAGATCCTTGGTCTTACAGTGTCCAGAAATTGAACATTGTGAGGTATATTTAGAGTATCTGGCTGGTGGGGAGAAATAGGGTGAAGCAAGCCCATATGCTATATAAACAAAATGACTCTATGTCCCAGACTTTTTGGAACAAACAGGTTTCAAATATTCCCTCTGTTTTCCCCAAAAGTACATTCGTATCCGTTTGACCGTGTGCTCTCGTATTTTGGTTCAGAAAATATGAATTGCACAGCAAAGATGACAATTTGTTATCTCCCAGTGGCTGGACTATTGATGTCTGTTTTTTCTCAGGTATCCGGAGGCTTGAGACCCTGAGTAAGCCATTACAAGGCTGTGTGGTGAGCAAGAACGCAGTAGAGCTGTCGGCTGATTTATTTAATATCTTGTTCTGGCCTATTTCTGATACATGGGTTTATCTGTCTGGGTTCTGTAGAGAAACAGAGCAGTAGGTTGTATTTCAAGGAATTCGCTCATGGAGTTGTGGAGGTTGGTAAGTCTGAAACTTGTAAGGTAGGCTGGCTGGCTGGAAAGTCTCAGGCAGCAGTGAATGTTGTAGTCTTGAGGGAGAATTTTTTCTTCCTCAGGGTAACGTGTTTTACTCTTAAGACCTTTCAACCGATTGGATGAGGGTAATCTCCCAACTATGTACCCAACTGTATTATCGAGGGTAATCTCCTTTACTTAAAGTCAACTGATCGTAGATGTTAACCATATCTACAAAATCCCTTCACATCAACACTCACATTAGTGTTTCATCAAATAGCTGGACATGATAGCCTAGCCAAGTTGGCACGTAAAACTAGCCATCACAGTGGGCAAAATTAGGACTGCCCACAACTCGTCCCTAGAGGACCATACGAGGCACAATAGTGGATCTGGACATATCCTAGTAAATGTGGCAGCAGGATTACCCTCATAAACTTCTGTTCTCTTCCCAAAGAGAAGCATCCATAGCCCAGTTGACCTGCTTGTTAAACCCCAAGGGTTAAGTGAGCAAATATCTGGGAAGTTCCCCTTTAAGGGGACTGCTGCTCTATTTTCCAGGAGAGAGGTGTTGGAGTAACTCCTCCCCATTCTCTTCAACCTCTCCTTCCTCTCCCATGGGAAGGGGGTCCTGATCTGATTGGTGTTAGAAGGGGCAATCTACTATGGGCCCTGAGCATCTCTACATGTTCTTCTGTGTATGCCACGAATGTAAGACTGTGAGTACTCTTTCCCAAGTCTGCATTTTCAGCAGCAACCTTCAGAGAGAAGGTAACATCTCTCTCTGGACACAGAGCAGGCTTTGCCTCCACCTGCTATAAAAGCAGTGAACCACCCAAGTAGAGACTTTCTTGTAACACAACTCTCTGCATGTTCAGGGTTCATCTAGGACCACGTATATTTTCCCTATGGGACCTAGTGAGAGAAAATGGGAAATTGGTGTGACCATCAAACTAATAGTTTGGCTACGGCATTTGCTGTGAGTAATACACTCATGTGTCTCTGACTCAGGAGTCTTATGTATTTTGCCAGCATCCAAAAAACAGTTACAAGCTCCTTGTTAGCTTGCAAGTAGGCTACAGTCTCAGACCCTTCACAATTCTTGACAGCAAGAGGCCTTGATTCCCTGCAGGTGACAATATTTGTTCTATACTCCCAGCTTTACCATCCTCTCCATGCAAAGCAAGCTAGCTGAGTGGGATCTGTCCTAGAGACCAAACTCTCCCTACTTCAAGATCTCATTGAGGCAAGAAATAGTAAAAACTGTTTTTGCTTCCACTCTATTATTAAGAAAGCTGATGTTTTGATTCTCAACTGGTTTAGAATCTGGAAGGGATAAGAGGAGAACATCTAGGCTCTTCCAGAAACCCCAACAAGCATGGTATGTCAGGTGGTATGCTAGGATCTGGGGGTGCCAAAGAGAAAAAAGAAATGTCCCTGCTCTCTTAGAGCTTGTAGTTTAATGGGGATGCGACTGGGGGTTGCACAGATATTAAGATAATTACAGTGTACCGAAGAAGGCTGTTTGCTGCTTGCTGGCCATCTCTTTCTACTAACATTTTTTTCTTTCTAATAACTCTCTAAAGTCACATTTTAATAATCTTGATTTGATTTAGCTGATTCCTAAGTTTGTAACAGCAACTCGTTTACAAACTAGCTCTTGGGAAGAGTTATTTCTACAAGGTTAAGCTCATGATTCTATGTCGATTTGTACCAAGTTCATTCACAGGGACTGACTTATCTTGATAATTTTGGAGCCGTTTATGTTTTGATATTACCTTATATAATAATCCAGTGAAACAGAATGCAATATTAAAATTTAAGTGATAATGTGAATATTTAAATTACATTAAAGTAAGTAATGCATACACTAGATCTTTAAGTTCAGTCGTAAATTCTACTTTCATTGTATTTTTTAGCAAATAACACTCAAATGAAGTGGAAACTCTGGAACCCATAGGTCAATCTTTCAGTGCATCCACCCATGAAATGTTGCAAGTCTGCCCGTCACTGTGCCAGGCATTAGGGTTATAGGGTAACTGAGAATTTACTTTTCAAATAGTCTAGTCTCTGGCTAGGCATGGTAGCTCACATCAGCACTTTGGAGGGCCAAGGTGGGCAGATCACTTGAGGTCAGGAGTTTGAGACCAGCTTGGCCAACATAGTGAAACCTCGTCTCTACTGAAAAAAAAGAAAAAATTTCAAATGCTCTAGTCTCCTAAAGGGAGAAATGTAATCCAATCACACATTTGGAGAGGTTTGATTCGTACTTACTGACTAGTTGCTAATGCAATAGCCCTCAAGGTTATAGCAGTCTTGGAGACCGTAAACTTTCTTTTTGTTAGCTTGAATGCAGAAACAAACCTCTATACCCTCATGTAGGAACTGATAACCCAAAAATAACAGACATCCAAATACTGTTTGTATTTTTGCCATGATCTATATACATTCCTGAAATTAAATTTGTAGCAGGAAGCGTAATTCAATTTTGAAGCATTTATTGAGTTTCTACTATGCACAAAGACCTATGGTAGATTCTATGGTGGATATAAGACAAGATCCATGTCCTTGAAGAATTCGAAATCAAGTGAGGACGTTAATTATTGTCTTGGATTTATGAGTCTAATTGCCAAGCAAGGGTCTCCCTTGTCAACATAATAACTTTTTTTATGGCTGTTTGTGACGTTTTCATCAATAGCCTATTGGCTAAAGTATTTTGACATTAACCTAAATCATCAGTCAAGATATCCACATTGCAGGAAATGAACAAAAAGCTAAAAGGGAAGGGCGATGAAGGAATGGGAGAGAAACTAACACCTATGCTGGGCACTTCATTATCTAATACATTCACAAAACAATCCAGGAAGTATGTATTCTTCTTTCTCTTTTTATCAGGCGATGACATTAGAGCTAAAAAATGTTAGAACATTTCCTTAAAATCTGGACAGAAAGTGGCAGAGCTGGGATTTTAGATCCATTCAACACAAAGCTTTCTCTTACACTGTACTTACCAGTTTTCCAAAAATGCATGTGTGTGTATATGTGTGTGTTTTCAGACGTGAGTAAGCAAATAAGCAAGTGAGAACTTAGAAAGAAGTGGGTGAGTTTTCTGTCACTGGGCATTTAAAAATAAGCTGAATAATCACTGGCAGAGATCAAGAGGGGATTAAAACCTTGAGTAGGGGTTAGATCGTGATATCAAAATCCCTTTCAACACTGAGATTCCACTTCTATGAAAACATGAGTAGAATTTGCATGCCTTCTCCTTCTCTTGGAAGTCTTTGCAACATACGCTCCACATTGTATGAAGAGAATCATCTGTGTAGAAAATGGGCAAAGCAAGGTCCATGGGCCTTATCACTCCATAGCTTACCACCACGTGTAGCAATTCACCTGGCTGAAGATTTAACTTGTGATATATGTGCGTTCCCGTTTATTTGTTCTACAGAGGGAAGTTTCTGCAAGTTACATGTCAGCTTTGGAGGAAATGCAGTCTCCTTTTCACTGCAAAGAAGCTCCTTCCTCAAGGGGAAAGAGACAATTAGGTTTCAGACTTGGTTATGGACTGAATGTTTGTGTCTCCCTAAATTCATATGTCGAAGTCCTAACACTAATTGATCGTGTTAGGAGATGGGACCTTTGGATGTGACTAGATGTAGATGAGATCATGAGGGTTGAGGCCCCATGATGAGATTAATGCCCTTATAAGAAGAGAAAGAGAGACCAGAGTTCTCTTTCTATCATATGAGGATACAGTGAGAAGGTGGCCATCTGCAAGCCAGGAAGAGAGCCCTCACCAGTAATTGAATCTACTGGAACCTTGGTCTCAGACTTCCCAGCCTCTGGAACTATGAGAAATAAATATCTGTTGTGTAAACCACCTGGTCTATGATATTTTATTATAGCAGCCTGTGTTAGTTTGTTTTGCATTGCTATAAAGGAATACCTGAGACTGGGCAATTTATAAAGAAAAGAGGCTTATTTGGCTCATGGTTCTGCAGGCTGTACAAGAATGGCAGCATCTGCTCAGCTTTTGGTGAGGCCTCAGGAAAATTTTACTCATGGCAGAAAGTAGAGGGGGAGCAGGTGTGTCACAGGGTGAGAAAGGAAACGAGAGAGGGAGATCTAGTCTCTTTTTTAACAATCAGATCGCACATGAACTCATTACCACTGGGAGGGTACCAAGCCATTCGTGAGGGATCCACCCCCGTGACCCAAACACCTCCCACCAGGCCCCACCTCCAACATGGGGGATCACATTTCAGCATGAGATTTGGAGGGGACAAACATCCAAACTGTATCACAGCCTGAGCTGAGTAAGACAGACCCCTAGAGGCTATTGTTAGAACCCATCTGTAAGAGTTTGGCTGATGGTTCCATTGTTCGAAGAAAGAGGCATTTTGTGATGAGGCCCTTTGTGATGAAACCCTTTGAGTTTCAGGGATTGAAAAGAAGTGTGATTCTTTGAGGATGGAAAGGCAGAAAGGGAAGGTGAGGAGAGCAGTTGAGAGTCTCTGACACAGAGGGATAGGGTAACTAGCTCCTTGGCACATAGGTGTGGCATGGGGCTGGAATCGCTGAGCATTGGGAGCTGTGACCTGGAAGCCTAAGCAGCCTCACTGGCTGGTCTTAGCTCTGTGGGAGTGCATGCTCCTCTCCAAGTTCTGAGGACCATGTTCAATAGTAACACCAAATAGCAGGGAGAAACAGTGATGAGGTGGACTAACTGGACACCAGACCTCAGCTTGGGACGGGGAAATCAGATGTTCCTGTCTGCCCTTTGAACTGTGTACATCTCTAGGGTTTTTTGTTTGTCTTAAAAACTATTCATAGGAAGGAGGAGACTCAGGAGCTAATCCAGAAGGCAGGGCCTGATCAGGGTACATTTGAGTAAAAATCAGTTGCTAAGTTTTGCCTCAGGAAATATTGGAGCAGTTGATTCCCCAGGGCAGCCAGGGTCTCCTGTTTCCTGGGTGGTGGAGGCCAGCTGAGGCAGATGGGAGCAGCCACTTCGGCCACATCCAGATTCTGTACAGTGGCTGGACAGCCACAGTCTTTGCAGAAAACTCAATACCTTTATTTCACTTGGTTTCAGAACTCTCAGACTTGGCATCTCAAGAACAAAAGAAAATTCTAGATGGAAACCTCATTTAAATTCTGAAGAGTAGTTATACTTGGAGGCACAGTGTTCAGCTGTTTGGAGATTTGTATATTTGGCACTTACAAACAGCAGCATCCGTGACAACAACAACAGGGACATATAGATCTAAAGGTTTAATGTTTAATAGTTTATGTTTTGTTGTTACACAGACTTACAAGGCAAAAACAAAAAACCCCCAACCAGGCCTGTTGTGCATGTTGCGATTGAGTGATGGATCTTTGTAAGCTACTAGGGAAGTTCTCCTGGAGTCTTAGAGGGAGGGGAATGAGATGGGCTAGGAAGAAACAATGGTAAATAAAGCCCCTGGCTCCAAATACCCTGACTATTTGGCCTGCCATCCAATTTGCTGAGGAATTAAGAGCAAGTGCCAAGGAGTAGGGATGGAGGATGTCTTTTTTTCTTACGATTTGCTAGTTGCTCTCTTCCTTTGGGCCCGGCACTGAGTTTCATTCACGTCTGACAAATGCTCACCAACCATGACCAAGTGTCCAGAGAAAGACCCAGGGGCCTCAGGTCTTGGACAATGCAGATGCTGTCTTTGTTTTCCCAGACCCTTCCTTCAGCTTCCCCTGAGTCTGGGGCAGGCTTTGTTTTCCCTCTTGCTCCAAGACTGTATTTCAGAGACCTTGTGAATCTGACCATCAACTCCAGAGGTCCCTCCACTTAGGGTATAATCTTACAGCTTTACCAGCTAAGGGGCTGATGGCTGTTCAGTGAGATCCCAGCCAGCCTTGGGAAAGAAGCCCTGCAGGTTCTAAGAACAAACGTTTTCTTTCTGCTTTGGTTGGCCCCTTGCCTTCACCAGGTGTCATCAATTTTACTGATTCTGTCTCTGAAGCCATTGCTTACTCTCCTTCCCCCTGCCTTCATCCAGGCCTCTCTCACTTCTCCCTTGTATAATTGTGACAGCATCATAGCTCCTCTCCTCTCTCTGCCTTCAGATTCCTTCTGTTCCAATCTGTTTTCTACATGGCTACTCAAGAAATTCTTCTAAAACACACATCAGTTTGTGTCATTTTCTTGCTCACCAACTTCCCTGGGTTCCCCATCACCCTCAGGATTTTTGGCTATCCACTCCTTCCCCCTGGACTGCCTCTCCCCTCCCTCCTTCCCAGAAGAGGATTCAACTTTTGTCACCTCCTTGAGAAGCCTTCCCAGACCCCTCTGGGTAGGAGTTAGCCGCTTTTAGTTATTTCCTTCTTTGTGCTTCCATTGCATAATAACGGAGATCCCTGAATACTTACTGAGCTCTCTCCATAGGCTGAGAGCTCTCCAGACACCTTGCAAGCATCGTCTCATTGATTCTCACAAGAGCCTTATGAAGTCTGCACTTTCCTTATTTCCATTACAGTTGAGGAAATGAGACAAGCTGCCTAAACATATGTGAGGTTGTGTGTCTAGATGGTTATGGAAGCCGCATTTGAATCTGAGTAGTTCAGCTCCTGAGCCCATGTCTCACTAAGGGTACACTATTCTGAACCTGTGTATCTCTGTGACAGCACTTACAACATTTTATTATTGTTTATTTACATCTCTTCCTTTCATTTGACTGAGCTGCTTGGGGGCAGAAATACTGTGTTTTTAATCACTAAGACTAGCCCATAATAAGTGCTCAATAAATTCCTGAAGGAGAAAGAAAAGAAGGAAGTGTTACCATGATTATATCAATAAGAACATAGAAATAATTCAGGAAAATGTTCAAATTCCCTAGGGTCAAGACCAGGCCTGTGTTACCTATGTTAAGGGAATAATTTAGTCTACAAAAACAGGTAAATAGTTTTGCTACAAGTAAAAAGCTGATGTTCCTAGAAAGTCTGGGCCAAAGATGGATCAGCCCAGAACATTTGTCTTAACAATGAAATAAGTAATCACAATCAGACACTTTTTTTTTTTCTTTTGAGACAGAGTCTCACTTTGTCACCCAGGCTGGGGTGCAGTGGCCCCATCTTGGCTCACTGCGCCCTACACTTTCCAGGTTCAAGCGATTCTCCTGCCTCTGCCTCCTGAGTAGCTGGGACTACGGGGACACACCACCGCCCCCTGCCGCCCCCCAGCTAATTTTTGTATTTTTAGTAGAGACAGAGTTTCACCATGTTAGCCAGGCTGGTCTCAAACTCCTGACCTCAAGTGATCTGCCCGCCTTGGCCTCCCAAAGTGCTGGGATTACAGGCATGAGCCACGGCACCCAGTCATCAGACACTTATTTTGTAAAGAATTATTGAATTCACCCATACATGGTCTGTGTGGATATAGTCTGGAATCCAGGTGAGAACTGATGGAGTATTTATGGAGAAATGGCTGATTATAGGACAAGGATTTCTAAATATTCTAGGGAACTGACTAATATTTCCAAAGATTTCCTATTCTCCAAGCACAGGAACCAGCT
Source organism: Homo sapiens (assembly GCF_000001405.40). Classification (NCBI taxonomy): domain Eukaryota; kingdom Metazoa; phylum Chordata; class Mammalia; order Primates; family Hominidae; genus Homo; species Homo sapiens. The sequence continues at coordinate 58,380,757 of NC_000015.10, read as the reverse complement.
GGAGTGGAGCCAAGGCTCAGGCTTGGTCGGGGCAGAGCAACTCCTCTATTTCACTTGTTAGATGTCCTAAACCATTTTGTCCAATGTTATTGATGCAAATTGGTGGTTGTGATGGTTAATTTTATGTGTCAACCTGACGGGGCCTTGGGTGTCTAGACTTTTGGCTAAACGTTATTCTGGTGTATCTGAGAGGATGTTTTTTGATGGGACTAACATTTAAATTGATAGACAGACTGAGTAAAACAGATTGCTCTCTCTAATGGGGCTGGGCCTCATCCAATCAGTTGAAGACCTGAATAGAAAAAAAAGGCCAAGTAGGAGGAAGTTCCTTCTGCCTGACTGCTTGAGCTGGGACACTGGTCTTTTCTGCCTTTTGGCTCAGACTAAAACATTGGCTGTTTTTGGGTCTCAAGCCTGCTGGTTTTTGGACTAGAACTTTCACCATCTACTCTCTCGATTCTCAGGCCTTCAGACTCAAACTGGAACTATACTTTGACTCTCCTCAGTCTCCAGCTGCCTGACCACAGATCTCGGGACTTCTCAGCCCCCATAATCTTGTGAACCAATTCCTTATTTTATATATGTATACTGTCATGCTCTGCATAATGACATTTAGGTCAATGATAGATCACATATACAATGGTGGTCCCATAAGATTATACTACTTTAGCTTTTCTATGTTTAGATATGTTTAGATACACAAATACTTACCACTGTGTTACAACTGCTGTCAGTATTCAGTACAGTAACATGCAGTACAGGGTTTTTAGCCTAGGACCGATAGGCTCTATCATATAGCCTAGTTGTATATTTGACTGTATCGTGTAAATTTGTGTAAGTACACTTTATGTTGTTCCTGTAACTGAAATGCAGATCCAGTCATTCACTGCTTGCAGAGTCCAATTAACAAGAGTGAGGTCTGATATAAAGGAACTGCTTTATATTCTATTATAAAGACACATGCACATGTATGTTCATTGCAGCACTATTCACAATAGCAAAGACATGGAATCAGCCTAAATGCCTATCAGTGGTAGACTGAATAAAGAAATGTGGTACATATACACCATGGAATACTATATAGCCATAAAAAAGGAGTGAGGTCATGCCCTTTCCAGAGACATGGATAGAGCTAGAGGCCATTATCCTTAGCAAACTAATGCAGGAACAAAAAATCAAATACTATGTGTTCTCACTTGTAAGTGGAAGCTAAATGATGAGAACACATGGACACACAGAGGGGAACAACACACACTGGGGCTTATTGGAGAGTGGGGGTGGGAGGAGGGAGAAGATCAGAAAGAATAGCTAGTGAATGCTGGGCTTAATACTGGGGTAATAAAATAATCTGTACAACAAACTCCCATGACACAAATTTACCTGTATAACAAACCTGCGCATGTACCCCTGAAATTAAACTAAAAGTTAAAAAAAATTCTTCCAATCTATGAACATGAGATGTCTTCCCATTTATTTGTGTCTTTTAAATTTCCTCCATCGATCTTTTATAATTTTCAATGTACAAATTTTTCATCTCTTTCGCTAAGTTAATTACTAAGTGGTTTCTTTTCGTTGCTAATATAAATGAGATTGTTGTTGGTGTATAAAATCACCATTGATTTTTGCATCTTGATTTTGTATCCTGTAACGTTAATAAATTTGTTTATTAGTTCTAAAAAAAGTGATATATTATATTTCAAAGCTAGCTTAGGGGAAGAAGTACAGGCTTCTTGTCTTAAGGGTAGCAGGTGCAGAAAGTAGGAATTATTTTAAAAGGGGGCTTGGCATGAATGGCATGCAGGGGAGAAAGCAATTGGATGGAGGTCCACATAATTCGCTTCAGTGCCTTATCTACTGGGCCATTGAGCTGGCGCCTTCATGGGCAGAACTAGGTTTTAAAAGTGTCTGAAACTCTCCAGGTGGGAGAGAATTTTGTAGTGGGCATACTTAGGCTTGTAAATTGAGTGTTGCTCTCGAGGCAATCTTCAGCCGGGAGAGAGTTCCACTCTGGAGCCCCTAAGCATATAGTTAGATGAACTTGCCCTGTAGGGAATGTCTGGTGATGGGGAGGTCTAAGTAGGAAGTGAGGAACAGGGGAAAAGGAGAAAGGAGAAAAGAAAAGAAAAAAATCATTCTGTTTTTCTTAGACGAATGGGAGTACTTGGTTACATTCCTACAATGACAAAGCTGCCTTCATGACTCATTTCTCAGAAAACAGTGCTGTAGTTAAGCGATGCATGACTCTATCTGTCTATCTATCTGTCTGTCTATCTATCTATCTATCTATCTGTCTATCTATCTATCTATCTACCTATCATCTATCTATCTATCTAATCTCCTATTGGTTCTATTTCACTGGAGAGCCCTGCCTAATACAGTTGTTTTAATTATTCCTCATTTCCAATGTACTTTCCTCCTTGACTTTCATTATGGGTGGAGCAGGCTCTGTTTGATTCTAAAATTATATGAGGAAAATATAAAGAGATAACCACAAAATTGCTAATTTTTTTGGTGGAGGGAATCTGTTATGTGGATAAAGGATTAGTCTTAATACTATATTCAAGTTAAGTTATTAATTCACTGAATTTTTATGGAGCACCTACTGTGTGGTAGGACTATTCCAAAGAAGCAATGATTTCTGCCCTTGTGTATGTATGTTTTATTTTTATTTTTTAATTATTATTTTCTTTGAGATGGAGCCTTCCTCTGTCGTCCAGGCTGGGGTGCAGTGGCGCGATCTCAGCTTACTGCAAACTCTGCCTCCTGGGTTCAAGTGATTCTCCTGCCTCAGCCTCCTGAGTAGCTGGGACTACAGGCGCCCACCACCACGCCCAGCTAATTTTTGTACTTTTAATAGAGATGGGGTTTCGCCATGTTGGCCAGTCTGGTCTCAAACTCCTGACCTCAAGTGATCTGCCCTCCTTGGCCTCCCAAAGTGCTGGGATTACAGGCATTAGCCACCCTGCCAGCTGTGTGTTTATGTTTTAAACAAAGGATAGAGACAATAAGCATGATAAATAAGTCTAACTATATTGTGTGTTAGAGAAAAATAAAGCAGGAAAGGGGAGTGGGGAGGGGTTCAATTTTAAGTAGGGAAGTCCTAAAGGGCTGCATTGAGAACTGTATTAGAAAAATGACCTGTACGAAAGTGTATTAGCTTCCTATTGTTGCTGTGACAAATGACCACAAACTTAATGGCTTAAAACAACACAAATTTATTCTCTTAGAATCCTGGAAGTGAGAAGTCCCAAATTGGGCTCCTGGGACTAAAATTAAGGTGTCAGCAGGGCTGTGTTTCGTTTGGAGGCTGTAGGAGAGAATTCATTTTCATGCCTTTTCCAGTGTCTCTAGGCTACATTCCTTGGCTTGTGGCCTCTTCCTCCATATTCAAAGCCAGCATTATCAGGCCAACTCCTTCTCACACTGTCATTTTTTTAGTTCTTGTTCCTTTGCCTCCTTCTTCCATTTATAAGGACTCTTGTGATTTCACTGGGCCCCCTTAGATCTTCCAGGATGTAGAATACCAAAACTATGCCACTCCAAAATACGACTGTAGGAGGCCAGAATGTGCTACTCCAAAATATGCCTCTTTAGCATGAGGATTATTTTTGAGCTAATTATTCTAAGAAACTGTAGACACCAGAGTAACTCTAAAAACAAAGAGTAGAAGTTACCCTTTTGTAAGGGAATTGTATTTTCTAAAGGAAATCCCCATTTGTAAGGTACCTGCTCTGTACCAGGAAGAGAAGAAATCCTCCAAATCACTAGAGACTTTTCTCAATGGAGAAGGCACTGAGTAAATCCACAGGAAAAACCTTGCTCTTATTACTGTGCTTTTCCTGACCTCCCCAAAACTGGCGCCCTTCCTTCCCCTCTCATCCCCCTCTCCCTCCCTCCCTCCCTCCCTCCTTCCTTCCTTCCTTCCTTCCTTTCTTCTGAAGATGACATTTGACCTGAACTAAAAGCAACTTCTTGGAGATTTACTCACTTTTCCCTGGGTATCTTTCTTGTATATATATAGTAGACCTGTTAATAAACTTCTGTTTGTCTCTTGTTAATCTCTTTTGTTACAAGGGTCCATGCCAATAAAAACTCAGAAAAAGGGGAGGGAAATTATTTTTCCTCCCCTATAAGGATAATCTCATCTCAAGTCTAGCTAATTACGGCTGTATCAATTTGTTGGGGCTGCTGTAACAGAGTACCGCAGACTAGATAGCTTGAACAACAGACATTTGCTTGTAATTCTGGAGGCTTAAAGTCTGAGGGCAATGGGTTGGCAGGGCTGGTTTCTTTGGAGGTCCCTCTCCATGGCTTGTAGATGGCCACCTTCTTTCTGTCTTTACAAGGTTTTCTGTGTATGTGTGTGTCCTCCTCTTCTCTTCTTGTAAGGACCCCAGTCATATTGGATGATGTCCCACCCTAATAACCCCATTTTACCTCTTTAAAGACCCTATATCCAAATCCAGTCACATTCTAAGGTACTGGGGGTTAGGACTCCAACATACGAATTTTTGGAGAAGGGACACAATTCAGCTCCCTTAAACATCTTCATCAACATTTGTAAATTAATGTGTTTGCTTTTTAAACATTCACATGCCTGGCAGGGTAAACTTACAATAGTAATAAGCAAAACCCTCTTAAGCATTTAAATTACTCTTGTATCCACTAAACATGTAATTATAGTAAATCAAGTTTGCTTAACAGTACCACAACTATTTATAAACTTAAAATTCTCCTATGCTTTTCAGCTAAAAATCAAAGTAAAAAACATCCGATTCTCTTAAACGTGACCCTTCATAGTTTTTGTTTTTTAGATTGTTGAGTAAGGGTGTGATCATTGCTGTCCGTGGTTAACTTATAAGAATATTCTGAAGACAACACAAAAAATTGTGCTTTGACAATAAAAACAACCTATGAAAATTTAACGTGCTGTTTTCATTCCAGGAGAAAGCTAACCTCTGCCAAGGACACACTTGAATTATTCCTTGAAAAGTTAGGAACAGTTTTCTTTTTGTTCCCTTTCCTCACCCCCAAAGAAAAGCTGACTCTGAAAAAGAGCAGATAACTTAACTGGGGTGTAAGTGATTAATAGAGACCTCCTGTTCCTTATCTTCCAGAGATAGAATATTGACATTGCAATGTTGGGGCTCAGAAAATAATATCCAAAAATGAAATCCTCAGAAGCAGAAGTTTTTCTATGACCTCCTGTCTTCTTGCCTCTCAGTCCCATTTCCCCCAAAGGCTACCCATGGAAATTAGTCTCTTTCCCAAGGTGGGTCATAGAAACCAGAACCCCTTTTCCCCAAAGGCAGACAGGAAAACTAAAAATATTACTCTATCTCTCCCCACCTTTCTGTGTAAAAACCGGGCACAAAGAAGTTATCTGACCTAGCTTGTTTGGCTGTAGGTCATAAGACCCTCACTCCAGAGAGGGTTCTGCCCATACCCAGAAGGAAGGAATGCATGCTCAGAGGGGCTAAGAAGAATCCAGACAGACAGGCCTTGCTGGGTTCCCCCACTTAGTCTATTAGCATGAGATTATAGCCTTTTTGTCCAATCATATTTCTACACTGTTCATAATTTATTGAACCTAAGCATAATAACAATTTCCCCTCCATCTTTGGGTCTTCATTCTGAAGGCCCCCATGTCATGTAAAACTCTGATCAAATAAATTTCTGTTCGTTTTCTACTATTAATCTGCCTCTTGTCAGTGATTTTCAGTGGACCTTCAGAAGGCGAAGGGAAAATTTTCCCTTAGCCCCCACAGTAACAAAGGCTGTTTTTGAATTGTGAAATTCACAAATCAGCCCGATAAGTTAAGAGTCAGGGAGCCTTCCAGGCATGGAGGCTGCCACAGCCTAAGACATTGGTGTTTGCTGGACAATTGAATAAAGTCACAGCAAATAGACAGCTACCACTCTGCAAACCCTGGTGTCAGCTTCTCTCCCATGGTCCACACAAAGGTTAGCATAGGTAGAAAAATAATAAGGACAGCAAGCAGCAGTAGCAATTAATACCAGGCATGTCCAGAGAGGGGCTGCGGGGAACGGGTGTTTTGCAAAGTCCCCAGTGTATTCACCTGTTCTATCCTGGTAGAATAAGGGTATCATCCTCTTGGGAATCCTTACAAGGTCCTGGTAGGGGCACTGTAGGGGGAGCTTCCTTTAGACAGTCTTGCTTCTGAGAAAAGAATGTCACCCCTTTCAGCAATTTGAGTAGGGCTGGTTAATTTACAACTGTCTTTCAGCCAGTGATTTCCCCTGGGCCAGCTCTGCCAGCAAACCCCTCTCCTGGAAGCAGTTGACACCTTCCTACTATGCATGATGTGGGCCCAGAATCACGGAAGATCCCAACACCCACTGGACTGTGAGGGCTGGTGGCAGGCTTCTTTTTTGCGGTTTATTGGCTCAAGCAGATGTGCAGTAAATTTAGGTCTTGGCTACTGAAGTATGTAGCCAACATTCTGCTGGACAGAAGGGCCAATGTGGTCATAGGTTTGGTGATGACGTGAAAGAAACCTAAAATCTTGGAACCCAAAATCACTATGCCAAAGGGAAAGTTAAGCTTGGGAACTGAGTCCAATTACACAAAAAACTACCTTCCTTTTGTTTCCAGACAGATAGCTATAATTTCACATGCTTACATTATCTTATGTGGAATGCAGATTTACTTGAGTGTGAGATGAATGCATAATTGACTTTTCCCCCACTCCCCTCTTCTCATACGTGAAATGCAGATTCACTGAGCACTAATTAAAGCCTCAGGAGAATGTAACCACTTGCCTCACTGCCTACCTTCCCTCCTTTTTTATTTCCCTCTTCCCCTCCTCTCTGCCCTTTCCCCTTCAAATATTGAAGTTCCCCAAACCGTCTTTGGAAAAAGCACAAGTCACAGATCCTTAAGCTGTCCACAAACTTAGGGTCTTGAGATTTGAAACTTTAGGGGCCATGATGAAACCTAGCTTCAGGCAGTGTCCTTTATACTGGGCCCTACAACTGATATAAGATTAAAATTTCTTACTTTGTAGGCTTTTCACTAAAAATGAGAGTTACTAATAGTTAACACTGAAATCAATATATATTTTTAAAGCACTAGACGTAAGAGAAATAATTCTGTACACAAAATATAGAAGAAAAGTAGGATGTGCTTTTAGTAAAAGTATTATAAAAATACATGAAAATGTAATTTTTGTTAAAGGGAAAGTAATTTTGTCTAGACCAGAGGTTTTTAAGTATTTTTTTAAATTGAAGGAATAAAGAAATGATGGATAAAAGTGATTGGATGTAGAAAGTTGAAAAAAAGAAAATAGAAACAGATGATAAAATGTTATAAAAGCTTTATAGAAATCTTATAGTCAAACTGAGATTGATGGATTTGTTTATAAGATTTCATTTAAAAAATAGCTTTAGCATTAATAATACACTATGCAAAGGTAAAATCTGGTTTTCTCTTTTGAACAAGATTTTCATGTAATTTTAAGACATAGTAAAAGATTTTTGTTTACCTTTTGAGTAAGCTGCAAAAAAACTTGGAGAGGAGTCAGATTCACTCAGCTGTCTTTACTGGATCTTATTGTTTAGGACACTGAGTCTCCTCTCTGCCAAAAAGTAAAAAGATTTTGCTTTAAAAATCTTTTGAATTATCATTTTGGCTAAATGAATGACTTATTTTACAGTGACCTGTGATTCTATTTTGCATATCAAGTGTTTTAAACCTTTGATATTTGACAAATTTTCCAAAATCAAAATTTCAAGTTCTAAATTTAGCCTTTTTGACTTCATTAACTTCTTTTTAGATATTAGGTCCCCTGAAGTCCGAAACAGATATATCGGCTTACTTGATATGTTAAAATCATACAGGAAGCATTGACAAATATTATATGGTGTTTAATTTAACTTTCTTTGAATTTTATTTATGTAAATGTATTGTTAATATGTATTCTGAAATTATATGGGATTTCTATAATTCTGATATGTCTTAGTGTATGTCATCAATAATAATTATGATTATTATGCTAAATTATTGTATGCCATAGAAATTTCCTAATTTCCTTGTCAATTGTGTCTTTGATCATGGCCATCCTAAGAGTTTTATCATCCACAATTGTTTTACTTTGATCCTTCTCAAAAAGTGGTATAATCAACTATTGTCCAAGACTTGCTTCTTTAGGGAAGTCCACAGAAAGGATTCTGTTGGGTGCTCTTAAATGCGGGTTTCTTATAACCTTGGTGAGTGTGCCATTGAACTTGAGGAAAACAAAATGTTTACAGAACTCTCACTGAAGAACTAATGTGTTCGTGAGGTTTACTAACCTCAATATAAAATGGAATGAGTTAATTGCATGTGACTAAACTAATAGAGGACTGAAATAATTTTTATGACCTGTTTTCTTTGTCTGAAACATGGTTGATTCTTTTCATTTTGTTTCTCAGAGTCAATAAAGCTTTTTTTTTCTTTTGAGTCATTTACTTTTTAACAATTGAGTAAAGTATACTCTTGTGAGCAAAATTTGAATCATGTTCTTTTTCTCTACCTGATTTCTCCAGAATTTGGAAACTATTTGTGAGTATTCTTAATTTTTGGCAATATATTTATTTGCATAAGTTCAATGAGAGCCTTTTCTTTGTAATAGGACACAATTGGAGACACTGGTTATTTTACCAAGACTTTGACTTGAATGGCATATTTTCAGATACGAACAGACTGCTTTGAGGAATTAAAATTGACTTTATGGAGCTGATAAAAGCCCCTCAGAACTACTGGCCTCATATTTTGTCTATGTAGTTCCTTCACAGGGTTCCTGACCTGTGATAAGTAAAGAATGTCACTTTCTTTTTTTTTTTTTTTTGAGACAGAGTCTTGCTCTGTCACCCAGGCTGGAGTGCAATGGCGCAATCTCAGTTCACTGCAAGCTCCACTTCCTGGGTTCAAGCGATTCTCCCTGCCTCACTTTCTGACAGGCCCGGGAAACTCAAGTTATTTTGGGATCTTGAGAAGAGAGGAATTTACCCAATTCATACAGATACAGATAAATTCTCAGCTGGGCTTGAGAGGCCTTTAAAAATCTAATCTGAGATTCCTTATGAAAAAGCTCCAGCAAAGCCAATTCAAAAAGAGCCTATTGATCAATAATTATTCTGGCTGCACTTGATGCAAATGATCAGGCTAAGTATAATAAGACTAAAACTTATTTTGCAAATAAACTGGTCCTACTATAATTTATCTTTGGTAAAAATGGGGAACTGGAGAGAGAAAAATCATGTTTCAAAAGAAACTATAGTAAACCTGTTATTAGATTCTAGCCTTGTCTGTTTTTCAGTTTTTATTATTTGCCTACAATTTATCTGGACTGTACCTTGCATTCTTTCCTGACTACAAGTCTCCAAGCTAACATTTTCAAATTATTTTTTTCTCCCATTTTTCTAACTACTTGAAATCACTAGAAATTATGACTGTGCTTTTCTTAAAGCCCTACACACTAAAGCTAGGCAACTTAGACTTTGGGAGAAATAACAGCTATATGTATACACACACACACAAACACACACACATACATATACATATATACACACACACATATACACATACACTGTATGTATACACATACACATACATGTAACCTATGTATGTGTGTGTGCATTTATTTATTTATATCACCTTCCTGTCTGCCTACAGATGTATGGACTTCTTGGCCTTTTTGGTAATATAGCCTGAATCATGTTTTCAGGATTGCTTTCCCTTTGTTGTTATAATCTGGCCTTTTTGTCCTCCTTTTTTCCCTGCCCTTTTTTCTTTCTTTCTTCCTCCTTCTGTTTTGCTGTGTGGGACAGGAGACTTCATGTCCTCTTAGGAGTAAGCCCTCCTAGCCATATGAGACCTCACCTTCTAGGAGTAAATTAAACCATTCTAGATCTGAGGAATATGACTGAACCTGTGACCGCAGACTCATTTTCTTCTACAATGCTTTCTCCTAAAGATTTCGGAGAACGGGAAATGTGAAAGAAAAACAAAATCTCGGGATCCCAAACTCACTATATCAAAGGAAAAGTTAAGGTTGGAAACTTTTTTGGAGTCACACAAAAAACTACCTTCCTTTTATTCCCAAATGGATAGCTGTAATTTCACATGCTTACTTTATCTTATGTAAAATGTAGAATTACTGAGCTTGAGGTGAATGTATAATTGACTGTTTCCCCCATTCCTTTCTTTTCACTGAGTGCTAATCAAAACCTTACAAGGATGTAAACACTTGCCCCATTCCTTACCCTCCCTTTTTTTTCCCCTCTCCTTCCCTCCTGCTTGCTCTTTTGCCTTTAAATATTGAAATTCCTAAAACCCTTTTTGGAAAAAATACAGGTTACAGATCCTACTGTAACTTGTGTTTCTTTTTCCTGGGTGCATCCTCAACCTAGGCAAAATAACCTTCAAATTGAGATCTGCTTCAGCCACTTTTTGATTTACAATAGCAATACCTTGGCGTGACCAAGATTCTGCACCTGAGAGTGAACAGGTTTTGATGTAAGGCCCTTGGTTGGACTACTGCTGATGTGATAAGCTGTGCCTCTTCCCTTCTCGCCCTTCCTCCCACTTTGCTCTGGGATCTGTGGGTGATTACATTGCTCTGTGGAACGGTATCACTGTGGTTGGACTTCATTCCAACCAGGATACATCTTCACCTGCAGATATAGGGAACATCAATGGTTTAAGACTGTTCCCTTACTCTATCTAACCTACATGCATCCCAGGAAGAATAGTAAACCCCTAGTTACAAATAAAGAGGTCTAGAATCATAGTTGTCAAGGAATGATCTCTGGATTATGCAGCAAATCTAGTCTCTAAATGTGAAGCTGAAACTTGAACCCAGGTCTTCTGTATTCCTGTCATTTTCTCTGTACAACCCTGTGTCTCTATCAACCAAACCATCTACAAGCATCTGCAGGAATCTACTGGTTAGCAAGCATGCTCCCAGACATTTGGGGTGGGAGGAGATACAAATAGAAAAATAGAAAAATACCAGTTTACAGCTATATAAGAAAGCTGCTAGTAACAACTCCAGACCAGTGCTAACAGAGATACACACACACGCATGCACGCACACACACACACACACACACACAGAGACAGAGAGAGAGAGAGAAAGAGAAAGCAAGCAAGCAGGGGAGACGGGGGAGAGTCCGTGTGAGAGTGAGCTTGTTCACTGGAGTGGTCACAGAAGCTTGGATGGGCCTGGGAGGATTCAGTTCATTATTTACTCAGGCAACAAGGATGTGGTGAACCAGAATCTGGGCTGGGTACAGGAAAAAGGCTACATTCCTGCAGATATTGATGGTCTAGCTGGAGAGATATATGCGCCAACAAGGATTACAGTGAGTATAGCAAGTGCTACTGTAGAAGCCAGGGGTGCTGTAGGGCCCCAGAGAAAGGTGATGGACCCAACTGAGCACCAGGAGGAAGAGAGGATTTAGTAGGATATATGAGGCAGTGCAGTGATAATGTAAGGTGGCAGGTAGATCTGTAGGAGGGGCACCATGAGGGTACAAGTGAGCTGGAAGGAGGCGTGGAGAGAAGTGGGCATGGGGACTGGGGACACAGGGACTTCAGAGACACGTGGGATATGGGAGAATTTGCCTTGAGACTCTCACAGTGTCTTTCCAAACCTGTTGTACTTCACTGCATCCTTAGCATTCTCTCTCTTTTTTTTTTTTTTTAAACTTTAAGTTCTGGGATACATGTGCACAACGTGCAGGTTTGTTACATAGATACACGTACCATGGTGGTTTGTTGCACCCATCACCCTGTCATCTACATTAGGTATTTGTCCTAATGCTATCCCTCCCCTTGCCCCTGACTCCCTGACAGGCCCCAGTGTGTGATGTCCCTCTCCCTGTGTCCATGTGTTCTCATTGTTCAACTCCCACTTATGAGTGAGAACATGCAGTGTTTGGTTTTCTGTTCCTGTGTTAGTTTGCTGAGAATGATGGTTTACGGCTTCAACAATGTCCCTGCAAAGGACATGAACTCATCCTTTTTCATGGCTGCACAGTATTCCATGGTGTATATGTGCCACATTTTCTTTATCCATTCTATCATTGATGGGCATTTGGATTGGTTCCAAGTCTTTGCTATTGTGAATAGTGCCACAGTAAACATACGTGTGCATGTGTCTTTATAGTAGAATGATTTATAATCCTTTGGGTGTATACCCAGTAATGGGATCGCTTGGTCGAATGGTATTTCTGGTTCTAGATCCTTGAGGAATCACCACACTGTCTTCCACAATGGTTGAACTAATTTATACTGCCACGAACAGTGTAAAAGTGTTCCTATTTCTCCACATCCTCTCCAGCATCTGTTGTTTCCTGACTTTTTAATGATTGCCATTCTAACTAGTGTGAGATGATATCTCATTGTGGTTTTGATTTGCATTTCTCTAATGACCAGTGATGATGAGCTTTTTTTCGTATGTTTTTTGGCCACATAAATGTCTTCTTTTGAGGAATTTCTGTCCATATCCTTTGCCCACTTTTTGATGGGGTTTTTGTCTTTTTCTTGTAAATTTGTTTGAGTTCTGTGTAGATTATGGATATTAGCCCTCTGTCAGATGGATAGATTGCAAAAACTTTCTCCCATTCTGTAGGTTGCCTATTCACTCTAATGATAGTTTCTTTTTCTGTGCAGAAGCTCTTTAGTTTAATTAGATCCCATTTGTCAATTTGGGCTTTTGTTGCCATTGCTTTTGGTGTTTTAGTCATGAAGTCTTTGCCCATGCCTATGTCCTGAATGGTATTGCCTAGGTTTTCTTCCAGGGTTTTCATGGTTTTAGGTCTTACATTTAAGTCTTTAATCCATCTTGAGTTAATTTTTGTATAAGGTGTAAGGAATGGGTCCAGTTTCAGTTTTCTGAAGCCATTTTTCCCAAGGCCACTTATTAAATAGGGAATCCTTTCCCCATTTCTTGTTTTTGTCAGGTTTGTCAAAGATCAGATGGTTGTAGGTGTGTAGCATTATTTCTGAGGCCTCTGTTCTGTTTGATTATTCTATATATCTGTTTTGGTACCAGCAGCATGCTGTTTTGTTTACTGTAGGCTTGTAGCATAGTTTGAAGCCAGGTAGCGTGGTGCCTCCAACTTTGTTCTTTTTGCTAAGGATTGTCTTGGCTATATGGGCTCTTTTTTGGTTCCATATGAACTTTAAGGTAGTTTTTTTTCTAGTTCTGGCAACAAAGTATATGGTAGTTTGATGGGGAAAGCACTGAATCTATTAATTACTTTGGGCAGTGTGGCCATTTTCACAATATTGATTCTTCCTATCCATGAGCATGGAATGTTTTTCAATTTGTTTGTGTCCTCTCTTATTTCCTTGAGCAGTGGTTTGTAGTTCTCCTTGAAAAGGCCCTTCACATCCCTTGTAAGTTGGATTCCTAGGTATTTGATTCTCTTCGAAGCAATTGTGAATGGGAGTTCACTCATGATTTGGCTCTCTGTTTGTCTATTATTGGTGTATAGGAATGCTTGTGATTTTTGGACATTGATTTTTTATCCCAAGACTTTGCTGAAGTCGCTTATCAGCTTAAGGAGATTTTGGGCTGAGACAATGGGGTTTCCTAAATATACAATCATGTCATCTGCAAACAGAGACAATTTTACTTCCTCTTTTCCTGTTTGAATACCCTTTATTTCTTTCTCTTGCCTGATTGCCCTGGCCAGAACTTCCAATACTATGTTGGATAGGAGTGGTGAGAGAGGGCATCCTTATCTTGTGCCAGTTTTCAAAGGGAATGCTTTCAACTTTTGCCCATTCAGTATGATATTGGCTGTGGGTTTGTCATAAATAGCTCTTATTATTTTGAGATACGTTCCATCAATACCTAGTCAATTGAGAGTTTTTGGGAGAAAGGGGTGTTGAATTTTATTGAAGGCCTTTTCTGCATCTATTGAGATAATCATGTGGTTTTTGTCATTGGTTCTGTTTACGGTGATTGGATTACATTTTTTTGATTTGCATATGTCGAACCAGCCTTGCATCCCAGGGATGAAGCCGACTTAATCATCAGTGGATAAGCTTTTTGATGTGCTGCTGGATTTGGTTTGCCAGTATTTTATTGAGGATTTTCACCTCAATGTTCATCAGGGATATGGGCCTGAAATTCTCTTTTTTTGTTGTGTCTCTGCCAGGTTTTGGTATCAGGATGAGGCTGGCCTTATAAAATGAGTTAGCGAGGAGTCCCTTTTTTTCTACTGTTTGAAATAGTTTCAGAAGGAATGATACCAGCTCCTCTTTGTACCTCTGATAGAATTCAGCTGTGAACACATCTGGTCCTGGGCTTTTTTTTTTTTTTTTTTTTTTGGTTGGAAGGCTATTAATTACTGCCTCAATTTCAGAATTTGTTATTGGTCCATTCAGGGATTTGACTTCTTCCTGCTCGAGTCTTGGGAGGGTGTATGTGTCCAGGAATTTATCCATTTCTTCTAGATTTTCTAGCTTATTTGCGTAAAGGTGTTTATAGTATTCTCTGATGGCAGTATGTATTTCTTTGGGATCAGTGGTGATATCCCCTTTAACATTTTTTATTGTGTCTATTTGATTCTTCTCTTTTTTCTTCATTAGTCTGGCTAGTGCTCTATTTTGTTTATCTTTTCAAAAAACTGGCTCCTGGATTCGATGATTTTTTTGAAGGGTTTTTCACATTTCTATCTCCTTCAGTTCTGCTCTAATCTTAGTTATTTCTTGTCTTCTGCTAGCTTTTGAATTTGTTTGCTCTTGCTTCTCTAGTTCTTTTAATTGTGATGTTAGGGTGTCAATTTTAGATCTTTTCTGCTTTCTCCTGTGGGCATTTAGTGCTATAAATTTCCTTCTAAACACTGCTTTAGCTGTGTCCCAGAGATTCTGGTATGTTGTGCCTTTGTTCTCATCGGTTTCAAAGAACTTATTTACTTCTGCCTTAATTTCGTTGTTTACCTGGTAGTCATTCAGGAGAAGGTTGTTCAGTTTCCATGTAGTTGTACGGTTTTAAGTGAGTTTCTTAATCCTGAGTTCTAATTTGATTGCACTGTGGTCTGAGAGACTGTTTCTTATGATAGCCATTCTTTTGCATTTGCTGAGGAGTGTTTTATTTCCAATTATATGGTCAATTTTAGAAAAAGTGCGATGTGGTGCTGAGAAGAATGTATATTCTGTTAATTTTTGGTGGAGAGTTCTGTAGATGTCTGTAAGGTCCACTTGGTCCAGAGAGCTGAGTTCAAGTCCTAATATCCTTGTTAATTTTCTATATTGTTGATCTGTCTAATATTGACAGTGGGGTGTTAAAGTCTCCCACTATTATTGTGTGGGAGTCTAAGTCTCTTCGTAGATCTCTAAGAACTTGCTTTATGAAGCTGGGTGCTCCTGTATTGGTTGCATGTATATTTAGGATAGTTAGCTTTTCTTGTTGCATTGATCTGTTTACCATTATGTAATGCCCTTCTTTGTCTTTTTTGATCTTTGTTGGTTTAAAGTCTGTTTTATCAGAGACTAGGACTGCAACCCCTGCATTTTTTTGCTTTCCATTTGCTTGGTAAATCTTCCTCCATCCCTTTATTTTGAGCCTATGTGTGTCTTTGCATATGAGATGGGTATCCTGAATACAGCACACTGATGGGTCTTGACTCTTTATCCACTTTGCCAATCTGTGTCTTTTAACTGGGGCATTTAGCCCATTTACATTTAAGATTAATATTGTTATGTGTGAATTTGATCCTGTTGTTATGACGCTAGCTGGTTATTTTGGCCATCAGTTGATACAGTTTCTTCATACTGTCTATGATCTTTACAATTTGGTATATTTTTGTAGTGGCTGGTACCAGTTTTTCCTTTCCATATTTAGTGCTTCCTTCAGGAGCTCTTGTAAGGTAGGCCTGGTGGTAACAGCATTTGCTTGTCTGTAAAGGATTTTATTTCTCCTTTGCTTATGAAGCTTAGTTTCGCTGGATATGAAATTCTGGGTTGAAAATTCTTTTCTTTAAGAATGTTGAATATTGGCCCCCACTCTCTTCTGGCTTGCAGTGTTTCTGCAGAGATCTGCTATTAGTCTAATGGGCTTCCATTTGTGGGTAACGAGACCTTTTTCTGTGGCTGCTCTTAACATTTTTTCCTTCATTTCAACCTTGGTGAATCTGACAATTATATGTGTCTTGGGGTTGCTCTTCTCGAGGAGTATGTTTGTGGTGTTCTCTGTATTTCCTGAATTTGAATGTTGGCCTGTCTTGCTAGATTGGGGAAGTTCTGGATAATATCCTGAAGAGTATTTTCCAACTTGGTTTCATTCTCCCTGTCACTTTCAGGTACACCAATCAAACGTAGGTTTGGTCTTTTCACATAGTCCCATATTTCTTGGAGGCTTTGTTTGTTCCTTTTCATTCTTTTTTCTCTACTGTTGTCTTCATGCTTTATTTCATTAAGTTGATCTTCAATCTCTGATATCCTTTCTTCCACGTGATCAATTCAGCTATTGATATTTGTATGCATCACGAAGTTCTCATGCTGTGTTTTTCAGCTCCATCAGGTCATTTATGTTCTTCTCTAAAGTGGTTATTCTAGTTAGCAATTCCTCTAACCTTTTTTCAAGGTTCTCAGCTTCCTTGCATTGGGTTAGAACACACTCCTTTAGCTTGGAGGAGTTTGTTATTACCCACCTTCTGAAGCCTACTTCTGTCAATTCGTCAAACTCATTCTCTGTCCAGTTTTGTTCCCTTGTTGGCAAGGAGTTGTGATGCGTTGGAGGAGAAGAGGTGTCTGGCTTTAGGAATTTTCAGCCTTTCTGTGCTGGTTTTTCCTCATCTTCGTGGATTTATCTACCTTTGGTCTTTGATGTTGGTGACCTTTGGAAGGGGTTTCTTTGTGGATGTCCTTTTTGTTGGTGTTTACACTATTCCTTTCTGTTTGTTAGTTTTCCTTCTAACAGTCAGGCCCTTCTGCTGCTGGTCTGCTGGAGTTTGCTGGAGGTCCACTCCAGATCGTGTTTGCCTTGGTATCACCAGCGGAGGCTGCAGAACAGCAAATATTGGTGCCTGTTCCTTCCTCTGGAAGCTTCATCTCAGAGGCGCACCTGCCAGATGCCAGCCAGAGCTCTCCTCTATGAGGTGTCTGTTGACCCCTGCTGGGAGCTGTCTCCCCATCAGGAGACACAGGGGTCAGGGACCCACTTGAGGAGGCAGCCTGTCCCTTAGCAGAGCTTGAATACTGTGCTGGGAGATCCGCTGCTCTCTTCAGAGCCATCAGGCAGGGATGTTTAAGTCTGCTGAAGCTGCGCCCACAGCCGCGCCCCTTCCCGCAGGTGCTCTGTCCCAGGGAGATGGGAGTTTTATCTATAAGTCCTTAACTGGGGCTGCTGCTTTTCTTTCAGAGATTTCCTGCCCAGAGAGGAGGAATCTAGAGAGGCAGTCTGGCTACAGTGGCTTTGCCAAGCTGTGGTGGGCTCCACCCAGTTCAAACTTCCTGGCGGCTTTTTTTACACTGTGAGGGGAAAACTGCCTACTCAAGCCTCAGTGATGGTGGACGCCCCTCCCCCCACCAAGCTCAAGCATCCCAGGTTGACTTCAGACAGCCGTGCTGGCAGTGAGAATTTCAAGCCAGTGGATCTTAGCTTGCTGGGCTCTGTCGGAGGTGGGATCCACTGAGCTAGACCATTTGGCTCCCTGGCTTCAGCCCCTTTTTTAGGGGAGTGAATGGTTCTGTCTTGCTGGTGTTCCAGGCACCACTGGGTCATGAAAAAAAAGCTGCTGCAGCGAGCTTGGTACCTGCCCAAATGGCTGTCCAGATTTGTGCTTAAAACCCAGGGCCCTGGTGGCTTAGGCACCTGAGGGAATCTCCTGGTCTGTGGGTTGTGAAGACCGTGGGAAAAGTGTAGTATCTAGGCTGGAATACACCGTTTCTCATGGCACAGTCCCTCATGGCTTCCCTTGGGTAGGGGAGGGAGTTCCCCAACCCCTTGTGCCTCCTGGGTGAGGTGAGGCCCCACCCTGCTTTGGCTCACTCTCCGTGGGCTGCACCCACTGTCTAACCAGTCTCAGTGAGATGAGCCAGATACCTCTGTTGGAAATGCAGAAATCATCCGCCTTCTGTGTTGATCTCGCTGGGAGCTGCAGACCAGAGCTCTTCCCATTTGGCCATGTTGCCAGCCTGTCTCCCTGCATTCTTTTAAAATACAGATTCTCTCCTTTTACTATAAGATTCTGATTTTCAGCAGGTGCTATGGTTTAAATGATGGTGTCTGTTCCAAAATTTTTGTGGTAACTTAATCCCCAATGCAACAGTATTAAGAAGTGTGGCCTTCAGGAGATGATTCAGTCATGAGGACTCTGTCTTCACGAGTGGAATTAGTGCCCTTATAAGAGCTGGAGGTTGAAGGGATTGTCCCCTTTCCCTTCCATCTTCTCCTATGTGAGGACAGTGTCCCTCCCCTGTGGAAGATGGAGCAGCAAGGTGCCATCTTGGTAGCAGAGTTGGGACCCTCTCCAGACACCAAACCTGCTGGCCCAGCCTCCAGAACTGTAAAAAAAATTTCTATTGTTTATAAAGTACTACACAGAATGAGGTGTTTTGTTAGAGAAGCACAAACAGACTGAGACAGTAGGTAGGCTCCAGGTGTCTGTATTTGACATCCATCTCAGGTTTACTCACCGGTATTTAGAAACCACTGTTTTAAACCAAATCTAATGATTGCCATTCTTTTATAGTAATTGACTTTTTAAAAATACACTTTATATTTTAGAGCAGTTTAGGTTTACAACAAAATTGAGAGGAAGGTACAGAGACTTTCCACGTATTGCCAGCTCCCACATACGCACAGCCTCCCTTACTATCGAACCACACTAGAGTGGTACATTTGTTACAACTGATGAATCTACACTGACACATCCGTATCACTCAAAGACTATAGTTTACATTAGGGTTCATTGTAGATGTTGTACATTCCGTGGGTTTTGACAAATGTATAATAACACTTATCCACCACTGCAGTGATCATACAGGGTAGCTTCACTGCCCCAAATGCCTCTGTGGGCACGGCATATTCCTCTCTTCCTCCTCGCAACCCCTTGCAACCATTGATCAGTTGTACTAACTGACACTTCCTCTGTTTGGGCATTTCTGGACATTTTGCAACAAGACTTGCTCCTGGTGGCTGGTTCCTCTGCTTTTTCCCATTATGAGATGTTTTTTTTTTTTTGAAGGGGAGAAGCCAGAACCAATGATGTCATTTCTCTGAGGCCTGATGAGGAAAACTGAGCCCATCAGTCTTTTAACCACTGGAGGAGGATCCTGGTGGGAACACTTAGTAATTTGAGATCGTAAAAATGAATGGTGTCATGTAGTAACTGTTAACATACGCCGCAAGATGTTTATGATTCCCTGGGGCCAAATATGTAAACATTCTTCCAAGTTAAGCTGCAGGAGATAGTCAATTTCACAAAGAGATGATTTTTCCATTTATATAAGATGACTGAGTAAGAGGAAATATGGGGTGCAGGGAGTAAAACCGTTTATCTAGAGCCTGGGGCAAGGGCACATGCATCAGGCACCATGTGTGGTGGGCAGGTGGCTTGAGCTGGAGACCCTGGAAGAGGAGCTTGGGCTATGGCCTGAGCCCCTGTGGGAGGTCATGTAGTCCCTCTTTTGAGACAGGGAAAGGTCCATGTTGGGGTCTTTTACCTTCTTGAGAGCAGATGAAAGAGAGACAGAGATGGTTCTTGGAGATAGCGTGAACTGAACTTGCTGGATATGTCCAATTCTAGGAGATTAAGGTGGCTTAGAAGGATTCCTGTGTGGAATCAACTCAACTCACAAATCAAATGAGACTGAGTAAGTGGACAGAAAGGGGCACCATTATAGATTGAATTTTTTCCTCCTGGAAAGGGATGTTGAAATAGAAATACCAGTAACTCAGAATGTGACTTCATTAGGAAATAGAATCTTCATGGAAGTAATCAAGTTAAAATGAGTTCATTAGGATGGACCCTAATCCAGTATGACTGGTGTCCTTCTGAAAGGGCAAATTTGGACACAGAAACAGACATGCACACAGGGAAAACACCACGTGAAGATGGAGGCAGAGATAGGGAGATGCATCCTATAAGGCAAAGAATGCCAGTCATTACAGAAACCAGGAGAGAGGCAGGGAACAGGTTCTCCCTCACAGCCCTCAGAGGAAACCAACCCTGCCGGCACATTGTTCTCACATTTCTAGCTTCCATAACTGGGGGACAGTAAATTTCTGTCATTAAGCTCACCTAACTTATGATGCTTTGTCATGGCAGTCCTAGCGAATGAGTACAAGCACTTTATCTCTTTTATTATGGATCTAAGTTTCATGAAGACAGGAATTGTGTGTTGTTCATGGCATATTTTCAGTGCCTGGAAAAGTGCCTGGCACAGAGTAGGGGCTTAAGGAGTATTTAGCTCAATGCCTGGATCCTTTGGGGGGATATAGAGAGGTTATTTGAGCCAGAGGACACAAACCAATAGCCATCATGTAGTCAGCACCTGGTATGTAGCTGTGATATTTGGTGTTATGAAGATCATCTCTAATCTACAATGTAACCTGCAAGGTAGGTCTCATTTTTCTTAAGTCACAGAGTGGAAACTGAGGTTTAGAGAGATTAGGAAAATTGCCCAAGGTAACACAGCTAGTAAGTGGTAGATGTGGGTTGTAGCTCAGGCCTGTCTGAGTCTCCAGCCCTTGCTCTCATCAGTAGCCAGGACAGCAGAGGGAACCAGGCACACAGCCGGTGCCAGAGTCCCCTTGGAGCAGACGTCAACTAGTAGCTTGGGGATAGATCTCTAGACCCTGGAGAGGTGCAGTGCCAGAGCGGTCATGTTAGGCAGAAATCTAACTCCCCCAGTGGGGGCGTAAGGATGGACATGAGACTGGGGGAGGAGGAGGAATGGAGCTCTGTGCGGAAGTCCCTGGTCACAGCAGCAGCAGCGGGCTCTGGGTTACTCGGACGTGTGTGTGTGTGTGTGTGTGTGTGTGTGTGTGTGTGTGTGTTACCAGAAAGCTTGATGCAGTTGTATAGATGTGGGTGAGGCTGACTCAGACTTTAGGGAAGATGTGCTGCAAAAAGAAATTCTGCGTCTTAAATGGCTGCTGTGCGGCTGGCAAGACAGCAGGAAAGTGGACATGATTGCACTTCCAAGTTGGCTACCATTCCCCCTGCAATTTCCCGAGACTGAGGCCATACAGACGGTCATGAGACTGAGGCCATACAGACGGTCATTAGCCAGGACAGGGTTTTAAGACCCTTTTAAGGCTGTGTTCCCTGATATTCCCTTCAGGGCCATCCTGAGAGGAGCTCTTTCCTTTTCCATCTCCTGTCTGGGAGTTTCCCAATTCTGAAGCCTTTTCCAACCTAATCTCTAATCCATGGGCTAGAGAAGCAATTCTCAGGCTCTTCTATACTGAGCCCCACTTTTGGATGCCATTCCATTTTTTCATCATGTTGCTGGTACCTAGCACGATGCCTGGCACAGAGCTCCTTCGATATATGTTTGCTGAAGGAATAAAATGAGAGGCCTGTCTGGGCTGGACCTTGCAGGACTATACACCATGGAAAGAGCTCCAGTAGCACGATGTTCATTGCCTGTGTTGGGGACTGAAGGGCAAGGGACCTCTGTGGATCAGTGGAGCTCCCTGGTTGAGGAAGTGGCACCTCTGGGGCTCTGTGACCAGGAACAGAGAGTCTTTTCTTGGTTAGCACAGACCTGCTGCTCTAGCTCCTTGCTAAGCTTCAAAGTGGAGAGGAAAAGAGCCTCTGAGGCTATCCAGATTGATGTCTCCTCAATATTGTGGTGGTTATGGTCTCAGAACTGTATGAGCCAGCTATACTTCTAGACCATTGTCAGGTGTACAGATTGCCTAGGGGCGGGGATGGAGTGTGTTTAAAATGCAGATTCCTAGGCCTTTCCACTGCGAATCCAGCTTCAGCTAACCTGGGGTGGAGCAAGCGAAAGAATCTGCCCACAGGTTGTACTGATGCCACTGGCCAGAGGATTGTACTTTGAGAAATGAATCCCTACATTTTCTCACCTGTAAAATGATGCTTTCAGATATCATTTGTTGGGAAATTGTAGAACTCTTTCCAGTGCTGTGAAATAGAAGCACAAGCAGCTTTGTTTGTGTTATCAAAGGTTTAACTCTAATACCAGAGCTTGATTGCTAATGGGCTTCCAGAAGTCACATATTTCACTGGTCCAGATGCTTACCTGGTTTCCAGGTATGTGTGAGAATCTATGCCCACAAAGCAGGAAGTAGGAAATGAACTGGAAAGGATGAAGCTGCTGCCACAGTCTAGTGCGGTATGCCTCCCTCTGCATCCTTACAGATCAAAGGGATGCTAATGTAGGGGAATATGCAGATTTTTCAGACTCTAGCTCGCTGGGTGGGTGATTTCTTTTATGTCATGAAATAACATGAAAGAAGGAAACCCTTGGCTTTGGATTGGCCTCCTGCGGTGGAAAGTCCCAGAGATGTGAAGTCTCATACTAAGGCCTCCCATGCATGATGTGAGGTGAGAGTAAGATTGGATGGGAGGTGCTGGCCCTTCCTGGGAGGACATCTGATACTGAAGGTGACTAAGGTACGTTGGGCCCTGTTACCCACAAAAGACCTCTGCACTTCGGGGCTGATCACAGGCTAAAGGGCCCCATAAAGAGCAGGCCTGTTGATGCTTTGGGAAGCCTGGAAGCTTTGGTTTCTTGTCACAAAAAAGTGCTGAGGTGGTGTAGAGTCTCCGTGAATGAGGTATTACCAGCCAGCCTGGGACAGACGCCTGTGGAACAAGCCTCAAGCTCACCCTGGCTAAGTTAACAAGCTTGACTTCCTGCTCTGCGAATGTTCTCAAAGCAATAGAGTGATGTTAGGTGACTGAGGCTCACTGCAGAATGTGTGTGGTTGTGTGTGTGTGTGTGCATGCAGGTGAGGGGTAGTGCAGTGGGGGCAAGAGAAAGGGTCCTGGCCCTGGATCCTGGGACTTAAGAGAGCTTCCAGGACCTGAATGGTGACTCATTTTTGTAGGAAAAATCCTTATCATATCCTATGATGTCATTCAGAATTGACTCTGGCCTCCTGTCCTCATATCTGGACATATTTCCCACTGTCTTGCTGTAACCCTGACCTGACGCAAGTTTTGGGAGCTGTGCTTAAGACCTGGCTTGTACCATTCTCCTCTTGGGGCCCCAGGAGGGTGCACTGCCATCCCATGCTGGCCCTGGGTTAAACAGAACTCAAGAGCCTTCATGCTTGTGCTTACTGCCAGAGACAATCTCCAGTCTGTATGGAGAGTAGAGTACAAGATGGGACAGCACTGGACTTCCTAGCTGTTAGTGATACCCACTATTTGTCCTTATAAAGTGCTAAGACTCATACTAATACCAATATGGATACAAATACTAATATGAATCCAAATACTAATGCCAATACCAATTCTACCTCAAATACCCATAGCAATCCTAACCCTAATCCTAATTCTAGTTTTTCCATTTGCTCCTTAGGGCTACCTCAGGAGAGATGAGTCAGTGTTTGCAGGAGTACTGTGATATTGGAGTCTCCTTCCCATCTTAGGGCCCTTTTCCTTTGATGAATACTCCGTAAGAGTTGCCCACCTTTCTCTTCCTAGGAGGAGAAGTGAGTTCCTAAGAAGACAGCGAAGCTTTGGAGCTAGAAATAGAAGGAGAAAACAGTCAGATGGCCCTGAAAAGTGGGCCCCCACATTCCGGCTCATGTGGGATGCAGAGGAAATCCCCTTCTTGTTCCTGTGAGGTTGGGCAGTGTCAGAGCCCCTGACCCCCACCTCTATCTGCCAGAGGGGGTGCAGCCTGAGGGAGAGAGGTGCTGCGCCTAAGGTGAAGAGCTGGAGGGGTGTCCTCCCTAGCTCCCCTCCTTCCTTTTATTATTATTTTTTTTCTTTGTGACAGTCTCGCTCTGTTGCCCACGCTGGAGTACAGTGGCACAATCTCTGCTCACCGCAATCTCCGCCTCCCGGGTTCAAGCAGTTCTCTTGCCTCAGCCTCCCAAGTAGCTGGGATTACAGGTGTGTGCGCCCACACCTGGCTGACTTCTGTATTTGTAGTAGAGATGAGATTTCACCAGTTGGCCAGGCTGTTCTCGAACTCCTGGCCTCAAGTGATCTGCCTGCCTTGGCCTCCCAAAGTGATAGGATTACAGGTGTGAGCCACCGTGTCTGGACCCTGGCTCCCTTCCTTCTGCCAAAGAGGGCAGCCCTAGCGTTTTTATCTGGTATAAGCCCCTCACCACAGACAGCTGCTCAGAACCCCCATCCACAGGTCCATGTGCTGGCTCTGCTCTTGGCAGGAGCCACCTTCCAGACCAGGTTCTTCCCACTTGTTGGAAGAAAGAAGAGCCAGCTACACATGGCAAAACCCGCCTCTTAGGGTGTCAGGGAGAGGAGGAGGGAAATGCTGCAGGGAAGGTATGTGGCTGATTTGTTTTGTCTATAATCAATACCGGCCATCCATTTGTGCCCAGTTCAGAGGATGTGGAGCGTGGTTTTATTGCTTTCCTGGAGGATGGAGGGTCATAACTCTTGCGGCTCGGCTTTTATGGTTTGTTGTTAGTGGTAGCCAGGCCTCACTCCGTAGGAGTCTCTAATCAGGATGCCAGCCTCCACATTGTTCTCTGGGACATTCTGTTTTACAACACGCTCCCGTTTGCTGAGGGGTGAGTCTTGCGCTGTCTCTTGCAGGTGGGCCCGCTGTCTTTGCTGGCTGACTGTGCTGGGCAGGGTGGCCTGGAACCTGAAAGGAGGCCAGCAGGGTGGGCTCAAACTCCCTGCTCTCACCAGTGCTCGCTCTTCATTGCCAGAAGCTAAGGAGGCCTTGAGCACTAACAACCCCCAAGTTTTGGGTTCTGCCACAGGCGCTTAACTTCCTCCAGCTTTATATTTCTTGTCTGTAAAATGGAGCGAACACCTGCTTCCTTTCCCCACTGAATGATGTTGAGTCAGAGGGATGATGGATGTGAAAGCACATGCAAATAGGAAGGCGCCTTTGAAAGCACTAGCTCTCATCATTATTATTATTTTCCACTTAAGTGTTTTTACTCAATGGATTTGCCACTGCAGCTTGTGCTGACCCTTTTCACTCTGCAGTCCCTCTAAAAATACCACTTCTTTTGGGCGGGGAGCAGGCAGGGCTCCGCATGCTCCGCATGACCAGGGCTGTGAATTCACAGAGCAGGAGCTGAGTTATATATAGGGCGTCCTGGGAATTGCCTGGACCCTCTTTCAAGTGCAGGCAGGTGTGGGGATCTCAGGGCTGCAGGTAGAAAGAGGATCTGTAGGAAAGAGCTGTGAGAGGAAGCCCCCGGGGAGAGCAAAGCTGGGGGCTGGGCACTGCCTAGTGGCGGGTGGGAGTGCTTGGAAGACATTAGATGTGGGGACCTGGGCTTCACTCTTGAACAGGTAGGGGTCTCCAGAGGTTGCTAAGCTCAGGGGAGGATCCTTGAAGGCAGATGGGGAGTGGAGTGGGGTGAACAGCCAGGGAGGCCGATCCATGCAACGCCTCCTTAGCCTGGCCCAGGGCATGTGTGTGAGGATGGAGAGGGAGGGGTGGGGATGGAAGCCTCGGTCTTGCTCTCAGGGACTGTGGTGGAACAGATGACATGGCTGGGTGGCAACGGGGTCGGGAGATTGATTGGGGAGCATGTTCTAGTCCCTTTTCTCTCTTCCCTGAGCTTCTCTGGATGAAAATGTAGTCTCTTTGAGTTGGCTTCCAGGTGTGCCTAACTAAATCACTTGGGGGTAATATTTCCTTCTCTTGGTGTGTAGAAAGTGTATGTTTTATGTGTGTTTTTTCTATCCAGTGAAAGTGGGATAAAACAACAAGTCTGCGGGTTTCTTCTCAGGCTCACAAAGTAGAAGCTCTTATTTGAAAATCTTTGCTGGCACATCCTTTGAACTTCATTTGTCCAGAAGCCTGGCTGAGTATCTGATCCTCCGCCAACCATGTCAATATCTGCTCCCTGAATGCCCCTTTTATAGACCAAGGAGTGGAAGATAATTGCCGATGGCTTGGAAGTCTGTGTGGTTAAGGAGAGAAGCCTGGTATCAACTTGTAAACCCTAAAGAAACTTTCCCACTTAGCTATCCTTCCAAGTTTCCCCTTAACTTATTTATTTATTTATTTTGAGATGGAGTCTCACTCTGTTGCCCAGGCTGGAGTGCAATGGCATGATTCTTGGGTTCAGGCAATTCTTTGGTCTCAGCCTCCCAAGTAGCTGGGACTGCAGGCGCATGCCACCATGCCTGGCCAATTTTTTGTATTTGTAGTAGAGATGGGATTTCACTGTGTTGGCCAGGCTGGTCTCGAACTCCTGACTTCAGGTGACCCACCTGCTCGGCTTCCCAGAGCGCTGGGATTGCAGGCTTGAGCCACTGTGTCCCGGCGTATTTCCCCTTAACTTTTAAAACCTTAGCCACACACTCAAATGTGTTTTTAGCTAGCTAAAGTCTGCCTCTCCAGGGACAGAATGAAGCTCGAGAAATGGTTCTTCTGTCACATCACTTTAAACCATGCATTTTAAAATTGACAAAGAATACATCAGTGTCCCCCACTGCCCCTAGTGTGGACATCAGAATTTGTTCAGAGAGGAGGGACTACAAAATCTTTCATTTAGATTTTTAAAAACATAATAAATGTTGATATTTCAAAGACAATTTCCTCTTTTTAAGTGTTTTCCTATCCATTATCTTTTTGTCTTTCCATGATCCTTCTTGGCTCTGTGTTACAGTTGAGGAAAGAAAGGTGAGAGGTGTAAGCAGGTTGTCCAGATCAGATGGCTGCTAAGTGGTGAAACCAAGGTCAAATTCAGAACTTCTGACTCTAGGGCCGTCACACAGCGCTGTCTTTAAGTTGTTGAAGTTTGGTTGTGGTGTTGAAGGTCCCTTCAGCTTTTCAGTAGGGGAAAAAGCGTGTGCTGCTGGAAGCCAGCAAGGCAGGTCTCCCTCCATCCCCTAGAGCCTCCTCCGGGGGCCAGTAGCAAACAGCCTAAACAGCAACGAATGTAAGCGGCCCCCGCCTTGAAGACACAGTGCAGTCCTCAAGCCCCTGGTGCAGAATGGGCTGCTGTAAAATGAAACTCTACCGGAAAAATATGGCGGCTGCGTGCCAGTGACTTGGTAACAAGGAAACCAAGTGGTGGCCAACAGGAGATCATAAAAGCAAAGATGCAAAACCCATAAACCTAGGAAATTATGGAAAATCCTCAAACCACTTTCCAAATCCTAGACTTGGTATAAATGTACGGTACTGCTAGTATTGATTATAAAAACAAGGCGCCACTGCCCTTTAGGAGGTTTTTGAGACCACAGTATAAGAAGTTATCTTCCCAACTGCCTTGTTTTACCATAGTACCCCCTCCACAAACCGACTTAAAATTTTGTTAAGGATTTGTTTGAATTTTTTTGTGTGTCATACCTGATCAGTGATTGTTCATCTTTCTCCCAGATCCTTTGCTCTTTGAGGCCAGGATCCTGTCACCCTTATTCACATTCCTCTTGTACCCAAAATAGTCGCTTATAGACAGTAAATGTAATATGTTTATATTGAATATCCCAAGCCACTGCTACCACAACCACCAAAGCTTGGACAAGCTTGAGTGTGATGCTTTCACTGCACTATTTCTTTTCAGATGTAAAACATTGGTTTGCAAATGAGTCCTCAAAATAAGCTGAGCTATATTAACAAAAGCCTTTAAATGTCTCTATGTTTTGGCTGCTCTGTCTATGGAGTAGCCATTCTTTATTCCTTCTTTCTTAATAAACTTGCTTTCACTTTACTCTGTGGATTCGCCTCAAATTTTTTCTTGTGTGAGATCCAAGAACCTCTCTTGGGGTCTGGATCTGGACCCCTTTCTGATAACATCTTTCTGGCGAACCATGAAAGGATGATACTGAGACCTCCAACCCAAAGGAAATAGACTGCAGCAATGATTGGCCAACTTTGGATATCATCTTTTGTCAGAACTTGAGTTATGAGTGGCCCTTGACATACTGATGCTTTCTGACTGAGCTCTTGTCTACCCTGAATACAAGAGACCCTAACAGTTAGGCAGGAATATGATCGCCCCATTCAGCCTGAAGAAGTTACAGAAGATGGATCTTTGTCCCTCTACAACCCTTAGGGTTAAGGGTTCTCTTATAAAAGGGAAGGGGGAAATGTCAGAGGCTGTGGAACCAGAGTGACTCCATCTCATATAGAGGGTGGGTCAAAGCTGCATTCCCAGGAGGCTAGGCATTCTAAGTCACAGGATGAGATAGGAGGTTAGTACAAGATAAAGATCTTAAAGACCTTTCTGATAAAACAGTTTGCAGTAAAGAAGCCAGCCAAAGCCCACCAACACCAAGATGGTGATGGGAGTGACCTCTGGTCATCCTCACAGCTCATTATATGCCAATTATAATGTATTAGCATGCTAAAATACACTCCCATCAGCACCATGACGGTTTACAAATGCCATGGCAATGACAGAAAGTTACCCTATATGGTCTAAAATAGGGAGGAACCCTTAGTTCCAGGAATTGCCCGCCCCTGTCCCAGAAAACTCATGAATAATCCACCCCTTGTTTTGTATATAGTCAAGAAATAATCATAAAAATGAGTGACAGTGGTGTATGCCACTGCTTTGCCTGTGGAGTAATCATTCTTTATTCCTTTACTTTCTTAATAGGTTTAACTTAATTTCACTCTTGAGAATTGTAAGGAAACAACTAGGAATGCAAATATATTTATGCACATGAAGCTCATAATAATATTATTTATAATAGGTAGAAACTGGGAATGACCCACATTTCTGACACTTTTGAAGGGATTAAATTAAATAATAGTTTTTCATATGATAACATTTAAAATATGTTTATTAAGGCTTTTAATGGGCCAGGGAAATGCTTATGATAGGATATTGTGTGAAAAACCAAGAATTCAAAACCATATGTAAAGCTTGAAATAAGATTATCTGAATTATGAAAATTGAGAATGGAAGAATTGCAAGGAAAAATTAAGAACTTCAAAGCAGAAAAATTTTTTTATTACTTTCTTCTTTATATGCTTCTGTATATATGGATTTTTAAAACTAAAACTAAAGTAATTCTGGAAAAACCAACATATAATGTGTTAAAAGGGATGAAAGTCACCATTTAAAAAGTCAAGAAAGCAACATATATCCAAACATTTATTACCAATTAATAAGAAAAATTATAGGTGAAACAAAAGGAAAAATGGGAAAAGTATATGAACAGGTAATAAAATAAACACTTAAAAACGTTCTCATCCCATAGCTGTTGGGGTAATGCCAATTAAAAGAACACTGTGAAAACCAATTTTTCACCTAATGATTGGCAAAAATGAAAAAGAGTTCTAGTGAATTACCTACTACTATCAAGTTTCTTTTACAATAGTGATGAACACGACTATTCTGGGAAGGTATAATCTAGTAAATATAGAGGTATACACGTGTGGGGTCTTCATTTGTCAGAGGCATCAGATGGGAGAATCAGCCCACCAAAATCAAAAGAACTTTATGTCATGAATTCTATAAGTTGGATACTCCGAATGAGTACTGTGTGGGACTTCCTTTCTTTTAAAATGTGCATCTCATTTCTGGGTTGTGTGAGAAGCCGACTCTGAGACAGAGACTAGCATGTGGGAAGGTTATTAGGGACTGTCCAACCATGGTAGTCTCAGGGAAGCTGTAGCATAGACCCTATGGGCAGGTCTAAAGATGGGGTGACCCTGCAGAACTGTCCTGAGTTGAAACCAGAGAACCTGGCATTTATACCCTTGTATCAAGCAGGGATATGACTTGACCTTGAGGAGGGGACTTTTCATGCAGCTGAGGCATCTCCCCAATGGCTGACTGCTGGGGCTGGCCTCCATGTCACTTTCAGAAGCTGGGGGACAAGGTCTTTAGTTTTGGAAAAAGGATCTGGGGCTGCATCATAGGGTCCACTACAAAATATGCGCTTGAATGGCTTTTCTTTTTTCTTTTTTTTGGAGGCAGAGTCTCCCTCTGTCGCCCAGGCTGGAGTGCAGTTGTGCAGTCACAGCTCACTGCAGACTTGACCTCCTGGGCTCAAGTGATCCTCCCACCTCAGCCCCCCAAGTAGCTGGGACTACAGGTGTGTGCCACAACACCTGGCTAATTTTTGTATTTTTTGTAAAGATGGGTTTTTGCCATGTTGCCCAGGCTGGTCTTGAACTCCTGGGCTCAAGCAATCCTCCCACCTCGAAATTCCAAAGTGCTAGGATTACACTATGCCTGACCTTGAATGGCTTTTCAAACTTCTGGAAAGACAGTGGACCTTGGGTGATATTTGTGTGTAAAGAAGCTGATGAAGCTGATGCACTGCGGGCTGAGGTGGAGGGGTAACCCACTTTCTTATTTTTCCCTGGGTGCAAATTCTTTAGAAAACAGCCAAAGTCATAATAAAAGGGGAGTACTGATGAAGATGTGGGAAGACTGACATTTTCGTATTTTGCTTTTGGTGGGGGTTGGATTTCTAATTTCAGAAAGTAATTTGGTAATATCTATTTTAAAAAGAACACATCACCATTTCCAAGCAATTCCATTTTTGTAGATTTTCTTCAGAAAAGAAAGGTCCCTTGTGTAAGGATGTATCTATAAAAATGCTTAATCCAGTAATGTGTGTAGTAGCCAAGACATAAATCAAATAAACCACAACACAGCAGAAAATAATTGGAGTATTCATTAAATCGGAAATAATGGAATAAAATATCAAGTTCACACTACACACTGGGATGTAGCTACTTAAAAAGAGTTTGATCTGTATGCATTGACTTGCAGGAGTTAAATGGAAAAAGTAGGATGTAGAGTCATATGTGTAGATAACCCTGTTTTAAAGAAAATAAAACTATAGACATTTAAGGAACGATAAATATCAACATTTGTTTCAGTTGCCACAAGCGTGAGTTACTTTACTGATTAAAAATTGATAAGAAAAAATTAAGGCTGGGCACAGTGGCTCAACGCCTGTAATCTCGGCACTTTGGGAGGCCCGAGGCGGGTGGATCACCTGAGGTTTGGAGTTCGAGACCAGCCTGACCAACATGGCGAAACCTCACCTCTACTGAAAAAAAAAAATAGCCAGGCATGGTGGTGGGTGCCTGTAATCCCAACTACTTGGGAGGCTGAGGCAGGAGAATCGCTTGAACATGGGAGGCGGAGGTTGCAGTGGGCTATCGCGCCATTGCACTCCAGCCTGGGCAACAGAGCAAGACTCCATCTCAAAAAAAAAAAAAAAAAAAGAAAAAGAAAAATTTAAGTCTGGGCGCAGTGGCTCACTGCTGTAATCCCAGGACTTTGGGAGTCCAGGGTGGGTAGATCATGAGGTCAGGAGATCGAGACCAGCCTGGCCAACATGGTGAAACCCCCTCTCTACTAAAAATACAAAAATTAGCTGGGCGTGGTGGTGCATGCCTGTAATCCCACCTACTGGGGAGGCTTAGGCAGGAGAATCACTTGAACCTGGGAGGTGGAGGTTGCAGTGAGTCAAGATTGTGCCATTGCACTCCCGCCTGGGCGACAGAGTGAGACTCCATCTCAAAAAAAATAAATAAATAAATAAAAGAAAAAGAAAAGAAAAGAAAAATTTTAAAGGAAAAAATGAAAACACCTTGTTCCCTCCATCAAAACAAAGGGATTCATCAACCCAAATTGGGCCCTGGAGTTTCCGGGAAATATGCAGCATTTAGTCATGAGTGAGTGTCCACAGCTGGACACCTGAGCCTGGGGCAGCCAGGGGCTGGAGCCGCTCTTCTGTGGCTTTGGCTTCTCCTCACCTTTGATGAGAAAGTTCTCTTCCCTCCCCATATGTCAGTTCATCAACATTAGAAAGATATTCTAGACTATAGTTATAATATTTACACAGAATCAAATAGAAAAAAATTTGAAAAAAAAATGTCTGGCTTGTATTCCCCTTCAATGATCTCAATTACTTCCTGTTTAGCACCTGCTACTTTATCCTGTATCATATAGCAAATTTCTTCTTGTTTGCAAATGACTCAGCCAATCTCTTCTTGCCTCATCCTGGTGTCCCCCATCTCACTTGTGTTTAGAGTCTCAAAAAGACATAAGGCCTTGGCTTGATTGAAAGAACATATGACACAGAGCTTGATTGCCATGGATTCAATAGGGAATGAATCCCTGTCCCTGCTGAATATTCTCTCCAGCACTATGGAGGTCCCCTGTAGAGGCTGCACCTGTCATTGCTTCAAGAATTCTGGCCTTCTCTTGGCCATGTTCACCACTTTTGAGCACAAGGTTTTGGTGCTTTTTCTCAGGAATACTTTGCATTATCCCTGTTTTCTGCTATCAACCAAGGCCAGAGACAGGGAGCTTCTCAGCGTAGCACAAAGCAGTGGTTGTGGCAGGGAGGGAGGGTCAGGTGCAAAGTGTTTACTGACTCTTCTCTGGTTTCATCTTTCCACTGTAGAAATAGCTTAGGGAGTGGGGGAAGGTGGCAACACAGTAGGTATTGAGTAGGTAGCAGCAGACAATGTGAAATACCAAACAGTGAGAACTTGAGGCACAAAACTGAATCTGGAGAGTGTGGAAGGCCTGGATTGAACCTTGCAATGCAGATGTAGGAATCTTTTTTTTTTTTTTTTTAATACTTTAAGTTTTAGGGTACATGTGCATAACGTGCAGGTTTGTTACATATGCATACATGTGCCATGTTGGTATGCTGCACCCATTAACTTGTCATTTACATTAGGTATATCTCCTAATGCTATCCCTCCCCCCACCCCACCCCACAACAGGCCCCAGTGTGTGATGTTCCTCTTCC
The DNA here is from genome assembly GCF_000001405.40 of Homo sapiens. NCBI lineage: Eukaryota > Metazoa > Chordata > Mammalia > Primates > Hominidae > Homo > Homo sapiens. The sequence continues at coordinate 58,347,904 of NC_000015.10, read as the reverse complement.
TGTGTCCAAGTGTTCTCATTGTTCATTTCCCACCTGTGAGTGAGAACATGTGGTGTTTGGTTTTTTGTCCTTGAGATAGTTTGCTGAGAATGATGGTTTCCAGCTTCATCCATGTCCCTACAAAGGACATAAACTCATCATTTTTTATGGCTGCATAGTATTCCATGGTGTATATGTGTCACATTTTTTTAATCCAGTCTATCATTGTTGGACATTTGGGTTGGTTCCAAGTCTTTCCTATTGTGAATAGTGCCACAATAAACATACATGTGCATGTGTCTTTATAGCAGCATGATTTATAATCCTTTGGGTATATACCCAGTAATGGGATGGCTGGGTCAAATGGTATTTCTAGTTCTAGATCCCTGAGGAATCACCACACTGACTTCCACAATGGTTGAACTAGTTTACAGTCCCACCAACAGTGTAAAAGTGTTCCTATTTCTCCACATCCTCTCCAGCACCTGTTGTTTCCTGACTTTTTAATGATTGCCATTCTAACTGGTGTGAGATGGTATCTCATTGTGGTTTTGATTTGCATTTCTCTGATGGCCAGTGATGATGAGCATTTTTTAATGTGTCTGTTGGCTGCATAAATGTCTTCTTTTGAGAAGTGTCTGTTCATATCCTTCGCCCACTTGTTGATGGGGTTGTTTGTTGTTTCTACCTGACTTTAAACTATACTACAAGGCTACAGTAACCAAAACAGCATAGTACTGGTACCAAAACAGAGATATAGACCAATGGAACAGAACAGAGCCCTCAGAAATAATGCCACACATCTACAACTATCTGATCTTTGACAAACCTGACAAATACAAGAAATGGGGAAAGGATTCCCTATTTAATAAATGGTGCTGGGAAAACTGGCTAGCTATATGTAGAAAGCTGAAACTGGATCCCTTCCTTATACCTTATACAAAAATTAATTCAAGGTGGATTGAAGACTTAAATGTTAGACCTAAAACCATAAAAACCCTAGAAGAAAACCTAGGCAATACCATTCAGGACATAGGCATGGGCAAGGACTTCATGTCTAAAACACCAAAAGCAATGGCAACAAAAGCCAAAATGGACAAATGGGATCTAATTAAATTAAAGAGCTTCTGCACAGCAAAAGAAACTACCATCAGAGTGAACAGGCAACCTACAGAATGGGAGAAAATTTTTGCAATCTACTCATCTGACAAAGGGCTAATATCCAGAATCTACAAAGAGCTCAAACAAATTTACAAGAAACAAACAGATGTAGGAATCTTAAGAATGCAACCCTGGAAAGGTTCCCCATGGGCATGAAGAATCCTGATTACTCAATTGCTTTGGGTGCCATCTCAACATGATACCCACAAGGAGCCCAGCCCTCCTCTGCCTCAGCGTTGAATTCCTAGGAAGCACAGGCAGCCCCAGCCACTCTGCAGGCCCTTGGGGTCCAGCCCACACCATTTGCAGCTCCTCGCTGCCCTTTATTTGCCTGCACACACTGCAGTAAAGGCTCCCTCCTCACACAATGGCCTGTGGGTATCTGCGGTTTGGGACCTCTGTGATGGCTAATTTAAGGCATCAACTTGACTGGGTTAAGTGATACCCAGATAGCTGGTAAAGCATTATTTTGAGGTAAGCCTGTGAGGGTGTTTCCCGAAGAGACTGGCATTTGTGTCAGTGCACTGAGTAAGGGAGATTCAGCCCCACCCAATGTGGGTGGGCACCATCCAATTGGCTGAGGGTCTGGATAGAACAAAAAGCCAGAGGAAAGGCAAATTCTCTCTCTCACTTTTTCTTGGAGCTGGGGTAGGAAATCTTTCAGCTCTCCTGCCCTTGGACATCAGAGCTCCAGGTTCTCTGGCCTTTGGATTCTGGGACTTGCACCAGCGTTCCCTGGGTTCGTAGGCCTTCAACCTCGGATTGAGGGTTACACTGTCTCAGTCCTCCATATTATAGTCAGCCTCCATAATTGCATGAGCTAATTCCCCAATACATTCCCTCTCATCTCTCTCTCTCTCTATCTATACACACACACACACACACACACACACACACATATATATATATATACACACACACATATATATATATAGTTGGTTGTGTTTCTCTGGAGAATCCTGACTGATACAGACCGCTAACTCTCCCTACTCTCCTCTACGTTGTTCAAGTCACTAACTCTTTGCAGAGGGCACAGCTTCCAGGTTTTCCTCCCATAAATCCCACTGCCAAGGGCCAGCGCATCCTCTCCAATGCTCAGCTTTGGCTCTTGAGACCCAGGACTTAATCCGAGGGTTCCAGTCCTTCACAGTGCTTGATGCCCTATTGTTAATGGTGGAAGAGGTCTGAGTTACCCTGAGTTACCAGCGGGGAATCCGTACACACCTGCAGCAACTTCAATTCTTCCTCCTCAAAAGAAAGAATTCAACTGAGGGGCCGAAAGCAGAAAAAGAGACCAAGATGAGTTCCAGGGCAGGAGTGGAAGTTTATTAAAAAGGCTTTAGTACAGGAAAGAAAAGAAAGAACCCTTGGAAGAGATCCAGGTGGGCACTTGAAGGTCAAAGAGAAAAAAAGAAGCTTAAATGCCCCTTTTAGCTGTGATCCTAGGACTTTTATAGGCTCGCCTCTTTCCCATGATTCTTCCCCTAGGGTGGCTTTCTGCATGCGCAGAGCCCTCCTTACCCTTGGGAAGTGAGCACACCCAATGTGTTTAGGAAGTTTTATGCATGCTCATCTGAGGCTTTCTTCCTTTTTCTGGTGGAGTGTAGCCGGAATATTATACTTTGCCATTTTTGTCTCTAATGTGCATGTCCAGGAAGTTTCTTCTCCCTGGGGTCTGTCTTTAATTAAAACTTCAATGTTAAAAGGTATGGACCATCAGAAAATGTCCTCTCCCCAGCTGGCTGCCAATTTGTCACTTTTAGAGAGGTCATGTGATCATTGCCAAACCATCACCTGACATTTCTAGTGCACGGGGGTAGAGCCTGCTCCTGCCCCACTCATGCCTAACTACCTATAACACTACTTGAGTATTTGTCTACATTAAGTCATTTATTTATGGAAGGAAATAATGTATACAGTGGTCCATTTCCAAGATAAAGTGCCCTGAGTCAGCTTAGGTCAGCAAACTACAGAAGAAACAGGATATACTAGGCCCTGCTTGGATAGCCAATGCCTGCTTGTCGGGCCCCACTCCCTTAGGTGCCCTCACCCAGACCAAAGAAGTTTAGTCTAAAATGAAGTTTACTAACTTGCAAAGTAGCTCGCTTTGCCTGTTCTTATCAGCCTGCCCAGCTAACTAGGTCATAATTCAAATACTTGAAAAGCCCCTGAGCTAACTAAGATTGCAATGCATTGTGGGCTGCAACAAAATGCAGCAAGAAAACCCTAAAGAAAACACCTAAAGCCACTTACTCAACAATCAATAGGCAACATCTGGGAAGATTGTGACCCACATAGTACTCAGCCTATGAGGAACTGCGGGAGGGACCTGCATACTAGGGCATAAATTGCTTGTTGTAACTGTGCTGGGTATGTCTGCCCACCAGACACTCGATCTTGCAAGATCATCATTAAAAAGTCTTGCTTCTGCTGTTCTCCAGGTCTCTGAGTCTATTCTTTGGGTTTGGATGGGTGTGTTTGTTTCTTACATTTACTCAAAAGCATTCAGAATATGTCCTATGTGTTTGGTACCAAAGGATATACAGATGACAAAGGATATACAAATGACAAAGACATGTATCCCTGCCCTTGAATTGCTTACAGCCTAGTAGGAAACAATAAAAAAAGAGTGATTAGGATATCTTCCTAACTTCAGGGCTAGCATGTCCCCTACTTCATCCTTGTGGGAGCTTCGAGACTTTTGGTAAGCCAAGCTCTTTGACCGTGGCCATTCCAGATTACCTGGTGCTTATTTTCAGTTCTAGCTCCAGGAAGCCTTCATGCTTCCAGCAAATAGAATTAAAACATTCCAGCCTAACCCCATTCTCCTGTTCAGTTTTTTTGTTCTCAGCAACAAGCCTTCTTTCTCATGTTCTTCCCTTCTTTTCCAGAGACAATCTACTTTGCAATTTTCTCAGGAAATTTGGAGAGAGGAGCCAGGGACCTCCAATTTCTTTCTTTGAAGAATCTTCCCCAGGAGATGGTTCAGAATAGGTGTGTACATGAAAGAGAATCCTCCCTAATCTTCCCTTCCACCTACCCCATATCACAACCGACATTGGATTCCTCAAACTGGGCAAGCTACATGCTTTCAGAGACCTGGACACATTACACGGAAGAGGGATTCCCCTCATTTTGGCCATCATGAACCCATTAGAGGAAATTGAAAGCTGAATTACACTACAGCCACTTAGGAAAGAATAATGAGAAGGAATAATGAAAGTTCTTTTAATAAGGTGACAGCAAAGTGTCTCCAGCCTTTTTTTTCTTAACATTTTTTATGTTTTACTTTTGCCTCACTTTGCATTTCAATATTCTGAATTTACATAAATAAAAAACCCCTAGCTTTGCTTTTGCATGTGCTGGGAGCTTTGCTGACTGTAGGCTTGGAATCTTTTCATTTATGAAAAGCATTCATTGAAGTTCCACTCTAATGATTCTTGGAAAGCTCAGGGGTTAACAGCCAGGAGGAAAAAAACCAGATAAAACAAAGTTAGGTTCACAGGAAGGACTCAAGATTGGAAGACAGTGCTGGAATTCTGAGCTTGTGTGGACATCAAATCATCATCCCATTCCAATCCATTATTTGTTTATTCATGCACTCATTTATTCAACAAGCATTTAAAACACCTCTGATGGGCCATTTATAGCAGGTAAATCTCTCCTTTGCCCAGAGATAGGAAATTATTTAAGGAAAATCCTGCAAATTTAATTTTCCTTATATTAAAAATTGTGAAAAATATGCAGAGGCTGATTGATGTTTATATGGTGTACATAGTGTTTACTGTGTGCCAAGCGCTGTTCTAAATGCTTTACCCATATTATTTTATCAGCCCTTTATGCACATTCTATTCTTATTCCCATTTTACAGATGAGACAAACGAAGCATTAACAAGGCCACAGAGCTAGAATGGTAGAGCTGGGATTTGAAGGTGCTCAATTTGGCTCCAGGGTTCATTCTTTTAAACATTCAGCACACTCCCTCTGTAAAGTCGCTGAAGAGTCTGCCTTAAGAACAGTGCTTCTGGGGGCTCCATCAGGCACAGCAGCTTCAGGAGTCTGAGGGAAGTGCTGGGGCTATGATTCAGGATCCTGGGGAGCTCTGCATGGGTCACAGCGCCGAAGGAAGTTCTAAGGGCTGTCGTCCCTGATTTGTGATTGCTTCTAAAATGCCAGAGTTTGACTATGGTATCATCATGGGCTAATTCCTCGGTAAAACACACTGTCTCTCTGTGTGTGTGTGTGTGTGTGTGTGTGTAAGAAGCATAGGGAAAGGAGATCATTGGGCTGAAAAAAAACATGTAGTCCAATATTTCCTAAACTTTAATGCGCACGTGAATCACCTAGAGTGGAGCCTGAGACCTGCCTTTCCGAACCATGCTGAGGTTCTCCCTGTCAGAGAAGCAAGGAAATAGAGAACCCAAGTTTGGTTTCAAACTCTTAAAGAAAAACAGTGAAATGCTTTCTTCCAACTAAATCTTATATGGGCATCCAACGAGTAAAACATAAAAGTGGAGCCAACCGTGATTGAAGTGAAGGGGGCTGCCAGAAGCCTCATTCAAAATGCTTTTTCTCCCCTCCCAACTCCCGGAACCTCAAGGAAACGCAAGCCCTCGCCCACTGGCTCGGACCTTCTCCCTGCCTCCCACCAGAGCTGCGCCACCTAATACCAGTCACAGTAGTTACTGAGCATTTGATATGTGGCTGGGGTGACTGAGGAACAGAATTATTCATTTTATTTAAATTAATCTAAGTTAAAAGCTGAAGCAGTATCAAATACTTTTCTGTTAAACACAACTTTATTATTTTGGTAGGACAGTTCATTACATCGCCTAAGATCTTGTAGTCAACACAAATACCTCACTGATCTAGTGGGTGTCAGGCAGGTAATTCAGTTTGAATGATTTCTTTCTTTGTATCTGATTTAACTTGTGTTTATTTGAATATTTCATGCAGGCAACATGAGTTACAGTGTAAACTGTAATTAGTAATAAGTTTTGTTAAACTTTTTAACATTATTGCATTTAATTGTAATATCATTAAGTTGGTTTTCTAGTTAAGTATAGATAAAAATTTAAATTAAAAATGAAGACATACTACTGTCATGGAATCTAGTGGAGATGCAGAAGCTAATATTGTGACTGGAACAGTAAAAAAAAGATTGGAGCAAATTTTAGATTTCAGGGCAGTCTCAGTTTGCTATGGCAGAGCAAAATGCAAAAGCTATTATTGTATAAAACATTTAAAAATAATAAAGTGAGTAATATTAAGAGAAATTTGCAGGAAATGCACAGTGAATTTGATAAGAACTTTCCTTTGAATAGCCAAAAAAGAATCAATGAACTCAGACACCTGAAATAAGAAGTAAATGTCCAATAAAATTTTTAAAAATTTTTCAGCATTATCTGAGTGTGTGCCTTTGGTTATCTTTAAAATGGCTTGGATTCTTGAACGAAAATGGAAATCACTTTTAGGTGGACAAAGAGTAAAATAAATTATCTCAGTTATGAAAATTTGTTGGAAATGATAATGGAAAAGACTAAAAATACCATTTTATAAAAAGTGAAAGATCTTCAATTAAGCCACCAAACAGTTGTTAGTAGAATATAAGACCATTTAATAATATCAAAGATAAATTGATTCAAATTTGAAAAACTGCAAGTACTTTTCTCCAGGTTTCGATGAGCTCAGTGATGTAAAAGACACTGTTCAGTTAGCACTTAGACAACTTTCTTCTCAAACGACTTCCAAATTTACAAAGAAATGTGAATTTGTGCCCTAAAAAGTTGAACTCAAGGCATGAATATCTTTGAATCTCTCTATTTTTTTTGCTTCACCTTTCTAATCTTTACTTTCTTCTTCTTTTTTTTTTATTATTACACTTTAAGTTCTAGGGTACATGTGCACAATGTGCAGGTTTGTTACATATGTATACTTATGCCACGTTGGTTTGCTGCACCCATTAATTCGTCATTTACATTAGGTATTTCTCCTAATGCTATCCCTCCTCCAGCCCCCAATCCCCTGACAGGCCACGGTGTGTGACGTTCCCTGCCCTGTGTCCAAGTGTTCTCATTGTTCAATTTCCACCTATGAGTGAGAACATGTGGTGTTTGGTTTTCTGTCCTTGCGTGAATCTCTTATAGCTATCAAAGAAATTCATTTAGATATGAAAAAATTAGCTTCTGTTGTAATTGTGATCTAGTTACATCAGTTTAAAAATGTAGATTTATTAGAATCTTGGAATAAGAGATTGATGTTTCCCTTAATTCTTAATTCCATGATGTAATACGTATTACTGAAACTACATGTGCTCAGTTTTCTGAAGGAGACTATGAAAGCTGTATGGATGCAGTTGTTAAGATTGTTCAGTATATGTGCAAAAGCTATGAATCATCACCAGTCTGTGGAACCACTGAAAGAAATAGAAGATGATGAATTTAACGATCCTGTGTTCTTTGCCAATACTGGTTGATTGAGTCGTGGAAGAGTTTTACAAAGATTTGCTGTACTGTTAGATCCAATTCAAGATTTTCTTGAAACCAAAGGAATACTTGCCAAATAGTCAAAGACACAAAATGGTAATGTGATTTGTGTTTTCTCTTCAATGTTACACTGCATATGAACAAGCTAAATTTGAAGTTTCAAGTAAAGGAACAGCTTATTTGTGACCTAATTAGACAGGCACAAAAATTTATGTTGAAATTGAAGACTTTCATAATTCAAACCAATGATAACAATTTTACATCTTTTTTCTAACATAAATCAAGTGCAGAAGATTTAAATTGTAACTGTAAGTACAGGGGCTAGGCGCGTGCCTTATGCTTATAATCCCGAACTTCGGGAGGCTGAAGTGGGAAGACTGCTTGAGACCAGGAGTTCAAGACCAACCTGGACAACGGAGCAAGACTTTGTCTCTACAAAAAAACAGAAACCAAAACCAAAAAAAGAAAAAACAAAAAGAAAAAACAAACAACAACAACAACAAGAAACCCTACCAAAATACCAAAACCACACAACAAACTAGCCAGGCGTAGTGGTGTAGTGGTACATATCCATAGCTCTAGCTACTCAGGAGGCTGAGGCAGGAAGATCCCTTAATTCCAAGAGTTCAAGGCTGCAGTGAGCTATGATTATACCACCACAGTCCAGCCTGGGTGACAAAGCCAGACTCTGTCTCTCTCTACAAAATACAAACAAAAACCTATTAAGAGGGTAGATCTCATGGTAAATGTTCTTGCCACAATAAAACAAAATTTTAAAACCAAAAAAGAAAGTACAGTTGGCCTATATTCTCAGGTTGAACCAGCTTACAATGTCATCTGCAGATTCAATGGACAGTACATAGAAAATATTTGGGAAAGAATAAAAATCACAATACAACAATAAAAAGTAATACAAATTTAAAAACAATACACTGTAAAATAATTATCTGCAAGCATTTTCATTGTATTAGGTATTATAAGTAATGTATCAGTGACTGAAATTATACAGGAGGATGTGTATAGGTTGTATGCAAATACTACTTCATTTTATATCAGGGACTTGGGCAGCCATAGATATTCATATCCTCTGGAGGGTCCTGGAGTACTATGTAAATTGGTTGCAAAAAGTCTCTTTTCTAGAAAAACTGGGAAGACATTTTGTTCATATTGATACATTTAGAATTCTTTTCCTATTTATTTATATATTATTCTTTTGAGTTCATGCCAGTGAGACTGAGCTGACCCAAGAGTTGGTGAATTTACCTAACTTGGACAAAAGTTTATTTAAAATGGGTACACTTTTTCTTCTAAAAAAAGGTGAGCTATTTTGGCCAATGTAGATGCAAATATTAAAATAAAATTGGGTCCAGGCATGGTGGCTCACACCTGTAATCCCAGCACTTTGGGGGGTTGAGGCAGACGGATCATCTGAGTTCAGGAGTTCGAGATCAGTTTGGCCAACATGATGAAACCCCTTCTTTACTAAAAATACAAAAAAATTTAGCAGGGCGTAGTAGTGCATGCCTGTAGTTTCAGCTACTCAGGAGGCTGGAGAATCGCTTGAACCAGCAAGGTGGAGGTTGCAGCCGGCAGACTTCATGCCACTGCACTGCAGCCTGGTCAAGACAGCAAGACTCTGTCTCAAAAAAATAAAAAGAAAAAAATTATTTTTGATGTTTGATTGACTTATTTCGAAACTTTTAAATGTGTTTAGAACACTTTGGTTATATGAATCTATTTTTTAATGGTATATTTTTTAAAATCTAAATACAAATTTAGTATTTCTGATGAAAATTTGGTGTTCAAATCGAGATGTCCTTTAAGTATAAAATAGCCACCAGATTTTGAAGGCTTAATATGAAAGAAAGAATGTAAACTATATTATTAATTGATTTATTATGTTTGATTGTATGTTGAAATAATATTTTGAATATATTGGGTTAAATAAAATATATTATTTAAAGTAATTTTTCTTGTTTCTTCTTACCTTTTTAATGTAGCTATTAGACTACTAGACAATTCAACATTATGTACTTGGCTTTCATTATTCATTCTTCTGTTGCACTCAAGATAATTGTGCATGAAACTTCTTCATGAAAGCAGAGATCATCTTTGTTCTTTAATTTTTTTTTCTCCTGCTGAATCCTTGCTTAGCACATAGCAGGTATTCAATAAATATTTGTTAAATAAGTGAAAAAGTTTGGGGTGTTTAATTCTCTGTCAGAAACATCTTTGCACAAGTTGATATGTGAGTGTATTAAAAGTAATCTAGAAATGGCTTAAAGTATACAGGAGGATGTGCATGTATTACTCTCAGAATAAATGCCAAAATAATTGTATAAAAGGGCATGGACCATTTTATTGCTGTTAAACATTGCCAAGTTAATCTCAGAAAAGATTGAATCAATTTACAGTGCCATCAACATTGTAAATTGGTTCAGACTATCAGTCTCCCAATGCCAACTTTTAAAGGAATGTAGAGTGATTAGCAATGTGACACTGGCCAAGTTACTTAGCTTTTAGAAACTCAATTTCTTTAAACTATAAAATGGAAATAATAACGTAAGGCTGAAAATTAAGTGAGAAAATGCATAGGCAAATACTTACCCAATACTTGCCTCGTGTGAAGTAGGTTTTAAATGGATGATTCCAGTTAAAAGAATCTTAATTTCATAGTACTTTCTTACAGTAGTCAAGGTCAAGAGTGGTGGTTTCTGCTGAGGGCATACATGGCCAGGAGAGGGTGGGCAGTTGCCACTTTGCAGAAGGGGACAGAAGAAATCAGACTCACTTAATGAGGAACTGCCAGAGCTCTAGGATTAGACATGTTTGCAAAAAGAAAATAGCCTCATGGTTTTGTACACTTGATTAGCTATAAAGACTTATTTAAAATAATTATGGGAGCTAATATCTGAAATGTGCCTAAAACTCCATCCAAGGAATATTTTATTTCAAAATGAATATTTTAGATTTCCTAGCAAATGGGAGAAAAGTCCTGAATAAAAATCCCCTCGGGTAATGATTTGACAAATTCTCCATTGGGGGTAGGTGTAGCGCTATAACCAGTTTATGGGAACACCAGGAAATAGCTTGTCAGCTGCTCCATATCCAAATATTATTTCTCAAACCTGGGAGTACCTAGATATGCACTGCTGAACATGGTAGCCACTAGCCACATGTGGCTATTGAGCATTGAAAGAAACGTAGCTTGTCTATAGACTTAGTGTAAAAAAAAAAAAAAAAAGTAAGCTATTTCACCAATAACACTTAAATATGGTTACATGTTGAAATGATAATATTTTTGATGTATTGGGTTAAATGTACCATTATTAAAATTAATTATTACAGTTGTAATAATTAGATTAAAATGAAGTTTATCTGTTTTGTTTTCCATTTTTTAATTTTTAATTTAATTTTTTTTTTTTTTTATTAGAGACGAGGTCTCGCTATGTTGTCTAGGCTGGTCTCAAACTCCTGGGCTCAAGCAGTCTTCCTTCCTCAGCCTCCCAAAGTGCTGGGATTACAGGAATGAACCACCATGCCTGGCCTTCTTCTTTTTTCACATGTGGCTATTCAGGCATATCTCAGAGATATTGTGAGTTCAGTTCCAGACCATCGCGATCAAGCAAATATTGCAATAAAGTGAGTGACGTGGATTTTTCGTTTCCCAGTGCACATGAAAGTTATGTTTACACTATACTATAGTGTGTTAAGCATCCAATAGCATTATGTCTAAAATAACAACAATATGTATATTTTAACTTAAAAATACTTTATTGCTAAAAAATGCTAATGATCATCTGCACCTTCAGCGAGTTGTGATCTTTTTGCTGCTGGATGGTCTTGTCTTGATGTTGAGGGCCTTGCTCTGGATTAGGCTTTGACTTACAGGAATGTTGTGGCTGGTTTGATCTTCTGTCCAGATCACTGAAACTTTCTCTACCTCAGCAGTAAGGCTTTTTTTAAAAATCATTCATGTGTTTACTGGAGTAGGACTTTAAATTTTGCTTTTTTTTTTTTATCATTCGTGTGTTTATTGGAGTGGGACTTTAAATTTCTTTCAATAACTTTTCGTTTGTATTCATAATTGACTGGTGTAAGAGGCCTAGCTTTCAGTCTTTCTCTGCTTTCGATATGCCTTTCTCACTAAGCTTAATTGTTTTTAGCTTTTGACTTAAAGTGAGAGATGTGTGACTCTTCCTTTCACTTGAACACTTACATGCTACTGTAGGGTTATTAATTGGCTTAATTTCAATATTGTTGTGTCTTAGGAAATAGGAAGGCCTGAGGAGATGGAGAAAGACAGGGAATGGCTGGTCAGTGGAGCAGTCAAAACGCACACAACATTTATTGATGAAGTTCACTGTATTCTATGGGTACAGTTCATAGCACCCCAAAACAATTATGATAGTAACATCAAATATCACTGATCATGGATCACTAAAACAGATATAATAATAATAAAAAAGTTTGAAATATTGTGAGAATTACCCAAATGTGACATAGAGGCACAAAATGAGGACATGGTGTTGGCAAAATGGCAGCAATAGACTTGAGCAGGACTGCCAGAAGTCTTTACTTTGTTAAAAAACAGTATCTGCAAAGCACAATAACACAAAGCACAATAGAGTGAGGTGTGCCTGCATTTACTTCTGTGGCTCACATTATATTTCTGCTGGGTAGTGGTCGTCCAGATCCCTCCAATTGCCTTTAGCACTTCTTAGCAGCAATCTTCTATGACTACTTAGATACTTTAGAATATGCATTGACAACTTGGATTAGCTCTAAGCTTGGAATTCACAGCCAGGTAACGCAACAGCTGAGGTGTTTGCTTTATATAAGGACCTGTGAAAGCAGATTGGCAACTGCTAAAATAAAAACCAGAACCCAGGCCAAGACCTCACCCCAGTTCACACCAGCAAAATCTCAGAAATTCCCTTTATGTTTTTGCTAAAATCAACAATTAATGAAGCCAAAAGTCTGACACTGATAACTGAAAATAAGCATTTTTTTTTTCTTTTTCTTTTGGGATTTCAAGTACAGAAAGACAAAGATAAAATGAACTAATAATCTAGCCCTTTCATAAAAACAAAACCACTTAGATTAGCAATTATGCCAATTTGGGTCCTCTGAGAAGCAGATGCCAAGACAAGGTTGATTTTGCTAGAGACGTGTTGGGAGAAAAGACTGTGAAGGATAAGGGGGTAGAAACAGGAGATGGCAGACAGCCTTCAGACCATGTGTGCTGACCTGCCACCTGTGAAAGGAGAGAGGGAAGGAAGAACTGGGCAGAGCTCCTCGGACTGCAGCACATTCCTCAGAGAATCCTGGCCAGGTCCACAGGAGTCCCTGAATGCAAAGGCTGCTTGTTGCAGGCAGCCTATGTCCAGCAGGAAGGGGCTAGCACTTGTTCCCACCACAAGCAGCCCAGGGGAGGTGTGGCCTTGATACCAATAGGGAGGCAGGCCCCAAGGATGCTAACTGGGGCTGGCAGTCAACTCTGCTCCCTTTGGCATTTCCTCTTGGAAGAGAGCTAAATGGTGCACTGCCACACCATCAGAGAAATATTGATCTCCAATATTGGATATTGTTTCAGATTTGAGGTTAAATTTACAAGCCCATATGTCCTTGTGTTTTTCTCCACACTATGTGATTTGGTGAAGAAACTGGGTACTTATGTAAACCAATGTACTGACCAGAGTCACAACACCAGATTCTATTAGTCTTGGCTCTGCCACTCTCTAGACACTTCACTTACTTCAGCCTCAGTTTGTTATGGATAATGATATCCACCTTGTGAGGTTGTTGTGATCATTAAAAAGGATAACATGTGAGACAGTGTTTCACAAAGGTAAGATTGTTTGACCACTTTGTTCATATCCTGATGGTCCCACCTGATTTCTGGAATGCTAAAGAATTTCAAAGGCAGGTAATGCCATGTTGAATTTTCTCAGCTATCAGAAAAATTTGGCTTGAAAATCATATCTACCTATGAAAAGTCGTCTGAAACTCATTCTAGTTGATCCCGTTCGCACAACATTCAGGGCTTTCTTGCAGTTATTTCCTCTTACAGCACTTCCTGCAGACATTTCCAAGGAGGAATCCTTCACTCCACTCCAGTCTCTGCTCAATCGATGTCTCCTCCTAGGCCTGCCTTCGCCAATAGCAGCTCCATCACCTTTTGCCCTCTCCTTGCTTTGTTTTCCTTCATAGTACATATAAGTTCTCGATATTATAATGTTTAACTATTAGTTGATGGTAGTCTTCCTTATTAAAACATAAGCTTCATGAGGGTAGGGCTTCCTCTGTTTCATTCACTGTTATATCCTTTAGAATGCTACCTGGTGTCGGGTAAGGAATTGACTTTTTTTAACTGAATGAAATTCACATGTGGTTTCCAAAAGGAATGAAATGGCAAATGAGGAATTTTTCATGAATATCCTGGTCTACCTTAATGGTAAGTGGGAGAGGAAGAAAGACGCTAATTATAGAATACCTCAGATGGGTTCAGCCTCTTCCTCAGTCAGACCTTTCACCGGAATTGCTGGCAAGAAGCAAATGGACAGGTTTGGCACTCATCATTCTTCCTTACTCAATTTCTCTAGGGGAGGTGGGCAAGGGTTTTGTAAAGACTCATGGTAATCATGTGGTAACACAAAACTGAGTAAGAGCCCTGTCTAGCCCACCAGTGGGACACTCAGCCTTTGAGGGTCAAGAATGGTTTTGTCTGTTTTAGCTTGTCCTGTAAGTCATGAGCAAAGACACAAGTTGTGGTGCAAAGAAGAGAAAATACTTGCTTTATTTTGACCTAAAGGGCAAAACTGGCATCACAGAATGGCTGACGCCTACTGCTTAGGTCTATCCTGCAAAAAAGGGGCTATCACTGAGGGAGGAAGAGTTGTTCATCCTTCTCAGCATTCAAGCTGAGGGTAGTGTCAATCTAGAAATGTTGTAGAGGTGGTTACTGGCTGAGTGTAGGGGGTTCAGACTAGGGGAACTTTGTAGTCCTTTCTCATTTACTGATTCTATGAATTTGAGTCATCTCTGAGCTAACAAATTGTTTACTTAGAAAGTCAACAGAGAGAAAAAGGGACATGGGATCATCAAGCACCCAGATGGAATGCAATAAACTCTCATACTGGTTTATTTAAGACAACTTCCTCTTGTCTTAGCCAAGAAATAATCTGTGGATCATCCTCAGTTTGTAACTGCCTTCAGAGTGATCTATGTTTTCTGGGAGAGAGAAAGCTTAACCCCAATCCCCCAGGACTGCAGGGATCCCTGCAGGTAGAGGGGGGACAGTCTGCCAAACACAGAACCCCTCTGAGAGAAGAACAAAGGGCAGAGCTGAAATTCCAGCAGTCATCTCTCCTTAAAGGTTGCCCTTGTTGCCTCCATTCATGGAGGAGAGAGTTGGCCCCATTCACTCAGCAGCACAAGTCTGATTCTCCTGATAGTGTGGTGAGTAGACAGTGCAGAGGGCCTGGGAGACAGAAGACCCAGGTTCTATTCCCAGTTCCACCTCTAATTCACTTTATGACCTTGGTCATGTTGCTTGACCTCTCTGGGCCTCAAATTCTTTTCCAGAAAATGAGAAGATTGATTTAAATGATCTCTAAGGCTCCTTTGTGTGTATGTGAAAATATGACTGGGGGATTCAGGGAAGGCTGGGTACTTGTTCCCTTTTAGAGCTGTCTCTGAAACGCAGCTTAGCATTTGGCACTGGGGGTGGGAAACAAAACAGAGAATCAGCCTTGAGATGTGACAGACCTGTGGGCTGCCTGTCCTGTCTCCTTCACAGGGCTCTGGGGCGTCTCACATTTCCTAGAGTGTAGCTGCCTCATGGAAGAGGGCAGAAGGCCTGGTGACAAAGCAGCAGATCTTGTCAGCTGACTCCCCTGCCTTCCATCCCCCCACTGACCTCGGAGTGGTGAGTCACGCTTCGTCACCCAGGGTTACTGGCAGCAGGCCCCACACAACTTCTTCAGCTTGTCAACACCCAGGATAGAATAAATCATCAGAGACCCATTTTTAGCCAAGAGTGAAAAATGAAGTCACCAGGAAAAGCAATAGAAGATGCCAATTAGGAATGCAAATAGGAAGCGAGGGTTTGTTGAAGGACAGGGTTATCTTCGCAGGGAGCCAATCCCCGGAAGGCTGCAGGCTTCTGGATTTGCAGTCTGAGTTTGCAGCATCTGGTGAGGAGGGCTCTGGGAAGAGGCCCACAGCTGGGTGGGAGTGACCACAACACTTCCTGCCCTCTTCCACTTTCAAAACCACATCAGCCAGGCTGAGGGATCTTAGCTTCTTCTTGCTCCAGGAAGTGGGTCTTAGAATTATCACATCACAGGGAATTAGGAGGGAGATGCTGAATTCTCTAATCTAGTGACTTTCCTGTCTTTTGTTCTGTTTTATTTTAGGAGCAGGACAAACAGGGAGGGGAGGGTTTGCAGCCTGCAGGCTGAGCCTCCCTCTCTTTTTCTTCCCTACTCTGGGCTAGACTAATTTGTCTCAAAGGCTCTTCCGCTTTTACCATTCTGTAGTTCATTGTCAGATTTCAAAATAACACATTCCAGCAGTGTTGAGCATGTGGGCAAATTCTGATGAAATAATACCATTTCAGTAAAAAGAAAAAAACCCGGTTCTGTCACTTTTATTAGCTATGGGATCATAGTTAAACCTCAATTTCCTTATCTGTAAAATGAAGAAAATAAAAGTACCTATCTCAGAAGGTCTTTGGGAAGATTGAATTAAGATAATAAAGGTCAACTCTTGCTCAACACAGTCCTATCCATAAACATAGGCAATAGTGTTGCTGAATAGAAAATAAAAGCTGGTGGGACCCACGGTCTCCTAGGGAGACAGTAGGAGCCGGGTGCTGCTCCAAAGTCTGGGGGCCCATTCTATGCTCTGTGGGTCTCCTGAAGGGACTCAGTGAATTCTCGGAGGAGACACCTTGCAACACGTTCCTGTGCAAATCCTGCAGGAAATCTAGGGGTTTCTCCCTGGACTTGGTTGGCTTTAACCCCTTCTCCTGGCCTCGTGTATGCCCCACTTCAGGAGGGAGGACAGCTTCAGTAAATGCACTAGGATCCAGAGAGGTAAGTAGCAACTTGTTTATGCAGCCATTCATTTATTCACTCATTCATCCAGCAAAGACTCTGTACCCATCTATACGTGGCAGTGCAGCCAAGGCTGGGAGGATTCAGAGATGACTGAGCCTGGGTCTTTCTCTTAGCAGCTGTGGGGAGGGGCCAGCTTCCTCGGGGCTCAGCTTTTTTCTCAACTCCCACCTTGTCTCCTCCCTCTCCTGCCCATTAGTCTTGGGCTCTGGTGATTTTAACTTGAAAATGACCCTTATATTCATGGGCCTCTTCCTCCTAGGCTGCTACTTGAAACCCCAGAAGTGGGTGAGATTGCCAAAGGACAGAATATCCGGAAAAGAGAATTTACATCAGTGTGAAATCTTGGGAAATGTGTACATATGAAAGAAGGATGTAGAAAAAAAAAAAAAGGCTTTGGAGGGGGCAGGCACTGGTGGATGTCCAGGTGTTACACAGGGGGTGGGGGAGCCCAGCTAAGGCTGCTGGATGATGAGTAGCCTGGGGAGCAGCACACAGGAGCAGGTAGGTTTGTGCTTTTAAGAAAAGCGGACTGTCTAAGCAGGTAGTCAGCCTCAGGCTGCAGATAGGACAGTGGACAGGGTTCGGTGGCCAGAAATTCTCGGGGCTGGATGATTCTCAGAAGTCCAAAGCTGGGGAGCAGCATCAGATTTCAGGCTTCTGCCTCTGGCCAGACCCCAGTCCCGGCAATGAGGCGGAGTTCTGCCAAGAACAAGGCAGTTTCTAGTTCTAAAGTGGTGGAACAGGATAAGGATTCAATTTCCCACACTGGGCATTCGGTTAGGGCCAGCCCAGCAGGGAGGGGGTTGGCCTGCAGGCACAGATCTGGTGGCCTCAGCTGGGGGAGAACAGGTCTGGCAGGGGTTGGGAACTAGGCTGGGCTGATGTTCCCAGAGAAAGGTAAACACAAGGAAGTACGTCTGAGGTAGAATTGATTAACTGGGTTGTTGGGCTAGATTGATTGGAAGATTGTGACCTTTGCCTTTGATATCATCGTGGGCCAACCACAGGGAGTATCTTCTCCTCATTCAGACACAAGTGCATAGACTATAGGCCCATCAAACAATATTTTACAATTGACAGATGTCTATGTCTGTGATTCATCTGGTCCTCATCCCAACCTTGTGCACGAGGAAGGGGACGTCACATTTTCTCCATTTTGCAGATTAAGAAACTGGGTCACAGTCAGAGAGGGGAACTTGCCTGAGAAGGCAGCTGTAGGCCAGGAGCCAGGATGGGCATTCAGGGCCAGGCTCAGGCTACAGTTCCCTGGGGCCTCTCCGGTCTTTTTTTTTATTTTGGCAAAAGGAGGATAGTGGTTGAAGGTAGACTTCAGGTCCTGCCCCTTCCCGACTTGCGTGATCTGGGGCAAGTTGCTTACCCTCTCAAAGCTTCCATTTCCTCATTTTTAAAGCTAATTAATTAATTAGTTAATTAAACACATAAAATTGACATGTAATAATTGTACATATTTATTGGGGACACAGGAGTATTTTGTACATATATACAATGTATACTGATCAAATCAGAGTAATTAGCATATCCATCACCTCAAAGATTATCATTTTTTTGTGTTAGGAACATTCAAAATTCTTTCTTCTAGCTATCTGAAAATACACCATAGATTTTTATTAACTACAGTCACCCTACAGTGCTGTAGAACACCAGAACTTACCCTTCTAACTATCTGTAATTTTGTGTCCATTAACCAAACTTTCCCTATTTTCCCCTTCCTCCTACTCTTCCTACCCTCAGAGAACCACAGTTCTACTTTCTACTTCTATGAGCTCAATGTTTTTAGCTCCCACGTATGAGTGAGAACACATAATATTTATCCTTCTGTGCCTGACATTTTTTCCCTAACATAATGTCCTCCCAGCTCATCCATGTTCCTGTGAATGACGAGATTTCATCCTTCTTTATGGCTGAATAATATCCCATTGTGTGTGTGTGTGTGTGTGTGTGTGTGTGTGTGTGTGTGTGTGTGTGTGTGTATCTCACGTTTTACTTACCTATTTATCTGTTGATGAACACAGTTGATTCCATATATTGGCCACTGTGAATAGTGCTGCAAATAAACAAGAAGGTGCAGATATCTCTTTGATATACAGATTTTCTTTCCTTTGGGTAAAAATCCAGTAGTAGGATTGCTGAATCATACAGTATTTCTATTTTTTAGTTTTTTGAGGCACTTTTGTACTGTTTTCCATAATTGTTGTACTAATTTACATTCTCACCAATAGTGTACAAGACTTCCCTTTTCTCTGCAATCTCACTGACATTTGTTATTTTTTGTCTTTTTCATAGTAGCCATTCTAACTGGGGTGAGATGATATCTCATTGTGGTTTTGATTTGTATTTCTCTGATAATTCGTGATACTAAGCATTTTGTCATATACTTTTTAATTATTTCTATGTCTTCTTTTGATAAATGTGTATTCAGATCCTTAGATGACAGGATCTCCTATATAGAAAAACCTAAGTACTCCACCAAAAGACTCTTAGAACTGATAAGTAAATTCAGTAAAGTTGCAGATAAAAAAATCATTATACAAAAAAAACCAGCATCTCTATACACCTGTAATAAACTAGCTAAAAAGCAATCCCATTTGAAATAGTTACAAATAAATAAATAAAATATCTAGAAATACATTTAACAAATGAAAGATCTCTACAATGGAAATTATAAAACACTGATGAAAGAATGGAAAGGACATAGAAAAATGGAAAGATGTCCAATATTTATAATTGGAAGAATATTGTGAAAATGACCACACTTCCCAAATCCGATCTACAGATTTAATGTGGTCATTATCAAAATACCAGTGGCATTCTTCAAATAATAGAAAAAGTAATCATAAAATTTGAATGAAACCACAAAAGACCCTAAATATCTAAAGCAATCTTGAGCAAAAAGAACAAAATTGGAGACATCACATTACTTGACCTCAAACTATACTACAAAGCTATAATAACCAAAACAGAATGGTACTGGTATGAAAGCAGACTATAGACCAATGGAACAGAATAGATAATTCAGAAATAAATCCACATATTTACAGTCAACCAATTTTTGAAAAAGGTGTCAAGAACATATATTGAGGAAAGCATAGCCTCTTCAATAAGTGGTGCTGGGAAAACTACTTATACATATGCAGATGAATCAAACTAGACCCTTATTTCTCATCGTATACAATAATCAAATAAAAAATGAATTGAAGACTTAAATGTAAGATCTGAAACTGTAAAACTACTTGGATAAAACATAGGAGGAAACCTTATTGACATTGTTTTGGGCAAAGATTTTATGAGTAAGACTTAGAAAGTATAGGAAACAAAAGCAAAAATAAGCCTGGGCAGCATAGTGAGACTCTGTCTCTACAGAAAATAAAAAAATTAGCTGGGCCTAGAGGTATGTGCCAACATTCTCAGCTACTTGGGAGGCTGAGGTGGGAGGATCACTTGAACCCAGGAAGTTGAGGCTGCAGTGTGCTATGATCATACCACTGTGCTCTGGCCTGGGTGACAGAGTGAGACCTTGTCTTGAAAAAAAAGTAAAAATAGACAAAGGGGATTATATTAAACCCAAAGGTTTCTGCAAACCACCACCACCACCAGCAACAATAACAAAATCAATAAAGAAAGAACTTCAGAGCTTGAAGACCAGTCTTTTGAATTAACCCAATCTAAAAAAAAAAAAAAAGAAAAAAAGAATTTAAAAAAGTCTTTGAGAAATATGGGATTATGTAAAGCAACCAAACCTGTAAATTATTGGCATTCCTGAGAGAGAAGGAGAAAAATCAAACAATTTGGAAAATGTATTTGAGGTACTAATTCAAGAAAACTTCCCTAATCTTGCTAGTGAGGTAGACATACAGATATAAGAAATCCAGAAAGCATCCATGAGATACTACACAAAATGAATATCACCAAGGCATATAGTCACAGGAATCTCCAAGGTCAATGCTAAAGACAGAAACCTTGAAAGCAGCTAGAGAAAAAGGTCATATGTCCTAAGGGAATTCCATTAGGCTAACATTGGACTTCTCAGCAGAAACCTTATAAACTAGGAGAGACTGGGGTACTATTTTTAGCATTCTTAAAGAAAAGAAATTTCCACCAGAGATTTCATATCCCACCAAAGTAAGCTTAATAAACGAAGAAATAAAATCTTTACCAGACAAACCAGGATTGAGGGAATTCATTACCACTAGACCAGTATTAGAAGAGATCCTTAAGGAAGTTCTAAACACAGAAACAAAAGAACAATACCTGCTACCACAAAAATACACTTAAGTACATATCCTGCAGACCCTATAAAAGCAAAAACAATAGAAACTACAAAACAAACAGCTAACAACATCATAATAGGACCAAAACCTCACATATTAATGTTAACCTTGAATGTAAATGGTCTAAATTCTTCACTTAAAAGGCACAGAGTAGCAAGTTGGATAAAAAAGCAAGACCCATCCATCTGCTATTTTCAAGAGACCCCTGTCACACGTAATGACACCCATAAGCCAGAAGTAAAGGGTTGAAGAAAGTTCTACCACAGGAATGGAAAACAAAAAAACCAAGGGTCACTATTCCTATATCAGATACAATCAACTTTAAGCCAACAACAGTAAAAAAGGACAAAGAAAGGCATTACATAATAATAAAGGTTCATTTAATTAGAAGACTTAACTATCCTAAATATATATATGCACACAACATTGGAGCGCCTAGATTCATGAAGCAAGCACTTCTAGACCTATGAAAAGACTTAGACAGATACACAATAATAATGGGGGACTTCAACACCCTATTGACAGCATTAGACAGACCACTGAGGCAGAAAACTGACAAAAAAACTCTGGACCTAAGCTTGACATCAGACCAATTGGACCTAATAGACATCTACAGAATACTCCACTTATTCAACACATAATATACATTCTTTTAATCTGTCCAAGGACTATACTCCATGATTGACCACATACTCAGCCATAAAGCAAGTCTCAATACATTTAAAAAGCCAAAATCTTACCAGTCATACTCTTGGACCAGAGTGGAATAAAAATAGAAATAAACATCAAGAAGATCTCCCAAAATCACAAGACTACATGGAAATTAAACAACTTGCTCCTGAATGACTTTTGGTGTAAACAATGAAATCAAGGCAGAAATAAAAAATTATCTGAAATAAATGAAAACAGGACACAAGACACCAAAATAACTGGAATGCAGCAAAAGTAATGTTAAGAGGAAAGTTTATAGTGCCAACTGCCTACCTCAAAAAGTTAGATCTCAAATTAACAATCTAACATCGCACCTAGAGCAACTAGAAAAACAAGAACAAACCAACCCCAAAGCTAGTAGAAGAAAAGAAATAACTAAAATCAGAATAGAACCGAATGAAATTGAGACTCCAAAATCCAAACAAAGTGTCAATGAAACCAAAAGTTAGTTTTTTGAAAGGATAAACAGGATTAATAGAACGCTAGCTAGATTAACAAAGAAGAGATATCCAAATAAGCACAATCAGACAGAACAAAAGTGACATTATAACTAATCCCACAGAAATACAAAAGATTCTCAGAGACTAATATGAACACCTGTATGCCACAAATCTAGAAGAAATGGATAAATTCATGGAAATACACAATGTTCCAAGATTGAATCAGAAATAAATTGAAACCCTGAACAGATCAATATCAAGTTCCAAAACTGAATGAGTAATAAAAAACCTACAAGCTAAAATAAGCCTGGATCAGAGAGAGTCATAGCCAAATTCCACCAGAGCTACAAAAAAGAGCTGGTAGCAATTCTACTGAAACCATTTCAAAAAAATTGAGGGGAAGGAATTCTCTCTAACTCATTCTACAAAGCCAGCATCACCCTGATACCAAGACTGAGCAAAGACACAACAACAAAAAAGAAAACAATAGCCCAATACCCCTGATGAACATAGACACAAAAATCCTCAAGAAAATACTAACAAACCATATCCAGTATCACATCGACAAGTTAATTCACCATGATCAAGTAGGCTTCATTCCTGGGATGCAAGGTTGGTTCAACATAGGCAAATCAATAACTGTGATTCACCACATAAGCAGAATTAAAAACCAAAACCATATGATCATCTCAATAGATGTGGAAAAAGCTTTCGGTAAAATACAACATCTCTCATGATTAATAAAACTCTCGAGAAACTAGGCACTGAAGGAACATAGCTCCAAATAATAAGAGCCATCCATGACAAACCCACAGCCAGCATCATACTGAACAGTCAAAAACTGGAAGCATTTCCCTTGAGAACTGGAACAAGACAAGGATGCTCACTCTCACCACTCCTATTCAGCATAGTACTGGAAGTGCTGGCCAGAGCAATCAGGAAACAGAAAGAAATAAAAGGCATCCAAACAGGAAAAGAGGAAGTCATACTACCTCTTTTCATGGACAATATGATTCTATACCTTGAAAACCCTAAAGACTTCACCAGAAGGCTCCTGGAACTAATAATAAACAACTTTAGCAAAGTTTAAGAATACAAAATCAATGTGTAAAAATTAGTAGCCAATATATACCAATAATATTCTATATACCAATAATATTCAGGCTGAGAGCCAAACCAAAAACAAAGTCCCATTTACAATAACAACAAAAAATAAGATACCTAGGAATACATCTGTATTCCAGGGTATACAGTTGCATTCCTAGGTAGAAACATCTCTCCAAGAACTATAAAACACTGCTGAAAGAACTCACAGGTGACATAAACAAATGGAAAAACATTTCATGTTCATGGACTGGAAGAATCAATATCATGAAAATGATCATACTGCCCAAAGCTATCTGCAGATTTAATGCTATTCCTATCAAACTATCAATGTCACTGTTCACAGAACTGGAAAAAACTATTCTAAAATTCACAGGGAACCAAAAAAGAGCCTGAATAGCTAAAGCAATCCTAAGCAAAAAGAATAAAGCCAGAGGTTCAAACTATAGTCTAAGGCTACAGTAACCAAAACAGCATGATACCAGTACAAAAAAAGACACAGACTAATGGAACAGAATAGAGAACCCAGAAATAAAGCCATACACCTATAGCCGTCTAAACTTCAACAAAGTTGACAAAAAAATAAGCAATAGGGATGACTCCCTGTTCAACAAATGGTGTGGGATAGCTGGCTAGCCATATACAGAGAATGAAACTGGATCCCTACTTTTCACAATATATAAAATTTAATTCAAGATGGATTAAAGATTTAAGTGTAAGATCTTAAGCTGTGAGAATCCTAGAAGAAAACCTAAGAAACATTTTAGACATGGGTCTTGGGAAAGGATATATGACTATGTCCTCAAAAGCAATTGCAACAAAACCAAAAATTGACAAATGGAACGTAATTAAACTGAAGAGCTTCTGCACAGCAAAAGAAACTATCAACAGAGTAAACAGACAACCTACAGAATGGGAGAAAGTATTCACAAACTATGCATCTGACAAAGGTCTCATATCTAGAATCTATAAGGAACTTAAACAAGTGAACAAGCAAAAAACAACCCTATTAAAAAATAAGCCAAAGACATAAACAAACACTTCTCAGAAGAAGGCATGTAAGTGGCCAAAAAGCAAATAAAAAATGCTCCACGTCACTAATTATCAGAGAAATGCATATGAAAACCACAGTAAGATACCATCTCACACCAGTCAGAATGGTTATTATTAAAAAGTCAAAAAACTCCAGATGTTAGCAAAAGCTGTGGAGAAAAGGGAACTCTTATACACTGTTGGTAGGAATGTAAATTAGTTCAGTCACTGTGGAAAGCAGTTTGGAGATTTCTCAAAGAACTTAAAACAAAACTACAATTTGACCCAGCAATCCCCTTACTGGGTATATATCCAAAAGAAAACAAATTATTCTACCAAAAAGACACATGCAGTCGCATGTTTATTACGCCACTATTCACAGTTTCAACATCATGAAATTAGCTTAGGTGCCCACCAACAGTGGATTGGGTAAAGAAAATAAATATGGTACGGAGTATTATGCAGTCGTAAAAAATGAAATTATGTCCTTTGCAGCAACATGGATGCAACTGGAGGCCATTATCCTAAGCAAATTAATACAGGAACAGAAAGCCAAATACAGTAAGTCCTCACTTATATGTGGGAACTAAACATTGGGTACTCATGGACATAAAAATGGCAACAATAGACACTGGGGACCACTGGAGGTGGGAGGGAGGAAGAGGCGCAAGGGATAAATAACTAACTGTTGGCTACTATGTGCAGTACCTGGGTGGCAAGATCATTTGTATCCTAAACCTCAGCATCATGCAATATACCCAGGTAACAAACCTGCACATGTAGCCTCTGAATCTAAGGTAAAAGTTGAAAAAGATTAAAAAAAAAAAAAAGTTAGAAATACTCGCCTAAGATTTTTTTGAAAATAACTTTCACATGCCTTATATAGAAATTAAGAACTGATAAAACCAAAAATAGACAAATGGGATTATATTAAACTAAAAAGCATCTGCACACCACAGGAAACAGTCAACAGAGTAAAGAGACAACACGTAGGTTGGGAAGAAATAATTGCAAACTATTCATCCCACCAGGGATTCACATCCAGAATATACAAGGAACTCAATAGCAAAAAAACTTCCTCATTTACAAAGTGGGATAGTAGTGCCAACTCTTTCTGGTTTTGACCTGAACTCTCCAGCAATTCCTCAGGGCTCAATTCTGGGTTCTGTACTCCTCCCAAAACAATCCTCCCATCTTTATATTCACATCTGTTACCTAAAAACTTCTGAACTTTGATGTAATTCCAATGTGAAAAATTGTTATTAGCTCTAGATCAGGCTTGTCTAACCTGCGGCCCACAGGCCACATGTGGCCCAGGACGGCTTTGAATATGGCCCAACACAAATCTGTAAACTTATTTAAAACATTATGAGATTTTTTTTGTGATTTTTTTTTTTTTTTAGCTCATCAGCTATGGTTAGTGTTAGTGTATTTTATGTGTGGCCCAAGACAATTCCCCTTCTTCCTGTGTGGCCCCCAGGGAAGCCAAAAGATTAGACACCCCTGCTGGGATCTATATTTTCAGCTGCCAACGCAGCTTTTACCTTTGGATCTCTCAGGTGCCTCAAATTCAGTATGTACCAAATGGAATTTTATCCTCTCTTCCTCCCAAAAGCTCCTTCTTTAGAGTTCCCTCGATCAGTAAATGGTACCCCCAGCCACTCAGTTTTTCATGTCAAAATCATGTCATATCAATGGAAAGTTACCGTTGATATCTTTCCTTCCCTCAACTTCTAGACTTTATCAATTGCCAAGTTCTGTGAATTCTAACTCCTAAATATTGCTCATTTCTTTCTATCTCCTCTGCCTTTTAAAGATACCTGATGTCTACTCAAGTCGAGTCTTCTTCCCCTCCCACTTGGAAGTCTGCAACATCTTCCCAGGAGACTTCACCTGATTCACTCTTGCATGCTCGCGTTCATTCTTTTCACAAAAGTCAGAGCAATCTTAAAAAAAATCCTAATTGTATTATACCATCCCCATGGCTCAACTTTAATGGCCTTATTTATTTTACATAACATTAAATTTACTATCCTAACCATTTTTAAGTATACAGTTTAGTAGTATTGACTATTTTCACACTTTTGTGCAACAAATCTCCAGACCTTTCTCACCTTGCACAACTGAAACTCTTTACTCATTTAACAAAAACTCCCCATTCTCTCTCCCTCCAGCTCCTGGCAACCACCATTCTACTTTCTCTCTCTATGAATTGACTACTATAGGTATCTCATATAAGTAGAATCTTACAGTATTTGTCTTTTATGACCGTCTTAGTTCACTTACTATTATGTCCTCAAGGTCATCCATGTTGTAGCATGTGTCAGAATTTCCTTCCTTTTAAAGGCTGCATAATATTCCACTGTATGCATAAAATACGTTTCATCCACTCACCTGTAAATGAACACTTGGGTTGCTTCTACCTTTTGGCTGTTGTGAATAATGCTGCTATAAACATGGTATACAAGTGACTCTTTGAGAACCCTCCTTTCAATTCTATTTCATATATACCCAGAAATGGAATTGCAGGATTATGTGATAATTCTATTTTTACTCTTCTGGAGAACTGCCATACTGTTTTATGTATCAATTGTACCGTTTTACATTCTCACCAACAGTGCACACAAATTCCAGTTTCTCCACACCCTTGCCAACATTTGTTATTTTCTGTTTTGATAGTAGCTATCCTTATGGGTTGCAGCATTTGTAGATTCCATTGTTGATTTTCAACACAGACAATCGTTTTGTCCTCCACCTTAAAGGTGATTGTGCCGTAAAGTGGTATCTCATTGTGATTTTGATTTCCATTTCCCTAGTGATTGGTAATGTTGAACATCTTTACCTTTGTTTATTGGATATTTATATATTTTTGAAGAAATATCTATTTAGGTTCTTTGTCAATTTTAAAATCATTATTGTTGTTGAGTTGTAGGAGTTCTTTATAGATTTTAGATATTAACTCGTTGTCAGATATATAATTTGCAAATAATTTCTCTGGTTGTGTGGTTTGCCTTTTCACACCGATAATTGTGTCCTTTCATGGACTTTGGTGGCTTCTTACCAGTCCTAAGATAAAAGACCCCAATCCTTCGTAATTCAACTTTAGTTTATCTCTCTAGTCTCGTGGAGCACCCTTTTGATTGTTGGGCTGCAACCACTGGCCTTTTAAGCTCTTTTCCTCTTCTGTTTGTTTGGTCCTTTGCCTAGAGTATCTGTAATTTATTGGTTATTACCATGAGTATCTGTTGAAAGATTGCCTTTTCTACTAGACAGCAGACTCTGTGAGGCAGGAACTATTCCTGGGGCCAGCTTACTCATTAGCAGAGTAGGCACAGTGCCTTGGGCCATCATTCTTTTTGGGGTGCACAAAAATGTTTTCATTTCAATTGTTAAAAAAAATCAGTTACAAAAAGAATATAATAATAATAGAGAGTAAATCCAGCCTGGATTATATTTGTCTTTATACCAACACAGTCTTAAAATATAAATCTATTTGTTTTTTAAATAAAGGAAGGGACCCAAACAGGCTAAAGGGCTTAGGACCCACACAAATTAAAACGCAACCTTGATTATGCCTGTTTTGTTCTTGCCTGTGTCCCCATTTGGACTATTATAAGGCCTCACAGGCACTAGACACTCAACTAACATGCATCAAACGAATGGACGAATGAAAATGGCAAAAAGGAGGTATCTGCAGTAAGTGTATAGAATATTCCTAACACTGATTCTTTGAAATAATACCACAGCTCTTAGTTATAAGAGGAAGAGAACACTGAATTTCTTTCTGTCTTTGCCCAAGGGTGCTCTGTTCTGTTGGTTTTGAAAGATTTTAGAAAGAGATCTACAGAGAGCCAAGACCTAGTTTTAACACATGAATTCAGCTTTATTGTCTATGGTTGTTTAAAAACTGAGCCTACACACTCTGGGAAGGTCTGATACCAAGGCAATGTTTTCTCCCTCTTTTTTTTTTCTTTCACTCTGTTAACATTTTTAAAACACAGCTTGATGGAGATGTAATTGTCATGGAATAAACTGCACATATTTAAAGTGTACACCTGGGTAAGTTTTGATATATGTACATGCCCCTGAAACCATGAAAATAATGAACATATCCATCACTCCCTAAATTACCTTTGAAGTCAGGCAGTTCCTTTAACTATGTTCTTTTTCAGATTTGTTTTATTCTAGATTCTTTAGAATCAACTTGTAATTTTTTAAAAAAAGCCATGTGGGATTTTAACTGGGATTGCTTTGAATCTATATCATTTCGAGGAGAATTGACATCTTAACAATATTAGGCCTTTTGACCCATGAACATGATATACCTCTCCATTTACTTAGATCTTTAATTTCTCTCAGCAATATTTTATGTCTTCTGGTGGATAGGTATTTCACATAATTTTTGAAATTTATCTCTAAGTATTTTGATTTTTCATGCTATTGTAAATGATAGTTTTTAAATTATAAGTTCTGATTATAGCTTGTGTATAGAGATACAGCTGGTTTTGCATATTGATCTTTTATCCTGCAACCTTGCAAAACTCACTTATTAGGTCTAGTAGCATTTGTAGATTCCATTGTTGATTTTCAACATAGACAATTATTTTGTCCTCCACATTAAACGTGATTGTGTTGTCCTTCTTTAAATTATCTTTGCTGGGAGGTTGGTCTAAATTACATACTGTGCCAGAGCCTGAAAATCCAAATGATGTTCTCCTCGGTGAGGAGTGGGAGCTTAGTCTCATTGTACAATCAATCTGCATTTGAATCAGTAGCTTCCAGTCCGTCTTGAGCCCATATGTGTAGGCCACAGTGATATTCTGGCTTCCCACCCTGGCAGTCTTGGCACCTTGGTGCCCAGAGAGCTTCGTGCTATTTGTAGTAGTGCATTTCACTGTGCAATGTGTCCTCCAGACTCTGTATAAATGTCAGATATTATTAATCTTAGTACTTTTAGCCAACTTAATACATCACTCTCTAAACGTGGTAAAGTTTACGTTTCCCATATACTGAGATCACAATATCATAGCACCCTCATCTGAAGGTGATTCGGCATTAGTAAAAGCCTATCATGAATCTATACCTCTTTTCTCTGTATTCTCTGGCTCCTTCCACACTCATCCCAACTCCTTCCCATGGCCTTTCTCTGACTTAACACTTTTTTTAAACATCTTTTCGTTTTCAGGCACCGAAAGGTTTAGAGTCAACCCTTAGCAAGGGCACGGAATTTCTTGACATGCGTTTTTGTATAGGCCTCATTCCTGGCTCTGTTTATGTTTCCATCTCATTTTCCTTTTGTCTCTTCTTTCTTGCCTACTACTGATTTATATTCCTTTGATATATTTTACCTATTTTTGTGAGTCAACCTAAATTCTTTCTGAAAAAAGGCAAGATACGAATTACAGTTGACCCTTGAACAACATGAAGATTAGGGTACTGACTGACCCCCTGTACCGTCAAAATTCTGCATAAAACTTTTTACTCTCAAAAACTTAACTACAAATAGCCTACTGTTGACCAGAAGCTTTACTGATAACATAGTTGATTAACACATATTTTGTATATAATATATATTATATATTGTAGTCATAATAAAGTAAGCTAGAGAAAAGACAATGTTTCTAAGAAAATCATACAAACAACCATCAGAGAATACTGTAAACACCTCTATGCACATAAACTAGAAAATCTAGAAGAAATGGATAAACTCCTGGACACATACACCCTCCCAAGACCGAACCAGGAAGAAATTGAATCCCTGAATAGACCAATAATGAGTTCTGACATTGAGGCGGTAATAACCTACAAACCAAGAAAAGCCCACGACCAGATGGATTTATAGCTGAACACTTCCAGAGGTATAAAGAAGAGCTGGTACCATTCCTACTGAAACTATTCTGAAAAACTGAAAAGGAGGAATGCCTTCCTAACTCATTCTGTGAGGCCAGCATTATCCTGATACTAAAACCTGGCAGAGATACAACAACAACAAAAAAAAAAAAAAAAAAAAAAAGAAAAAGAAAAAACTTCAGTCCAATATCCTTTATGAACATCAGTGTAAAACTCCTCAGCAAAATACTGGCAAACCAAATCCAGCAGCACATCAAAAAGCTTATCCGCCATGATCAAGTAGGCTTCATCTCTGGATGCAATGCTGGTTCAACATATTCAAATCAATAAATGTGATTCATCACATAAAAAACTAAAGACAAAAACCACATGATTATCTCAATGAACAAAGTAAAGGCCTTGGTAAAATTCAACATCCCTTCATGTTAAAAACTCTCAATAAACTAGGTATTGAAGGAACATACCTCAAAATATTAAGAGCCATTTATGATAAACCCACAACCAATATCATACTGCATGGGCAAAATCTGGAAGCATTCCCCCTGAAAACTAACACAAGACACAATTGTCCTCTTACCAGTCCTATTCAACATAGTATTGGAAGTTCTGGCCAGGACAATCAGGCAAGAGAAAGAAATAAAGCGTATTCAACTAGGAAGAAAGGAAGTCAAACTATCTTTGTTTGCAGATGACATGATCCTATACCTAGAAAGCCCTACTGTCTCAACCCAATTCTTAAGCTGGTAACCAACTTCAGCAAAGTCTCAGGATACAAAATCAATGTGAAAAAATGGCTAGCATTCCTATACGGCAACAACAGGCCAGCCAAGAGCCAAATCATGAATAAAGTCCCTTTCACAACTGCCACAAAAAGAATAAAATACCTAGGAATACAGCTAATGAGGGAAGTGAAGGATCTCTTGAAAGAGAACTACAAACTGCTCAAAGAAATCAGAGATGACACAAACAAATGGAAAAACATTCCATGCTTATGGATAGGAAGAATCAATATCATGAAAATGGCCATACTGCCCAAGGCAATTTATAGATTCTTTGCTATTACCATTAAACTATCATTGACATTCTTCACAGAATTAGAAAAAAAAATTATAAAATCCATGTGGAACCAAAAAGGAGCCTGAAGAGACAAGGCAATCCTAAGCAAAAAGAATAAAGTTGCAGGCATCATGTTACCGACTTCAAACTGTACTTTAGGGATACAGTAACCAAAACAGCATGGTACTGGTACAAGAACAGATACAAAGACCAAAGGAATAGAATAGAGAACCCAGAAATAAGACTGCGCAGCTACAACTATTTGAGCTTCAACAAACCTGACAAAAGCAAGCAATGGGGAAAGGATTCCCTATTTAATAAATGGTGCTGGGAGAATTGGCTAGCCATATACAGAAAATTGAAAGTGGACCCCATCCTTACACCATATACAAAAATCAACTCAGGATGGATTAAAGACTTAAATGTAAAACCCAAACTATAAAAACCCTAGAGACGAAAATCTTGGCAATACCATTCAGGACATAGGCACGGGCAAAGATTTCATGACGAAGATGCCAAAAGCAATCGCAACAAAGCGAAAATTGACAAATGGGATCTAATTACAGATCTTCTCCACAGCAAAAGAAACTATCAACAGAGTAAGCAGACAACCTACAGAATGGGAGAAAATTTTTGCAATCTATGCATCTGACAAAGTTGTAATATCTAGCATCTATAAGGAACTTAAACAAATTTACAAGAAAAAAACAACCCCATTAAAAAGTATGCAAAGAACATGAACAGACACTTCTCAAAAAAGGCACACTTGTGGCCAAAAATATATGAAAAAATGCTCAACATCACTGATCATTAGAGAAATGCAAATCAAAACCACAATGAGATGCCATCTCACACCAGTCAGAATGGCTATTATTGAAAAGTGAAAAACACAGTAGATGCTGGTGAGGTTGTGGAGAAAAAGGAACTCTTACACTGTTGGTGGGAGTGTAAATTAGTTCAACCATTGTGGAAGACTGTGGTGATTTCTCAAAGACCTAGAGGCAGAAATACCATTAGACACAGCAATCCCATTACTGGATATGTACCCAGAGGAATATAAAGCATTCTATTATAAAGATACATGCATGCGTAGGTTCATCACAGCACTATTCACAATAGCAAAGACATGGAATCAATTTAAATGTCCATCAATGATAAACTGGATAAAGAAAATGTGGTACATGTACACCACGGAATACTATGCAGCCATAAAAGGAACGAGATTATGTCCTTTGCAAGGACATGGATGGAGCTGGAGGCCATTATCCTTAGCAAACTAACACAGGAACAGAAAACCAAATATGGCATGTTCTTACCTGTAAGTAGGAGCCTAATGATGAGAACACATGGACACATGGGGTGGGGAACAACATACACTGGGGCCTGTCAGAGGGTGGGAGGTGGGAGAAGGGAGAGGACCAGGAAGAATAGCTAATGAATGCTGGGCTTAATACCTGGATGATGGGATGATCTGTGCAGCAAACCATCATGGCACACTTTTACCTATGTAACAAACCCCCACATCCTACACATTTACCCCTGAACTTAAAACGAAAGTTGGAAATTAAAATCATAAGAGAGAATATATTTACTATTCATTAAGTGCAAGTGAATCACCATAAAGGTCTCCATCTCTGTTGTTTTCACATTGACTAGGCTGAGGAGGAAGACAACGAGGAGAGGTTGGTCTTGCTGTCTTAGGGTTGGCAGAGGCAGAAGAAAATCTTTGTCTAAGTGGAGCCATGCAGTTCAAACCTGTGTTATTGAAGGGCTAATTGTAATTGAGAAAATTACTCTTAAAAGAGTATTTTCTGGCTGTTTTGAGTGGTGCTTTTTAGCAGTAAATTTGGTGAGAGGGTACTTTTCCTCTGAAGGACATGCTTCCTTTTGTCAACTGCTTCCACTCACATTCTGAGAGTCAACAGTGAGACTTTTCAAAGCTGCTCACAACAATATAATTTGTTACCCTTTTAAAAACCTTTTCCTTCCTGCACGTTTCCTGCCTTCATCATGGCACTTCTAACTTCCTGCCACCCAAATTTGAAATCTCAGGCTTCAAACTCGTTTCCTCTAGATAACTAGTCATTGATTTTTGCTAATTCTACCCTTAAAGCAGCTTCTACATCCTCTCTCCTCGTTCATTTCCTAGGCCATGACCTAGGCCCAGGTTTTTATCACCTCAGAACCTCACCTGCCCACGATGAGGTCTTTTTACTTTCTATGTATAATTTAGAAACCATCTCATACCAGTGTCAGCTTGTTCTTTCTTGGAGCATTAATCTCATCATCATGTCACCTTTCTTACAAACAACTGGCAGCTCACTATTATACATGACGGATATAATAGCTCACTATTATACACAAGATAATAATAGTAATATTTTGATAAGAGACTTCCTTATTTTATATCTTCATTTGATCCTTGTATCGAGGAGCTATATAGAGAGCCTCATATATATAAAAGGATGTACTATATATGATATATATTCTGCATTATATATTTCCTTAATATATATCCTCATTTGATCCTTATATAGCCCTGTAATGCAGTTATTTATTATTGTTAGCCATTGTCATGGACGCTGTGCCCTGCTGCCTAAATCCTCCTTCAAGATTGCTTGATTTTCTCCCCAGCTGCTGGGAAGGTTGTTCCCTGACAGCTCTCAGTGCATTTTCCTTTCTTGGCTGAAGTAAGACATCTCATTCCAGGTCATGTCCCTCCCCCAGGGAAGCAACATCCAGGGAATGACTGGTTGATGTGGGTCCATAAGGCCTGGCCTTCTCACCCCAGTCTGGGCCACTGTGAAGGGCCATCCTAGCCCCAGAGCTCCCCGTGGGGTCAGCTGAGTCCTTGTTGCCTGTCTGGTAGCCCAGCTTCTCCCTCTGCCCAGCCCTGCTTCCTTGTCTTGCCCCCGCAGTGTGGATCTGCAGAGCATGCCCTAATAAACTTCCCACATGCTAATCTCCATCCCAGTGTCTGCTTCCTAGACGACCCAACCTGTGATACCCACATTTTAACGATGCGGAAACTGAGGTTCAGAGAGATTAAGTGACTTCCCCATCATGGGCTAGAAACAGCACAAGACCCAAATCAGAAGTCCTGGTCCTGCTACTCACTAGCAATGTGGTTTTGTTCACGTGATTTAAGATCTCACCCTCAGTTCCCTCATCTGTAAAATGGGTATCATGTGACCTGACTCACAGGGTTATTGTGAGTTATCTCATGAAGACACGCAGACCCAAGCATCTAGCACAGTGTCTGCCAGAGTGTAGACACCCCACCATCAGGGTCCTCAGCTGGTCAACAGCAGGGGCTGCCCTTGAAGGCTGCTCTCTGACTTTATTGCAGAGGTGCTAATAGAAAAAGAATGTGAGCCACACACGGAATTTAAAATTTTTGAGTAGCCACGTTAAAAAAGTAAAAGAGTTATATTCATACTGTTCTGTAAAAATAAATACATAAAAGGAAAATAAAACAGGTGAAATTAACTTTAGAAATATATTCCATTTAACTCAATATAGCGAACATGTCATCTCAGCATGCAATTAATATAAAAAAAATTGGATATTCTTTTTTTTTTCCCATATTAAGTCTTTGAGATCTGCATGTGCTTTCTCCCCACAGCACATCTCAGCTGAGGCTAGGCACATTTCAAGTGGTCAATGGTGAAGCAATGAATAGCTGAGCTCTAGAGCCTGTGTGCCCTACCTGCCCATCCATCACACAGTGCCTGTTCCCCACCCGTAGGAACAGCTCCGATGATTCAGTCCCCTCCTCACACATCTCGCCAAGTCTCCTTCCTACTTCCCAACAGAAGCCCGTGCCCTCAGCCCCTCTCTCTTCACCTTAACATCTCCTTCCAGATTCCAGGCTGTAGCTCACATGGCTGACTCCACCTATAATATCCCACCCTGAGCTACAAGACATGGGAGCATTAACAACGAAAGCAAAGGAAACAATTCCAACTAGATGGATGAATGGTAAATGCAAGTTTTTTAAAAAACCACAAAATTAAAAGCCAGCTGGGAATGGGAATCACAAATGTGGTAGAGAAGCAGTTAGTGGTCTCAGTCTTTAAAGGGTTTCTACTTTGACAAGAAAAACACTAAAATATCAACGTAGGAAACTGGGTAGGGACATGAACAGACAGTTCACAGATAAGGGAATAAAAATGGCTCACAACATGTGGGTAAATGATCAGCTTTACCAGTGATCACAGAAAGGCAAATAATGACAATAATATACTATTTCCCCTACTGCATCGTGCAAAATTAAGACTAGGACACTACTCAAGGCTGGTAAGGGTGCAGGGAGAAAAGCACAGAGCCCACGCTGTTGATAGGAGTGCATTCCGGAAAGCCTTAAAATATTCATACACTTTACCCAGTAATTCCTCTTCCAGGAATCTTCTAAAGAAATAATCAGAAATGCAGACAAAGACATATGAGCACAGATGTTAATCACACTGTTATTCATTATTGCCAAAGCAACCTACATGCCCAGTACCGTAGAGATGGTATATGATTTACAGATTACCCAAACAATGAAAATCAGGCACCTACTTAAAAACGATGTTGATTAAGATGTTTAATGATATGGAAAAAAATCTATATAAACTTAAAATTATATATTCAATATAATCTCAACTTCATAAACTTTGCAAGAAAAAATGGCTATCTGGTAATTAAAAAGTGTTGGTTGGTTAACTTTGGTTGGTGTGACTTTAGGTGATGGTTATTGTCTTCTTTATACATTTTTAAAGTAAAATGTACATATCAAAACACACACACCTTAACTGTACAATTTTGACAAGTGAATACACCCATGTATCTTATGTCCCTATCATAATATAGACATCTCCATCTGCCCGAAAGTTCCCTTGTGACCTGCTGAATCCCCACCTTCCCTGCAAGGGAAACTCATCATTTCCTTAGATGAGTGTGCTTATTCTAGAACCTCATAGCAATGGACTCATTAAGTATGTATGCTTTGTGTGTATGGCTTGCTCAGCGTTATGTCTATGACTTTTAGATTTTAATTTTCTAAATTTTTCATGTTGTACCTGCCCGACGCCAGGAATTTTTTTTTTTTTTTTTTTTTTTTGAGTTGGAGTCTCGCTCTGTCACCCAAACTGGAATGCAGTGGCACGATCTTGGCTCACTGCAAGCTCCGCCTCCCGGGTTCACGCCATTCTCCTGTCTCAGCCTCCCGAGTAGCTGGGACTACAGGTGCCCGCCACCACGCCCGGCTAATTTTTTGTATTTTTTAAAGTAGAGATGGGGTTTCATCATGTTAGCCAGGATAGTCTCGATCTTCTGACCTCGTGATCTGCCCGCCTCAGCCTCCCAAAGTGCTGGGATTACAGGCGTGAGCCACCGCACCTGGCCTTCCCTTTTTTTTTAGATGTAGTCTTGCTCTGTTGCCCAGGCTAGAGTGCAGTGGCATGATCTTGGCTCACTGCAACCTCCACCTCCTGGGTTCAAGCGATTCTCCTGTCTCAGCCTTCCAAGTAGTTGGGACTACAGGTGCCCGCAACCACGCCCGGCTAATTTTCATATTTTTAGTAGAGACGGGGTTTTGCTATGTTGGCCAGGCTGGCTTCGAACACCTGACTTAAGGTGATCCACCCACCTTGGCCTCCCAAAGTGCTGGGATTACACGAGTGAGCCACCGCACCCGGCCAAGAATTTTTAAAAAGGTTATTTCCTAAAAACAGGAAGCTCATTCTTGGATAGCCCACAACTAATCTATGATTACTCCTTTGAAGCTGCCTCCTTCAAGCCCTCTGCTCCACCGTCCTACTGCGCCGAGCTTCTGTGCGCTGGGAGGCTGGGCTCCTAATCCCGACACATACTGTCTTCTCCTTGTAAGTGCGGTGGTTGGGGAAGTGGCTGTGCTGTGGCACCCTGGAAACCCTGCCCATATCCGCATGCGCCGAGACTTGACCCACAGCAGATCTCAGTCTTGGCAGAATGCCTGCCTGTGGCTCTCCTTGAACACAACAGCACGGGACAATTGCAAAGAGCTGCTACAAGGGCATTTCTCACTCGTTTCCTTACATATACCAAGGAGGCCGTCCTGAGACAGCTGCTCGTCTCCTTGGGTTCTGATGAGATATGAGGCCTTTTGCCTCACCCCTCAAGATGCTGCTGCAGGCCATAAAGCTGCTTAGCTGCAGAGGGCGTTGGCTCCTCTACAATAGGCATCCTGTCATTGGTGCTTCTGACATGTGGCCCCTTTTACTCTGGTGTCACCCTGCACAAGGGCCGCAGGGACCTTGCACTTTTGGCTCCTCCTCCTCTCACTCCACACAGGTGGTGAATGGAGTCTGAAAAGGCTTAGCTGTTTCTTTACCAGCTGAATCCTCTGTCAGGCTTGGCCTTGCCTTGTGCTTGGCAGTTGCCAAGTACACGTCTTTGCTGGTTCCCTAGGGCTGCTGAAACAAAGTGCCATAAAGTGGGTGGCTTTCACAATAGACGTCTACTGTCTCACAGTTCTGGAGGCTAGAAGTCTGAGAACAAGGTGCCAGCAGGGTTGCTTCCTTCTAAGGGCTCTGACGGAAGGATCCACGCCAGGCCTCTCTGCCTGGAGTGTGGGTGGCTGTCTTCTCTGTCTCTTCACATAGAGTCCCTGAGTGTGCCTTGGCATGGAAATTACCCCTTTGTATAGGACACCAGTCATACTGGATTAGGGCCTGCCCTTGCGACCTCATCTTAACTAATTCCATCTGCAATGACCCTATTTCCAGACAAGGTCACATGCTGAGGTACTGGGGGTTAGACTTCACATAAAAATTTAGGGAAAATACAGTTCAACCATAGCAACATCTTTGTCCCCAACTAGACTATAAGCTCCTGGGTCAAGAGAGCCTCAGTAAGTGCTGGACAAGTGGGTTCGGTAACAAAGAGAAGGAAGGGAACTGAATAAGGTCTTGTCAGGAGACACCTGTGGAGGGCCTGGCGTGGTCTTACCCCAGCAATAGTCCCTCAGCCTTGTCATGACCCGGAACTGGCAGGGCTCAAAAAGACAGATAAAGGATGTAAGGAAGACTCCTAGCTTAGTGATTCACAATGGGGACATCCATTTTAGGAACAGGACAGCTCTTTTCTCCCAGCCATGGCATTTATTACCTTCTCTGGGGGTGGTCTCCTGGGAAGCCACACTGGTCACGCTGGCTGAGAGCCTCAGGCGGGGGGCCAAGGTGGGGCCCCTGAGGACAGTTCACCCAGGTTCTGGGGGAACCTGAGGAGGAAACAGAGATGATATCATCCACCTCCAACATTATAGGTAAGGAAGCGGAGGCAAGAGACTGAGTGAGTTGTCTCCTTTTGGTGACAGGGTGACAACCCTGTGAGTGACAGAGCTGGGACAAAATCTCAGGTGTCCTGACCTCCTGTTGAGTGCTTTTACCATGCCGAGCTCTTCAGCCAGCAGTTCATCTTCCCTCAGACTCGCTGTCCTCAGCATAATGGAGCGCATGCCTTCATGCCCCTCCCACACCACGCGGGGCCTTGAAGCCGTGGACGCACGTCCCAGAGGAGGAGGGCAGGCTGCAGGAGCTGGTCAGAGAGGAATCTCCCAAACACCTTGCTCTGCAATGGACTCTGCTTGCCCCAGAAGTGGGAGGATTCCCAAACATGTCTATATCCAGGCATAGAATTTACTGTGGTCCTTGCACACCTAGTGCCAGCTTTCGATGGAGAGACCAAGAGGCCAAGACTACTTTCCGCACTCAGCACTGCCCCCTATGCTTTGTTCATGATAAAAAAAAAATCCATGTACAGAGGCTCCTTGACTTATAATGGGGTTTCATCCTGATAAACCCATTGTAAGTTGAAAATATCCTCAGAAACATACATTTAATATATGGAACTTACTGAACATCAAGCTTAGCCTAGCCTACCTTAAATGGGCTCAGAACACTGACATCAGACTACAGGTGGGCAAAATCATCTAACACAAAGCCTATTTTATAATAAAGCGTTGAAAATCTCAAGTAATGTATTGAATAGTATACCAAAAGTCACAAACAGGATGGTCGTATGGGTACTTGAAGTATAGTTTCTACTGAATGCCTCTTGCCATAGTAAAGCTGAAAAATTGTAAGCAGCACCATCACAAGTTGGGGACCATCCATACCTGCGTATAGAGCATAAGCTGCTTTGAGAGCCTTTTCCTTTGCCTTTGTATCTGATTCCTCTCTTCCAGTTCCTGGGTTGTATAGATGCTCAGTAAGAACATAGTTAGACAAACGCACCAATAAACTTATGGGAGAAGTTCCTACCTGCCATGATGATTAGGTGGGGAGGGGAGGGGTCAGAATTGATGAATTCATTTCTTTTCTCCTCTACCAAAGTCTGCTCCTGAGTTTGCTTTTGGAATGCCTTTTCCTCTCTCCTGCCCTGCCCTCCCTTCCATTTGGCTCCCAGACAGCAGGCCTTGAAAGGGGGCTGTTCTTTAGGGAAAACTTTTCATTAATTCCACATATATTCCCAGAATTGTCAGGTTTTTTCCAAAGTCTCTATTTAGAAATATCATAGGTTTACTCTTTTTTAAAACAATAAATTATCACTCCAAACCAGCCCATAAAAAGAAACAGGGGGAGGGAAGGTGAAAAAATGAAACCCAACCACGTCTTCAATGGGAAAGACGTTCCCATTGAAAATCTTACTGGGACACCCAGTTTTTCTTACTGGAATGGTGAGGCTGACATGATCGAAAACTGTGCCATTTGGAAGAGTTCACTAGTGCATTTGGGAATTTTCCAAGGGAAATTTCAGGGAATCAGAGACTTCTGAGAAATGCGTGATTCATAGTGAAGGGATCCACTGTTTCCTCACTGAAGGCTGATTCTTTAATGTCGTGACATAATCTCCAAATCATACCTTAGTCTGATACCTTTCAAGATCTAGCAAATATCAACAGGCCACTGTCTTGGGTGCTCAGTGATGCATAAAGAGAGGCTCTGACCCTTTAAGGAACATGCATGCCTATTCAAGACTGCTCTCAGCGTGTGTCTCTATTGTACTCTCTCTCTTTCTCTCTCTCTCTCTCTCTTTTTTTTTTTTTAACAGAATCTGAACACAGAGTTGAAATAAACCACAGGGATTATCTGGACCCATCCATCTGTGATGTTATTTCAGATGCTGCCTCTCCTTGAGGTCTTTCCTAACTCAGCAGCCAAACTAATTACTGCTTGCTCTGAGCTCCCATGCACCTTGCATAGAGTCTGTTACAGCTTTTCCCAGAGTGCGTTATAATTATTTGTTTGCATGTCTGTCTCCTGGGCTCCTGGGAACCAACATCATGTCTTACTTAGGCTTACATTCCACGCTAGCTCCTAGCAGAGTTTTTGGCAAATAGTAGTTGCTCAATTGATGTCTGTTAAATGAGTTAAAAAGGACTCACTTTCTGCAGACAGTAAAGCTGGGGTCTCAGAGGATTAAGGTGCTTTGGGTAAGATAAAGATTGTATCACTGCTTACATTCATCTGCTGTTAATTATGAAAGAGAATGAACTAATAGGGCAGCATATTGTCTCCGTTTCCTGTATTTACTATTTCTGACCAGATTTACAGGGGACACATGCTTCTAGCTGGTCCCTGCATGTTGCTTGATTGTTCTATTTAATGTGGTTTACTCTGGCTAATGATGGAAAGCTGCAGTCCCTCCTGTTTGCCCCAGAGAGGACAGAAATGCTTTGCTCAAACCTCAGACTTATTGGGCCTGTTCTTTGTATTACAGGAAGAAGGAGCTGGTTGGGAAGTGTGAGATCATTTCCTGGGTCTTTCTTTTCCCTTTATTTTCTTAGTGTGTCTTGCTTTTTTCTTTTTGTTTGTTTTGTTTTGGACAACTCATGGAGCATGGAGTTCACCTGACTATGGACTTGGTATATTTGAGAACAAAACACGTTTTGACCTCACAGTCCCAAGAGGTCTCTTGCAAAAACTGAGCAAAGGTCCCAATTTGCTGTTGGCTTTACCAGTTAGTATCAGCATGGTGGACAGGTCGGGTAGGGATTTTCAGCTTCGTGTGACCTATGCTCAGGAAGCTTTTTGCCCAAAATCTTCTTTCAGACTCTGTCCACGTGCACTGAAGTACTGTGAAAAGGGAATGAGTATTAAAACTGGTAGAGATGATTTCCAAGGTATTTAATAACCTTTTTAGCACGTAGGGCCAGTCAGAGTCTTCCAACTCTTTAGTTGCTGGGTTGAGGGGTTTTGAGGAGAGGCTGGGGAGCCAGAGAAAGGAAGTGAAGTTGTTGGAGAGAACGGGGGCTTGAGGCAACAGCTGTATACCAACTAATATGAAGCTTGTTCAAAATCTACAGAAGTGGTGTGGCCTTGTGGATGTGTCTAGGCAGAGTGTCTACCCAGAGAGAAGGAAGAACTGGGGCAATTAACATCTCCACCAACTACTTTCGGATGGTGGTTCCTAAACCCTTTCCACGACAGAATCCCTGGAGGATCTTTTAAGAATGCCAAAGCCGGCCGGGCGCGGTGGCTCACGCCTGTAATCCCAGCACTTTGGGAGGCTGAGGCGGGTGGATCATGAGGTCAGGAGATCGAGATCATCCTGGCTAACACGGTGAAACCCCGTCTCTACTAAAAATAGAAAAAATTAGCTGGACGTGGTGGCGGGCGCCTGTAGTCCCACCTACGCGGGAGGCTGAGGCAGGAGAATGGCGTGAACCCGGGAGGCGGAGCTTGCAGTGAGCCGAGATCGCGCCACTGCACTCCATCCTGGGCGACAGAGTGAGACTCCGTCTCAAAAAAAAAAAAAAGAATGCCAAAGCCCAGGCTACAATCTCTGGGGTGGGACCCAGTATCGTTGAAGCTCCCTAGGTGACTTCACTGTGCATACAAATTGAGAATCCTGCTCTATGACATTCAGTCATTTTGTCTTTTGAGTACCAGCTTCCTTCTCAGTAACAAGTGGACAGCAAATACCCAGCTCATCAGCTTTTTGGGAAAATCAAATGAATATATGCAGTGTCTGACGTAAAGCAGGTGTTCACTAATTATTTTCCGTGTTTTTTTTTTCCTCATTGTAATTCTTTATGTTCCTCTGTCTCTTGTTCTTGTAGGGGAGGAAACATGTCTTTTCCTGCTATCCATCTTATGTTCATTGGCAGGGCCTTCTGTGCTAAAAGACAGATTAATAAGAGAAAAGCATGTGAGAGCCTTCATAAGGTAATGAACACCCAAGAAAGTGGTTAAACCTGAGTGTTTTTATCCTTCGTTTGATGAAGAGCAGAGAGTTGTGGAGAAACATGGCAGGACAAAGGGGGCATGGGCTAAGTGTAATAAACTGGGAGAAACTTAGCAAGGCCCACTCGTTCAGGTTCCTGGGTCCCTTTGTCTTCAGAGGTAAGGATGTTCCTTTCTTCTGGGTATAAAGGAGGCCACCTCTCACATGAATGTCTAATGATCTGCTTCAGGGGAAGGTCAGAGGGTCCTTTCTGCATATGCTGTTTCTCAAATTCCTTTAGCTTAAAATATTCAGTGTGCCAAGGTGCCATATTTCCAGGTAGCATATCCTGAACTCTGCCATTCTGAAATATCACCATTTGGATAAACGTTCAGCCACTTTCACAAAGGGAAATGCAAGAGAAGAAAGCTGGAAGAGTGAGTTAACCAGGATATAATCCTCCATATCAAGTAACTACTTAGAATTAATATTTTTACAGCTCTATTTCAGGAGAACTGACATATAATAAACCAGGCCCATTTTAAGTGTGCAATTTGATAAGTTTTGGCATATGTGTACCTGCAAAACAATAACATGATGTAAATAATTAATTTTTCCAAAGAAACGAAAACAAATTTCTAAAATCCTTTTAAAGGAAAGTACATATGTGGGTGTATGTGTACCAGTAGGCATTCAGCTGCTTTGGATTTTGGCAAATAAATCAGAGGTACAGGATCTTTTGAACTTCCAGCAAAATTATTAATTACAAATCACATATTTCACAAATGATTCTTTTTTATCATTTCCATTTTAGTCCATGAGTTTTGAATTTTAATTGTATTTTATAATTTATTAAAATGTTGGTGGCCGGGCGCGGTGGCTCACGCCTGTAATCCCAGCACTTTGGGAGGCCGAGGCGGGCGGATCACGAGGTCAGGAGATCGAGACCACGGTGAAACCCCGTCTCTACTAAAAATACAAAAAATTAGCCGGGCGTAGTGGCGGGCGCCTGTAGTCCCAGCTACTTGGGAGGCTGAGGCAGGAGAATGGCGTGAACCCGGGAGGCGGAGCTTGCAGTGAGCCGAGATCCCGCCACTGCACTCCAGCCTGGGCGACAGAACGAGACTCCGTCTCAAAAAAAAAAAAATAAAAATAAAAATAAAAAAAAATAAAATAAAATGTTGGCATATATTATCATGTTACTTCCGGTGTGATTTTATTCTCACCAAAGCTGTGAGTGTTCCTTATTATCCTCTCCATTTCAAAGCTAAAGAATGTAAAAGGACTTGGTTAAGATCACACAGTTAGTGCAGCTGACAGTTTTAATAAGTAATTCCCAGCTCAGTTTTCTCTGTAGCTCATCCAGTAATCATTTTTTGGCCAGAAAGAGAGGCATGAAAAACCAAACATTTAATTTTAAAAAATCTTCAAATATTCTTGACATTTATTTGTTAAATGAAGATTTATTTCACCATGGCACACACACCATCATTTTTGCATCACGTGTGAATAAGTGAATTTTGGCATTAATGAATTCTGTTAGAAACTTGTGAAACTTTTGATGGATGGCCAATTAGCCTAGAAGGTGAAAGATATCAATAATACCCAGACAATTTCAGTTTGTTTTATTTTACTTTGGGGGGATTTAAGACTTTTTGAACTGAGTTCCTTTTCCTTCCTTTTTTAAATGTTTGAAAATAGAAGTTGTAAATAATATAGCATGACGACCACGGGGAGTCTTTTTACATGCTACTACAACATTCTAGGTAATTAAAGTGAAAGCTCGTTCTTTTTAGTGGAAATGAGACATCCATCTTTAGTGTCTGAAATGAAGACAAACTAAGAAGAACAAGAAGTTTAAACGCTGAAAGTAATAGGACCGCAGGATTTTAGAGTTGCATGATCCTAATAAATTAGCAGAAAATGTTGCAAGCTAGAAGCGGCCTTCGCAGTTATCTGGTCCAACATGCCGATCCTACAGAGCACAAAACAGATCCAGAGAGAGGATATGGTTTCTCCGTGGTCACAAAGCTGGTTACCTAGCTGCAGAGCCAGGTTTTGCACAAAAGTCTCTGAACTCCTGGAGCTCCTCCCAC
Source organism: Homo sapiens (assembly GCF_000001405.40). Classification (NCBI taxonomy): domain Eukaryota; kingdom Metazoa; phylum Chordata; class Mammalia; order Primates; family Hominidae; genus Homo; species Homo sapiens. Next base: position 58,303,386 of record NC_000015.10, on the reverse strand, counting down.
TGTACCAGCAAGGATCCAACCTCCTTTGAGTGTGAGGAACCCTTTTTGAAGTCAAAATTATTTCTCACACACTTACATAACTCTTGTTTTGGGATGATTGGTTGAGCAAAGATATAATGAGAGCAAAACAATGGTAAATACATTAATGGTTTTAGGTTATCTTATATGGTGCTGTCTCCTCCCATAATGAGGGGAAAAGACACAGGAATCTCTGGGTGGAGGTGGGGATGACCCTCATGTTTATTCCTGATGATGCAGTCTCACCATGGCACGACCATAAGTATGAATCTCATGTTTATGCCTGATGTTGCAGTCTCACCATGGCATGACTGTAAGCATGACCCTCATGTTTATGCCTGATGATGCAGTCTCACCATTGCAGCTGAAATCTGCTGGTCTGGAAGTTTCATTACCCAGTAGAGAGATACTTCCTCTAATGGACATGATAAAAATCCTCCAGAACAAGAAACTGCCATAAGCAATTTGATCAATGCTGGGGCTACAGGGTATTAGCAAAGGACCTTGTTGTTGATTATCAAGGGAAGGTCTTATTGTAAAATATGATGCAAGGGACTATAAAAGTTAGTAGAAAGCTGTGACTAGACAAGACAGGCAAGGGTGCCATCTACCCAGTTACTTCCTTACGTCTTTCTTGCTCATTTTGTTTAGGGGAAGGTTATTCAAGATGACCCAGTTAAAGAATTGCATTAGGTTTAAGCCAGTATGACATTCCCCTCTCCTTTTGCTGGATATTTGATTTCACAGCCTTAAATACAGCCAGAAGTGGTGGTGTGACTCAGTTTTGGCCAGGAAGATGGATGGAAGGAGAAGGTTGCTGGAAGCTCCTATGAAAGCTTTGCTTTTGCTGATACAAAGTCTGGAAGCAGCTGGTGTCAATCTCTCTTCAGTCTTCTTGCCTTGAACATGGCTTGGACACCCATGATGGCTTTCTTGTGATCAGGAGGCAAAGCGTGAGAGCAGAACAGAGATGTGACCCAGAGACCTGCATTACTGCTAAACCAACACCAGAAATTGCTTTCTACTTCCTGCTATATGAGAAAAACAAATCTCTATTTATTTACACCACTGATAGCTTTTCTAGTATTTGCAGTTGGATCCAATCACTCTTGGGTTTTCTATTATTTGCAGCCAAAAGATTTTCTGATAGCAAAAGTTAGAGTTACTCCCTTGGGCAAAAAGCAAAGGGAACATGGAAGAGGTGAAGAAGAGAGTTATAAATGGTAGCTACAGCCTTAGGATCAGTTGTAGAAATAAGGGGATTGTCCCTCCCTCTTTTTCAGGTGAATTTTCCACTCTCTGCTAAAGTATCTGACAATTGAATAACACTACTCCATTCCCTCTTTCATTTTTTTAAAAAACAAAATAGATGTTATTATTTTCTTTATTGCCAGCTTAAAAATTCTCTGTTCACCTTCCACCATATTTGTCAGGTGTGTTGGTTGTGTCTCCATTCACCATTTGCCCCGAGTTTGCAGAATAGAGAGGACCTATCGTTAGAAAGGGTTGCAGAAGGAACACTGGAGGAGTATTATCAGAAGATCATGGGCTTGCTGCAGAAAGTCAACTTTTCAAGGGTCCACATGACTTAGCCATTGCACATAGTACCTGCAGAACACATGTCTTTGGTTGCCTTCTTGCTGGGAGCAAGTGAGTTGTGTATAGCTGTGTAATACTCATTACAATGAATAGGATGTATTGAAAGCTGTTAAGAAAGAAGGGTATGTTGCAGGTATATAAGCAAGGAGTGGAATATCTGTCATGGGGCCTGCCGTGTTCAGCATTCTCTCTGAGCTGAAACTCCTTGGCCTCAATAGTATCTGCGTACATGTGTGAAATGGTGGTTCACAATAATAGGAGGCATAGTCAGTCTACAGTAAGTGCTTGGTGCACATATGGTTTCTTAGACCCCTGAAATATCTTCATAGCCCCCAGGAACTGGGAACCACTGGTTGACGTACTCTGCCTTCAGTATCAGATTTAATTAGCTGCATTTGTCCCGCACACCAACAGAGTAGGAAGGGGATGCAATGTTCAGGGAAATAATCCTGCTCTTCCAGGATTGTTTGGTAAAATTTGTTTGACCTTGCACTGATTGTGAAGAGAATGAGCAGCCAAAACCGTGGTGAAGTAGGCAGGAGACTGTGTGATACAATATGTAAGGTGTCCAAAGACACTCCAGTTCTGAATTCTCCCTCATGCCCACGACCTATGGAGAGGCTTCCTCCACTGGAGATAAGCTTACTGCCCCTCCTGTCTAATCCTCAAACGGTCCTTCACTGTACTCTGCCCTGGTCTGTAATTGCCTGTGCTGCCCAGACCAATTCTTTTTTGCACATGGCTTTTTCTCTGATTTGTATGCCTGCACAAAAAATTGCACGAAAAATTGATCACCCAAGGCAGGCTCGCAAGCTGAAGGAGGAGAGATAAGACCAGGGCATGGGATGCTACCCTGGGTGGTGATCAAGCAGTAGACACTAGAATACTTCTGGTAGAAGGATAGAGGTAGATACCGGGATGTGGGAGGAAGAGCCACCAGAGGACGAGGGCTCAGGAAGACAGATTTTACTGATTGTATTTTATATCACTCTTTGGCCTTTCAGGAGGCCAGATCATCATTTTATGCTCCATTACAATACCCACACTGATTATAATGACAGGCATTTTGGATTTTGTCCTAATAGCTCTTGTTTACCTTTTAAAAATTTTGTATTTTGTTAGTCATTTTAAGAAACACATGCATTGAGAAGCTTGCAGATTTTTCTAAGGGAAAATAAGACAGCCCGGACCAGGGGGAAGAGTCCACATTTTAGAGTCAGACTAATTCATATACAAAACCAGATTCTGCCACATACTGCTGCTGTGTGGCATTGGACAAGCCACTTAACGTGTCCAAGTTTCATCTATAAAACTGTGATAGTGTAATACCTATTCTGCAGAAACCTTAGTAGGATTTCATGGAGAACATATGTAAAGTTCTTCCCTTGGCATCTGGAAGATCCTGCCCCCTGCTAGCAGTGTGTAACAGCTGAGATGTATGGACCCTTATTAGGTGCTGGGAAATGCCCTCAGCACATTAGCTCATCTAACACTGATATGGTCTGGCTCTGTGTCCCCACCCAAATCTCATCTCAAATTGTAATCCCTATAGTCCCCACATGTTGAGAGCGGGACCTGGTGGAAGGTGATTGGATCATGGGGGTGGTTTCCTCCATGCTATTCTCGTGAAAGTGAGTGAGTTCTCATGAGATCTGATGGTTTTATAAGGGGCTCTTCCCTCTTTGCTCGTTGGGTCTCTCTTGCCTGTTGCCATGTAGGACATGCCTTTGCTTCTCTCTTGACTTCTGCCGTGATTGTAAGTTTCCTGAGCCCTCTCTAGCCGTGCAGAACTGTGAGTCAATTAAACCTCTTTCCTTTATAAATTACCCAGTCTTGGGTAGTATCAGGTAGCGTCTTTATAGTAGTGTGAAAACAGACTAATACAGACACAGAAACAGGTCCTTGTGGCCTCCATCCCCTGCAGTCTTCCCCAAGAGAGTTCCCAGAGGCCTTTCTAAGCAACTTCTGTGGTTTAAAAACCACTGCTGTGAAGGAAACAAAGACCTCACTCCTCTCCTTTGAAGCTGATGGCCTGTCTTTGGCCCTGCCTAGGCTTCACAGAGGGTCACCTCTGGAGGCCCAGGGTGTGAAGAAGGCAGAGCCAGGCTTAATCAGTGATCCACAGAGAGGTAGAGGTGAACTGGGGGAAAGTTGCCTCCCAGGGAGTCCTGAAGTGGATGAAACTGAGTCATGAATCGGCCCACAGCTACTCAGCGGCTCTCAGAAAACTCACCACATTCTTCTGGCGTGTTTCTAACTGCTTGTGGAGCAACTTCTGCCCCTGACCTAAGAGGGCTGGGGAATACCATGAGCGAAGAGCGCAGACCCAGAAAGCCCTTCAGAGCCCATGGCTGTGAGCACCAAGGGAGAGGTCTGGGCTGAGCCCTGGCGGGGATTATGTGGTTGCTCCTTGGGAGGGATCCAGTGCAGTTAGGAGGGCTCTGGCCAGATAGACTGAATGGAAGGACTAAGTTGATGATGCAAACCAGGAGCCAGAACTCACTAGGGAAGGAGAGCTGCTGCTGTGTTGGCCCAGAGTGTCTGTTGCTGACAAACATCTGTGCTGGAATTTCTTATGCACAGACCCACCAAAGACAAATTTCTTAAAAGCAGTTTATTTCTGCCTGGATGGCTTCAGCACCCTTGGAAAAAGTAGATGTGTGTGTGTGCGCGTGCACGTGTGCATGCATGTGGAAGTGGGTGGCATTCTTAATCTGGGCTTCCCCTTCTTTAGGACTCTGTCCCTTCAAGACTCTTCCTCAATTAAACTGTACTTCTTGCTGGGGAGGAGAGATCTTGACGTTTTCAGTGAGGGTCCTCTGTGTTGGAGACCATTCAGGATCACTTAGGTGACAGCATCCTGTGGTGACTCTCACTTCCAAATATTCATGCATATGGAATGATGGATATATAAAATCCACAAATAGTCCCCATGCCTAATTCAAGCCAGAGCGGCAACTCCTCCCAGCCCCTACCTGCTACTACAGAGTCCTAAATCAAAAGACATCGGGTTTATTCAATGACCGATTACAAACTCGAGTCTTAAATCTTCACACTAAAACAAATTCACATTTTACACAGGAGGAAACTGGGGCTCGATATTAGGGAGGTGATTTGCCCAGGGACATTCAGACGTGACTAGTGAGATGACAACTGTTTGTTGCCCAACATCCATTTTACTGGGAAGGTGAAACCAGACAAAGTGTTCCAACATGAACTGAGAGAGAGAGAGTAAGCTGTTCAGGGCAGCACCTGGGTAACAACTCACAAAGGAAGGGGGTGGTCCTAATCACAGTGTTTCATCAGAACATCTGGGGAGCTTTGACAAAATAAAGATATAGGCCCCCCACTCCAGACCAACTAAATTAGAATGTCTACTTGAATCCACTCCCTGGGTGCCTCAGACAGGCAGCTCAGGCCAGAACCGTGATGCTAGGGAAATAATTTTCCTTGAACAATCCAGTGTGGGCCACATTTCTCAGGCAGCTGGGTCTTCGTTGGTTGCTTTTTCTCTGACAGAGGTAGCACAACAGAGAGGCTAAGAATCTGTGCCCTGGAGCCCAACTGCCTCCCACTTCCAACACATTCTTTGGGAAAATTATTCAACCATTTTGCCCTTCAGTTTCCTCATCTGTAAAATGGAGCTAATTATAATGCCTATGTCAGAGAGTTGTTGTGAAAATTGAGGTAATATGTATAATGCACTTAGTGTTTGGTAAGTGACAATATGCCTTACCTGGGAACATTAGCTATTATTATCAGTGCATTTGCCATGACAGTTTCAAACGTAGGTTAGAATCATCATTCTGGGAGTCACTAGGACAGGTAGACTGGCATGCTACTGGTTTTCCTCCAACAGAACTCCATTGATTTTCCTCTTTGGAAATTCTTTTCAGCTAGAAAAGGAAGGCACATTCATGCAAATTGGTTCAGGTTCACAGGTGCAGAGCAATCTGGAAATTAGCTTTGGCTAAAAATAAACCAGCTTGACTATTTCTGTTTTCAGTGATACAGTGAATTAGATAGCCAGAACATTTTCCCTTCCAAAACAACTCAAATGCTGAATAAAGTAAATTTTTAAAAATTTTTAAAAATGCTTTGTGAGCTTATATGGAAGTAAGAAATCCTCTGAGTGCCAAACAAACTGAAACAAAGAACCCTGGGAGGTAAACGAATACCAAATCTTGCTTTCAGCCTGGAAATTTCCACCCAGTGCCAGAGCCTTGGGCTTCTGTTTTGGAGATCGTATAGGGATAGGAGACAGAGTTGAATCCAGAGCTTAACCAGAGTACAGTATCTCATAGTAGAATCTTAAATAAAGCTGGGGTCCCAAAGGAATACAAGTTTTTGGTGAAAAGAGAAAGAGGTCCAAGAAAAGTCTGTCTCAGGTCAGATAATAATTTTGCTGGCACAAACAGACTACTTTGCATTTGCAGTTCAAATTCATACAACACATTTGGTCCTAAATATTTAACTCTGAAAATTTAAAGTGTTCCTCAGTTTGGTACTACCTCATGTGACCAACTGAATGAATATGAATATATTCTGGAGGAATCTTGCTGTCTTTCAGAATTTCCACAGATAAATGTCCAAGGAAAGTGAGAAGCTTAAAGCCAACCATTACAAAACACATAAGGAAATAAAACATTATGAATGAGAGAATCAGTAGGAAAAAAAAACCCAGGTAGTAAAAATAGATCAGCAAGAGCTTCAAATACTGCATTTATTGAATACCAAAAGTAGAGTGACTATGCAAAATACATTTGAAGATGTAAAGAGGGATCTTGAAAATTTCACTAGGGAGGAAACAGGTTTGTAAAAGAACCGAACATAATTTCTAAAAATAAAAATATAATAATTGAAATTAAAACCTCAATGGGTGGAGTAACCTGAAAATTAGATACAGTTAGAAAGAAATAATGAAGATGGATGCGATGAAATTATTATGGTTATAAATTTGAGAAGTAAATTAAAAATATGAGAAAAAGTGGAAAAAGAAGAAAAATGAGACGCTTTAGCTGTATGTGGGGAAGGGATTTTATTCTAAGTGGTAATGGCTGAGAATTTTCCAGAACTCTTGAAAGACACTAATTGTCAACAAATCTGAAGGAGGATAAATAAAAGAAAAATTTACCTCCATATGTCATACTTAGATATAGCCATACTCAGTACAGAGTAAATAAAAAGAGATGACCCTAAAAGCAGCCAGAGAGAAAAGATGGACCCTCTACAAAAGAATGACAGTTAATGTTACTGATGACTTCCCACCCACAATAATGGAAGCCAGAGGGCAGTGGAATAATATCTCCACTGAGAAAATAATTCCTAACAAAAATTCTATACCTAGCCAAATAATGTTTAAAGATCGGCAAAATCAAGATATTTCAAATAAAACAAACAAATGAAACATTATGTATGACCAGAAGTTTCCCACTAAAGAAAATTGTGCACAATATACGTCAGGCAGGAGGAAATGGTCCAAGGGGAAATATCTGAGATACAAAAAGGAATAATGAGCAGAAAGATGATAAAAATGGAGAGAAGATATTTGCAACATATAATCACAAAGGACTTGCTGAATGTAAAATAATTCTTATGAAGAAAAAACAACAAAACAAGTGACTGTAGAATAGTGAGCAAAAGACACGAACAGGCATTTTACAGAAAAGGAACACACGTATGACTCAGAGTCATATAAAAAGATGCCCAATCTTAGCATTAACCAGGGAATTACCAGCGAAAACTACAGTGAGAAACCATCTTCTGTCACCAAATTGGCAAAAACCACAACAAAGTTGACAATTTAGAGTGCTTTGGAGGGTGTAAAGCCATGGGAACTCTTATTAACTGCTCGTATAAATTGGCAAGCCACTATGAAAAACAGAGTAATACTGCCTACAATTCCTAGTAAAGTTGAACATTCACATACTCTATGACACAGCAATTCTACTCCTATCTGTAGACAATCTTATACACGCGTTCCAGGAGACATATGCAAGAGAAATTCATGGCTGTATCACTCTTAACGGCTCCAAACTGGAAACAACCCAATGCCCATTAGTGACAGAATGAATAAATACATTGTGATATATTCAATTCAGTGTATGAAGGAATATGATATAGCAGTGGCAATGAGTGAACTGCACACAGCTACCCTAAAAGACATGAAGATATCTTAAAACCATAAAATTAATCACAAGAAGCAGGTAATAGATGAATTCATAACAGCATGACTGTAGTGATCTAAATATCAAACAATTTATCAATGTCTTTTTAGAGTTATAGTCACAGGTGATAAGAAAAGGCAAGAGAGAACAGTTAACACAAAAATCAGTCTAGCAGTTAGCTCTTGGAAGAAGGAGGAAACTGTGACCAGAATGAGGCATGTAAGAATTCCAAGGTATGGTAAGATTTTATTTCTGTCCTGAAAGGTAAATACACTGGTGTTCATTTTATTATTAGTTTCTAAACTGTACATAAGCTTTCTTTACACTTTTGTATGTATGATATGGCTTGCAATTAAAACAAAACGTCTGTAGGGAAAATAAAACTGAGACTTCCAAATGAACAAAAGTTCTCAGGAAAATGTAAGGGGTTCCATAATGGAGAATCCAAAGCTATACAGCCAAGCATTGTGTCTCCAACAAGGCTGTGCCACCTCCCCAGGTCTATTTAGTAGGAGGGTCCTCTCTGACCCATCCTGGCTCCTCTCTGATGCCCCATGCTCTGGTGAAAAAAAAAGAAAGGGGCCTTTTTCTCTCTTTTTCCCTTTGTGTTAATGAGATTGCAAGTCTGGGTCAACTACTTTGTCCAAGGTCATGCAGCAAGTGAAGGTTCCCAGTTCACCGTTCATTTCACCTATTATTATGCAGCATTTTATTTTATCCTTCCCAGGAGGGCCTCAGAGAAAAGAATGTTAAAAGGCTACAGTAATTAGCCTCACATTGTAACACCCTTGACTCTAGGCTAGCTCCTTCAGCAGAAAAGGGATAATTTCATTCTGCTCTTCTCAGACAGATCTCAGATTCTGGCTGGAAAGCAAGAGAGGATTTCCTGAAGATGCCCAAGGGTATCTGGGATAGAGTTGGGTCACTATTATTCCCATTGGTCTTTGAGCAGTAACTGTGGATACCATGGAGGGCAAAGAATTAGGTCTCATTTGTGGAGGGTAGGTAGTGTGGGTGACTTGCAGTAGGATGAACAGATTTCCAGCATTGTGAAATTGCTTGTTCCATCCTGACAATTTCACTTGCTCCTTAATATTAGTGTCTGACCTGTGGAGCAGAGCTGCAGATGAACAGGAGAGAGCTGCAGGTGAGCAGGTAAGAACTGCAGCTGAGCAGGTGAGAGTTTCAGGTGAGCAGGTGAGAGTTTCAGGTGAACAGGTAAAAGGGCAGCCGGTGAGCAGGTGACTGTTTCAGGCAAGCAGGGGACAGCTGCTGGTGAGCAGGTGAGAGCAGCAGGTGAGAAGGTGTGCACTGGAGGCTCCTTCCACTGCCCTAAGACTCTGCCCCCTGTTTTTGTAGCTATTTTAAGGAAACTGCCATGTAACCCTTTCTAACAAATAGTCCCTTTCTGTTCAAACATATATAGGGTGTTGAGAAGTGTAAAACGTGACCCCACCCAGGGTTTGGACATTGTTGGGGTCGCCAGGCTAGTTAATGACTAAGCTTCAGAACTGTGATCCTTTGTTGCCAGCAGGGAGGAGGTTGGTGGGGATTGCTTTCCTTAACTGCTGTCCTGGTGATCCATACCCACCTAAGTGTTGTTTCTGCTTTTGTTTGGCCGATTATCAAGATCCTCACTTGAGGACTTGACAATAATTCAAAGATCAAGAAGGTATGAAGAGAAAATTGTACAGTACTTCGCACTGTGTCTTGACAGAATGTTGTAGAGGTTTGTTAGGGCCCTGGTGGATACTTGATCTCTGCCACCTGGCCAAGAGCTGCCACCAACACGTCCACGGTGCAGATGCAATGCCTGGGGGAAGCTGGTCCTCCTACAGCACATGCCTTGCAAAGTCCATTGCCCTCCACCTTGCAAAGCCCATTGCATTCTTCTTATTCCAGGTTCTCCTTCTTGCTATTAGCCCGGGAAGGTTTCATCACAGCCTTAATCATAAACTAAACAACTTTAGAGGGACATTTGTTGTTTGTAGAATACCTAAGCCTTTTTAACCTCAAAAGACAAAAGGAAAACTGTAAACTTAAAAATGGTTCAGGTCTGGGCACGGTGGCCCACGCTTGTAATCCCAGCACTTTGGGAGGTTGAGGCAGGGGAATTGGGTGAGATCAGGAGTTTGAGACCAGTCTGGCCAACATGGTGAAACCCCATCTCTACTAAAAATACAAAAAAAGTAGCCGGGCATGGTGCTGTGCACCTGTAATCCGAGCTACTCAGGAGGCTGAGGCAGGGGAATTGCTTGAACCAGGGAGGTGGAAGTTGCAGTGAGCTGAGATCGCCGCACTCCAGCCTGGACGACAACGTGAGACTCTGTCTAAAAAAAAAAAAAAAAAAAGAGAAAAATGGTTCAGATAGTCAGTTGTATGTTATGCAGGAAATTTGTCCTTACATAAAAATACCTGATGCACTGCATTTAATATGTGAAATTATTTTTGGTAAATGCAAATCACATGACCTTAAGATGCTTAGTCATCATTCCCCTGGAGTTTTTCTTGTGTATGTTTAAAAAGACCCAACTGGGAATCAGAGAGACAGTTCTGCAGCATTGTGGTTAAGGTTTTAAACCCCAAAGGTTTGGCGCCAAACAGACCTGCCTCAGTTTCAGTCCTGCTTCTGCCACTGCAGGTCTCTCTTCCTCTCCTTCTTCACTGAGTAAGGCTGACAACCTAACTGACAGGGCTCCTCAAAGGATTAACTGAGATAAAGCATGTGGAACAAGTCTGGCATGAAGTAGATGCCTAAGATTTCACCGTTGACGCTCATAGTCACAGCAGCTTCTAGACTTGCTTTGTATATTCTCTGACCTCAGAAGGCATGCTGTGGAATGCAGACTAGGGAAAATGCATCTAAATGTATTACAATGTGAGATGGTCAGTTTTATGTGTCAGCTTGGCTGGGCTACAGTCCCCTGCTATTCAGTTAAACACTAATCTAGATGTTTCTGTGAAGGTATTTGGTAGATGTGATTAAAGTCCCTAATCAGTTGACTTTAAATAAGAAAGGTTATATTAGATAATTTGAGGGAGGGGTCATAATCAGATGAAAAGCCTTAAGAGCAGAACTGAGTCTTTTCTAAAGGAGAAATTCTACCTGGGGATAGCAGCTTCAGCTCCTGCCTAAGACTTTCCAGCCTACACTTCCTGACTTTGGTGACTTTGGGTCCTGTGGACTTCAGGTTTGTCTATTATAAGGAGTTGAACTGCATACCCCCAAAAGATGTTGAAGCCCTCACTCCCAGTACCTGTGAATGTGATTTTATTTGGAAATAGGAGTTTCCCAGATGATCAAGATGAGGTGATGAGGGTGGGCCCTGATCCAATAAGGCTATAACCTTTTTTATAAAAAGGGGAAAATTTGGACACAAACCTGCATAGAAGGAAAGTGATATGAAGACACAGGAATAAGATGGCCACCTGTAAGCCAAGAAACTGTGTGTGTGTGTCTGCATGTGTGTGTATATCTCCATATCCTACTGGTTCTGTGGCTGTGTTTCTCTGGCAGAATCCTGACTGGTGCACAGTGTATGATATAACAGCACTGAAGGGGGTTTGGGGGAAAAGAGGAGCTGACCTAAGTGACTGGAAAAAGTGATTTTAGCAAGAAACTGTGAGGCTAGAGGCTAAAGGCTAAAGGAAGTAGACAGAAACATTGTACTTTTCTTGGTAAGTTTCTTACAGTTTAATGATTCTGAAACTCTTTATCTGTAGGTAGGGTTGAAAAATAAGTAAATGGATGGTAGATGATGGGAACCAGTTTTCTCACTATCATAGAGGGAAGTTACATATAAGCAGCCCAGAAAGGCTAAAATGAACCCTGTGCTCCTGGATTAAAGACTGTTAATATGCACTCATGTTTAGCTTAATATATATAGACATCGAAACAGTTATAGAGATGTGTGTATACATGGGTTCGCATACATACGTATATTTCCTTGCTCTGTTCATGGAGAGGGCCCAAAAGCAATGAAACTGCAGTAGCATTGAGCAGACGTGGCATCCAGATCTTGGTTTCCAGTGCTGTCCTCCAACAAAAGGAACCAGGGCTACACGGAGAAATGGCTCAATCTAAGACTGTAAACAGGAGATATACAAAATGAGCCTGGAGTGTCTTGTGGTACCAGAAAATGAGAAAATATTAAAAGGAAACAAGAAAATCCCAACCACATTGATGGCAGTGTATCAAAGGGACACAGGAGCCAACCTGAAAGCACCCAATGGCCAAAGTTGGATAATTTGAGCAACAATAAATAACATAGTATTGGACTGTAACACCATGTAAAAATAAATATATATGGGTCGTTATTGCTATAAATAACTGATTTAATAAAATGGTGGAGTAGAGACACATTTTCTTTACAGAACAATTCTGGTAATATATGTAGATACCCCTCACTCCAGAAAGTGAAGTGAATTCCCTCCCCCCTTTTCCAGAATGGATAGACTTAGAAATTTGTTTCCAAAGATTATAGATGTGAAAAATAGTAACATAGTGGAGAGACCCGGCAAACATCACCTTAATCAAGTGATGAAGGATACCATCACCGGTCACATCATGTTGATCTCATGGACCTGTGATATGAGGTGGTGAGAAGGGCACTTCAAGTCCGTGATCTTCCTTCCAAAATCTCATAACCCCAGTCCAATCATGAGCAAAACATCACACAAACTCATATTGAGGAACATTCCTACAAAATATCTGACTAGTCATTCTCACAAATGTTAAGGTCTTGAAAAACAAGGCAAACCTGAGAAACTGTCACAGACCAGAAGAAAATGAGGCAAGAACACAATTAAGTTTACTGTGATACCCTGGGACTCAGGAACAGGAAGAGGGCGTTAGTAGAAAAGCTGGTGAAACTCAAAGTCAGGCGTTTTGGTTAATGTTGGTTTCTTCATTTTGCCAAATGTACCACGGTTATGTAAGATATTAACAAATGGGGGAGCTGTGTGATGGGCATATGGGAACTCTCTGTATCATCTTTGCAGCTTTTCTATAAATAAAAAATTATTCCAAAACAAAATGTTTATTTAAAAGAAAAAGGCATTCTGGATCCAACACTTACCAGCTGTGTAACCTCAGATGAGTTATTTAATCTTTCAGTGCCTCAATCTTGTGTTTTGTAAAATGAGGGGTTAATAGTAAAACTTCCCATAGGGTTGTTGTAAGGATTAAATGAGTTAACATATGAATTGCTTAGAATAGTGCTTGGCAAAAGGTAAGTTGTTAATAAGTGTTGGCTCTGATTGTAATAGTTTCTTCTTTTAAACACAACTTGTTTTCATGGCTATTTGCTCAGTGTGTGATAAGTCACCCCATAGATCAGTGTTCTCCAAAGTGGGGTACAGCTGGGGTTGCATAAGACCCATTGAAGGGTAAAAGGAAAAAGTAGAACTTCTGTTTTTATACTGTATTTATTTCATCCTCTCTGTTTTCGTGTATGTGCTGAAATGCATATCTTGATCAAGTAGAAGAGGATATGATATATAAATACGTATATAAGGTGGGGTGCACCACCATTTTTATTGATAGGGTAAAGCCTGGGCACACAGGCCATGTTATTGCGACAGGACACACTCTTGCATCTGTATGACCTTCTTTGGGCTCAAAGACACAGCCACTTAGGCAAACTAATTGTGCATTAAGCCCTAATGCCTGTGCCATTTACATCTGCATGAAAATAATATTTTAGTCCAGAAAGCTGAAAATGTTGAGGTTGATTCAATATATACTTACTACCCAGTGTTCCTTCAGCGTGGATTGTTTCAATTTGTTCCATTACTTGACAAAATCTCTCCACTTACTTCTGAGAATCTAAATTTTCCCACTGGCTCACTCTCGACCTTATTTATTACTTCACAATAGCCTCTTCAAGTTATTTCAGGCATAGTAAGTTTAAGAGTCTAAAAGCATTTTGGATCTAGATGGTGATATTTATAGCAAGATAGAATGGTATTTTTTGAGGCATGGAACAACATAACCGACATTAATTTTAAGTTTCGTATGCATTCGTTGCTTCACAATCATTTGTTGAAATGCTGATTTTGTTTTGTTTTGTTTTGTTTTAAAGCCCAAGTTCTTAGAAACAGTCAGACCTAGGTTCAAATCCTTTCTTAATCAGTTGTATATCCTTGGACAATTTCTGTTTTAAAACTCCTTTTACATTCATTTCCTCATCAGAAAAATGAAGATAATGTTGGTCTTGCAGAGATGTGGAAAGAGTAATAATAATGTATGTGAAGCACTTTATTATTGTTGTTATTTTATTGTTATTGTACCAATTACCAGGATAGACATAGGAAAACAATGCTAGATGAGATATGGTTCTTTCTATAAGGAAAACACACATACATACACACACTCTCTCTCACACACACATACCTAAAGATATTATTGACACAACTGATTCATTTTTAAAAAGTGAACTAGCATAAGCAAGCTTATAATGAAAAGCGTGACTCTGCTGGCCTAACTCTTCCAAGCCCTAGTTCCATTCCCCTAAGGAAACTTTCACTGGAAGCTTCTCTTTTTCATTCTTCCATGGCTTATTTCATAATCCAGAATAATACACTTGTATCCCTGTTTCCTAATTTCATCAGCTTTAGAACATTCCATGGACTTCTTGTTATAATGGAAGGAGATTTAGGTCACATGGCCTTGCATTCTCCTACCTCTTCTCTTCTTTATGTTTCATAGTGATTTAAATAGTTATAACTCTTTAAAAAGTGATTTAAAAAGTAACCCATAAGAAAAGCATTTATATTATTATAATCAGTTAATCGTTGCCCTCTACAGGGAGGGACAATATGCTAGGATTCCATGTTTCTCTTTGCAGGTCTGATGTCGGGACCTATGGGTGACTTGAAAGAGAGGAGGCACAATAACTTCAAGGTCAAATGGTTTTTCTTTTCTTTCTGTCAGTTGCTTAAAATCATGTCACATTTTACTTTGCCGTGTATTTGGATTACTACTTTCTTGTTCAGGATTTGGTCTTCCTGACATCTGTCATATCTTTTTTCCTTCTTTTTATTCTTCCTTCTTTCTTTCCTTTCTGACAAAAAAAAGGTCAGGGGAGAATGTACCTCGATCACAACCTCAAGTTCACCAAGCCTTTCAAGCCTACCAACAATTACAGAGTCCCCATCTTTTTCCCACCTAAGTTCTCAAGTTCTCCTACCTGATATTGGACCTGTTGCTCTCTCCTATATAGCTATCCTTCTGGGATTTTTCTGTACATATTTCCTAGGTTGAACCCACTGTTTCTTGGATCCCAGTCTTTTTCTTTCTGGGTTGTTCTCATCCATTTTTGACGGAGTAGATCCCAAAGTAATTGGTTAAGAAAGTCAGAAGCGGTTTTTTGAAGGCTTGTTTATCCAAAAATGTCTTTATTTAGGCCAATCACATTTGATTGACAGCTTGTTTGGGTATACAATTCCATCTTCAAGAAATCATTTTCCCACCTGTTTCTGCTGACATCCTGTGTTGCTCATGAGAAGTCTGATGTCAGCACATTTCTTGTCTTGTAGGTAGTTACTCTGCCCCCCACCTCAACATTATGGATGCTTTTTATATTTCCTTATTCTTGGTATCATGTACTTAGTTGTGGATCTTTCAAAATTTTTATTTTACTGGGCAAAAATAATTCTCTGTTTACATATAACTTTTATTTAGGAGACATTTTTTCTAGTATTTCATTTTATTTTTTAAAATTTTATTTTAAGTTCCAGGATACATGTGCAGGATCTAATATTTTAGATATGTCCCTTCTCTTCATTTTCTTAATTTCTCTGTAACACCTATTAATTGGATAATAGGCCTCCTAGACTGATAGATGCATCTCATCTTTTATGTCATATTTCTTATCCATTTGTGGTTTGGCTTCCTGTAATGAAAAACTCACTTGTACTTTTAACTTTAGGCCTATTATTAGAATTTTAATTTATCTTTCTAAAATTTCAAACCTTTTAGCAGGGCGTGGTGGCTCACACCTGTAATCCCAGCACTTTGGGAGGCCAAGGTGGGTGGACCGCTTGAGCCCAGAATTCAAGGCCAGCCTGGGCAACGTGGTGAAACCTCTTCTCTACAAAAAATACAAAAAATTAGCCAGGTCTGGTGGCGCATGCCTGTAGTCCCAGCTACTTAGAAGGCTGAGGTGGGAGGATCACCTGTGCCTGTGAGGTCAAGGCTGCGGTGAGCTGAGATTGTGCCACTGTACTCACAGCATGGGTGACAGAGTGAGACCCTGTCTCAAAATAAAAATAAAGTGAAGTAAAACTTCAAACCTTCTTGTTTTTTGACTGTTCCTAAAGGATGGTGTAACTTTTAAGTATGTATGTACATATAAAATATATGTTTACATTTTTCTGTAGATATTAGGTTTTATCTTGTGTTATTATTAGCTTTCTTACTTGCTTGTGATATCAGATAATTTCTCTTCCCTGAATTATCTCTGTTTCCCCAAACCAAGTTTTCTTTTAGCTTTATGTTAGTTTTCCATTTTTTATGGCGCTGGTTTTCACAGAGGCATTCCTGTTGAGTCTTCAAACTTTCTAATATGCTTCCATTACAATCCGTTTCTTCTCGATGAATCTGCTTTAGTTCTGAGCCAGGAAGAACTCTGATTATTTTTTCTCACATTTATCCCACCTCTTGTGGCAATTATGATAAGGGGGCAGATCTAAATAGTTTGAGAATGCCTGCAAGGCTGTTCTTAATGTTATTCTTAATGCCACCCTACAAAACCGTACATGTTCAGACCAGCTGGAAGAAAACCTAGCCTGAATTACTCAGAGATGTTTCAAAATACGATTCTATTATTTTCCATTGCTATGAGGAACTTACCTGAGCTAAGAAAACATTGCAGGAGAAGCCCACCGGAAATTGAACAGATAAGAATCAGTTCTATTCAAGTGCTGCCTCTAACACACTTTTACTCTCTAGTGTTTCGTGTGGGACAAACATGGTTCCCATAGTCTTACAACATTTGCATTCATTACTTAATAGGCAATGATCTAACAGGAGTGCCATTATTACTTCCTTTGGTAGGAAAATAGAAACTTAAATTCTAGCCCCAAAATTAGATTTATCGAGAAGAAAAGTTGTCGTGAACTTTGTATTCCTAATGAGAAAGCATAAGAAGATCTATTTTGATACCCATACATATATGATGTAAGTGGCTTAAAATTCAGTGGAAAAATATCAAAAGGCAATAATAGCACTCCTATTAGATCATTGCCAGATTCAAAAGGGAAATAAAATTTTATAAACCTGTTTTACATTCAAACCATCAGAAAGATGTACTGAAATCAGGTTTCATTTTGGAATTGCTTTTGTGGTGTCAACATGTCACATAATTTCTTCAGAAAACAGCAATTTGGTCTGAGAACACCTGCAAGTCTCTGGAACGCTCGCCCTAGTACACTACTATAAGTTTTTAAAATAAGTTTAGATGTTCTCACAGATTGTGACATATCTTTGTATTATGAGCAAACAGTATCTGTGTATTTAGAATCAGCATGAAAGGGAAATACATGGGCTCTTTGAACACACACCAGCAGCTGTTGAGGTCAGGGACCTACAGGGACTCTCAATCCAGTGCCTTGTAGGATTTCACTAGCTTTTACTTTAATGTTGGAGGAAGAGACTAAGAC
Source organism: Homo sapiens (assembly GCF_000001405.40). Lineage (NCBI taxonomy): Eukaryota > Metazoa > Chordata > Mammalia > Primates > Hominidae > Homo > Homo sapiens. The sequence continues at coordinate 58,285,939 of NC_000015.10, read as the reverse complement.
AGTAGAATAAAAGTTATTCTATTTTACTTACTTTAGCTTCCTGCCTGGGGACTCCCAAACAGTAAGTCTACTCATAAAGGAGTCACCTTTATCTCCATTTGCTGCCAAGGTCTCAAGTGACCAGGTTAAGTCACCCAAAGCCTCACAGCTAGGGAGTAGCACTGTAGGAATTCTAACATCTACGCCACACTGCACCTGGAGACATGGTGTATTTGGGTGTGGCCATGGGGCCTGGTCACTCGAGGGTAAATGTGATGGTAACTGGGCAAGGGGACCCTGAAGAGGCTTGAAGGAGATTTTGAGAACAATCCATTTTTCATTTTGTCCAAGCCCAGGCCTCATCTGGACTCCAGCTCGTTTGTCAGGGCTGCAGAGCTGTACTCCTCTCACGCAACTCCCTGGTTGATGCTTTCTTGGTGAATGATTAGATGAGGTGTATCGATGTTTCCCTGAACCGTGTTGCTTCTGCAATCATTAACATGACCCTTTATCTCCTCTCTTGTTACCCCATCTAAGCCAGTTGTGAAAGAGATAAAGTCCCAAGCACTACATCTCAATCCTAGGTCTTCATCAGCACATGTCAGCATTGATTTATTGCAAAGGCGCCCCGCTTTCCACCCTCTCTGGGAGCTAGGCCTGGGCCACACAGGCTCCCCACATAGTCCATTCTCAGCAGCCTCTGCCTGAGGCCTGCCAGAGAGCTCCGTGGGCCGTCACCTTGACCGGCTCCTTTTCCTGCTCAAAACCTTTGCAGCTCTCCACTGACTCCAGAACAAGGTCTGCATTTCTTGCTGTGGACACCTCAGGACACCTCCAGGAGAGTCTCTCTGACTTTCCTGACATAGCTCCTATGCACCCTCCAGGAGTCAAAAAGAAAGCTTCGCAACTCCCTGAACACGCTGTTTTCCTGCACTGGTGCTTTGCTCCTGTGCCTCCTACAAAGGATGCCCTGGCTTTCCCTCTCTGCAATCTAAACGCTGTTTCTTTTCAAGTCTGGATCCATCTAGTTTCAAGTCTGGATTCATCTAGTTTAGGTATTGCTTATTAATTTCCTGCTGTGACAAATGAAGATTTAGTTAATTGCTTCACCCTGTTCTGCCACATACCCTTATTCTGTAACACTGTAATGCCAGCACCTCCATCCAGCCTTCCCCAGCCTCACCGATGTGGCTCTCCGTGACAACACGAAGGTTCATGCAGTCCTGGGAATGAGCCATGTACCCTTCTGAATGCTTTACCTGGGAGACTTCATTTCATCTTCCCAGCTAGTGAGGCAGGGACTGGTCTTAGGTGACGAAACTGAGTTTTAAAAAAGTCAGCTTGCCTAAGGATCTCGACCTAAGAGTGTTGAATTGGGATGGGCATCTGAGTGTGCCTGGGCTCATGGCCCTGGCTTTCCTGGTATGCGCCACAGCCCTTAGTGATTCATGTCACTGACTGTCGGTCCCACTGTAAAAGGCTCTGATGTCCTGGTAAGTGGGAGACTGCTCCAACTCACCTTTGCTCACCCAGCTGATTCTAGAATGGATTGGACACTGAATAAAAGAGGAAAAGGTGGGGTTCTTCTACATGGAAGGGCAGAAGCGTTTGTGACAGGGTTCCCCCTGTGGCCTGCTGGGCTGTAGGGTTTTTCCCCTCCCTCCTTCTCCCTGTGCCCAAGGACCTCCTGTCCTTCTCCACTCCATCCCCGTACCACTGTCCAGCTGCCATAGTGCTCAGGGGACCTGCAGCCTTCTTCCCACTTCTCTTCTTCCATCCAAGCTGCCTTGAACTCCTCACTTCCATGTATCTTTCCTTGTCTGGCCTCCCCTGGGTTGGAATATTTGTCTTCCCTTCTTTGACGCTGCAACTTGGAAATGAAGCCCAGCCTCAGTGCCTTAGCTGAGTGCGACCACCTCCTCTATCTCTGCTCGCCGATGCTTCTAGCACTTGCAATCAGTCCTGTGTCCAGACTCTGAATCATAGGCTGCCAGGTAATTGATCCATTCCTCCATTAGCATGTATTTATCTAGGTCTTATTATGTGTGGGGCCTGGTGGGGCAGTAATGAACGAAGAGTAATGGCCCCTGACTGCATGGGTCCCTACAGTCTAGTGTAATGGACTATAATTGGGTAGTGGGTGTCATTCTGTCTCCTCACTTAGACTTCCAATTCCTTGCTGGTAGGAACCTATTTTCTGGTTCTTTTGGGGTCTCCACACGGCTTAATACAGCACTGCACACAACATACAACCAGTAGCAACAGATAATGTATAGTGAGTTATAAAATGTTTACAGTTTAAGAAATATTTTTGACATATATGATCATATTTTTTAACTGAATCCTTAGTCTCATGGAGTGGGCAGGATATGACGGAAGAATGTGGGTTCTGAGTGGTTTAATGATATTATACTTCTTAAGATCCATATTCAATAAATGCTATTCAGCATTTATTAAGCGAGGATAGGGGAAACTGTCTTTTTAGTGTTTTTTTTTTTTTTTGTTGTTGTTGTTATTGTTTTTGTCCAGAGCAAGGGATTGACTCTTATATGATATTAGAAATGTTAATTTTTATACAACATGTACATGTTTAAAAAGAGTCCTACAGAAGGACTTAGAATGAAGGAAAACGTGTCCCTATTCTTTCTTACTCCCTGGGGTGATTAATGTTATGTGTTAACTTGATAGGGTCAAGGGATGCCCAGATTTTTTGCTAAATACCATTTCCGGGCATGTCTGTGAAGGTGTTTCTGGATGAGATTAGCATTTGACTTGGGCTGAAAAAAAGACCACCCTCCCCCGTGTACATCACCTGTTGAAGGTCTGAATAGAACAAAAAGGCAGAGGAAAGGAGAATTCGCTCTCTGCTTCAGCAGGGACCTCAGTCTTCTTCTGACCTTGGACGTAAATGCTGCTGGTTCTCAGGTCTTCAGACCTGGACTCACACCATTGGTTCTCCTGGTTCTCAGGCTTTCAGATTCAGACTGGAACTTCACCACCAGCCTTCCTGGGCCTCAAGCTTGCAGACGGCAGATGGTGAGACTTCTCAGCCTCCATAATTTTTTCCGCCAATTCCTTTTAGTAAATCTCTTTATATATATATATATATATATATATATATATATATATATATATATGCACACACATATATATATGTATATATATATGTATATATACGTATATATATATATGTATATATATATATATCTCCTGTTGGTTCTGTTTCTCTGGACAACCTTGAATAATATACCCCAGTTCTACTTCCTAGAGAGAACCAATTTTAACTTCCTAATGTTGTTGCTTTGAGAGAAATGTAAATAATTGTGGGCAGAGGACAGACCATAGTAGATTGCACATGTGGCCACAAAGTCCTCCTAACTGGTTTTGTTCACCCCTTAGCAGCATGACTTCGCTGCTCCTCCTCCCCCATCAGGAGGCAGAATTTCTCCAACCTTTGAATCCAGGCTGACCTTCTGACCTCCTTTGTTCAGTAGCATAAGGCAGAAGCAACATTTTATAAAGTTGGAGGTTAGGACTTAAGAAGCCTTGCAGCTTCTGCTTTTGACCTTTTGGAATGCTGTCCTGAGACTGTCATTTAAAGAAGCTGCTCTAGCCTACAGAAGAATGAGAGGCCACGTAGAGGAGAACTGATGTGTCCCAGCCATCAGCCAGCACCAACTGCCAGATGTGCTAATGAGACCTGCTTGGAATGTCCAGCCCAGCCATGTCTCCAGCCAGATGCAGCCTATGGCTGAGCCCAAGCAAGATAAACAGCCAAGGAGGAACTGCCCAGTTCACCCATAAAATCATGAGAAATAACATAGTTGTTTTAAGATACTAAGTTGGGCTGGGTGCAGTGGATCGTGCCTGTGATCCCAGCACTTTGGGAGGCCAAGGCAGATGGATCACGAGGTCAGGAGATCGAGACCATCCTGGCTAACACAGTGAAGCTCTGTCTCTGCTAAAAATACAAAAGAAAAAAAAAATTAGCTGGGCGTGGTGGAATGCGCCTGTGGTCCCAGCTACTCGGAAGGCTGAGGCAGAAGAATTGCTTGAACCTGGGAGGTGAAGGTTGCAGTGAGCCAAGATTGCACCACTGTACTCCAGCCTGGGTGACAGAGCGAGACTCCATCTCAAAAAAAAAAAAAAAAAAAAAAAGATACTAAGTTGGTTTTTTTCATCTAGTTTAGGCATTGTTTATTAATTCCCTGCTATGGACAAATGAAGATTTAGTTCATTGCTTCACCCTATTCTGCCACATACCCTTATTCTGTAACATTATTCTTGATTTCTCCATTCATCATCTTTGCAACCTTGAAATAGTTAAGCTTACATTTCTTATTCCATGAATCTCAATATCTATCAACTCTCCACTTTCTAAGATGAAAACGTTGTTGCTCCCTTCTTCTTTCTACCTGTGCCATCCTCTTTTGCCTTCCAGTTTCTTGGGGATCTACATTTTCTTTCCTGCTTAAGGAAGCTTTTAGTTGAAGTATAATTGCACTTTAAAAAAGTACAGAAACCGTAAGTGTCAAGCTTGATAAGTTTTTGCCAAGTGACCACACCTCTGTAATCCTTACCTAGTTCTAGAAATAGAACTTTATCCTCATTCAGAAGTCTCCTAGTTTCCCTCCCACCTACTTGCTACCAAATGTCACCATTATCCCGACTTCTAACACTACGAATAAGTTTAGCCTGCTTTTGAATTTTATATAAATAATGACTATACAGTATGTCCTCTTCTGTAGATGGCTTCTTTTTTCAACATTATGTTTGTGAGATTTATCCCTATTGTTGAAATACTTAGATGTCATTCCTTCTTATTGATGTACAGTATTTCATGGTGTGAAATGGTTACACTTTAATTATCCAATCTAACGTTGATGGACACCTACGGTCTTTACAATATTTAAATATTAGCAATAGCACTAAAATAGCGTTGCTATATGTAGTTTTTGATGAACTTATGTATGTATTTCTGTTGAATATATACCTAGAAATAGAAGTACCGGGTCATAGGGTGGGTATATGTTCAGCTTTACTAGATAGCGTAAAATAGTTTTGTAAAGTGGTTGTACTAATTTGCACTCCAACCAGCAGTGTGTGAGAGTCATACTTTCCTTACATGTTTGCCATCATTTGAAATAATTTGATTTTTTGTTATAGCATTGTGGGGTGGGTAGTGGTATAAAACTGTGTTTTTAATTTGCATACATCTGATACTTTGATTTTTTAATGCTCCTTTAACGGAGTCATCTAAAATTGGTCACGTTTTATTTGTTTGTGCTGACAAATGAAATAAGCAGTGTTTTATATATGTGACCTTGTATTCAGTGACCCTGCTGAATTTACTTAATAATTCTGAAACTTTCCTTTGGATATTTTTAGATTTTTATGTACATAACCATATTGTTTGTGAATAAAGTAGTAGTATTTTTTTTCTCCCTAATCCTTGTGATTTCTTTTCTTGCCTCAGTGTGTTGGCTAGAACCAGCACAATGATGAATGAAAGAGAAGATTCTCTCATCCTTCCATCTTTGTCTCATTGCTCATCTCAGCATTTTACCATGAAGCAAGGTGTTTGCTGTGGATTTTGTATAGATAGTCTTAAGCCGACTGAAGAAGTTTACCTTTATTCCCAGTGTGCTCAGTTATCAATTGCTTTTCTGCATCTGTTGAATTGCCATACACATTCCACCCCTCTTTTTTGTTATTAATGTGGTGAATTAAATGAGTTGATTTGCAAATATTAAACCACCTTTGAATTATTACAATAATCCCTACTTGATTGTGATGTATGATCTTTTTTGTATATCACTAGATTTGATTTATAAATTTTTTCGTTAAAATTTATGCCTCTATGTTCATGAAGGAGATTGGCTTGTGGGAATCCTAAGAGCCTAATGTTGTTACTTTTATCTGGAGAAATTTTGCATTTGTTTCCTTCAGGAACTGGGGGTGCTACCAAGAATATTTCAGCCCCCTTTAAGAGTCCTAGCTCAATGATGGATGACTATCCGATTTAGCTCTGGGGTTTAGTTGATAACAGCAGAGCTGTTATCAACTTTTGCCTCTGGGGCAATCTTGCCTTTGCATCATCATAATCTGTCTCTCTCTCTCTCTCTTTTTGTAATGGGCAAACTTATATATACAAGGTAAATATGCAAAGGGACAAATCACCCAACTAGAAATTGTGCTTGCATAGCGGCAGTTTTCCCACATTTAGACTATGCTTTGTGCTTGAGTCAAGCACCAGGTTAAAAATGAAAGCCACCTGCTGAATATAGTGTCTCATGGAAGGCCACACAGCACACACAGCCCTCAACTTTTCTCCTCCCCCAGTTTATCCATATAACCTACAAGTATGTATTGCACTGTTCTCCCAAGCTTGTGTATTCTTTTTAAGATAATTTTTAAAGAGAACGTTCCAAACATGGTGAAACATTCTGGCTATATGAATCCAAGTAGTGAACAAACAAAGGAAGCTTTAAAGTATTGTGGAGAAACTTAGAGTTACAATTTTAAAAGAGGCACGTGAACAGGGGATAGCCAAGAAACAAAGGAGCCCACATTGCATTCCACCAGAGACAGCACTGAAAATAAAAGCAAAGAGAGATGATCACGTCCCAGTTATCATCTGTGCTAATTGGGACTGGGAAGGGTTTGCCAAGGATTGGAGCTGCAGACTCCAGTGCTCAGAGCAGCAGGATGGCACTTGGTGTCTGGATGCCTTTGGAGTTGCACATACAGCTTCTTTATGAAAGGAAGAAACTGGAAGACAACAAAGGTAGGGTTCTATTTCAAGCCAGAGTAAAAGAAAGAAATGCAGACAATGAGCCACAACCTTCCACCTCGGGGGTCACCACATCTCAGCCTGAGAATGACGTTGTCCCTTCTTACTACCTCTTCTCCACAGCATTTGACCACAGCAAGCACGTTTAAATGTTTTGTCTATGATTACAATATTATTTATTTATAGAAAACAAAAAATGGCAGTAGCATTTGTGTATGTGTTTATTTACTTTTGTTATTACAGTTCAGTAAATTTTTTATGAGACTATACAGGTTTGGAGTGTTTTCTCCAATCCCAGCTTTCTTGTATGTCCTGTTCTTTTTATTATGCACAATTCCATCTCTTGGTGGTTTTAGAACCATATACCACATGAAGGGTGAAATTTCTTCATACTGATCACTGCTTACTCCTCTGTGTTTGGCTCACTTTTTCTTTTTCTTTGTCTTTTCTCCCTCCTTTTCCTCCTTCATTCCTTCTTTTTTTTTTTGACTTCTGGCTTTTGGAGATTTCCCTCACTTTCTTCTGATCCCAGCAAGGCATTTAAAGTCATGTTGGTTGTAATTTATGTAGGATTCAGTTTTTAGCAGCAGGACCTTGCAGAATATTCAATCTACTGCACTCCCAGAAATGAAAGTCTCTCCCCACCTTTCCTCTTGCATAAATTTGTGGAAGTCTCTCATTCGTCGTCGATGGTCTTTTCTGATTTTCTTCATTGTCATTGACTTTGTCCCTTTTCATTCCTTCAGTTCCATCTTAATGTGGTCACTGGAGGGAGAAGAGATAAATGTATGTGTGTTCACACATTACTCGGAACCACAAACCAGAACTGTTTTTTTCAAACTTAAGATTTAAATATGCTCCACTTTGTTCGTTAAAGGTTTTAATTGTGCACAAAAAAAAAACACATTAAAAATAAATTAAAATGTCAAACTGAGCTCTAAGGAAAAAAAAATTATCAGTTAATGAATTGCAAAGTAATGAAAACAAAATTTAACATTTCAAAAAGTAGTTTTCAGATTTTCAAAGCTTTTTTTTTTCAAAAGTAAGTCTAATTTGTTGTATGTAGGGGCCATTGTCTACATATTTATTTATTTTTATTTGTTTAAATCAATGATGTCGGAAGGTGACACTTTAACTATCTTGAGATTATCTTTAGGGTTTTGTTACATTAATTACTCTTATTCACTGGGGATATGGGTTACTCACATGGCCATGGCTACAAAGCCTTCTTAAAAATAAGTTAGAAGTTCCCCTTTTCTGATTTCAGTGTCCGACGAGTCCATGTTCTGAGCAGTATACTTCTCATTTGATAATAATACCTATTCATTCATTTGAGATGGACATTTAGAAATCCTCTTTCAAATATGTCTGCAAAAATAAGATTTCCCACTAGCAATATTTGTGTAATTTGGCACTGTAGAAAAATAGCGGTTAAAGGAATCTCCAGAATAACTAAACTAGCTTGTTTCCTCAACATACCTTGGCAGTAATAGTTGATACTGTTTTAGCCCCCCAGTACCAAAGATCTTTTTTTACAGTGGTCCAAATTATTTTCAGAGCAACAGTTCTCCTACAGAAATTGAGAGAGGCAATAAATCAATGGCATGTTCTTCCTCTTCAGAAGCTAGAGGCTTTGTCATATTCTTCAAGCCCAAACCTAGTAACAGAAAAGCACTAATGCCTCTGCTTAACTACCAAGTCCCTCTCTCTCTCTCTCTTTCTCACACACACACACACACACACACGCATACACACCCATACTTGAAACTTGGAATTTGGGCTGCAGTGTCACAAGGATGAGGTACAGTGGTTGGAGTCATTTCATCAATCCATGCTCTGCTAAGGACTTTAGGCTATTCTTGCCACTAAAATCTTTGAAGATGTCTATTTCTGCCTCTTTCCCACCTGGTTTCTTCAGTCTTCTTTTCAGTCATGTGATCTTCCTTCCCTTACACTCTGTTTCTGTCTAACCTACCTAGTTATCTTCTATTCTTTACTAACAAACTATGCTAATGTCATTCACCTCATGACACAAAGTGATTGAGGGACACAGGCCACCAAACAGTGATATTGTAAGTGATGTCAGTTACATCAGTCACATCTGCTTAGCTGTATAAGCTGGAATTGTATTAAATAGTACCAAGAACACACTTTATCACTGTTAGTGTTCAGAACCATAAAAGAAATGATGTGATACAGCAAAATCAAATATTACTCCACTTTGATTTCATTTTCACAGTTGGAACAGGAATCAGATTCTGCACAATAAACTTATCAGAAACAGAAAGAACAA